>NC_000013.11:100002979-100627979 GCF_000001405.40 Homo sapiens | reverse complement strand
TGCTTCCTCACTGTTCTTCAAACCCCTCCACAGATTCACCACCACCCTAGTTCAGTCTGCTGACCTCTCTCCTAGGACTGCAGCCACAGCCTCCCTGGAGCCCCTGACACCTGCTTCTCCCCCACTCACATCTCTTTCCCACCACGGGATTTGTTTCATATGAACATAAACATGGTGGTGACCTCTGCCACCCTCCCACCCCTGGCTTCCTGCTGTGGGTTTAATTGTGCCTCCCAAAAGCTACGCTCAAATCGTAACCCCTGGGACCTAGAAGTATAATGTATAACCTTTTTTTGGAAATAGGGTTGTTGCAGATGTAATTAAGATGTCAGTTAAGATGAGGTCATACAAGAGGATGGTGGGCCCTTAATCCAGTGTGACTGGTGTCCTTTTAAGACAGGAGAAGAGACAGGGAGACAGACAAGAGGTGAGATGGTCATGAAGACAGAGGCAGAGGTGGGAGCGAGGCATCTGCAAGCCGGAAATTATGGGCAAGCACCGTGAGACAGGAGAGAGGCAGGGAGCAGTCTCTTCCCTCAGCCGGTGATGGGACCAGCCCTGCCCACACCGTGATCTCAGCCTCCAGGACTGTGAGAGAAGTGTGTTGTGTTAAGCCCCTCAGTTTGTGGTGCTTTATTGCTGCAACCCTGGGGCACTCACACACTTACAGACCCCGCCCCGCGCCGGCCTCGTGGCTCTGAGGACAACGACTGATCCTAGCCTGCCCTTGCTCAGGGTTCCCTGCGAGCGCAGCTGCTCCTCCCGGGCTCTCCAACCTGCATCCCTGCTCTCTGTGCTCCAGCCACACCGAGGCCCTTGCTCAGACCCTGTGAGAATAATACCAGAGACAGGGTGCCAGACACTCATTTCTCACAGTGCCAGAGGCTGGAAAGCCCACCATCAAGGTGCAGGCAGGTTGGGTGTGTGGTAAGGGCCTGCCTCCTGGTTCACAGACGGTCGTCTTCTCACTGTGTCCTCACGTGGCGGAAAGGGGGCATGGGAGCTCTCCAGGGCCTTTTTGATGAAGGCACTGATCCATTCATGGGCCTCCACCCTCATGACCCAATCACTTCCCAGAGGCCCTACTTCCCAATACCATCACATTAGGAGTCAGGATTTCAACATCTGAATTTTGAGAGTCCATAAACATTCTGCTTATTACAGATACAGAGTAAAATGCTTGTGATGCTAGCTATAGAAGAAAGGTGCCATCCAAGAAAGGGCCATATTTGCTTAAATGGGTGGACAGAATCATGCTTTCTTCTACTCATGTCCACATGTGACTAGACTTTGTTATCTCAACTCTAGTGGAGTGTGTAGGTGAGGGGAATTTGAGGTTTTGATGATAAAAACAAGCCAGGTGTGGTGGTGTATGCCTGTAGTCCCAGCTACTTGAGAGGCTGAGGCAAGAGAATCACTGAATCCCAGGGGTTCAAGGCTGCAGCACGCTATGATGGCACCTGTGAATAGCTACTGCACTCCAGCCTGGGCAACATAGCAAGACCCCATCTCTAAAAATCAAAAGTAAAATTTTAAAAAGCCCAGCTTTGTAGTTTTCTGGTTGTCTCTGGTGAGGTCTTTAGTTATTTCCCTTCTGTTGTGCTTTAGAGATGTATCATGCCTATACCCCCTTTCTTCTGATCCTCTTACAGGGTTGGAGATTAAAGCACAAGCAACTCCTAACCCCTGTAGGGTTTTAGCTAAAGTTCTGGTGGGTGATTTTTTTTCCTCGTCGCTTTACCTTTTGTCTTCAGTTAGAAGATGTGATGGGGTCCAGGCTCTGAACAAGAAGTCTGTCTGCTGATGGCCCAATTATTCTCTGTCTGCAGGTTCACTACAACATTGGCAAAAACCTGGCTGATAAAGGCAACCAGACAGCTGCCATCAGATACTACCGGGAAGCTGTAAGGTATGGCGAGTATGTCTTACAGAAGAATTATGTACACAGATCGTTTTCACTTTCTAATATGAAACACCTGTTCCTTTAAAGACCCCAACTTTACAATATCTTTACCGATTCCTGAGAGTTTAGTAAAAACTTACTATTGAGCATTTAATGGTCAGCTTGGTTTTTTCTCAACTTTCAGATTAAATCCCAAGTATGTTCATGCCATGAATAATCTTGGAAATATCTTAAAAGAAAGGAATGAGCTACAGGAAGCTGAGGAGCTGCTGTCTTTGGCTGTTCAAATACAGTAAGCATTGTTTTTATAATTATGCTAGTGACAAAGAAAGGAGCTCCTGCATTCCGGCATCTAAGCCTTTCATCTTCTTGTTTATCTTTGTTAAAACTGCTCCTCTAGGCCAGACTTTGCCGCTGCGTGGATGAATCTAGGCATAGTGCAGAATAGCCTGAAACGGTTTGAAGCAGCAGAGCAAAGTTACCGGACAGCAATTAAACACAGAAGGAAATACCCAGACTGTTACTACAACCTCGGGCGTCTGGTAAGCGCGGGGTGCCCTGTGCCTGTGGAAGGAAAGATGGGTTATTTTTCTTATTTATAATAAAATGACATAGTGACACCCACCTAGCCCATACATTTTATAAAGTTCTTTCACATGTTTCTATCTCATTTGAAGGTAGCTATTTGATTTCCTTTTGAGTAATTTTTTAAAGCTCTCATTAGAGAGCAGTACAGTGTGAATTAGTCAAGTTTAAGAGGTCACCCACGCAAAAGGTTAAACCCAGGAATAAATTAACATGTTAAAGTCCCGTCCGCCCTGTAAAACAGCACTCCAATGGGTAACTTCCTGATAAACATCAGTTTCTCTGTTTTTAAAACAAGAATTGAGTAAGAACAGAGATTAAAGTAACAAATCCGTAGTATGATTTCTGAGCTCCCTTGTTCTCCTTCTTCAAGGGAGCAGAGCTCTTCATCTGCAGGGAGCATTTCCCCCAAAAAAGGCAGCTTTGGAGGGCACGGGATTTATTTGAAAGGGCTTTGACATTATTTGGTGGAAATAGAAAATAACGTGTTCTGTAGTAGCTTTATATTTTTGGTTATTGACAGGATGTTTACGAAGATCTGATTGCTCTTGATTTTCTTGACAAAAATAAAATGAGACACACACATAGCAAAATTCTTTAAACACGAATGGTTGTCTTCTCCCTATAATCAACCATTTAATTTGGTTTCAAGAAAACAAATACATATGTTCCTAATATATTTAGATGTATTCAATAAACATTGTTAATTAAAAAATTTGTGTTCATTCTAACCAAACTGGAATACATCCATAGTGATATGACTTTCACAGAAGTTTATATGTAGATTTCCAGATTTTATCCAGCTTAGCCTTACAGGTAGGAAGGCATCCTCGTGTTCTAAAGAGATGTCTGCTGCCCTCGTTTTAAAGGCCTGAAGCTTCTTGGTTTTGTTTTTTGTTTGTTTGTTTGTTTGTTTGTTTTGTTTTGTTTTTGGAGACAGAGTTTCGCTTTAAAGAGTTCTTATGTTGTCAGAACTGGTAGTTCCCTTAGCTGCTTGTCGATGGCTTTCAAGGTTACTTCATGGAGCTGGAGCGCTTGGCTGCGCAGGCCCTGAGGGCTGGCGGTCCCAATGGCATGGCCACGGTGCGTGCCATGGCTTCTGGAGGTGGTGTCTCTTTCTTTTTTTATTTTTTTTTTATTTTTTTTTTTTGAGACAGAGTCTCACTCTGTCACCCAAGCTGGAGTGCAGTGGCGGGATCTCGGCTCAACGGGATCTCGGCTCACTGCAAGCTCCGCCCCCCGGGTTCACGCCGTTCTTCTGCCTCAGCCTCCGGAGTAGCTGGGACTATAGGCGCCCGCCACCATGCCTGGCTAATGTTTTGTATTTTTAGTAGAGACGGGATTTCACCATGTTAGCCAGGATGGTCTAGATCTCCTGACCTCGTGATCCGCCCGCCTCAGCCTCCGAAAGTGCTGGGATTACAGGCATGAGCCACCATGCCCAGCCTGGAGGTGGTGTTTCTATTGATAACAAGTAGGTGACTGGCCTAGAGATGGAGGTCATGATGACTGCAAGGAAGAGACTGGACCCATACAATGTACTACCCCCAAAGACAGCTTTAGGCACCAAGGAAGACCCTAATTTAGTCCCCTCCATCACCAACAAGAGAATAGTGGGTGCATCTGTGAAGAGGAAAACAGTGCTGTCATCTGGTTTTGGCCGCACAAAGGCAAGACCCAGCAATGCCCCAGCTGTGGAGCCCATTACAAGCTGGTACCCATCAGCTGGTGCATTGAGCGCCTGCACCAAGTTACTCAAAATGTGCTATAAAGTTTCATCTTTCCAATAAAGACCAGCCATTGCATTGGCTCCTTCTCCTTCTGCAAAAAAAAAAAAAAAAAAAAACAAAACCCAACTAGTAGTTTCCAAAACTGACATGCATCCAGACCGTCCCACCCCATCTGACATTTAGGGAATCAAGGGCTCTATAGAGAATCTGTTTTAAAATAACAATAATAAACTGGGCACAGTGGCTTATACCTGTAATCCCGGCACTTTGGGAGGCCAAGGCGGGCGGATCACTTGAGGTCAGGAGTTCAAGACCAGCCTGGCCAACATGGCGAAACCACATCTCTACTAAAAATACAAAAAATAGCCAGACATGGTGGTACGTGCCTGTAATCCCAGCTGCTGGGGAGGCTGAGGCAGGAAAATCACTTGAACCTGGGAAGCAGAGGTTGCAGTGAGCCAAGATTGCGGCACTGCACTCCAGCCTGGGCAACAGAGTGAGATTCTGCCTCAAAAAAATTAAGTAAGTAAAATAACAATAATGAATCACCCAGGTGATTCCAGTAACCTGCCCTTGGCCCTGCAGCAGGGAAGCAGCTCTGTCTGAACTTGGATAACAGGGTAATCATGTCAGAGCAGAAGCCATGGTTTGTGGGGAACAATCCTAGAAAACACTGACTGCTTTACATTTATTGGAAAACCAGGCTTTGGTTTTTACCATAATGTGAATGTCTTTGGTCTTACTGTCTTTGTTTCTGGAGTGGGTAGCCATGATTTTGTGAGTTGTGGAGATAGAATCTTATGAATGGAGAAAACAAGATAGCAGGAACGTCTGGCTAACTAATGGTAAAATGTGACCTTCCCCCTCTGCAGAAGTCCCTTTACGTGGACGAGTAATGCTTGTGTTAGAAATATATACATATGTAACTAACCTGCACATTGTGCACATGTACGCTAAAACTTAAAGTATAATAATAATAAATTTAAAAAAAAAGAAATACTAAAGTGAAGTGGTTGCATGTATGAGTCCATTTTCATAATGCTGATAAAGATATACCTGACACTGGGTAATTTATAGAGAAAAAGAGGTTTAATGGACTCACAGTTCCATGTGGCTGGGGAGGCCTCACAATCAAGGTGGAAGGTGAAAGGCACATCTTACATGGCAGCAGACAAAAGAAAATAAGAGCCAAGCAAAAGAGGTTTCCCCTTATAAAACCATCAGATCTCATGAGACTTAGTCACTACCACGAGAACAGTATGGGGGAAACCACCCCCATGATTCAGTTATTTTTCACCAGGTCCCTCCCACAACACATGGGAATGATGGGAGCTACAATTCAAGATGAGATTTGGGTGGGGACACAGCCAAACCATATCACCGCATTTTTATTACTCAAAAAATGCAAAACATGTTTCAGTTATGATATGCCACAGGAAGATACCACCTCTATGTGCTGACTCCACTGTGGAAAGGAGGAATTATTTCTTCGTGGGCACAGAGGCAAGGGTGGCAGGAATGTGGCTGAACTCATGGAATGGCATGATGCTTGAACAAGGAAGATTAATGGCAAGATATTCCTTTGTCTCACATTAACTTTCTCCAGAACCACTGACCTTGCGTGCATTTTTGTTCTTTTACATTTTAAAATTCTGTGCTTTATGACCTAGTTACCTGCTTTGATGTTGAAACCAGTTTCTCTGTGAGACCTGAAGATTCCAGGAGAGCTGAAATTATTATAATGATCGGCTGTTTGTTCCCAGGGGGAAGGGGAGGCTGTGAAACCTCAACATAATGTTACGAGTGGTGACTTCAAAATTCAATCACATACAAAGCAGGGGCGATCCTCACAAAGTTAGTGAAGTGAGAATAGGGGTGGGGTGGAGGATGGGAGCACATGAGGTCTTACCTGAATTCATGCATTTGGGTGGTTATGAATATATGGGTGTAGGGATTACCGTTTCTGTTCACTGTATCTGTTAAACTAGTACTCAGTGACTAAATATGAGACTTGGTATTCATAAGAATTCTTCTTTTGGTTGGGCGCGGTGGCTCACGCCTGTAATCCCAGCACTTTGGAAGGCCGAGGCGAGTGGATCACAAGGTCAGGAGATCGAGACCATCCTGGCTAACATGGTGAAACCCCATCTCTACTAAAAATGCAAAAAATTAGCCAGGCGTGGTGGCAGGCGCCTATAGTCCCAGCTACTCAGGAGGCTGAGGCAGGAGAATGGCGTGAACCCGGGAGGCGGAGCTTGCAGTGAACCGAGATGGCGCCACTGCACTCCAGCCTGGGCGACGGAGCAAGACTCCATCTCAAAAAATAAAAATAAAAAAAAAGAATTCTTCTTTCATCCCTTTTTTTCCTTTTCTGGGGATTGCTCTTCTGTTACTTTATTGCTCACAAAGTGAGTGGGTCTGCCCACAGCCTCCCAGGTTATCCTCTAGGCTCCACAGCTTAGTCTTCTCCCCTCTCCTAGTAGCTGCCCGTCACTGCAGTTCCTTGGGATTTGGAAAATAGAGGATTTATAATAAATGCTCCTTCTGTAAGAATGATGTCCAAAGGGAGGAACGGAGAATATAAAGTACCAGCTTTTATCATGTGCTGTAGTCCTTGGGATTCATTACACTTTCACTTGGAAGATCATCTGTAGCATTGAACACATTGAGACCTTGTACTGCTTTTGGTTTATATTGTTTACTAATTACACTGCCGTGAAATGGTCTTCCTGTATTCCATTCCGCCAACTGTTCCTGCTTATTTAAGGCTTTTGCTTTCCCTTGTGGTTTAATTATCCAGCTTTTTCCTCTTTGACAGCTTAAAAGCATTAAGAGCTTAATCTTTAACAACTCAACCAACCCATTTATATACTGGCAAATAAGAACTTAATAGCTTAAGAGGGTTTTTTGTTTGTTTGTTTGTTTGTTTGTTTTAAGAAATCACTCTCTAGTAACAGGAGACAGCGATTTGTTTTGATTTCTAGACCCCAATATGGAGAGAATATAAGGCAGTTCTCTTGTGGAATAGGAAGTCAGGAAGAGCGCAATTACTGGGACATATTACTAATCTTAGAAAGTTATATTCTAAGCAATAATGGCTAGAGGGATTGCGGAAGACAATGCATGATGGAAGGACTGGATGTGTCCAGGAAAACAGAAACCATTCTAAGTGTTTTAGATAGAGAAGACTTAATATAAGGAATTGGTTAGACTCATTGGAAGGCTGGATGAGCAAAAATGGGATGGTAACATGAACTCAGAGATTAAAGGGAATCCTATATGTTTTGGGGGAACAGACAGGAGGCACTACCAAGATTTAAAAACTCACAAGAGGTTACAATCTCTGGAGCTACCACAGCCTCAAGAGCTGTGATCATGGAGACAGACCACTGCTTCCACCCTGGGACGGTGGAGGAGGGGACATAGTCACTTCAGAGACACTGCCAGGGGAAGGAAGGAGAGAGTGAGAGTAAGAGGAAAGGACTGCTCCCCTCTCCCCACCATCCAGTGCCTGTTGACAGAACAGAACAAAAGGGTGAAGAAGCCTGGGAAATGTAGTTGCAGACTCCCAGCCCCTGCTTCTCAGAGCAGAGTACAGAAGGGTAAGCGTAGGACTGCTGGGTGATTGATGTTACCCATCTACTTCCTGGATGAGCAGTTCTGGTTAAATCACCACTTTTTCTGCTTCCCTGAAAGTTTGTTCCCTTCGTGTAGATGCTGTAAGATGAGTAGAATTTGAGACAAAATGAAACTAAATTTTATCTGATTCAGTCTATTCTTCAATAAATAGTAATAATAATTGTAGTAGTAACAGTAAAGTAGTGAAGAATTTTGTCATGTTGGATAAAGGAAGTTACGTTGGTTGTTCTAGGTGTGTTCAAATGTTGCCATGGATTTTGTCCAAGTGACTCAAATGCATATCACTTGGTGGAGTGAATTGATCTGAGGAATCACTGGAACATCAAATAGAGATAATTAAGTGTTAGAATAATTAAGCATCGCATTATTTTCATTTTCTGAACTTTTCCTATCATTTCCTCATTAAAGGGTAAAAATATTGTAACTTGAGTTTCTGAGTCTCATGAGAAATTCCCACAACATCTTTAGCAAATGGATGTTCATAAATGTTTCCATAATTCATTAAAGCTTTCTTTTTCTTGCATAATATGCTATCTATTTGCTGTGTAGCGTAGGACAAGTCAGAACGTTTTTGTTGTCTGAAGAAAAGACAGACTTGCCAGTAAGTAAGGAAACAGCCTTAAACTCTGATAAATTGTAATCATTTGTACTTTTTGCAGAGTTAAAGGGATCAAGTACACTCAAATAAAATGTGCATTTGAACTGAGATAAGAGGGCAACAGGGTCACCTGCTAAAAAATCCATCACTGTGTGTGTGTGTGTGTGTGTGTGTGTGTGTGTGTGTGTGTGTGTGTCTGCTTTTATTAACTATGCAAATTGAGAGCTAGCCATTTTATATTCTGTTACCAATGTTAACATTCCCTCTCAAAAGAAGCAACAACCGCCCCTACTGGGAAGTGAGGAGCCCCTCTGCCCGGCCGGCCGCCCCATCCAGGAGGGAGGTGGGGGGGTCAGCCCCCCGCCCGGCCAGTCGCCCCGTCCGGGAGGGAGGTGGGTGGGTCAGCCCCCCGTCCGGCCAGCCGCCCCGTCCGGGAGGTGAGGGGCGCCTCTGCCCGGCCGCCCCTACTGGGAAGTGAGGAGCCCCTCTGCCCGGCCGGCCGCCCCATCTGGGAGGTGTACCCAACAGCTCATTGAGAACGGGCTGGGATGACAATGGCGGTTTTGTGGAATAGAAAGGGGGGAAAGGTGGGGAAAAGATTGAGAAATCGGATGGTTGCCGTGTCTGTGTAGAAAGAAGTAGACATGGGAGACTTTTCATTTTGTTCCGTACTAAGAAAAATTCTTCTGCCTTGGGATCCTGCTAATCGGTGACCTTACCCCCAACCCTGTGCTCTCTGAAACATGTGCTGTGTCCACTCAGAGTTGAATGGATTAAGGGCGGTGCAAGATGTGCTTTGTTAAACAGATGTTTGAAGGCAGCATGCTCGTTAAGAATCATCACCACTCCCTAATCTCAAGTACCCAGGGACACAAACACTGCGGAAGGCCGCAGGGTCCTCTGCCTAGGAAAACCAGAGACCTTTGTTCACTTGTTTATCTGCTGACCTTCCCTCCACTATTGTCCTATGACCCTGCCAAATCCCCCTCTGCGAGAAACACCCAAGAATGATCAATAAAAAAATAAAATAAAATAAAAGAGAGAGAGAGAGATTAAAAAAAAAAAAAAAACAAGAAGCAACAAAAATCTGGAAGCATTCCCCTTGAGAAATGGAACCAGGCAAGGATGCCCACTCCCACCACTCTTATTCAACATGGTACTGGAAGTCCTAGCCAGAGCAGTCGGGCAAGAAAAATAAATAAAAGGCATGTAAATAGGAAAAGAAGAAGTCAAGCTATCTCTCTTCATGGACGGTGTGATTCGACACCTAGAAAACCCTGCAGACTTTACCAGAAGGCTCCTGGAACTCATAAACAACTTCAGTAAAGTTTCAGGATACAAAGTCAGTGTACAAAAGTAAGAAACATATCTATATGCCAATCACATTCAAGCTGAGAGCCAAACCAAGAATGCAATCCCATTTACAAGAGCCATAAAAAGGATAAAATACCTGGGAATTCAGCTAATCAAGGAGGTGAAGGATCTCTACAAGGAGAACTACAAAACACTGCTGAAAGAAATCAGAGGTGACACAAACGAGTGGAAAAACATTTCCTGACCATGGATTGGAAGAATCATTATTGTTAAAATGGCCATACTGCCCAAAGCAATCTACAGATTCAACACTGTTCCTATCAAACTGCCAATGTCATTTTTCACAGAATTAGAAAAAGCTATTCTTAAATTCATATTGAACCAAAAAAGAACCTGAATAGCCAAAGCAGTCCTAAGCATAAAGAACAAAGCCAGAGGCATCACATTACCTGACTTCAAACTATACTGTAAGGCCACAGTAACCAAAACAGTATGGTACTGGTGCAAAAACAGACACACAGATGAGTGGAACAGAATAGAGAACCCAGAAATAAAGCCACACATCTACAGCCATGTGGTCTTCAAACAATTTAACCAATTTTTTTTTAAAGCAATGGGGAAAGGGTTCCCTAGGCAATAAATCGTGCTGGGATAGCTGGCTAGCCATACGCAAAAGAGTGAAACTGGACCCCTACCTTTCACAAAACACAAACATTAACTCAAGATAGATTAAAAATTTAAATGCAAGACCTCAAACTACAAGAATCCTAGAAGAGGCTGAGCTCAGTGGCTCACACCTGTATTCCCAGCACTTTGGGAGCCAAGGCAGGCAAATGGCTTGAGCCCAGGAGTTTGAAGCCAGCCTGGGCAACATGGCAAAACTTAATCTCTACAAAAAATCCAAAAAAATTAGCTGGGCATCGTGGTATGTGCCTGTAGTCCCAGCTACCTGGGAGACCAAGGTGGGAGGATCGCTTGATCCCAGGAGGTCAAGGCTGTAGTGAGCCACTGGTCACACCACATCACACCACTGCGCTCCCGCCTGGGCGACAGAATAAGACCCTGTCTTTAAAAAAAAAAAAATCCTAGAAGAAAACCTAGGAAACACTATTCTAGACATCAGCCCTGGGAAAGAATTGATGATGAAGTCCTCAAAAGCAATTGCAACAAAAACGAAAATTGGCAAGTGGGACCTAATTAAACTAAAGGGTTTCTGCACAGCAGTAGAAACTATCAAGAGAGTAAACAGACGACCTACAGAATGGGAGAAAATATTCATAAACTATGCATCCAACAAAGGTCTAATATTGAGATCTATAAGTAACAAATCAACAAGCAAAAAAACAGCCCCATTAAAAAGTGGGCAAAAGGCGTGACCAGACACTTCTCAAAAGAAGACATACAAGCAGCTAACAAACATATGAGAAAATGCTCATCATCACTAATCATTAGAGAAATGCAAATCAAAACCACAATTGAGATACCATCTCACACCAGTCAGAGTGGCTGTTATCAAAAAGTGAAAAAACAAGAGTCACTGGCAAGGCTGTGGGAGAAAAAGGAATGCTTAGACACTGTATATAAATTAGTTCATCCACTGTGAAAAGCAGTTTAGAGATTTCTCAAAGAACTTAGAACTGCCATTTGGCCCAGCAATCTCATGACTGGTTATATACCCAAAAGAAATCATTCCACCAAAAAGACACATGCGGCCGGGCACAGTGGCTCACACCTGTAAACCCAGCACTTTGGAAGTCCGAGGCAGGTGGATTACGAGGTCAGGAGTTCAAGACCAGCCTGGCCAAGATGGTGAAAGCCCATCTCTACTAAAAATACAAAAATTAGCTGGGCATGGTGGTGGGCGCCTGTAATCCCAGCTACTTGGGAGGCTGAGGCAGAAAATTGCTTGAACCTGGGAGGTGGAGGTTGCAGTGAGCCGAGATTGTGCTACTGCACTCCAGCCTGGGTGACAGAGCAAGACTGCATCTCAAAAAAAAACCAAAACATGCATTCATATGTTCATCAATCACTATTCACAATAGCAAAGACATGGAATCAACCTAGGTGCCCATCCGCTGTAGATTGGAAAAAGAAAATGTGGTACATATACACCATGGAATACCACACAACCATACGAAAAAAAAAAAATCATGTCCTTTGCAGCAACATGGATGCCACTGGAGGCCACTATCCTAAGGAAATAAATCCAGGAACAGAAAACCAAATGCCACATGTTCTCATAAGTGAGCGCTAATACATAAAGATGGCAATCATAGACACTTGAGACTACTAGAGTGGGGAGGCAGGGAGGCAAACAAGGGTTGAAACACTAACTATTGGGTACTGTGCTCACTACCTGGATGACAGGATCATTTCTATCACAAACCTCAGCATCACACAATTTACCCATGTAACAAACCTGCACATGTACATTCTGAATCTAAAATAAAAAGTTGAAGGCCGAGTGCGGTGGCCCACGCCTGTAATCCCAGCACTGTGGGATGCCAAGGTGGGCGGATCAGTTGAGGCCAGGAATTTGAGACCAGCCTGGGCAACATCGTGAAACCCCATCTCTACTGAAAGTACAAAAATCAGCCAGGCATGGTGACACACGTCTGTGATCCCAGCTGCTCAGGAGGCTGAGGCACGAGAATTGTTCGAACTTGGGAGGCAGACGTTGCAGTGAGCAGAGGTTGCAGTGAGCCAAGATCATGCCACTGCACTCCAGCCTGGGCAACAGAGCGAGACTCTGTTTCTAAATACGTACATACGCCTGGCGCGGTGGCTCACGCCTGTAATCCCAGCACTTCGGGAGGCTGAGGCAGGCAGATCGATCACAAGGTCAGGAGTTCAAGACCAGTCTGGCCAATATGGTGAAACCCCGTCTCTACTCAAAATAGAAAAAATTTGCCGGGCATGGTGGTGGGCGCCTGTAATCCCAGCTACTCAGAAGGCTGAAGCGGGAGAATCACATGAACCCGGGAGGTGGAGGTTGCAGTGAGCCGAGATCGCGCCATTGCACTCCAGCCCGGGCAACAGTGTGAGACTCTATCTCAAAAATAAAAATAATAATAATAATAAAAGTTTAAATTATAAAAAATAAGAAAGCAACAGGTATTTTTCTCCTTCCTAAATGAAGCAAACAAACTCAAAATTGCCAAGAGGTTTTACCTTACCATAGGAGACTTTTCCAAGGAGTTACAAAGTATGTCTGATATGCTCCTGTTTTTATATTTACTTTAGACACAGGCAGGAAGAGGCCCTGAGACCACCCTTCACAAGGTGAATTGGACACATAGCTTTTGATCATGAGAAATACTTTGTTCACTATTCTAAGTAATACTTTATCAACAATGAACTTATGAAGTCTTTAGTGAAAAAGACTAATGATGAGGCTTTCTTCAGTATTTCAGCAGTCTGAAATATGATTTGATTCCTAAAATCACTAAATAACAGGAAATAGGACATTACAGGTTCGGACCTTGTTCTTATTCCTGCTTTACCATTTCTAGTCTATAACTTTGGGCAAGTTCATTTCCTCGTGCCTTAGTTGCTTCCTCTGTAAAATGGGGATAACAATAGTATTTACTTCATTGGTATTGTTTTGAGGATTAAATGAGTTGATATGAAAAACTAGAAGCTCCATAATTAAAGTTAGGTTTTGGTTTTTTATTGTTGTTTGTTGGGCTTTTTCTTTCTTTTTTTTTTTTTTTAATAATGTCTTGGAAAGAGGAAGCAGGAAACTTGGAATACTGATTTTTTGGTGTGTTTTATTTTCAGTATGCAGATCTCAATCGCCACGTGGATGCCTTGAATGCGTGGAGAAATGCCACCGTGCTGAAACCAGAGCACAGCCTGGCCTGGAACAACATGATTATACTCCTCGACAATACAGGTACAGAAAGCTGGATGGAACAAATCACAGGAAATGGCTCCACAGTAAAATGCCACCGAAGACTTAGGAAATAGAGATTATTGTGCTTTTTTCCTACTGAGTTTAAAAAAAAATTAATGTGAAGTTAATTATTTTCTATTACAAAAATGTCTATTCCTCTAGAAAATGGAATTTCTAGGCCGGGCACGGTTGCTCACACCTGTAATCCCAGCGCTTTGGGAGGCCGAGGTGGGCAGATCACCTGAGGTCAGGAGTTCGAGACCAGCCTGACCAACATGGAGAAACCCTGTCCGTACTAAAAATACAAAATTAGCCGGGTGTGGTGGCGCATGCCTATAATCCCAGCTACTTGGGAGGCTGAGGCAGGAGAATCGCTTGAACCCAGGAGGTGGAGGTTGCAGTGAGCCAAGATCACGCCATTGCACTCCAGCCTGGGCAACAAGAGCGAAACGCCATCTCAAAAAAAAAGGGGGGGGCGGGTAGGGGGGAGAGGGGGAGGGAGGGAGGAAGGCAGGAAGAAAGGCAGGAAGGAAGGGAGGGAGGGAGGGAAGGGAGGGAAGGAAGGAATTTCTTTAGACATACTGGAATGTGAATGTCTGGGAAAATGACACTCCACCTAGAACTGGTGTTGAGTAATGGGGGAGAGGTGTGACAGTATCTTGTTTCTTCTGAAGCCTGTTATCCACCATTGGCCATCCTCTAGGGTGTTGGGAGCACTCAGAAGTGAGCAAGAATGGCCTTGGGGCTAATGACATGGATAGTACTAGGTCCATGCCCCAAGTTCAGGGACTTCACTCAAAGGAGCCCCCTCAGTCTACACTTGGAGCCATGGATTCTTTCTTTTTATATAATGCTAATCGACTTGAAGATCTGGTTTCCTATCCCTGAGCAGACCAGATTCAATCAATTAGGAGTTACTCTGCCTCCTTCACTTTAAAAATCCAAACGTCTTTTAAGAAATGATGGTGTTAGGCACAGAAAGGCAAATATCACATGCTCTCACTCATGGGGGATCTGGAAAAATGGACCTCGTGGAACTAGAGAGCAGAACAGTAGTTCCTAGGGGCTGGGAAGGGGGCGGGGATAAAGATAGGCTGGTTAATGGGTACAAACACAGATAGGAGTCAGTTCTAGTGTTCCACTGCACAGTAGGGTGACTGTAGTTAACACTTTATGATATATTTCACAAGAACTAGAAGATGTGAAATGTTCCTAACGTAAAGAAATGATCAATATTTGAGGCGATGGTTGTCTTAAGTACCTTAATTTGATCACTACACATTGTATGCATGTATCAAAGTATCACATGCACCCCATCAATATGTACAGTTATGTGTCAGTAAAAATATGTTAATGATGGTGTTAATTTGATCATGGTGTAGAGCAGAGATATATGGTTGTTTCTAGGGAAAATATAGAATGTATACTTCAATGTGATAAATTCTCAGTTATGAAAGTGTTACTGTCATCCTCTTATTTTGCAGATTTGTTTGGGTATAACTGGTATCTGGGAAAAAATTAAAACTAGGTTTTAGATGGTTTTACAGAAGTTAATCAAAAGCTGTTTATGTGTTGTGTCAGAAATGTGCTGAATTGCAGTGGCTTTGCCACTGATAACGTCGTGTGTGTGTGTGTGTGTGTGTGTGTGTGTGTGTGTGTGTATTACATGATCTACACAGATTTTCTTAAGTAGTTTATTCATAATTGTCATGTGCTGTGCACATAAACCCTGTTAGTTATAGAGAGAAGCTAAAATGCGAGTACAACATTAACATGTCTTTTATTTTTCCATTTTTCACTCCCAGGTAATTTAGCCCAAGCTGAAGCAGTTGGAAGAGAGGCACTGGAATTAATACCTAATGATCACTCTCTCATGTTCTCGTTGGCAAACGTGCTGGGGAAATCCCAGAAATACAAGGTGCGTAAACCGCAGGCTGTGAGTTCTTGCAGTTAGTGCCAGCATCTGACAGAAGACGTAAGTGTTACTTCTGCCCAGTTAAATTAGGAATCAGGCCAAAACAGTGGCAGTGGTGCACCAATGTGGCTTGGCCAGTTTGTTTCCTGGAAAAGTTGCTTCAAAGACAGCGGTGTGGGGCCAAACCCAGTGTCCTTTCTCATCAGAATTAACCACTGTGGTTCACACGTGGAGAGAGGAAGAGAAGCCCAAGGAAGGGGTGGGAGCAGGCAGGGAGTTGTGGAATGTTTGGCCTCAGAGGCCGGGCAGGCTGGTGCAGGAGGAGGACTCAGGGCAGCCACAGTGCATCCCCGGAGGTGCCCCTGCCCCAGCCCCACCCTAGCACAACAGGGTTTGACTCTGTCACTTGCACATGGGCTGGAGCTCTAGGTTTTATCTGCAGGTTCCATCTTCTGCACAAAAGAATAACCAGCCCATGGAGGATGCATGACTGGTTCTTGCTGCTTCCAGGTTTTTCTTTATCTGAGTTATATAGGCCACCAGCAAGGCCCAGAGTTTTCTGACCAACAAAAACCACAAGATACTAAATCTTTGCTCCAGTTGGCAGCCAGGGTGGAGCAGGAATAGGCTATGCATAACTCCCTGTGTGTTGAAGGGGACTGGTTGTAAACTTTAATTTTGTCTATCAGAATCACTGAGGAAGCTTGTTAAAGTAGAGATGCCCAGATTCTCCCCAGAAGGGATTGGCTTCGTGGGTTAGGTCAGGTCAGGGAATATGCATTTTTTTGTTGTTTTTTTATTTTTTTTGTTTTTTTTGAGACGGAGTCTCGCTCTTTCGCCCAGGCTGGAGTGCAGTGGCGCCATCTCGGCTCTCTGCAAGCTCCGCCTCCCGGGTTCACGCCATTCTCCTGCCTCAGCCTCCCGAGTGGCTGGGACTATAGGCGCCCGCCACCACGCCCGGCTAATGTTTTGTATTTTTAGAAGAGACAGGGTTTCACCGTGTTAGCCAGGATGGTCTTGATCTCCTGACCTTGTGATCCACCCTCCTCGGCTTCCCAAAGTGCTGAGATTACAGGCATGAGCCACCACGCCCAGCTGGAATATGCATTTTTAGCTGGCATCCTGGGTGTTAAACACAGATATCACAGAAGCAGTGCCTTAGTCGTTTCTTAAGAGAAATACCTTTATTTCAGAATCAGGGGCTATATCTTATTTCAATCACTCAGCCTATGTATAAGACCTAAAGGCAGCAACTAGCTAATATCTGTCCAGTGTTATTCACTTCTCTTTTTCTGTTTATTACATGTCATTATCAGTATAATTTTCAATAACAATGGTAAGATAATTTCATGCATATCTCTAGTTTTATAATGTTGGGGAGTTGAATAGCTTCACTATGCATTTTTTAAATTTCTAGATTTTACTCCAGAAATAGCTTTTTGAAGAGGGCTTAGTTTTAGTTTTTATGAATCTACTTGTGTAGCAGGGGAAGGAGGTGAGGTTTACAGGTTTCCCTTCTAATGACCTTTCCAGCCATCTGTCAGCCTGGGACAGGTCCCAAGTCTCAGTTCTCCTCCAGTGACCCAGCTACAGCGAGTCTTCTTGAAGACTTGGCTTATATAATCGTTGTATTGATTTTTCTGTCATCCCACAGTCTGTAAACTGCTGGAATTTCTATTAAGGGGATAAAACCCAGAGTTCGTTTGGCTTCCAGTTCATGTTGTTCTTCCTCCCCCACCCCCAAGTAAAGTAGAAAATACTCTGTAAAGCAGAATGGAGAAATCAGCTTCCTCTTTCTCTACACATTTTGCATTTTAATTATCAAGGCCAAAGCACTGGGCCTAACTTAAGGAAACAGAAGGTGAAATCTGAAACACAGAACTCACGATGAGATCTTCAGGAGCTACCAAGTTGGGGGACATGATGTGACTTCCTGAGCCATGGCATCAGCCACCAAGCAAGCATTCCATGTATTTTTTTAGTTAAGGGTTTGAATTTTAAGCAACTGTTTAGGTTTTCCTCTTCTAATGCAAAAATGATACCGGTTGCTAATGGTCAGCTGCATCCCTGGCACTGCTTGTTTCAGGATGTAGTGAGGGGACGTGTTTCCTCGCAGAGCACTGGGCAGGATGTCCCAGAGAAGAGGGGATGTGGTGAGTCGCAGGGCTGGGTGAACAGACCCTCCAGCCCAGCTATCTTGATGGCAGGGCAGGTGTCTGCTCCCTGACAACTCACTTTTTACCCAAGCACTTGCTGTTTTATTTATCATGCACTTGGTAAATCTCCTCAGAGAGCCTGGAGGCTTCTTGAGGTTGGAGCCGAGTCTTTGGTCCCAGTTTTGTATCTCCATTGCTGTCGGGCAGTTACGAAGCACCCAGTTAAGTAGTTGTAAAATGATCAAATGCATCTCTCATTTGGCCCTGAAACGTTCAGGCTTCCAGAACCTATTTTGAGATGTTGATATGCAGAGTGAGTGTTCTCGTTATATCTGCGTGGCTCTAAGCACCTTTTTATTCTATCTGAGCAGCCCTTCTTAAAACCTAACAGCAGTCACTTAGCCTCTCTGGGTCTCAGTTTGTTCATCTATAAAATGGAGATAGTTATCTGCCCACCCTCTTGACAAGGTGATACAAAAAAATGCACAACAACTTAATTTGCAACTATCAAATGGTTAATATGTATATGTATATATGTATGGGTGTGTGTGTGTGTGTGTGTGTATATATATACATTTAGTGAGCATTCAATCATTCAGTGAATCTCTAGGGATCATTAAAATGTATTAAAATTTATATTACTTCTTGCCATTTAATTTCCAGTTTCAAGCTAATGTGGTAAAGCAAAAATACAAAAGTAATGTTTTTCAGTGCTTAAATCATGGCTTCCTGTGCTGATTTCTTTTTCTGTAGTGCTAATTCCAATGGCCCTGTAGCTTAAGTGCAGGTTATGTTGATAGAGTCAGTTTCCTAAGCTCCAGACATTTATGTCACACCTTTATGATATTTTTTTGCCACATCTAGGTATTACCTTATTTACTTGACATTTTTATTTAAATAGATTTTTAACATGAATGTATTTAAAGGAGAAACAACGCATCATTACTGTAAATACAGGGTAACTGAAAGTGAAATAATCATACTAAATCCCAGCTAGATACTATTGCTGGCCAAGGCTCTGAGCTCTCTTAGCTTCAAGGAGAGATTGGCCGGTATGTTAGAGGGTGGGGCCCACACACCACCACCAAGTGCAGACTTCAGCCCCAATGCAATCAGAAGGAAGGAGGGAGAATAGAGAATAACTCTCTTCCTGTGTGAGTCACGGTTTCAACTTCTCATCAGATCTCCCATGTTACCCTTCCTATTCTAGCGGAGGCACAGTGGCCCCTGTGCCCCAGAGCACTCTTGGGTGGCTGCTGTGGCTGAAATGACCTCCGCCCACCCAGGCTTCCTCGCCTAGACATACAGACTAGCGCTTGTTCCTACCTAGAGACATAATTTGCAAGGCTTTCTCAGTCCTACACCTTTGTTAAATACATTTTGTCTAATATGCTTCAGAACATAATACCTTATTTTTCCCCTTTCTGTTCAGAAAAAAAATATCCCCAACTCTAAATGTGAGTTTATTGGTTCATTGGCATTAAATTGGCTCATTGCCTGGGTCTTTAGTCATCCAGAGACCTCCACAGAAGATCAATTTATAAACAGTTCACTGCTTTCCTGAATGAGGCCATTAGAAGGCTGATTTAATAGATGAACATTTCATGGGCTTTGAATACTCACAGATGCTGCGTTCTAAAGAGGCCCCTCCAACCCCACTCCCAGGCCCAGGTACAGGCCCAGGGGCTGCCCCCGTGACTTGGATAGAGCCAGGCCGACCCACCCACACCTCCTCTCAAACCATCTCTTCCTCCTGACACCCCTTCTTTTGTCCACATGCTGTCGTGTTTTTGTTGCCCTGGCTTGGAAATCTTGACTCATTTTTCCTCCTTTGTCCCCCTGGCCCAGTGCTCTCTGCCTGTTATTCCTCATCCCTGTTCCTTCACACTGGCCTCCTCCTCACCCTGCAGAGTTTGGGTCCAGCCCTTGCTGACAGCAGTGGCCCTCTAACAAGGTGTCAGATCTGAGCCCTTCCCTGTCTTCAGCACCACTGTGTCCCCCAAATTGCTGACTCCTCAATGTCCTGAATGATGTTCGTCCTCACAGGCATCTGAGAACTTAGCTGAATGAATAAATGAATTTAGCAACACTAGAAAACTCCTAACTTTTTATCCCTAAGCCATTTCTCTCAAGTTAACACTACTTCATTTACAGGTTGGGAAGGATTTTTAAGTAGATGTGGTTCCCTGGCCTTCCTATGTCTCAAGTTTTAGGTTTTAAATGGAAATGTTTGAAAATCATCAGAAACAGCCCAGAGACTCAGAAACCACTGCGAAACTACACAACCCATTTGACTTTTTTTCTGCAGCCTTCCTGATATGGCCGGAGTCTTGACCCTCTTGGAAGGAGTTTCAGCCCCTGAAACTCGGAATGTAGACACTACACTGACTTTGAACTGACATCCCGTATGTTGTCCTGATGTCTTTCTTAAGTCCCTCTTGGATGACATTTCTAAAATATAAATGTTTCTCTGCCAGCTCTGTCTGAAAGGTCATGGTTTTGGAGATGGTCCCCCACATTCTCAGCCAATTTCTCAGGGGTACCACAGGCCATACAGGGCAAAGGAACTGGTGGTCTTGCACATTATAAAATGCACAGTCACAGATATGGGAAGCCCACCTGGAAAAAATTCATGTATGACCCAGGTAGAAGGCACAAAAACTATCCCCACACCAACAAATTTGTTTGGTTAAGCTCAATGTGTGATACCGATTTTTTTTTTTTTTTTGAGACAGAGTCTTGCTCTCTTGCCCAGGCTGGAGTGCAGTGGCGCAGTCTCGGCTCACCGCAACCTCCTCCTCTTGGATTGGAGCAATTCTCCTGCCTCAGCCTCCCAAGTAGCTGGGATTACAGGCACGTACTACCACACCCGGCTAATTTTTGTATTTTTAGTAGAGACGGGTTTTCACCATGTTGGCCAGGCTGGTCTCGAACTCCTGACTTCAAGTGATCTGCCCACCTTGGCTTCCCAAAGTGTTGGGATTACAGGCATGAGCCACCATGCCCAGCATGTGATACTGATGAAAGCATGCTCCCCTTAAGGAATGCGAAGGTGGATGGAGTGAACAGCGTCCCCAGGGCACATGTCAATAAAAACAGGTTAGGCGTCTTTATTTCTCAGCATTATGGTAGAAGGGACCAGCCAGCCATCAGTTTTTAGCAGTGATCAGGGTAGGAAGACACTTTGCCCTGCCTTTTAGGGGCCAGGTTGGAAGTGAGTATGACTTGGAAGAAATGCAAGGCTGTGCAAGAATCAATTCACACCCATCAGGGGCATTTGGTGATGGTCATGTGCAGTACTGTGACAATGTAGTTGACAGGTGGCCATTCCTTCCTCTTTTCTGCACATTCTTTCCAGATGGATGGGGCTGCTTCTGGGCGGCCCAGAGTGTTGTAGGTTCTTGGGGGAGAGGAAATGGGCCTCAACTGCTACCCCAAGAGCTCTGGAAATGGCATTGGCATGGGTATGCTCCACGGCTCAGCCTTCTCCTGTTCCCTGGGCCTCCTGTCGTCATCACGCACCCTGACCTGGGCGACTTGCATAACATTACAGAAGTCCAACCACTGCAGGGAGGCAGGTGGTGGCACTCACGAACATGTTCATCCCCTCTCTGCGGCCACCACTCCCTCCCACTGCTCCTTGTCAGCCTCTCTTTGGCAGAGCGTGGCCCCGCTGGGCCTTCCGAGTGTTTCTGGAGGAATGCATTGATACAAAAGGAGGAGGTTAAAAGTTTGAAAACCGTAGGTGATAAAACTGGGAACTGCTTTTGCTTCATGTACAATAAATATCTTCCTTTTTATGTTTCTCATTTTTTAGGAATCTGAAGCTTTATTCCTCAAGGCAATTAAAGCAAATCCAAATGCTGCAAGTTACCATGGTAATTTGGGTAAGAAAAATGTTCAACTTGAATCGTGTTGAAATTTTGTTACTTTAATGAAGTGGGTGCATGTCTATAAAATTAATGTTGGGAGAGTAGTTTTTTCAAAGCTAGCCTGGCTTTAAAATGTGGTTCTGTTATTGCATTAAAAAGATAGCAAAGTGATAGCCACACTTACAAATCTCAATTGCATGACCAGAACAGCCCCAAAGTTTGCCCACTCTATTACCTTCTCATGATGAAACTCAGATTGTCCTTCTTTGTGTTAAGCTGAGAAGGGTGAGATTGGATCAAGAGAATGAGGCTATGGTTGCGAAGAGTTCTCCTAGTAAATTAATCGTAGGTACTTTGGAAGCTTGCCATTGAACTTACCTCCTTTTCCTTCCTTCTTACAGAGTAGACCTTCCCCTTCCAGCCTGGTCTTCTGCTTTATATCCTCTTATGCCTTGGCTAAAATGCATTTATAATCATTTATTCCCTAGAATTCATTTCTTGCATTTGTATGTCTCCATAGTTAAGATGTTTAGAGCATAGCATTGTTGATGTTTAGAATGCTCACAGAAATGTTTTTTCACCAAAGCTGTTCTCTACCAACTCTGAAGCTTCTCTTCACAAAAGCCAAAAAGCGTCCACAGATGCTCTTCTGCCCATATAGAAAGTTAATTTTACTAACAAAATCACTGTCATGATCAGAGGCTAATCATCCTAATGATTAGGTTTACTGTAACTATCATTTTAGGGTCAGCTCTTGATATCAGAGGCCTTTTTTCTAAATGGACCCAAACAAGCTATTACTTCCCCAAATGGTGTAAGGAAATATTTAAAATAAACAGCTGAACTTCTGCATAGTCAGGGCTCTGGGCAGTGCCTAGCATCCATCACCCCCACCTCCCATACCCAGCCTTGCTTCCTGGAAATTTCATGGCAGCACTAAGACATTGCATGTACTCTTCTTTTTGCTTCTTTATGTAATAATGTTACTATAGGCAGATGTATCTTATCTAGTGCTATGAAGAGCCCTAGGAGTAACTGGCAGTAAATGGATAATCATCAGGGAGTGTGATTACAATAAATAGAGTTTTCAGTACAAACAATATTGTTTCATACAATTGACTTTTGAAAACTGTTTGCATAGGATCTGTAATATTTCTTTGTCCAAGAGGGTAGGAATACGGCACGTTACTCAGAAGCATTCCCAGTGAAATTTATCTCCTGCTATTTCAGCTGTGCTTTATCATCGTTGGGGACATCTAGACTTGGCCAAGAAACACTATGAAATCTCCTTGCAGCTTGACCCCACGGCATCAGGAACTAAGGAGAATTACGGTCTGCTGAGAAGAAAGCTAGAACTAATGCAAAAGAAAGCTGTCTGATCCTGTTTCCTTCATGTTTTGAGTTTGAGTGTGTGTGTGCATGAGGCATATCATTAATAGTATGTGGTTACATTTAACCATTTAAAAGTCTTAGACATGTTATTTTACTGATTTTTTTCTATGAAAACAAAGACATGCAAAAAGATTATAGCACCAGCAATATACTCTTGAATGCGTGATATGATTTTTCATTGAAATTGTATTTTTTCAGACAACTCAAATGTAATTCTAAAATTCCAAAAATGTCTTTTTTAATTAAACAGAAAAAGAGAAAAAATTATCTTGAGCAACTTTTAGTAGAATTGAGCTTACATTTGGGATCTGAGCCTTGTCGTGTATGGACTAGCACTATTAAACTTCAATTATGACCAAGAAAGGATACACTGGCCCCTACAATTTGTATAAATATTGAACATGTCTATATATTAGCATTTTTATTTAATGACAAAGCAAATTAAGTTTTTTTATCTCTTTTTTTTAAAACAACATACTGTGAACTTTGTAAGGAAATATTTATTTGTATTTTTATGTTTTGAATAGGGCAAATAATCGAATGAGGAATGGAAGTTTTAACATAGTATATCTATATGCTTTTCCCCATAGGAAGAAATTGACTCTTGCAGTTTTTGGATGCTCTGACTTGTGCAATTTCAATACACAGGAGATTATGTAATGTAATATTTTACATAAGCGGTTACTATCAATTGAAAGTTCAAGCCATGCTTTAGGCAAGAGCAGGCAGCCTCACATCTTTATTTTTGTTACATCCAAGGTGAAGAGGGCAACACATCTGTGTAAGCTGCTTTTTAGTGTGTTTATCTGAAGGCCGTTTTCCATTTTGCTTAATGTAACTACAGACATTATCCAGAAAATGCAAAATTTTCTATCAAATGGAGCCACATTCGGGGAATTCGTGGTATTTTTAAGAATTGAGTTGTTCCTGCTGTTTTTTATTTGATCCAAACAATGTTTTGTTTTGTTCTTCTCTGTATGCTGTTGACCTAATGATTTATGCAATCTCTGTAATTTCTTATGCAGTAAAATTACTACACAAACTAGCATGAAAATGTCATATTGCCTTCTTAATCAATTATTTTCAAGTAGTGAACTTTGTATCCTCCTTTACCTTAAAATGAAATCAAACTGACCAAATCATCATTTATGTGGCTTCTGTGTGACTTGGGGACCATTTCATAGAATGGCACTACAGTGTTTTCCAAGTTCAGAGAACAGAGCGAGTAGATCCACACTGAGAGGAATGTGATTCTCTGGACTCACGTGTTGGGGGCAGGTCTGTGTAGTGTTTCAGTCAGTGATTGTAACTTCTGGTGTTTGAAATGTATCAAGAAATAAAGTGCTGTGTTTAAAATATTTCTTTTTTTTTTTTTGAGATGGAGTCTTGCTCTGTCTCCCAGGCTGGAGTGCAGTGGCACCATCTCAGCTCACTGCAACCTCCGCCTCCCAGGTTCAAGCGATCCTCCTGCCTCAGCCTCCCGAGTAGCTGGGATTACAGGCGTGCACCAACATGCCCGGCTAATTTTTGTATTTTTAGTAGAGACGGGGTTTCACCACGTTGGTCAGGCTGGTCTCGAACTCCTGACCTCAAGTGATTCACCCACTTCGTCTTCCCAAAGTGCTGGGATTACAGGTATAAGCCACCATAACCAGCCTTCAAATATTTCTTAAATGGTCCCAAAACAACAGTAGTAATTTATAGCTCTCTTTAGTGGCTAAGACCATCTTCCTCTTATTTATGTTCCTATAGTGCTTCACTTGTCATACAATAGATGCATTATATGCTTTGTTGATTTTTTTTTTAAAGCAAACTTCTTTTTTTGAAACAGTACTTGTCTATTGAGAGTAATCACAAAATGATGTTTCTTACAAAAGCCCCTTCAGGATCCTTCTTTTTTCCTACCGATTCTAAAACTAGTGCCAAATCAAGTTGTGCAAATCTGGACCCCTGCCTACCGACAAATTCCCTCAGCCTTCACTGCTTCAGCTTCCAGCATTTCCATCGTAGCTGTTTTCTTTCCAGGGAACACAGTGATTAATTTGATTGATATTTCAGGAAGTCTTTGATCTGTGCAGATTTTGGAAGCATAACACACTGGCTCCCTTTTCTTCTTTTTCCATCTTAAGGCAGCCACCCTCTTTGTTTCTTCGGTTTCCTTTCAAACAAGACTGAAGTGGAAGGCCGCCTCGCAGTTCTTCTCTTATTTGGAGTCTTTTACTATTTTAATGTTTTTATTGCTAATGACAGTTGGGAGGCAGGTGTCAAAACAAACATGGGGAAGTCACAAGTTGGAGAAATCTCATCATCTCTTCCTTGATAGCGAACATCAACAAATCTGGAAAGAGGCTTGGAGCTGGGTGTTGGTTTGTTGGGTGGTTTAACATATGTAGCACATGTGAAAATGCAGCACTTCTTCCCTGTTCTTGTTTGGATTTTTACAAATTTAAATGCAGGCTTAACATTTGTTTCTCTCCGAGTTCATCCTGTCAGATGTAGCCTACAGGCCTTGACAGGACCCCTTGAGGTTCTCATTCTGTCACATTGCTTACAGATGTTCTTTCTCCTTTTTTTTTTCTTTTTCTTTTTCTTTTTTTTTTTTTTTTTTGAGACAGGGTCTCACTCTGTCATCCAGGCTGGAGAGCAGTGGTGTGATCTTGGCTCACTGCAACCTCTGCCTCCCGGGTTCAAGTGATTCTCCCACCTCGGCCTGCTGAGTAGCTGGGACTACAGGCACGCACCACCATGCCTGGATAATTTTTATATTTTTTGTAGAGACAGGGTTTTGCCACATTGCCCAGGCTGGTCTTGAACTCCTGGGCTCAACTGACCCACCTGCCCTGGTCTCACAGTGCTGGGATTACAGGCGTGAGCCACTGTGCCAGGCCATTCTTCACATTTTATTTCAAATTATTGACAAAATATCGGAACAGAAGACTGAGCCCTCCACCAAAGCACTGGACATCTATGTCCATATTCACACCCAACCAGCCTGGACTTTGGGGTGAGAAAACCCAGACTTGGACCTGGGGCTCTCCCACTGCAGTATGATACGTAAGGCATTGAGCATTGCTCAGGCGCCAGTTTCCCATCTGTACGGTGGTGATAAGAAGATCCCTCATAGCCATAACGTAGGGAGCCCAGTAGACCCTCCATAGGTGATAGCTTGGACTTTTGAAAGAGGGGCTCTGTTGGGAGTACACAGATCCGGCCTTAGATACCTTTATTCCCCATTCACTCAACACATACTAAGTGCTATGTACCAGATACTTTCTTAGGCTGTCTGAATACTAAGGTGGGTGGAAGAGGACACGGTCTCTTGCCCTCAGCAGTGGACAGTCCAGTGAGAGAAAACAAATGATCAAAGAGTCACATGAATAGTAGCTGAGGAGGGAGGCCTGCTCTAACCTGGAGAGTCAAGAAAGTGCTCCCTGGGAAGGTGGCTTCCGGATGGAGATTGACAGGCAGAGGGGAGGAAGATCACTCCAGGCTGGCTGTTCTCAACCAGGGGAGATGTCACCCTTGGGGGCGGGGGGCATTTGGCAAGGCCTGGGGATATTTTTGATTGTTAAAACTGATTGGAAAGTGACAGGGGAGAGAGAGGCTGCTGCTGTACATGCAATATTCACAGGACAACCCCCTACAAAAATCAACTGGCCTAAAACATCAGTAGTCCCAAGGTTGAGAAAACGTGGACCACACAGAAGCAACAGCATCTGCAAAGGCCCTGCTGCGGGAAAGCTGAAGTCTGAGGAGGCCGGGGAGGGTGCTTGAGAAGGCTGGCCTTGGTGATAAGCCAGCTCATACAGGGTTCACAGACCACGTGGTGCTTACTTAAACTGGGGGAGAATCCAAAGCAGGTCAGTGACATGATCCAAGTTAGTGAGGTTTTGACAAGGTCACTTGGCTGCTGGTGAGAAGAGAATTGGAGAGAGGCTAAGGATATAAGCAGAGAAGCCAAGAGACCATCCCAGGTGTCAGCGTCGAAATGAAGGTGGCTCTATGCAGCCAGGTGGCAGTGGGGCTGGAGAAATGTGGACAGTTTAGAGTAATGATAAGGAGTCAATCAACTAGTCATGGGCAGGAGGTGGGTGGTGTGGGAATGAGAGGCACTAAATAAAATTCGGCGCAGAAGCCACTGAGGGAGAAGCTGGCCTTAAACTGGAGAGAGAAGGTTCTTGAGAAGAAACAAGATAGGGCCCCAAATCAGGTAGAGTTTGGCCCTACAAAAGAGGAAATAAGGCTCCTGTATGTATGTTAAGAGGTCCAGATGGGAACAGATGTAGGCACCTCTGCACATTCATACAGTTGGCTAAGCCCCAGTTGCAGCATTCAGTGGTCATATTACAAGAAGTTCCACCTGACTCTCAACTTCTTCATATGAAAAAAAAGGCCGGTGCGGTAGCTCATGCCTGTAATCCCAGCACTTTGTGAGGCCAAAGCGGGTGGATCACCTGAAGTCAGGAATTCCAGACCAGCCTGACCAATACGGTAAAAATACAAAAATTAGCCAGGCCTGGTGGCGTGCGCTTGTAGCTCCAGTTACTCGAGAGGCTGAGACAGGAGAACTGCTTGAACCCAGGAGGCGGAGGTTGCAGTGAGCCGAGATCACACCACTGCACTCCAGCCTGGGTGACAGAGAAAGACTGTCTCAAAAAAAAAAAAAATTAAAAAAAAAAAAAAAAGCAGGTAATGTCTAATTTGCAAGGTTGTTGTGAAGGTTCAAGTTAATATAATAAAATGTCTACAGCTGTCCTGTCCAGTAAGGTAGCCACTCACCACATGTGGCTAGTGAGCACTACACACATGGCCAGTTCACGTCAAGATGTGCTATAAATGTAAAATACATGCTGGATTTTGAAGACCTGGCATGAAAGATTAATGTGAGATCTCAATAAAGTTTATTTTGATTACATGTTGAAATATTTAGATATATTGGGTTAAATAAAACGTTAAAATTATTTTCCCCTTTTTTTAACTTTTTAATGTGGCTACCAAATTTAAAATTACATCTATGGCTTGCTTTGGAGCTCATTTGATATTTCCAATGGGTAGCACTGATCTAGAGTACAGTAGGAGCTGGGTATACAGTACCTACCTCACAATCTAATTTGTGTTTTTAAAAAGTATTTATTGCATCTAATTATTGCAATCTAATTAATGTTTTCATTCTTGGACTCCTACAAGGTCTATATTTCTCATCTTTGTCCCTAAAGCTTTCCTAAGTGGACCAGTCCGATGCCCTTTGGAAAACTGGATTCCGCAGGCCTATCGTGATTATGTGATTAGCAAACAGCCATAGCTGATGAGGAAGACTCTTCCTTATAGACTAATTATAGCTAATACATGATGAAAGAATGGGAATTAGGAAATCATCCTTTTTTCTTCTGGTCCCCAAGGAACCAGTTGATTCAAACAGAGATCAGCAATAAATAAAATCATTGATGGGAAACTGCACTGGAGGGACCAGGCTGTCACCAGCCGAACCCACTGACCAATTTTTTTTTTTTTTTTTTTTAAGACAGAGTCTTGCTCTGTCCCACAGGCTGGAGTGCAATGACGCAATCTCTGCTCACTGCAACCTCTGCCTCCTGGGTTCAAGCAATTCTCCTGCCTCAGCCTCCTAAATAGCTGGGATTACAGGCACGCACCACCATGCCCGGCTAATTTTTGTATTTTTAGTAGAGACGGGGTTTCACCATGTTGGCCAAGCTGATCTTGAACTCCTGACCTCAAGTGATCTGACCACCTCGGTTCCCAAAGCGCTGGGATTACAGGCGTGAGCCACTGTGCCCAGCCCCACTGACCAATTTCACAATCATTAAGAGTGGGACACCCAGATGTGTGTCTCCCACTGTGATGCTGCATACAGTACATTGAGCCTCCCAGGATGTATCCTTGCCAAAAACAAAAACAAAAAAGGCAGTTGCACCTGAATCTAACCAAAATCTGCCTTTTTTGATGCCTAATGTTAAGAAAAAAAAATGCAAAATGACATTTTTGAGACCGTAAGTAGTAAATTTGTCATGATAATGCTATTATGATTACATAGAATATGTGTATATTTAAGATAGAAATACATACTAAGTTTGTAGAGGTAAAATGATAGGAGGTCTGGGATTTGCAATAATTAAAAGAAAAAGGAAGGGAAAGGAGGGAGGAGAGGAGAGGGAGGGAAAGAAAGAAGGAAGAATGGATGGATCTCTGCTTATCTTTTCTGACACCATTCTTGCAAATGGTCCCTTTCATATTGTCCTGGGGCAAGTCATATTTTTGTCTTTTCGGTAAATCTTTTAAATATCTTTGTTTAATGGTGAACTTCCTGATTTTATTACTGGTTTTAGGTGCCTGCCCATCTTTTCCCTCCCTGGAATCACAATCCAAATTGCATTTTTGAGAGCTGACAGCTTCCCTGTCCTCCTGAGATATTTACTTAGCTTCTGGAAATGTGCCTTCCTGAAGCTTTTGGTTCAAGTTAATTGCACCTGCACAGCCGTTTCTGCTTCAGCTTTCACAAATTGACTGTATAGCCACTTTGTCCCGCAGTTGCTATTATTTTCACTTTACCAATGCACTTCCAATTGTTGATTAGAAATAGTTTGTGCAGTGGCTCACACCTGTAATCCCAGCACTTTGGGAGGCCAAGGCAGGTGGATAACCTGAGGTCAGGAGTTTGAGACCAGCCTGGCCTACATGGCAAAACCCCATCTCTACTAAAAATACAAAAATTAGCCAGTCCTGGTGGCTCAAGCCTGTAATCCCAGCTACTCAGGAGGCTGAGGCAGGAGAATCGCTTGAACCCGGGAGGCAGAGGTTGCAGTGAGTGGAGATTGTGCCACTCCATTCCAGCCTGGACCACAGAGTGAGACTCCATCTCAAAAAAAAAAAAAAAAAAAAAAAAGTTTGTTCCAGTTATTACCCTCAAAACTTAGTGGCTTAAA
The DNA here is from genome assembly GCF_000001405.40 of Homo sapiens. Lineage (NCBI taxonomy): Eukaryota > Metazoa > Chordata > Mammalia > Primates > Hominidae > Homo > Homo sapiens. Next base: position 100,598,039 of record NC_000013.11, on the reverse strand, counting down.
ATAACAGTTTAATTTGCTTATTGTGATGGTTTTGTTTTTTGAGACAGAGTCTCACTTTTTGGCCCAGGCTGGAATGCAGTGGCGTGATCTTGGCTCACTGCAACCTCTGCCTCCCGGGTTCAAGCGATTCTCCTGCCTTAGCCTCCCTAGTAGCTGGGATTACAGGAGCATGCCACCATGCCTGGCTAATTTTTGTATTTTTAGTATGGGTGGGGTTTTGCCACATTGGCCAGGCTGGTCTCAAACTCCTGACCTCAGGTGATCCACCCACCTCGGCCTCCCAAAGTGCTGGGAGTACAGGCATGAGCCACTTCACCTGGCCTGTGATGGTTCATTTTATATGTCAACTTGAGTAGGTAGGTCATGGGGTGCCCAGATATTTGGTCAACCATCGTTATCCTGATTAATACACTCATGCATCTGCAAGTTGGGCTGGATTCATCCCCAATAGGTCCTCTCTTGCTCCATGCCACATGAGCTGGGGTGGCACAAAGACTGGGACCTGGAATGAATCATCTGTGGTCTTGGTCACCCACGTCTGGCAGTTTGTGCTATTGGCTGTGAGCTCATCTGGAGCTGAGACCTGGAATGCCAACACGTGGCCTCTCCATGTGGCTGCTTAGGCTTCCTCACAGCATGGTGGCTGAGTTCCAAGAGAGTCAAGCAGAAGCTATGTCACCTTTTCTGACCTAGCTTTGGCAGTCACAAAGTGTCTCCTGCCATCATCATAGGTCCATTCAGATTCAAGAGGAGGGAACGCAGACCTCACTTCTCCATGGGAGGCATGTCAACATCACGTTGTAAAAAGAGCACGTGGAATGGGAAATTTTGTGATGGCATCTTAGAAACCCAATTTCCCCCATAGACCTACATAGCGTCTACCTTCCTCTTCTAGATTATTCTTGGGAAATTAAAACGTCAGCATGTCGAGTCAGAGTCTTAACAAAGGCTCTGCCAAAGACGACATCCAGCAGGTATTCACATCACTGGAGCATCCCTCCAGGCACTCTATGTTGCAGTGGTGCCAATCTGGGGATTTGTATTTTGAGGCATATCACTCATTTTCCCCACTCAACCACGCAGACAGTACTGACCTCCTGCAATAACATCACAGATCTCCATTTCTCTCTTCATCCTCTTCCAGTTGGCTTCCACCTTTAGGGGCATGCACTTCCACACAGGTGCCTATCTTTTGGATTAATGAGCCTCCCTCCCTCAGCAGGCTCTTTAAAACAGGGTATAGCTTTTCAAAGCCAAAATCCATCCTGACTCACATTCTACCACATGCTGAGTTGATGACACCAGAGGCAGGGATTAGAGTGATGCTTCTACAAGCCAAGGAACACCAGGGGCCACCAAATGCTGGAAGAGACAAGGAAGAATTCTCCCTTAGAGGCTTCCAGGGTAGCGTGGCCCCTGCCAATACCTCGATCTCAGATGTCCAGCCTGCAGAACTGCAAGAGAATGCATTTCTGTTGTTTGAAGCCACCCAGTCTGTGGGGCCTTGTTATGACAGCCCTAGGGAACTAATAGAGCAAGTCACTTAATCTTTCAGCACCTTGGCTTCCTTGTCTGTAAAATGGGGAATGTAACTTTTTCACAATTATTGAGATGTTTACGTGAGAAAAGACATATAGAGTCCTGGACCAGAGCTTGGTATATCAAAATATTTGATAAATAACTGAAGGGGGGAAAACCCTTCACTTTTCCTATAATTAAATGACCCAGAAATAATTTCAGATTTATATATATATATTTTTTTGAGGGGGGTAGACAGGATCTCGCTCTGTCACTCAGGCTGGAGTGCAGTGGTGCGATCTCAGCCCACTGCAGCCTCAACCTCCTGGGCTCAAGCAATCTTCTTGCCTCAGCCTCCTGAGTAGCTGGGACCACAGGTATGTGCCACCATGCTGGGTTAATTTTTTTTTTTTTTTAGTAGAGACAAGTTCTCCCTATGTTGCCCAGGCTGGTCTTGAACTCCTACTTCAGCCTCCCCTCAAAGTGCTGGGATTATAGGCGTGAATCACCACACCTGGGCAATCACTTATTTTCTGACTAGTTCAAGTAGTTTTAATCAGTTACTTTGTTTATCAAAACTGCCTGAGTGTCCTACATTTCTAATCATTTATTTTTAAATATGTGGCATTTCCCAAAGACCAATAAAGCTTTCTTCTTCCCACTTGTGATGTGTTTGAGAAAATGTTTTCTCTCTTGATTTAAATTCTACTTTTATCCATCTTGTAAAAACAATTTTGTCTCAGCAGTTAAATTTTGATAGCATTAATTATGATGGCTAGACTTGAGATTTGTCTTGAATATCAAAACTGCTCATTTCTAGAACTTTCTGATAAAACATACAGATGATAGCTTTCACAGTACTGGCCTAGGAAACTGCAGACCTCGGCAAACAAGGTGACAGGGTAGAAAAAGCATGGGAACAGGTGTGTGAGAGCTGTGCTAGGATTAACTTCACTGGCATGTGTCTTTTATTTTTAAGTTCCAGCAATCCAATTAGATACAAACAACTCCAATCCTTCCTTTAGTTACTTGGAACCTGGGATGAATCTGTTAATTACTCCATGCCTCAGTTGCTTCTGATAAAAATAATGGTAGTGACACAGGATTTTCTTCTCAGTCATTTTGCAAGATGCAACACCCCACCCAGGCCTCACTCAACCACACTACCTGCTGCAGGACACAGCCTGCCCACTCAGCCTGCCCAGGCCCGGTCAAGCTTATGCACTGATTCCCCAGTTCTTGTCTTACACCCAAGAAGAATGAGGATGCACTGACAATCAAAGCGTGAGCAAGGCGGGGTTACTGAATGATGAAATAGCTTTCATGGAGAGGGGACGCCGGGGTGGTGCCCCTACCCAAAGGTGGGAAAGTTCCCCTAATATGGCTGAGTCTGAGGCTTTTTATGGGCTCAGAATGGAGAAGGGGCAGGCTGTAGGTAATATTGGAAAAGGCAACATTTGATTAGTTAAAAGGCATAATTCAGAAAGAATCAATTGGGAAAGGATGGGCAAAAAGGAACAGAAGTTCTCACTCTGGGTTGCAGACTTCATCCGGGACCGGCAATCCGATCTTTCAGCTTTCAGGCTGTTTTTGGCCTGAAGGTGGCGTTTCACTGGGGACCTGCCCTACCTGCCTAGGCATTTGGCTGCCTCCTGTCACTATCAGTAGTTGTCCTTGCTTTGGTTAATTTCTCCTCTATGAAATAAGATTGGACTAACCCAGGAGTCTTCAAAAATACCTAGATGCTTTATCCTTTTTTAAAAAAACATGAACTCTTATAGAGAAGTCCACTGGAAGAAGTTATAAAGGTGAGCTGCTTTGCATGCTTATGCAAATCCTCATCAAAATCTGTTGTGAAATATCATAATGTTTGAAATGCCAACACCCGCATGGAAATAAAGTATTTTGAAGGTTTCTAGTCCTGATATGGCCTGATCAGTTAAAAAGGTATCTCAGACTGAAAAAGTAAACTTCTGCCCCCTGCCATCCATCAGGCTGAGATAGCACAGATAACGACAGCAGCAGAGGGAGCGGGAAATACGTCCTCCAAGGACACACGGATGTCATATCAGGTCAAATCACCCCCGTCCTTGGGTGCTTGCTGCTTTCTTACTCACTGAGAGGCTTCCTTCTGGAAAAGCATTGACTATCAGAAGGTTTGCTGTTTGAAATCATCAGGACGGAACCATCTCAACTTACCCGGGGGATCCGAGTCTCCTTGAAACAAACAAGCAGCCTCTATTTCCAACCTGGGTGCAGAACTTCCCTTAAAGGGTTTCTGGGTGTGCCAGTCTGCATCTATATTAACTCTAGTCTCCAAGGATGTAGACCCCCAGACTCCAGACCTGATGTTGATCTGTACTCACAGCTCTGTCTGCCTTGAACCTGTCAAAACACTCTTTCCTTTAAATTTCACCTACACGCCACCCCTCCCCTAAGTCTTCAAACTTTACCTTTGCTGAGGCATCCCAGGATTCCTCTGGCCTCAGTCTTCTCTCCTTGCAATGAGCCAATAAATCTGACTTTATCCAACTACAGTTTTGCACCTGGTGGTCTTTGATTGGGCCCAGACAGGCCACGTGCCAATCAAAGCAGAAGAAATTCTCCCTGGTCTTTACTATTTCATGCAAGAATAAGGATCAAATGGATCGTGTGTGTGAAAGTGCTTCACTGAGAGAACTACATGTATAGGATTACTTACTGGAACTAATAATTTTAACAAAGAGGTTCAAATATAAATGATAAGTCCTGATAATATACAGTTCAGGGTATATTACCCAGCTTCCCCGTTTAAACCTCATGGTAAGAGAACAGGTTTTCGGCTCAGCTGGGTGTGAGTTCAAGCCATTGCACGCTTATTTACAGTGTACCTTTGAGTGAGTTATTTTACCTCTCAGAGCCATTTCACAGGTAGAATGGGGATAATAATATCTGGTTCATACTATTGTTCAAAGGATGACACGAGAAGAGTCATGTCGTGCCTGGCATATGAGGCCCACTCAATATGCCTTAATTCCCCACATTGACCACTCAAAGAGAACCCAGCTACATTTCATTTTGTAATGTCTACATTTCTAGACACCAGATTAGCATTATTTCCTTTTAAAAGTTACTGCTTGAATAGCAGGGCAGTGACTTGATTGGCAGCAAGGTGATAGGGTTAGAGAGGCTGTGGCCTGCCTACAGCTCTTTCAATGTCATTAGCTTTGAGCATGGTGGATAGTATATTTGGCTGGTCAGATTACTTCTGAGAATTCTTATTCTCCTATTCATGATTGGGGATTTATTCAACAAAGCTAAGGAAATAACCTCATATAGTGCTTTCTTCCGGTCTTTGCTTGTTGTTCCTGAAATTACAGAAGATGGCAAGAATAGCATAAACCATCTCAACTGCAATTGCTTGGAAAATTTCATACACTTTTTAAAAAAGATACTGCATATCTTTTGTGGAGAAAAGGTCAATGCCTTATTCACAAAAACCTGCCGGCAACCCACATCATCTTTAAAACATTAATTCTAGAAATACTGGGATTGAATTTAAAGTGAGCGAACTTAGCTTCGTGAGGTTGGTTTTCTCTGCTCGTTAATTTGTCATGGAAATTGTTTAGCAGTGAGACCTGTTGTAACAAGTAAAATAATCACACAGAAAGAAATAATAATCCTGCTGTTTTCAAATTTAACAACTTTTTAGAGCCGGGTTTAGAAGTGGAAGTAAGGAATCCAATGGTTTGCAGAATATACACTATTTGCTATCTTTTGCACACGCATTTTCTAAATTAGCCTACTAATCCTATGCTGAAATTTGAAAGTCTTCTTGTTAAGTTCATACTGGTTTACACAGGGAAATGATCAGAAAGTAAACCTCACGGCACGAGGTGCTTGAAACATACACACAAAGCATGAAGGTCTGTGCTCGTGAAACTGGGTTCAGTAGGGAGACAGTTACAGAAAGGAGAGGAAGGTGTTGAAACAGAGGCAAGAGCAAGAAACACAGTTTGCAGCGTGGGCAAACTTTCTGTAAAAGAAGATGTTAAGTATTTTAGGCTTTACAGGCCATATGGTCTCAGTGGCAGCTACTCAATGCTGCCGCTGTCCTGTGAAAGCAGTCACAGACAGTGTCAACAAACAAAATTCTATATACAGACACTGAAACTTAAATCTCATGAACTATTATGAATTTTTTTCCAAATATTTAAAAATGTAAAACTCTTTATTAGTTTGAAGGCCATAGACAACCAGGTTGGATTTAGTCTGCAGGCTCTTTAGGCCCAAAGATGATTATTAAATGGTTTACTGAAATAATTTGGTAATATTTCAGTAGATTTTATGGTGTTATTCAGTTGGACTTCAAGCTCCTTATATAGCCCTCCTTTTGGTTGTTTACCTCACATTATAGCTAGAGTTTCAAGAGACTTAGGGGATATCTTCCCCTCTATTGGACGTTACTTGCAATGCTGGAGGCACGCAGGAGAGAAACACCCAGAGGAGGCTGGCCTCGTTTGCATAATATTAAGTAGTAATGTATTTAGTTAAATAGGAATATAAATTAGACATCTATTACACCCAGGTCTGGAAAACAGAGCTCAGCAATTACCTGCTCTGATTTAGGCAAATACAAATGCCAAACTGGTTAATTCTGGTTAAAGACAATTTGCTGGTTTAAATCCTTGTAGTTGATAAGGAAAATGTTTGCTGAGCTTTGAACAGGTGCTGATATGATTTGGGTCTGTGTCCCCACCTGAATCTCACGCTGAATTGTAATCCCGGGTGTCAGGGAAGGGCCTGGTGGGAAGTGATTGAATCATGGGGGCAGATTTCCCCCTGGCTGTTCTCGTGATAGTGAGTGAGATCTCACAAGATCTGGCTGTTTAAAACTCTGTGGCACCTCCTCCTTTGCTCTCTCTTTCTCCTTCTCTGGCTGTTTAAGAATTTAAGATGTGACTCTTTCCTCTTCACCTTCTGCCATAATCGTAAGTTTCCTGAGGCTTCCCCAGCCATGCTTCCTGTACAGCCTGTGGAACTGTGAGTCAAACCTCTTTTCTTTATAAATTACCAAGTCTCAGGTAGCTCTTTATAGCAATGCAAGAACAGACTAATACAGGTGCATAGTGATTTGCTGACTGCATGACCCTAAGCCTAGAGGATGTGAGAGTTTGTAAAAAGGCAGAGCAAAGGGGCCAGAATGAGCAGCTGAACCCTTTGCAGTGAATGACTCAATTGTACCATTTGGACACAACCAAACAGACTTGGTGAGTCGACCCAGTTCCTAAAAGCTACCAGAGCAGTTGGCTTGCCAAGGGATCCTGAATAACTGACCAACCCTAAACTGACAAGCCCGGGACCTGCTTAGATTGACCAGTCTATTTCCTTGAGGCACTTTGTGAGTTTTATCTCTATGAGACCCAAGCTTTGCTGTGGAGCTGTCTTCACAGTGACAGCACCCTGGAGTGTGTCTATACACAAGAAAATCTTCACTTAGCACCCTCTGTCCACCTGCAGAATCTTAGACCCTACTCCTGGCTAGCTGAACCAGAATCTACATTTTAAAACAAGACCCTGGGTTGACTGACGTGCACGTTAAAGTTTGAGAAGCACCGAGGTACATCCTCAAAAGGCGATGGTTTTCAAACTTGAACTGGCATCACTCATTAGAATGTCCATCTCTGGGCCCCACCCCCAGACTTGCTGACACTGAGTTGACCCCCAGAGTCAGGACACCTCCAGTGTGGCTGGAGATTGTGCATTTCTAAATACCCAGGTGCTGCCAGTGCTGCTGGACTGGGACCACATTTCAAAAACTGCTCTTCAAACTGTGAGTTGTTTTCCAAGAAGTTAAACTGAAGGCTTCATCCCACAGAGCCTATTCTATGTTAGATTGGGCTTCCCCAGCCTTATCTGGGATGCAACTTAACACTTGTCTTGGCTAGGCACTGTGGCTCATACCTGTAATCCCATCGCTTTGGGAGGCCAAGGCGGGTGGATCGCCTGAGCTCAGGAGTTCAAGACCACCCTGGGCAACATGGTGAAATCCTGTCTCTACCAAAAAATACAAGAAACTAGCCGGGCGTGATGGTGGGTGCCTGAGGTCCCAGCTACTCAGAAGGCTGAGGTGGGAGGATCACTCGAGCCTGGGAAACAGGGGTTGCAATGAGCCAATAACATGCTACTGTACTCCAACCTAGGTGACAGAGTGAGAACCCATCTCAAAACAAACAAAAAATTCGTCTAGTCTGCGTCATCTTTAATTTTCCTTTATCAGAAGAATTATTTATCTATTTGTCTCACTTTCCTTTGCTGACATGATTTTCCCCCCTCAAAAAAGAGATGAAAGTGGAATCATTCTTTCGCTTCAAAAAGTTAAGAATTACTGCTGTCTTTAAAAATATTAATATGAGGCCGGGCGCGGTGGCTCACGCCTGTAATCCCAGCACTTTGGGAGGCCGAGGCAGGCGGATCACGAGGTCAGGAGATCGAGACCATCCTGGCTAAAATGGTGAAACCCCGTCTCTACTAAACATACAAAAAATTAGCCGGGCGTAGTGGCGGGCGCCTGTAGTCCCAGCTACTTGGGAGGCTGAGGCAGGAGAATGGCGTGAACCCGGGAGGCGGAGCTTGCAGTGAACCAGATCCCGCCACTGCACTCCAGCCTAGGCGACAGAGCGAGACTCCGTCTCAAAAAAAAAAAAAAAAAAAAAAAAAATATTAATATGAGCTAGACAAGGTTTTTTAATACATTTCAATTTAATTATGAAGTGTCCAAGACAAGAAAAAACTGTGAAAACCAACGACTTATGTACCTGATGGTTTAGATTTCTTTTGGAATTGTACATCTGTTCAAAATACAATTACATCTGCATTGTTGGAAACGTTTGGATAAAAACCAGTTTATATAAAGGTTTCAATCAGTCCACATCCATGAGAAAGTAGAAAGGGCAGGAAATGATTAAGGGGGATTATTGCTAATCTGATAAACACAGATTTGTGTCTTTCGGAGAGACAGAAGTGTCACTCTCTCCATAGCTGTACCATTCCTACCACCTGGCCCCCAAGTGGCATTGCTTTAACCCATTGTCTCTAGGGAAAATGTTCTCTTTCGATTTTGGTTCTCAGTCCTATAATTTCTGGGGCTTAAATTAGTCCTGGAGCTAGGGAAGAGGTGATGTCATCCTTCCATTGTCTCCTTCGGCCACAGTTTCATTTTAAGAGTATTGGTAAGTAAGTGGGCAGTGTGACTAGATGGCGGTCTGGACTCGGTATCAGGGCTGTGTGCATGCCCAGCTGGGGGGCCTTGGTGGTGTGTGATGTGATAGATACACACATGGTTGGCATCCCCAAGTGTGTCTGCGCTTGGGTTCATTTGTGTGTGCATGTGTGTCCATTTGATGTGGCGTGTCCCCAAGCTTGTGGAGTCGTCTGTGAGTCTGTTTTGTGGGGTGTGGCCCAGGTGTGTCAGGGTCCACCATGCAGTCGGGGCTTGAGCCTGAGTGCCCAGGTGTGTTAGGGTGGATGTGACTTCTGTGGGGCGTCCCCAGGTGTGTGAAGCTGGTTGCGCTGTGTCTGCGGCGGGGCGTCTCCGGCGGGCATCGGCGTGGGTGGGTCTGGCTGTTAGGCGGCCAGTTGTGCGAGCGGCCACGTGTGTGCGAGGGCGCCGCAGGGGCTGGCGGGCCTCGCGTTCCGCCTGCAGGGGGCGCCGCCGGGGGCGGCCTGGGAGCAGAGGCGCGGGCCCGGCCCTGCATTTCCGCCCTGGCCCTGCCCTCCCCGACAGCCCCGGCTGCCGGCAGGTGAGGCGCTGAGCCCGGGCGGGGGTCGGGGCTGCGCCTGCTCCGCCCCCCAGGCGGGGTGTCCTGGCGCCCGCGGGAACCTGGGGCGTCGCTCCCTGCGCGGCGTCCGGGTCGAGGCCGCAGCACTCGGCGTCCCCGCGGGTGAGGGAGGAGGCCTGGGGCGCCGCCGGCCGGCGAGGCCAGCCGGAGGGAGGGGACGGTGGACCCCGAAACGCGTCCTCCATTGCCCCGCGCGGGGGCCACGGGCGCGATTGCCAGAACGGGCAGAGGGCGGTAAAAGCCAGGAACCGCCTCACGCACGGGCGCTGCTTCCCTGTAAAGGAAGCGTGACAGCCCACACGCTGGCTTTCAGAGGACCTCAGCTGAACCGGGCTAACACTTCTCAGAAATTGTTTTTCATTTTAAAGATTTCCTGTTTGTAAGGAGACTAGAAGCTGCAAAAGAAATCTAAAAACGTCTCCTGGCACTTGTGAATTTCTGATCTAAGGTTTCTTTGGAGCCATTAGTGAAACTTCTGAAATTTTGAAGAAATTTACTGCCTTGATTATTAATTATGGTTATCATTGCTGTTTTACTCTGTGGGCCAAGGACAACGCCACAAGCTCAAAAGCAGACTTAAGTGTTTTTTGAACACAGCTTCTTAACTCCACGCTTAGTTGATTTAATATTTAAGTGATAAGAAAATGCAGTCGATTTCTGGCCCTTTTTATTGTTTGGGATGAAGTCTTGCCCTGTTGCCCAGGCTGGAGTGCAGTGGCGCGATCTCGGCTCACTGCAACCTCTGCCTTCCGGGTTCAAGCGATTCTCCTGCCTCAGTCTCCCGGGTAGCTGGGATTACAGGCGCCTGCTATCACGCCCAGCTTATTTTTGTGTTTTTAGTAGAGACAGGGTTTCACCATGTTGGCCAGGCTGGTCTCGAACTCCTGACCCCGTGATCCGCCCGCCTTGGCCTCCCAAAATGTTGGGATTACAGGCATGAGCCACTGCACCCGGGATTTGTGGCCTTTTTTAAAAGCAAGTTATTCGTTTTGCTAAATGTCCCAGGAGAAATGATTAATGAAAAACTAAAGGTGACCTATTTAAAGTGTAGGTCTTACACACACGTAGGTGTCCTTATGTACATTTACCTGTAAGTGAAGACTTTTCCCTGGCCTCATTCAATTTATTGAAATGCTCAGATGAAGAGCACCTGCAGTTTGCCCGTATTTTCCCAAAATGCCTTGTTTTCCTGAAACTATTCCCAGAAGAAGCCAGACTTCCCTGAATAAGCAGACCACTGTGTTCTAGCAGAGATTCGTATTGTAAAAGCTGAGTTTGCAAAGTTAAATTAATTTCTAATTGGTGGATTTTTGTACGGAAATACTTTGGGCTAGTTGATTTTACTAACCAGGCCCTAACTACTACTAGTTAGGAGAGGGTGGTTGTTTGTGGTGATCTGGATAGTAGGTAGCAGTAAGCAGAATAGAAGAGGGATTTTAAAATGATCTGTTCATTTCTCTCTTTACTAGTAAGATTTCCAATCTGTGTCCATTCTTGAAGTGAAGTCATTGGGAGGCTTTGTATCCACCTCGAGCCAGGGCCCTTACCAGTGATTAGGACACCAGCAGGCTGGTGTGGAAGTGTAGTGCAGCCATGCTTGAAGAGGGGACAGGACCCAAGGAAAGGTGACAGTAAGAGGACAGAAACACGAAATATTCGCAGCCCTCTTTAGAACATCCTCCATCTAGGCAAACTCTATTAGGAATTTTAAGAGTTCTCAATTAAACATGACTGCCCAGTGTCCTGCTGAACAGGAATTCATTCTTCAGTTGAAGCTCTATTGTCAGTAAAACTACTCAGGATAAGGCAGCCGTGTTTAGGCCGTGAGGACCTGCCCCTGGACTGCGGAGCTTGCTCCGTAAAAGGCATCGTGATACCCCCTTAAATGGATTTACAGAAAAGACTTAGCTATTGGAAGTCTCTGGGATTGTATGGCATCATGAGGTAACAGACCTGGTAAATAGCTAGAACGTAGCGAAGAATGAAACCAGAGGCAGTGTGCTGTTGGAACTGAGAGGTGAGTGCTCACTGGAGGGCCAGGAGAAGGTCACAGTTGGGGAGACCTTAAGCAGAGAACAGATTTTTATAGGCACAGGAATGGAAAGGGTGGCCAACACCATGAGCAAAAATAAGAAGCTGAAAATGACAGTGTGTTCAGACAAAGGTGAACAACTGGCGTGCTGAGGCTGGACTCCGCGAGAGGAGGGGTGGGGTCGGGGGTGGGGGTGCCTGGAAAGCAAGGCTCTCCAGTGATAACCTCTACATTTTGATCAAGGTTCTGATTTTGTTTGTTTGTTTGTTTTGCTTATTGGGAAAATTTTAAGCAAACATAAAAGCCCAGCAAAGTAGAATGAATTTCCATATATCCATCAAATGGACTTCACAAGTCTTGTTTGGCCATATCCACTTCATCTTTTTTTTTCTTTTTTTGGTTGTGGCTGAAGCAGTTTAAAGCAGTTTATTCCAGACAACATAACACTTCACCCCTAAATTGTTCAGTATGTTTCTCCAGAGAAAGGGCATTTGCTTGTGTAACCATAATACAATTATCACCTCCTGATGAAATTGACAATAATTCCTTAACATTTTCTAAAACCTAGTCCATGATCAGATTTCCCTGATCACCTCAAAAATGAACTTATTTTTACTGTTGGTTTGTTTGAATCCACATCCAGACAAGAATTTGTTGACTGTTACCTTTTTATTTTATTTTATTTTTTGAGACAGGAACCAGCTCTGCTGAGATCATGGCTCACTGTAACCTCGAACTCCTGGATTCAAGCCATCCTCCCACCTCAGCCTCCTGAGTAGTTGGGATTACAGGCATGTGCCACAATGCCCAGCTATTTTTTTTTTTTTTTTTTTTTTTTTTTTTTTTTGGTGGAGACAGGTATTGCCCAGGCTGGTCTTTTTTTTTTTTTTCCTTCCTGAGACGGAGTCTCACTCACTCTTGTCACCCAGGCTGGAGTGCAGTGGCACAATCTTGGCTCACTGCAACCTCCGCCTCCTGGGTTCAAGTGATTCTCATGCCTCAGCCTCCCAAGTAGCTGGGACTACAGGCGCATGCCACCACACCCAACTAATTTTTGTATTTTTAGTAGAGACGGGGTTTCACCATGTTGGCCACACTGGTCTGGAGCTCCTGAACTCAAGTGATCCACCTGCCTCTGCCTCCCAAAGTGCTGCGATTACAGCCGTGAGCCACCGTGCTCAGCTGTTGCCCCTTTCAATCTAGGGCAGGGGTGGCAGATGTCTCTGTGAAGAGCCAGATACCAGCTCTTTCAGGCTTTGCAGGCCCTATGGTCTCTGCCACAACTGCTCAGCTCTGCCATCGTCATGCAGAAGTAGCCAGGGGTGATAGTAAATGGATAAGCATGGCTGTGTTCCAATAATACTTAATTTCCAAAGCTTTTGTGTTTTAAAATCCACCCACAGGCTGGACTTACCCGCAGGCTGTGGTTTGCCGACCCAAGTCTAGAGCAGCCTTGGCGGGTTTCCTCAATACCAATGACTGTCGATGTTACTTGGTTGATTGCCTGTAGGGTGCCTCACACTCTGGATCTGTTGGGCTGCTTTTCGTGGAGTGTGGTTTGGCTTGCTTCTCTATCCCCTATATTTCCTGTAAACTAGAAGTTAGATCTAGAGGCTTAATTAGGTTCATGCTTGCCATTTTTGGCAAGTCTACTTCAGAAGTGGTTTGACTTTTTTTAAATCTAAATTTATCTGACTTTAAAGACTTGGAAACCCTCATCAAAGAATCAAAGAAGCTCAACATTACCAAAATAGGAGCTCAGCATTACTAAAATTGGCTTTGCCTGATGGCTGAGAAGACATTTTTTCTTTTTCTTTTTACTTTTCTTATTTGTAGGAGAGTATATAGAGCTGTTATTTCTCAAATAGTTCTTTTTTGATAGTTAATTTTTGTGGGTACCTAGTAATAGGTGTATATGAGATACAATGTGTAATAATAAACCCTCATTACAAGGTATATGAGATACAATGTGTAATAATCACATCAGGGTAAATGGGGTATCCATCACCTCAAGCATTTATCTTTTGTGTTACAATCTAACGATACTCTTAGTTATTTTTAAATGTATAGTTACATTATTACTGACTATAGTCACCCTGTTGTGCTATCAAATACTAGATCTTATTCCTGCTTTCTGTGTTTTTGTACCCATTAACCATCTCTGCTTTCCCCCAACCCCCCTACTACCCTTCCTAGCCTCTGGTAACCATCATTCTGATCTCTATCTCAGTCAGTTCAATTGTTTTAATTTTTGGCTCCCACAAATGAGTAAGAACATGCAAAGTTTGTCTTTCTGTGTCTGGGTTATTTCACGTCACATAACGACCTCCGGCTGCACCATATTGTTGCAAATGACAGGATCTCCTTTTTAATGGCTGAATAGTACTTCATTGTGTATATGTACCACATTTTGTCAAGGAGGTCTTGAGAACTTTGAACCCTTTCTCTAGGTCACTGGGAAGGTTCCTCTATTCAAGGCATTCTTTGGCCCCTCAAGCATGTGGACTGCATTTTTGCACTGAATATAAGTATATTCCTTCCCTGGGTATGTGCCCAGGGTCTGAGATTGCCTTCTAATGGTAGTTAGGTCATTTATGTTTGTTTGTAAGCCCCTTATTGCTTAAATGTTTAACTTTCTTCAGTTGACTTCCTCTTATCTCACCTCCCAACAGGACTGAAAACTGGATATTTGGTCCCCATGGACTTTCTGGTCACCCTGTGAAGTGGACTTAACTTTTTCTTGAATCATGTGGAAGGATTCTGAAGTCAAAAGTTTTTAAGACTCTCAGGCTTACTGTGGATCTGGATTCTAAGGCAACACTTCCTTGAAGAAACAAGCTTACAGGTGAGAACTGTTAGCCTCTGTTCTAGAGTGTTCATTGCTCAAATTCTAGAGCACCACAAGAAGTATGCTGACAAATAGTGCCAGTTGGAAGCCCTTGTCTCTTTGTCATTTAAGAATAGTAGTGGTGGGGAGCCAGGTACGGTGGCTTGTACTGTAATTCCAGCACTTTAGGAGGCTGAGGCAGGAGGATTGTTTGATCCCAGGAGATTGAGGCTGCAGTGAGCTGTGATTACACTGATTATGCCATTGTGCTCCAGCCTGGGCAACAGAGTGAGACCCTGTCTCAAAAAATTAAAGGAGGAGGGAAAGGGAAGGAAAGAATAGTAGAGAAAGTGTATATTCATTTCTTCATCTGTTTTTCTCTGGGGTTGTCTTTTGATTTATAAGAATTATTTATACATTGAGAATACTAATCTTTTGTCATACGTACTATAACTATTTCCACCCTATTTTTTGTACTTTGTGTAATACAGTCTCTAGGCTTTGCAAAAAATTTTAATTTTATGTACTTAAAAATATCGATCTCCCCTTTATAGTGTCTTTGTTTTGTGTTTTGCTTAGAAAGACTTGCCCATTTTAAGGTTTCTTTTAAAAATTCGTGTTAACACAGATAAATGAAAATGTAATGAGAGCTAGGAACATGTGATTCTGAAAAAGATTATTGAAGGGGGAGTATTTCCAGACAATAAATACCAAACTAATGTTGGCATTAAGATTGGCCGTATGTTGCTAAGTGTTGAAGTTGGGAGATGAGTATTTGAGAGTTCCTTCTATCATTACCCTAGTTTTGTACATATTTTACTTTCCATAACACAGTTTTTTTTACCAAGAAAAAAATAGCAGGGGGAAGTTATATCTTTGTCCCATTCATTCATATTCAGCAGCTATTTATTAAGCTATTCTGAACACTGGAGGGTATCATGTTAATGAATGAAAAAGGTGTTGGAATTTCTATTATGTGGGAGACAAATATTAGCATCATGGTTAAGGGCACCAACTTCTGTGTCAGACCGCCTGGCTTCTCGTCCTGACACTGCCACTTACTAGCTGGGTGATTTTGGACTTTTTAATTAAAAATATGTGTATAATAACAGCTGTCTGGAGGCTCTAGGGAGAATCTGTTTTCTTCCTTTTTGCAGCTGCTAGAGGCCACCTGCATTCCTTGGCTTATTGGCCCTTTCCTCCATATTCAAAGCTAACAATATTACCCTTCTCTGACCCTGCTTTTGTCGTCACATCTGTCTGATCTGATCCAGGGCAGGTTTTCCAGTTTTAAGGATTCCTCATTTGATTAGATTGGGCCCACTTGGATAATCCAGATTGATCTCTGCACCTCAAGGTCCTCACATCTGTGAAGTCCCTTTTGGCATAGGAGTTAACATATTCATAGGTTCCAGGGATTAGGATGTAAACATCTTTGGGTGGCCATTATTCTGCCAACCACAGATTTGAGGAGACAAAAGAAGGTGAATGTGGCTGAGTCCTTGGCAGGGAGGAGATGGGACTGGAGAGGGAGCCAGGGAGAGAGGATTCTGTAGGTCATCATAAGTTTTGAAGTTCCTCCCAACAGTAAGAGGAAGTTATGGTCAGATTTATTGCCCCAAATCTGAAATCAGCTGTTTCTCCAAGGAGCCCTGGTTAGCTGTTTTAAAGTGAAAAATGGTACTTAAAGGCCATAATCTGGCCCTAATAAGGTGCTCATTGCTGTTGGATTGGCAGTTGTTTTTAAGCCATTTCAACAGACAGAGACAGGGAAAACCATTGTTCAAGATAAAATATTTCATGAGCGCATACTGGTAACATCCAAGTCTTTTTCTGGACTACAACGTTTTTGCTTAATGTCATAGAACTTATATCCATACCCCTTTCTTCCACTCCAGAAATCTCAGTTCAGAACAACCCAGCATAATTTATTATTTGCTTTAGCCCTCACCCCACAGAGTCACTGCCACAGGGGTGTGGGGATTGGGAGGAAGACCATGGAGATAAAGTGTCATTTTTGCTACATCGTATCAAGCACACATACTGTCTACATGACTTCTCTCTTTTGCTGTTGATCTTGATTACCTGACTGAAATAGTGATTGGCAGGTTTCTCCACTGTAAAGTCACACTTTCCCCCTCCCTTCATACTGTGCTCTGAAAGGAAGTCACAGTGAGCAGCCTGCACTTCTGAAGGGAGGAGTTATTTAGGCTTCATCTCCTTAAGGGGAAAGTGTCTACATATGTTATTTGGAATTCTTCCGTGCAGGAGGGTTATCTGTTTTCTTGCATTTATTTACTCAGCCATTTATATCATTATGGACTCACAGATACTTATATTATACTTTAGGTTCTAATCCAATACTCCTTATTTTGTTCTCCAGTTGTTCCTGCTTTGGCCATTGGGAGCCTGTTCCATTGTCTCTTGTGTCCTTTCAACTTGTCCCATCTTTGTGGGCTGGTGGGTTTGTTTATTTTTGAGCACTTCCTTGCTTTCCAATATTGCTAGATGCCCTAGATTGATCTTGTGTATTTCCTGCTTCAGTCTTAGGTTCAGCCGTTTCTCTGGGGAACCCTGGTCCCCTCTGTTGGAGATGGTGTTAGAAACCACAAGCTGGATGCTGGTGTGCTCATTTCGACTGTGGTGGCATTGCTTTTAGGTCCTCTCAGCTGATGGAGCAAGGAAATGTCTGTGTGTACTGACCTGTGTATATACACATATCACTAAATACTTCTGTATGGAACCATTTGTTTCTGTGAGTCCACACTGGTGTCTCCAGCCCTAATCCTTTACCCCGTGGATCACTCTTGCGTTTTCCCTGCTGTCTCTCACCTCCCATTCCAACAGTGAGAAACGTGGCTCCCATTGCCTGTGGCACATTTGCCTACTTGTTCAGTACATATGTGTGTATCACAGTGTTGGAATTGCCATCTCGCCCTATGGGAACCACTTAAACAACGAGAGCCCGGTTTTTATGAATATACACAGTTCCTTTTGCCTTTAGTCTTGTAACTGTAGACTGGGCCAACAGGTGAAAGTTTCTTTGGGCAGGCTGAAATGAGATCCTACTACCTTGAGAACATCTTAACAGTCAGATCTACAGGGTGCAGATTTCATAGCTTCCCCCTGGCAGTTCTTCCATCACTTGTGAGCCCTGGCTGTTTTATTCTGCCTAAGCCAAGGCAGCCTTTGCTATCCTGACTTGACACAGAAGAGTTACTTAGTAACTGTGTTCATTTGCTAGGGCTTCCATAGCAAATTACCACAAACTGGGAAGCTTAAGACAACAAAAATTTATTCTCTGCTCACAGAATCCAAAACCAGAAATCAAGGTGCTGTCAGGGCTGCCCTCCCTCCAAAGGCTGTATGGAAAGTCCTTCCCTACCTTTTTCAGCTTCTGGCGGCTCCAGGCGTTCTGCGGCAAGTGGTCGCACACCTCCCGGCTCTGCTGTGTCTTCACATGGCCCCCTCCTCGGTGTCTGTCTTCTGTCCCTCATAAGGATATTTGCCATTGGATTCAGGGCCCGTGTAGATTGCCCAGGATGATCTCATCTCAGCTTCCCTAATTAATCACATGTGCAAAGTCCCTTTGCCGTGCGAGGTGCCATAGTCAAAAGTTCCAGGGATTAGGGCATGGACATGTTTGCTGGGGACCTTTGTTCTGTCAGCCTCACTTTGTGATGCAGCAGCAGTCGCAGGATCAGAGCAGATCCCCAGGCATTTTTGGCAGAGTAAGACCAGGTGCCAATCCCCGAGGTGTGTTTCTGCTGCTCTTATACACCGAGGCAGACCCATCAGGTCTAGACCCAGCAGGCCCCTCTTTCCTCAGCGCTGAAGGGAGGGGGCTTTGGGCTGACAGGAGACCTAAGTTCCACGTGTGAATTCCATCAGCAGAACGGTGCTCAGAACCTTCTGATTCACTCTGTAGGGGCAGAAAGGGGGTGATCCCTCTCTACCCTGTCATAAGGGTCATGGCTGACACCCCAATGACAAAGATTAACAATAGAAAAGCAAAACGTGTTCAATCATAGTTTTAAATGACATAGGAGCTTTCAGAATGAAGACCCAGAGACCCAGGGTGAACTCTCCAGATTTTGCTTAGATGTGAAGAAGCACAGACCGCCATGTGGAAATTCATTTGGAAAAAAGGGTGTGAGCTGATGGAAATAGACCGAGTAGGGAAGCCCAGCAAGGCCTGTCTCCTCAGGTTCTTCTTGGCCTCTCTGTTGTAGCATTTCTTCCTTCCAGGAATGGGGTAGGACCCTCTGGAATGAGGGTCTCATTGTCCAAGGTCTTTATGGCCAGCTGTTATACAGAAAGGCATGGGGAAGGCTAGAGAGTAGTATTTTTAGGTTTTATGGCTGGCTTTGGGGAAAGGGGTTCTGGTTCCTGTCACCTGCACTGGGGAAGAGAAGTTCTGGATCCTGTGGTTTGTCTTGGGGGAGGATGAGAGGGGCAAGACACACGCAGGAGAAAGTCAGAGAGACTGAGCTGCTGAACCCCTCAACTCCTAGGCCCTCCTCTCCCCACAGCTGTGGGTACTCCTGCCTCCGTACCCTGGGGGTGGTTTTGCTGCAGTTGCTCTTTTATTTGAATTTCATGTTATTTTGTCTTGCATAATTAATTGTTTTTGCATGCTAGCCTAAACACTGCAGGGCTGTGAGCTCTGATTGGGTGAGAACCATGCCTTCCTCATTCGGAGTCCGCCATCATGCCTTCCACATAGTGGGCACCCAGTAAGAAAGAACTCATTTCCAGCTAGTCGAGAGTGTTTTTACAGAACTGATGTTCTGAGTCAGGCCAGAGTAAATTAGAGTAAGGAAGAGTATATGCGGGAATACTCCCCATATTATGCTGTGTTCCTGTCCATTTTTCAAATGACCACATTTACTTTTCAAGCTTTTGAGTGTTAATTACCTCTTCCTGCTGTTGTCATCTGTACTTGGGAGTACGAGGCAGGTAAGTTAAAGAAAATTAATATTTTTACATCTCATGATGGTTTTATTAACTTTCCAGCATTAAATGAGGTTTGAAAAGTGTTCTTTGAGCCATTATTGAAAATAATCATAACTGCCTGCTTTGAATTACTCTTCCTCCCTTGATTTAGTTTTCTGCAAAGTTAGATCCAGATTATAAAAGCCTAATAAAAACTTATAAGAGGAGATTAGTATATCTCATAAATGAACAAAGAATGGTTTGACGGCATTGGAGGGAACATTGACGAAGTCTAAGTCATGGTTAACGTGGTAATTTTAGGAAGAATTGTGAACAGCAGGATCTTTTACAACAGAAGTCAAGTAGACTCACAGGTAAGCCAGCAGAACCAGGGTTCCGGGGCTTAAGATCAGCTGGGATATAAATGAATGTACTGACTGTGGGAGCTTGCCAGAAGCTCGGTTACCTGCCTCTCACTGGTTTTCTCGAGCCTCTGTGTCACTTCCCATCTGGGCTAACTGGCAGATATCTTACGCAAATGCGACACATTCTGGACTCTCAGGTTGCGGTGTAGTGGTGGCATAAGTGGATGTTTTCATTATGTAGAATAAAAACAATATTGGCAGAATATCTATAACAAAGACATCTTGAACAAACTTGTGTCCAGGGAGGTGCTCTCTCCATTGGCAGTGTTTGAGATTAGAGCTGTAGAGGTGAAGGTAGCCACTACCGTGGGAGGAAAAGAGGAGTGCACTTGGTGTTCGGACATTTCCCTGTGGACGCCCAGATGCCAGTATCGCCTTATCAAATGAATGGTTTTCAGAGTCAACTTTGTGATCAGGGCTCTCTTAGAAAACATCCATTTCCCTTTTCTATCTTTCCCTTCTGATATTTTAGTTGTGCCTGAGTAAATAACGAACCCCTGGTGAAGAAAGGCAAGTGAAAATATCATTCCCACCCTTTATTCATAACAATTAGGTACAAATTGGCCTTGAATTTGGTTCCTGCAGGGATAGAGACACATCCCAGTTGATGAACCCTTCTTCCCTCCCTGCTGCCCTCCCTCCTTTCCTTCTCCCCTTCATCCCTCCCTACTTTCCTTCTCCCCTTTCTCTCTTTTTTTTCCCTTTTCAGCATTTTACTGTGAACATTTCCAGACATACTCAAAAGTACAGTATAGTAACCCTCATGTGCCACCCACCCGGGATCAGAGATCACTGCACCATACTGGCTTTGCCATGCTTGTTCCACGTGCCCTCCTCCCTTTGTGTTTTGGACTTTTGTTTGCTTGTTTCTAGAGTTTTGAAGCAAATGCCAGAAATCATGTCATTTCACCCCCAAATATTTTATTATGAATTTTGAGGGTTTTTTACATAAATATAATTCTGTCCAACAATGAAAAAATATTCCTTAACATCTTTTAATATTTTATCCCAATTTCCTTTCTTTTTCTTTTTATTTATTTATTTATTTATTTATTTATTTATTTTTGAGATGGAGTCTCGCTCTTGTCACCCAGGATGGGGTGCAATGGCGTGATCCTGGCTCACTGCAACCTCTGCCTCTTGGGTTCAAGTGATTCTCCTGCCTTAGCCTCCCGAGTAGCTGGGATTACAGGCACCCACCACCACGCCTGGCTAATTTTTGTATTTATAGTAGAGATGGGGTTTCACCATGTTGGCCAGGCTGGTCTTGAACTCCTGACCTCAGATGATCCGCCGTCCTCAGCCTCCCAAAGTGCTGGGATTACAGGTGTGAGCCACTGCCCGGCCTATTTTTCTAAAACAAGGTCTGTACAGTTGGTTTATTCAAGTCAGAATTTTTAAATCCCATCTATTGTATTTGGTTTATGTATCTCTTGTCTCTTTTAAAAATAATTTTGTATGCCAGGCATTAATTTGATTCAGAGTGTTCTTATTCTTTTACCTTTCATTTTTAAACTGTTTTAGAGTAGTTGCATGCTCTCATGCTTTCATTCATTATTATTAAGTTTACAGTAAAACCAACTTGTTTGTACAATGTGAATAGCTTTAAAATGTGTGGATTCTTGTACTGGCCATCACCAACGGTATACAGAGCAGTCCCATCACCAAAAAGCCAGGAAACAAAACAAACCCTCCCTCATTCTGCCCCTTTGTAGTCTAACCCACCCCTTCCTCAAACCCTGACAGCTTTGATTTGTTCATCTTCGTATGTTGTGCCTTTTCCAGAATGTCATGTAAATGAAATGATATAATATGCAACCTTTGAGGCTGATTTTTCACTTCGACGACAACTTTGAGATTTGTTTGTGTGTATGTCCTTTCTTATCGCCATCGTCTGGATGTACTGCATTGTATGTATCCATTCACAGTGGAGGGCCATTTGGATTATTTACAGTTTTTGGTGATTTTGAATACAGCTGCTGTAAGCACTTATATACAGGTTTTTATCTGAAGAAAAGTTTTCATCTTTCTAGGGTAGATTCCTAGGAGTGCAATTGCTGGGTCATAATTTTGTAAGAAAGTTCTAGATTTAATTTTATAAGACACTTTCCACCATGCCTGTACTGCTTTGCATTCCCACCCGCAATGGTGAGAGTTCCAGTTGTTTCACATCCTTCTCAGCATCTCATGTTATCAATTTGGTGTTTCTTTATTTGAGCCATCCTAATAGATGTGTTATTTTTATTAGGTTTTTGAGATTACAAAAATTTGTTTTTAATAATTCTCTTACAAGTTATTGGATTAAATTCATATACCTGTTTTCAAAATAAATATTGGTTTTCTGATTTTTTACATTGAAATATGGTAAGTATACTGAAAAAGCCAGGATATTATATAGATAAGAGTCATTCTCAAATCTCACTAATTAAGAGATTATATTTGGCAAAGTATTACAAAATAATAACTGAATTCACAATGCATTTTGCAATGCAAGATCCATTCATTATATGCATTTCATTCCTGAGCATCTCATTCCTGTTTGACCATTAGTAGTAGTAACTAGTAGTGCCATGTTTGCTTTTGCCATCAGTTTTATGCTAGATTGGATCGGTCGATGAATAGTTGATTACATGAGAACAAACTGGATGTCAGCAGAGAGTAATTTGTTTGAATGCCCTTTAACTGTAGCAAACACCATTGTAGTGTTTGTTTGTTTGTTTAGACAGGGTCTCACTATGTCACCCAGGCTGGAGTGCAATGGCATAGTCACAGCTCACAGCAGCCTCGACCTCCTGGGCTCAAGTGATCCTCCTGCCTCAGCCTCCCAAGTAGCTGGGACCACAGTTGTGCACCACCTACATCCTGCTAACTTAAATTTTTTGTAGAGATGGAGCCTTGCTATGTTGCCTGGGCTGATCCCATCATAGTTTTTTTAATGGGCTGCTCCAGTGTGTCTGAAGCAGTAGTCAAAGTTTGCATTTGAATACCTTTTTCCTTATTAAAACATGGTGAGCTCAAAGAAGAAAACAAGTCGAAATTTGTGAAACAAAAATCATGCATCTATCTCTTTGTCTGATTTAGGAACAGTAGTCTCTGATCACTATTGGTTGAAAGTCTGGAGTTGACTCCTAGATTAGTTACTAAAATGCCACTGTTAATGTTTGTCATCTCTCACTCCTCCCCTACGATGAAACTGGGAAAGTCTCTGGGTACACAGGTCATTGCTAATGGAGGTCCTTCTGTAAAT
Source organism: Homo sapiens (assembly GCF_000001405.40). NCBI lineage: Eukaryota > Metazoa > Chordata > Mammalia > Primates > Hominidae > Homo > Homo sapiens. The sequence goes on along the minus strand of NC_000013.11, from coordinate 100,575,235 downwards.
TCAAACCTCACCCGTTAACTGCTATGGTATAGGCTCTCAGTTGGTGGTAGTATTTAAAAGACACAGAACGAAGATTCCTGTCATCTACTTGGAAGAACGTTAGCATATAGGTTTTATTTTGTGACTGGAATCTCCCTGTTTTTCCTTCTGAAAAGTTGCTGGAGGGTTCGACCTATTGGCAGACCTTCCTTTCTAATATAGGGACATCACAAAGGAAAAACTGAGCTGACAAAGGAAGACTGAGGACAGACATCAGATGGGCTCTTGAGGTTGCTGTGGCTGAAACCTCAGAGGCCAAGTGTAGGGAAGATTTGGTTTCAAGTGTTAAATTGGATAGATTTCTGTCTCTTTTTTTTTTAATACACATAAGTATGATTTATATATTATATGATATTCTGGAGGAAGCAGTTCTGTTAATTTCTTTTTATTAGTTCAGCTTTTATTTTAGATACAGGAGGTACCTGTGCAGGTTTTTTACAGAGCATATTGTACCCAGGTAGTGAACATAGTACTCAGTGGGTCATTTTCAACCCCTGCCTCCCTCCGTTCTCTGCTCTAGTATCTTCACTGGCTCTTGCTCCCAGGTTTATGTCCATGTGTGCTCAGTGTTTAGCTCCCATTTATAAGTGAGAACGTGGTATTTGGTTTTCTTTCTTTTTTGAGATGGGGTCTCGCTCTGTTGCCCATGCTGGAGTGCAGTGGTGCAATCTCAGCTCACTGCAACCTCTGCCTCCCAGGTTCAATCGATTCTTCTGCCTCAGCCTCTTGAGTAGCTAGAACTACAGGTGTGCACCACCACACCCAGCTAATTTTTGTATTTTTAGTAGAGACAGGGTTTTGCCATGTTGTCCAGGCTGGTCTCAAACTCCTGACATCAAGTGATTCCACCGGCCTCAGCCTCCCAAAAAGTGCTGGGATTACAGGTATGAGCCACCACGCCCGGCCAGGTTTTCTGCTCCCGTGTTAATTCAGTTAAGCTTATGGCTTCCAGCTGTATCCATGTTGCTGCAAAGGACATGATTTCTTTCTGTTTTATGACTGTAGTAGTCCATGGTGTATATGTGCCACATTTTTTGTCCAATCCATTGTTGATGGACACCTATGTTGGTTCCATGTCTTTGCTGTTGTGAATAGTACAGCAATGAACATATGAGTGCATGTGTCTTTTTGGTAGAATGATCTATTTTCCTTTGGATGTGTACCCAGTAATGGGATTGCTAGGTAGGTCTGTTTTAAGTTCTCTGAAAACTCCAAACTGCTTTCCACAGTAGCTGAACTAATTGACATTTCCACAGTGTATAATCATTCCCTTTTCTCCACAGCCTCGCCAGCATGTTTTTTTTTTTTTTTTGACTTTTTGATAATGCCATCTTGACAGGTGTGAGATGGTATCTCATTGTGGTTTTGATTTTCATTTCTCTGATTAGTGAAGATGAGCTTTTTTGGGTATGTTTGTTGGCCACTTGTGTGTCTTCTTTTCAGAAGTGTCTGTTCATGTCCTTTGCCCATTTTTAATGGGTTTATTTGTTTTTTGCTTGTTGATCCTGTGTTCGAGTAGTTTTTGTTTTAAAACTAACATATTAGGCCAAGCACAGTGGCCCTCACCTGTAATCCTAGCATTTTAGGAGGCTGAGGCGTGTGGATTGCTTGAGCCCAGGAGTTTGAGACCAGCCTAGGAAACATACTGAGACCCCATCTCTCAAAACAAACAAATAAAGAACCTAACATATTAATTGACCATTACATCTGTTGGGATTGGAATAAATCAGAAATAGTAAAGGATTAGTAAGGGTGTTACATCCATTGGACTCAAGTCTTTGTTTTGTTTAAAAAGTTATATATGGGTCTCTTTTAAACTTCTGGCTTATTGAGATTGTTTCAATGAAGTCACATATATGCACATATATGCACATATTTCATGGGATGGGGGAAGGGGTAATGGAAGAGTATTGGGCCTTAGTCCAGGGTGTTTAGAATACCAGACTAATATAGCTGCTGCCCCCTGGTGGCAGTGTAGTAAACAGTGACGTTCAAAGGTAAGGACTTGTGGAGAGCTAAGTCCAGTGGACTGTGGGTGTCAAGAGGATTGTAGAGGAAACTGGGAAGATGCCGCTTCTCTCCCACTCTTCTTGTGATTGCTACCTATATGGTCTTAGAAAAATCTTTTAGTTGGATTGAAGTGTAGATTTCATATTCAACTTTAAAATGTACTTTCTAAACTTTTTCCAGCCTTAATACCCTATGCTTCTCCAAGGGTATTAATAAAAGATGCCATTATATAGCAAAAGATGTCAAGTTCTATTTTTTTCCTTTAGCAGCTGTATCCTAAGAAACCCCAGATATTCGTTCAGGAAAGCAAGTTCTAGAGTACACCCTGAAGCTAGATACAGCTACAGCTCTGGGCAGCAAAATGCATAAATGTACCTGCAGCACAGTTCATCATTAATCAGTTTGAGGACTCTGCATTCTTATGAAAAGCTTACATCATCTGAAAAATGTTTTTTATCCTGGTGTGGTGGTGCACGCCTGTAGTCCCAGCTACTCTGGAGGCTGAGGCAGGAGGATACCTTGAGGCAAGGAGTTTGAGGCTGCAGTGCACTATGATCACACCTGTGAATAGCCACTGCACCCCAGCCTGGGCAACATAGCAAGACCCTGTCTACAAAAATAAATAAATGTTTTAAACATTAACACATAAATTTTACCATCTTAACCATTTTTAAGTGTACAGTTCAGTAGTATTAAGTATATTCACATTGTTGTGCAACCAACCTTGAGAACATTTTCATCTTTTAAAACTAAAATTCTATATCCATTAAACAACTCCCCATTTTCCCCGTCCCCCAGCTCCTGGTAATCACCATTCTGTTTCCTGTCTGTATGAATTTGACTACTCTAGGTATGTCATAAAAGTGGAATCTTACAGCATTTGTCTTTTTGTGGACTGGCTTATTTTGCTTCGCATAGTGTTCTCAAGGCTTATCCTTGTTGTAGGATGGGTCAGAATTTCCTTCCTTTCAGTCTTTTCAAGGCTCTGTAATATTCCATTGTGTGTATACCCCACATTTTGTTTATTCCTTCCTCTGTCAGTGGACACTTGGGTTGCGTCCAACCCTTGGCTGATGCTGGGAACGTGCATGAGCTATGTCATTTTTAGTATACTGTGCAGACCAATGCAGAGAAGGGCTTATACAGGTTTTTCCTGCACACAAAAGGTTAAATTTCATAATAAAGAACACCAGTCAACCATACCAGATAACTAGTGTATGGCTTTTTGTATGTTTGAGTAAGTTAAAAAAGGTTAAGACTTATTGGATACAAGATATATGCAAGGCATTATTATATCTGTGATATATTCTATTTAGTCCTTGTAGTTCTGTGATTTATCCTTCTCTCAGAGGGAGTAAGAATTATTGAGATCATGTGTGGGCCAGAATGTATATATACATACATTATCTCCATACATCAATGTTTGAGGTGGGCATTATTATCCCCATTTGTAGGGAATTGGAACTGAGGTTCACAGAGATGAAACACCCTGAACAAGGTCACACAGCTGAAACACGGCAGGGTTTTACATGACTTTGAAATGAAGTACATCTAGTTGTAAAGTGTGTCCTCTGGGCCGCGTGCAGTGGCTCATGCCTATAATCCTAGCACTTGGGGAGGCTGAAGTGGCAGGATTGCTTGAGGCTAGAAGCTTGAAACCAGCCTGGCCAAATGAGACCCCGTCTCTACAAAAATTAAAATTAAAACTAAAAAAAGAAAGTATGTTCTCTGTCTACACCACACTTTCTTCTGCTGCACAGCATACACATCTGTGTTCTGAAGGATATTAGAGCAATATCAAAGAATGGCACTTCTATATGATCATTAGAAAAACTGTAATATCTTTGCATTAAATACAGTCTTTTCAATTTTCCTTGCGAAGACACAGCATCAGTTTGGATGAGTTCATCTGAAATGTATTGCCAAGGCTTGCCTGCTGGGGGATTTTGCAAAATAAATCTCCCTACTTACAAAAGTGTGCTTCTCATGTGCCAGTTCCCATGTATCTGAGGTTATCCTCCTCGACACTGTTATCTTCCCTTTTTTCCCTTCTTTCCTTTGGATTGGCAGAGAGCTAGGACTGTTGTCACTGCTCTCTGCTTCCCTGTCTCTTTAATGCCATGGTGTTTTGGGCTGGAGCTTTGATCCATTCTGGCACTGTGTTTTCACACAGCTCAAGGGCTATAAACTGTCCTCATAGGGGGTCGTTTTCTTGGAGACTGAGCAATCTCTCGGGGAGGCCAATCACAACATTTTCTTACATATGGAATTATTAGATGAGCAAATAAGTAGCGATACATCATCTGAGCAGGCATTTAAGCCTAAGATTCCACGTTTTTGGGTATCCTTATAGCAGCACCCCAGTCTCTGTGGTACAAATTTACTGTATTAGTCTTTTCTCATACTGCTAATAAAGACATACCTGAGACTGGGTAATTTATAAAGGAAAGAGGTTTAATTGACTCATGTTCAGAATGGATGATGAGGCCTCAGGAAGCTTATAATCATGGCAGAAGGAGACATTCCTTGGGATTTTATAAACCTAGAGGATGGGTAAGGACCCAGACTGCTTCCAGAGATTCATTTGAGGTCTGATATAATTTGGCTGTGTCTCCACCCAAATCTCATCTTGAATTGTAGTTCCCATAATCCCCACATGTTGTGGGAGGGCAGGTGGACATAACTGAATCATGGCAGCGGTTCCCCCCCATCCTGTTCTTGTGATAGTGAGTTCTCATGAGATCTGATGGTTTTATAAGGGGCTTCCCCCTTCATGGGGCACTCATTTTCCTTGATGCCACCATGTGAAAAAGGACATGTTTGCTTCCCCTTCCGCCATGATTATAAGATTCCTGAGGCCTCCTCAGCTATGCTGAACACGAGTCGATTAAACCTCTTCCTTTTATAAATTACCCAGTCTCAGGTATGTCTTTATTAGCAGTATGAGAATGGACTAATACAGTAAATTTGTACCACAGAGAGTGGGGTGCTGCTATAAGGATACCCAAAAATGTGGAAACCACTTTGGAACTGGGTAACAGGCAGAGGCTGGAGCAATTTGGAGGGCTCAGAAGAAGACAGTAAAATGTGGGAAAGTTTGGAACTTCTTAGAGACTTGGAGGGCTCAGAAGACAGGAAGGTGTGGGAAAGTGTGGAACTTCCTAGAGACTTGTTGAATGACTTTGTCCAAAATGCTGATAGCAGCATGGACAATAAAGTCCAGGCTGAGGTGGTCTCAGATGGAAACGAGGAACTTGTTGGGAACTGGAGCAAAAGTCACTCTTGTTACGCTTTATCAAAGAGACTGGCGGCATTTTGCCCCTGCCCTAGAGATCTGTGGAACTTTGAACTTGAGAGAGGTGATTTAGGGTATCTGGTGGTAGAAGTTTCTAAGCAGCAAAGCATTCAAGAGGAAGCAGACCATAAAAGTTTGGAAAATGTGCAGCCTGACAATGTGATAGAAAAGAAAAACTTATTTTCTGGGGAGAAATTCAAGCCCACTGCAGAAATTTGCATAAGTAACAAAGAGCCAAATGTTAATCACCAAGACAGTGGCGAAAATGTCTCCAGGGCATATCAGAGACATTCTCAGCAGCCCCTCCCATCACAGGCCTGGAGACCTAGGAGGGAAAAATGCTTTTGTGGGCTAGGCCCAGGGCCCACATGCGCTATGCAGCCTCGGGACATGGTGCCCCCCTGCCTCCCAGTTGCTGCAGCTCCAGCTGTGGCTAAAAGGGTCCAGTGTAAAGGTCAGGCCATTGCTTCAGAGAGTACAAGCCCCAAGCCTTGGCAGCTTACACGTGGTGTTGGGCCTGTGGGTACATAGCGGTCAAGAATTGAGGTTTGGGAACCTCTGCCTAGATTTCAGAGGATGTACAGAGGCACCTGGATGTCCAGGCAGAACGATGCTGCAGGGGCAGAGCCCTCATAGAGAACCTCTGCTAGGGCAGTGCAGAAGGGAAATTTGGGGTTGAAGCCCCCACACAGAGTCCCCACTGGGGCACTGCCTAGTAGAGCTGTGGGAAAAGGGTCCTTCACACTCCAGAGTGGTGGAACCACCAATGGCTTGCACCGTGCACCTGGAAAAGCAGCAGACACTCAATGCCAGTCTGTGAAGGCAGCTGGGAGGGAGGCTGTACCCTGCAAAGCCATAGGGGCGGAGCTGCCCAAGGCCATGAGAGCCCACCTCTTGCATCAGCATGCCCTGGATGTGAAACATGGAGTCAAAGGAGATCATTTTGGAACTTTAAGATTTAATGATTGCCCTATTGGATTTCAGACTTGCATGGGGCCTGTAGCCCCTTTGTTTTGGCCAATTTATCCCATTTGGAATGGGTTTATTTATCCAATGGCTGTACCTTCATTGTATGTAAGAAGTAACTAACTTGATTTTGATTTTGTGGGCTCATGGGCAGAGGGGACTTGCTTTGTATCAGATGAGACTTTGGACTTCACTTTTGAGCTAACGCTGGAATGAGTTAAGACTGAGGGACTGTTGGGAGGGCATGATTGTGTTTTGAATTGTGAAGACATATGATTTGGGAGGGGCCAGCAGTGGGATGTTATGGTTTGGCTCATCTTAAATTGTAGTTCCAAATCTCATCTTGAATTGTAGTTCCCATAATCCTGACGTGTCATGGGAGGCACCTGGTGGAGATAATTGAATCATGGGGGATGGTTTCTCCTATCCTGTTCTCGTGATAGTGAGTTAGTTCTCACAAAATCTGATGCTTTTATAAGGGGCTTGCCCCTTCACTGGGCACTCATTCTTCTCCTTGATGCCACTGCCTTGTGAAGAAGGACATGTTTGGTTCCCCTTCTGCCATGGTTGTAAGTTTCCTGAGGCCTCCTCAGCTATGCTGAATGTAAATCAATTAAACCTCTTTCTTTTATAAATTACCCAGTCTTGGGTGTCTTTATTAGCAGCATGAGAACAGACTAATACAAGGTCTTCAGTAACCCCTGACAGCAGGATGTTGGCCAATAAATATAAAAAGTGGGATTGGTAGAAATTGCTGATTGCAACCAAATATCCATTCTCTTCTTTCTTAATTACTGGTCCTGTTTTATTCAGTGACCCATGTGCCTAGTTATGGTGAATGAGAGGTAAGCAGAAATGTGTGGGGCTTCCAGGGAGGTTTTGAAAAGGAACCCGATTCAATTGGAAGTAGGGCCCTGGTTCTTCACCTGCCCTGCCTCATGCCACCTCCTTTGAATGTGACATTATGGCTAGAGCTCCACCAGCCTTTTTTGTCTTGTGAGGGAAGATGGTGGTACCTGAGATTAGAAATTAGTTAACACATAGAAGGATCAGTCAGATACATAACTGCATTCAGGCTAGTGGGAGCCAGGTTTCCCAGTGTCAAAGAAGAGAGTTATTAATACAGAAATGCAGAAAACTGGAATGAATCCTGTGATATGCTTTGGGTTGTGTGTGTTTGTGTGAATTCATGGTTTTCAATAAGTGTAGACAGATATAGAAGTGAACATAGATGTAAAGGTGTAAAGAAGTGAATGTAAGTGTGCGTGTGTGTATGTTTATATGTGGATACAGGCATATATTCTGCTGGCGCAGGGGTTGTGGACAGATGCAGCCCAAAGACAGCACACCCTGCACCCAGATCTTGGCATCTAAATACCATTTGCTACAAGAGAACAAGAGCTCCTTGGAGAGAGGGCTGATGCCAGGGCTGGGACAGGGAAAGTCTAAGATGAGCCTGGAACATCTTGAACCAGAAAGCAATGGAATAATGAGGAAGATGGGCCAAGGGGACAGAGAAGCTTGCTGGAATTCACCCCATCTGTCCAAAAGGGGACAATGTAAGCATCAAAAGAAATAATGATAGCATTGAATATAATAGGAAACCATAAGTCCATGTAGATACAAATAAATAAATGAACAAGTGGCAGGTTTGATGGTGAATGAGATGTTGCATGGTTTCAAAATCCCTCTTCATAAAATGCTTAACTATAAAGGGCAAAAGAGTAACTTCTCTGTGGAGAAGCCTGGCAGTCACCACCTTAAGTGATCAGAGTGAATGTCATCAATAATGGAGCAAGTTGAAATCATATGGTGTCTGATAGGAGGCAGTGAGAAGAACATAGCATCATTTCGGAAAGATTCCTGCTCAAGATATACCATCCGAATCTAATCAGGAGACAGCATCAGACAAAACCAAATTCAGGGACATTCAACCAAATCAATGGCCTGCAATCTTTAAAGGATCGTGAATGCCAAAGACAGGCAGGAATTGTTCCAGATGGAAGGAGGCTAAAGGACATAGCTACATGCAATTGGGATTGTGCACTGGGCCCTTTTGCTGTAAAGCACGTTATCAGGACAGTTGGAAAAAGTTCAAACTGTCTGCGAGAAGGTGGTAAACTTAGTCACAAATGCTGATGCCCTGATGTCACAGGTTGTAGTGTAGTGAGATCAGATGTCTTTGTGGGAAACAGACATGACTGTGTTCAGGGATAAAGGGCATCAGGTTGGCAACTAACCAGTGGTTTACTCCCTGAGCAGACACTTCTTAAATACCTACCCACCCAGTTACCAGGGCTGAGAGCCGAGGAGCATGAGTTGCTGGTGCCCGGGCCCCCAGGGATCTGGTAAAGGGGACCTCGGCAGCCGCAAGGCCAGGGGCAAAGGGCAGCAGTGTCCCAGGGTCAGTTCTGCCTCTAGGGCTCACGGTGAGAGACATGGTACCAGAAGGATGGTGTTTGAAGTAACCTGGAAGCACAAGGAGGATTTTGCCAGGCAGAGTGCTGAGGAGTGAAGAGTGTGAAGGGCCTGAAAGGCAGTAGCAACCGAGAAAGCAAAGAAAGTACCACAGGCAGTGTGAGGCATGGCTGAGCGGCAACTGGCCTTTGTGAGCACGTGAAGACATTTGGATTGGCCCTCTGGACTTATCCACTGCTGAGGAACAAATCACCCCCAAAATTAGTGACTGAAAACAACAAAAATTATCCCACAGTTTCTGTGGCTCAGGATCTAAGAGTGGCTTAGCTGTGTGATTCTGACTTGGGTCTGTCACAGGCTGCACTCAGGTGCTGGCTGCACTGTGGCCTTCTCCAGGCTTGACTTGGGGAGACCTGGAGCTCACTTCCCTGACAGCTGGCATGCCTTGGTCCTTTCTGACTGTTGGTGGAGACCTCACTTCTTCTCTACGTGGCATCTCCATGGAAATGCTCATAGCATGGCAGCTGGCTTCCTTCACAGTAGGGGATCTGAGAGCGGCAGAGAGCTCCCAGGACAGAAGCCGCAGTCTTTTTATAACTGAATCCCATCACTTCCTCTGGATTGTGTTTGTTGGCTGTCAGTCACTAAACCCATGCTTGGAGGGGCAGGAATCACACAGGGACAGGGATGCCAGGCATGGGCTTGGTGGGTGCCATGTGAGAGTCTGCTTGCCACACAGAAGTCCCCACAGCTGGACAGGCAGGGGCACATCCAGGCATGCATGTTGGAGGTATCACTCTAGCTCTGAGGGGGAGCAGCAGTGAAACTATTTGGGAGAGGATCACAGAGGACAGAATTGAGTGGGGAAGAAGAAATGGGCGTCATCATCAACGTAAAACACTGCTCAAGCAGCTGGGGAGGAAAGGGGGGTTAACCTGAGTGGTTAGAAACCAGCTTCTGCAGAGATGCTTTTGCAGAATCCTTTTGCTGTGAAAGCTACAAGGCAGCGACCTCGTTTCAAACACCTGGTGTCACCAGCACCACGTTTTAAAGTTGTGAAATATCAGGGCTGTTATTTTTTCAGTTACGTCTCGTAAGCACTACTTTGCCTTGACTGTCAGGAGTCAGATGTGCAAATGAAAGCTGTTAACGTTGTCAGGTAGGTTGACTGGACCAGGCTTTAAAATACCAACTAATCCCTTTTGACACTCTGATCTTTCAGCATGATGGTTAAAGGATTGTGTCTTTCCTTTTGAAATCTCCCAGTTTTTTGAACTCTGATCTGAGCACAAATTATTTTAAAGAATGAAGTTTTCCCTGAGATTTTAGATTTTTCATCTCACCAAGCCGCTCTAAACAAGACGAACCGTGAATTCTTAGAGTAGAGCCACATACGCAGTGGGAACAAGGTCAAAGATTGGGAAGGAGGCGGCGGCCATCCCCTGTGAAATACTACAGGGAGAGCATACCAGGTCTGTATCACAACAGGCTTTTCCTTGCATCATTGTGCTTGAAGTTAAAAACAAACATCACAACCTCCCTTTAAACCTGTATGTTCCCTGGGAATAGTAGCGGTCTGGAGTGTGGTTAAAATGCTGTTTCTGGAAGGGTGACCTGGGCCTTGGGCTTCCCTCCCCCATAAAGGCCTGGCTTCTGCTGGGTTCAGGCCCAGCCCCCCCGCCCCCTGCCCGGGGCATAGAGCACTCAGAGCTGGGTACTGCATGATGCTGGTGACACCAGGTGTTGAAAGTAAAAAATGTAATTTATTTCCACACTTTTCAAATGGCCATTCCTGTGGCTTAATATTTGTACTTCGGTCGACCTTGAATCATGAAAGTAAAAACATAATGCTCTTAGAAAATGTGTACTCAGCGTTATTTAGGCAACAGTCTCGTAGTTAAATAGAATGATAAGAAATTTAAAGGGTGAATGTGTACTAAACTTGGAAGGGCTACCTGTTAGTTATTCTAAGGCTTTTTGTATTATCTTCATTTTCACATATTTTGTTTTCCTTTTTGTATAACTTGGATAATTTTTTTAAAAAAGATGTTTATACAAATCTTCAATCTTTAATACTTGGAAAATTAGCTCTTCTGGTTCTTTGAACTTGCCATGTAGGTGAAGGTTGAATGTAAGTCTTTTTTAGGAAAACCTGTGAAAATGAAGGAGTGCCCCTTCTCTGTTTTTAAAGTATACAGAGCATCATGAATCCTCTTTAATCTAAAAGTTAGTAGTTCGAGAGCATCACTGTAAAACAGATAGACCCTTCCCACAATCAATGATTTTCCCAAAGGGTAATCACCAGAATCGCCTGGAGAGCTTTGAAAAATACTGTATTTTATTTGAAATGTAGATTCCTGCCCCCAGCTCCTAAATTACTAAATCCAACTCTCTTGCGAGGGACCTAGAACATCAGCGTTGAAGCTTCACATGCATTTTGGGAACTCAACAGGCGTGGGGAGCCCCAGCCGCAGGTCCAGCCCAGGGTGGCCACAGGCACCGAGACTGCCCCAGGCTTCCCTCCACCCAGTCCCTGTCTTTTGGTTCCCAGTAGCCCACAGGCCCCCAGGGGTTCCAAATCTCTGTTCCCTGCACACGCCTGGGCTCACGCTCCTTGCCTGGAAGGCACCCACCTCCTCCTTTCCCCTCTTTCCAGCATGGTTTTTACCCTCCTCCAGGGGCAGTGCCCAACCTGTTGGGGGCTGCATCCAAGTCACCCACACAAAATTCATTCTTCTCTTTCCTGTTCCTTATGACATGCTGAACAAACCCTTCACTGTGGCATTCCACACATCATATTCTAATAGTAGATTTTATCTGTATCATCTTTTAAAGTTTAGTTTAATTAATTAATGTAAAGACAGGGTCTTAACTGTGTTGCTCAGGCTGGACTCAAACTCCTAGGCTCAAGTGATCCTCCTACCTTGGCCTCCCGAGTAGCCAGGACTACAAGCATGTGCCACCATGCCCAGCTTGGACCACTTTAAAAGATTTATTTACTTTTAATTTAGAGGTTTTTTTATTGAGATAAAATTCACAGAACAGAAAACCATTTAAAAGTGAAGGATTCCATGATTATTTAGTACATAATGTTATGTGATTACAACTTCTGTCTAGTTCCAGAACATTTTCCTCACCCCAAAAGAAAGAAACCTCTTCCACACTAAGCATCCCTCCCATTCTTCCATCCCGAGCCCCTGGCAGCCCCCATCCCCCTACCTGTCACTGTGGCTTTACCCGTGCTGGGTGTTCTGGATCAGTGGATGCATGTCACATGTGCCCCATGTGTCTGGCCCCTCTGAGTGAGGATAATATTTGCAGATTGATCGTGGGGCAGCATCCATCAGTGCATTCATTCACTAGGGTTGCTACAACCAAGTGCCACAGACCGGGTGGCTTCAACAACAGAACTTTCTCACAGTTCTAGTGGTTCAGAAGTCCAAGATCAGGGGCCGGCAGGGTTGGTTTCTCTGGAAGCCTCTGCTTGGCTTGATTTATATAAGTAAGATTGTGTGGAGTCTGCTTGCAATTCAAGGCAAGTAACGCTTTGACTTGCTTTCTTTTTTAGCACATGGCAGTGGGGGCCCAGGCAGGGGAACGGGAGCTCTTTTTTTGGGGTTGTTAGGAGTTTGAACTCTGGAGTCAAGAAACCACCCAAGTTTAAGGCTGTGCCTTTTCTTTTTTCTTTTCTTTTTTTTCTTTTTTTTTTTTTGAGACATTGTCTCGCTGTGTTGCCCAGGCTGGAGTGCAGTCGCGTGATCTCAGCTCACTGCAACCTCCGCCTCCTGGGTTCAAGTGATTCTCGTGCCTCAGCCTCCCAAGTAGCTGGGATTACCGGCATGCACCACCATGCCTGGCTAATTTTTGTATTTTTAGTAGAGACGGGGTTTTACTATGTTGGCTGGGCTGGTCTCAAACTCGTGACCTCAGGTGATCTGCCTGCCTTGGCCTCCCAAAGTGTTGGAATTACAGGCGTGAGCCACCACACCTGGCCTCATGTGCCTCTCTTACCAGTGGTGTGACTTTGGGTGAGTTGCCTGTGCTGTCTGTCCCAGTGTCCTCTGAGTGCTGTGAAGGTGGGTGAAGTATATTTGGTGAATCACAGGTACTGCGTGAGGTGCCAGGCATGATCCTTGCTGGTGCCAGGTTTGAAGAAAATGGTGTTTGTGCAAGGAAAAATTTTTTTTTCTGTGCAAAACTAAGGTGTATTTATGAAAATGGAAATCAAGTCTTAGCCCTTCACCGAGCTTAGTTGTAGAGAATATCTAGGGTAGTTTCTGTCGGGGTCCACACAGGCAGTGGACAGGGGCTTGCCGTTTTATAGAAGAATAAAATTTCACAACTTCTGTGTACTTCCAGTAATTTGAGCTTTAGGTTGAAGCTTGCGAGGTAGGCAAGGTAAGAGTTTCTGTCCCTATTTAGAGGCACCTAAACCCCAGTGAGGCAAAGTGAGTCACCCAGGAGCTGCCTGGAATCTGGTCCTTTCGAACCCACTGTTGGGCACAGCCTCCTCCGGGGCATGCAGACTCTGCCGCATGACCTTTGAGCAGAGTTAATGATTTCCTATTTGTTTTATTTCATTCAAAACAACTGTCATTGCTTGAACCCACCCATGCTGGGCACTTGTATACTCCCAGGGGATCCCACTCCCCCACTCTGGGAAGTGCCAGGGTCTCACTGGACAGAGAAGGAGATCCAGGATGAGAGGTTCAGTCATTTGCCAAGGTCGTGAGCCCCAGCCCCCCACTGAGCAGCACCTCTGCCCCTCCAGGGTCCTGGGTTGGAGGTGTGAAGGGCATCCCGGGCCCTCCCACTGCTGGGTTCTTCTAAGTACAGGAATGTCTGCTGCACACATCTTCTGAAGATAGCATTCTCTTGATCTGAGAAGGGAACCAGTACCACTTGCTGGGTGTTTAGCCAGCACTGCACATTTCAGAATCTCATCCTGGTGTTAATAGCCCCAGGTAAGACAAGGCCACATGTCCAGGAAAGCCTTCTGTGGGAAGACACTGCATTAAGATAGCTCAAAATCGGGGTGAAGAGGCAGGAGGCAGGGCTTACCATCTTCATCCATCAACTATTAACTTTATGATAGAAACCATTTCAGTGTTATTTTTGTTTGCTATGGATCTATACAGAATTGCATTATTTTAATGCTTTATTGAGAAATAATTCACATACCATACAGTTCACCACCATTACCAAGTCAGATGTAAGCAGCTCTCTGGGGCTGTTCCTAATATGGAAGTGTTGCTTATACCAGAAAATGATAACCAAAATGAAATATAACACAACGTTCAAGGAAAGCTTGTAGATAATCATTGGTAAAATAATAGCAATGGAGCTGGAAATACTGAAATGGAGAGGTTAAAATGCCCGGGGCGGGGGTATTGCTGCTTGATGAGACTTAGGAGGGCGTAGCCACAAGCTTCACCATGAATGTAGTCAGGAGCCGGGGGAAGAGGCACGTGTTCCTGGGCTGTGTGGATGAGTGGTCTAGGAGGCGTGCTTGTGATGAAATGACAGCCCACCAGCCCACTATCCCAGGCCCTGGAGGAGATGCGGGGTGCGCAGCCTGGGCTGTCAGAGATGTTCACAATTGCAAAGATTCTGACCCATATTTTGCCCCACACATCCGTCTTGCTAGAGCATGTGTCCTGGTTCTTTAGAAAATCACTCCGTTGTACTTTAGGACACCATGTCCTAGGAACACACTGACACCAAAAACCTTGGCCAAGAGTCAGAAAAACAAAGCTAGATTATGTGAGGGAATGGAAATGTCCAGAATAAAACCTGGGGAGGCTAAAGGGATCGCGTGGAGCTCAGTGACAGCAGAGCTGCAAAGCTGCAACCCTCCTCAGCCAGGAGTGGCCCCAGTGAAAGCAATGGATACAAGCCCACAGGGCACGTTCCCAGCGCAGCCCTCAGGGCCTGGGAGGGCCACACAGCTCCCACGGATGCTCACTCCCTGTCCATTCCCTGTTGGCCCTGGAAGTAGACTTGAGTTAAGCTCCTGGGTAAAGGGCTAAGAAGGGAGAATATGAAGAGACTTCTAGCCATATTCACTCAAATAGGAGAGAGGAACAGACGGGCCTGTGTGGCAAAGAAGAAAAGGCTTAATGTTTATGGAGCAGCAACACGCTGCAGAAAAGCGAGTCAGATCCTGGGGGATCAAAGGACTTTGTTCAGATGCTGCTGTTGAGGAAGGGCTTCTCCCCAAAATAATTCAGCTTTTTTGATTTACAGACAAAATTTACTCACTTACTGTTTAAAGTTCAGTGCGTTTTTTTAAAGGGTCAACGAATCTTGATAAATATATATACTCATGTAATCACGACCGCATTCAAGATACAGGCCTGTCCATCTCCCCAAAAGCTTCCTGCGGCCTCTTTGCAGTCAGTCTCCCTCCCCAGTAACAGCCCTTTGCAGCCTCTGCTCTGCCCCCATGGCTTGGCTTTTCCTGGATCTACCCGGATCTAATGGAATCATACGGGATGTAGTCTTTGGCGTCTGGCTTCTTTGACTCAGCTCATGTGTTTGAGATTTATGCATGTTATTGTATCTGTACACCTCAGTTTGTTTAAGCATTCTCAAGTTGATGGACATTTGGGTTCTTTCTAGTTATTGGCTGTTAAACTGGTATACATAACTGAATTACATGTAACACAAAATCTTTTTAACAGCTAGATTTCTTTTTTTAAGACTTTCCTATCAGCCGGCTGTGGTATCTCATGCCTGTAATCCCAGCAGTTTGGGAGGCCAAGGCAGGTGGATCACTTGAGGTCAGGAGTTGGAGACCAGCCTGGCCAACATGGTGAAACCCCATCTCTACTAAAAATACAAAAATTAGCCAGGTGTGGTGGCACACACCTGTAATTCCAGCTACTCAGGAGGCTGAGGCAGGAGAATTGCTTGAACCCAGGAGGCAGAGGTTGCAGTGAGCCGAGATGTTGCCACTGCACCCCAGCCTCGGCGACCGAGCAAGACTCTGTCTCAAAAATAAATAAAAATAAAATGTACAGGTCGGGCACGGTGGCTCACGCCTGTAATCCCAGCACATTGGGAGGCCGAGGGGGGTAGATCACCTGAGGTCAGGAGATGAAGACCAGCCTGGGCAACATGGTGAAACCCTATTCTACTAAAAATACAAAAATTAGCTGGACATGGTGGCACATGCCTGTAATCCCAGCTACTCGAGAGGCTGAGGCAGGAGAATCGCTTGAGCCAGGGAGGCGGAGGTTGCAGTGAGCCAAGATTGTGTCATTGCACTCCAGCCTGGGCAACAGATGAGACTCCGTCTCAAAAATGAATTAATGAATGAATAAATTAATAAGTAAAATAAAATGTATAGTCCAGTGGTTTTTTGGGATGTTGTGCAGAGCTGCATTTACCATCATCAGAGCTGTGCTCTGACTCATAAAATGGATCACCGTGGTGGGTTTAGAACACTTTCATCATCCATTAAAGAAACTCCATAACCATTAGTGGTCATTCCCTATTTCTCTCCTCCTCCATCCTCCACACCCACCACCCCTACACCCCAATTCCAGGCAATTACTTGTTTTTGTTTCTGTATGTTTGCCTATTCTGGAGATTTTTCTTTTATTTTTTTAACTCCTCTCATCTAACTGTGAATGTGTGCTCTCTGACCAACCTCTCTCCATCCCCTCTCCCCCTAGCTACCTCAGCCTCTGATAACCACCATTCTGCTCCTAGGAGGTCAGGTTTTTCAGATTCCATATGTGAGCAGGAACATGCAGTATCTGTCTTTCTACGCCTGGCTTATTTCATTTCACATAGCATCCTCCAGTCATGTACAGGTCTTTATGTGGATATATGAGTTCATTTATCTTGGGTCTATTCCCCAAAGTGAAATTGCTGGGTTGTATGGTAAATGTATGTTTAACTTTAAAGACACTGTCAAACTGCTTTCCAGAGTTGCTGTACCATTTTGAATTCCCAGAAGCAATGTATGAGCATTTCAGTTACTCTACATCTTGCCAACACTTGGTATTAATAGTCTTCAATGTTAGCCACTCTAATGGTATCTCTTTGTGGTTTTTATTTGCATTTCCCTAATAACTAATGATAGTGAGCATCCATCTGTTCATGTGCTTACATGAGATTCATAGGTCTTTGGTAAAGTGTCAGTTTAAATCTTTTGCACATTTTGTTTGTTTGGTTTTGGTTTTTTTGGAGAGGTAGTCTTGCTGTGTTTCCCAGGCTGGTCTCTAACTCCTGGGCTCAAGCAGTCCTCCTGCCTCAGCCTCCCAAAGAGGACTGCAGCACCTGGCTGTTTTGCCCACTTTTTTTTTTTTTTTTTTTGAGATGGAGTTTTTCGTTCCTCTTGCCCAGGCTGGAGCGCAGTGGCACAATCTCAGCTCACTGCAACCTCCGCCTCCTGGGTTCAAGTGATTCTCCTGCCTCAGCCTCGAGAGTAGCTGGGATTACAGGCATGTGCCACCATATCCGGCTAATTTTGTATTTCTAGTAGAGACTGGGTTTCTCCATGTTGGTCAGGCTGGTCTCAAACTCCCGACAGGTGATCCGCCCG
Source organism: Homo sapiens (assembly GCF_000001405.40). NCBI lineage: Eukaryota > Metazoa > Chordata > Mammalia > Primates > Hominidae > Homo > Homo sapiens. The sequence goes on along the minus strand of NC_000013.11, from coordinate 100,557,953 downwards.
CCTCGGCCTCCCAAAGTGCTGGGATTACAGGTATGAGCCACCGTGCCCAGCCTTTGTTTTGCCTACTTTTAATTGGATTGTTTTTCTTCTTCTTGAGGTGTGAGAGTTCTTTGTATATTCTGGATAACAGTCCTTTATCAGATAGCTATTTTGTAGATATTTTCTCTGTCTACATTTGCCTTTTCATTTACTCACCCGAGTCTTTTGAGAGTAGGTGTTTTAAATTCTGAAGTCAAAACTTATTCATGTTTTCTTTTATTATTTGTGCTTTTTGTGTCCTATCAAAAGATTTCTAGAAAGTTTAACTCTTATATTTGGATACATTTTGAGTTAATTAGTGTATAGGGAGTGAGATAAGAGGTTTTTAAAAATCTATTTTTTTTGCATATGGATATGCAGTTGTTCCAGCACCATTGTTTAAAAGTCTATAGATTCCCCATTGAATTACTTTGGCATCTTTATTGAAAACAGTTGACCCTACAAGTAGGGGTCTACTTCTGGACTCTGTTCTGTACCATTGATTTTTTTAACTAGTTTTTGTTTTTTAATTGAAGTAATTCACACAACATAAAAGTCACCACTTTAAAGTATACAAGTAAGTGGGTCTTAGTATATTCACAAAGTTGTGCAGCCCGCACCACTAATTCCATATCACGTTATCTCAAAAAGAATGTTCCATCAACCTTAATGCATATCTTTTCTCTAATTCCACACTGTCTTGTTTATTGTAACTTTGTAGTTAAGTATTGAAATAGAAACTTCGGGCTGGGCATGGTGGCTAAAGCCTGTAATCCCAGCACTTTAGGAGGCCAAGTCTGGCAGATCACTTAAGGCTAGGAGTTTGAGACCAGTCTGGCCAACATGGCAAAACCCCATCTCTACTAAAAATAGAAAAACATTACCAGGCGTGGTGGTGTATGCTTGTAGTCCCAGCTGCTTGGGAGGCTGAGGCATGAGAATCGCTTGAACCTGGGAGGTGGAGGTTGCAGTGAGCCAAGATTGCAGTGAGCCAAGATTGCATCACTGCACTCCAGCCTGGGCAACAGAGCAAGACTCCACCTCAAAAAAAAGAGAAACTTTGTTCAGCTTTTTCAGTGTTGTTTTGGCTATTCTAGATCCTTCAAATGTTTATATAAGTTTTATTTTTTAATTTTTGTGGGTACATATTAGATGTGTATATTTATGGGTTACATGAGATGCTTTGATACAAGCATGCAATATGAAATACGCACATCATGGAGAATGGGTTATCCATGCCCTCAAGCATTTATCCTTTGAGTTATAAACAATCCAGTTACACTCTTTAAGTTACCTTTTATATAAATTTTAGAATTAGCTCATCAATTTCTACAAAAAAAAAACCCCTGGGATTTTCATTAAGATTGTGTTGAATGTCTACCTCAATTTGGGGAGAATTAACATTTTTACTGTGAAAATTATCCATCAAAACATGGTATATCTCTCCATTTATTTAGATACTAAAATTCTCTCATCAGTGTTTGGAATTTTCAGTGCACAGGTCTTGCACATATTTTGTTCAAACAATTGGACCCTAAGTATTTCAGATTTTTTGGTGATACTATAAATGATAATGGATTTTTAAATTTCAAGTTCCAGTTTTCCCCTGTTAGAATATACAAATACAATTGATTTTTGTATATTGGCCTTATATCCTAAAACCTTGCTAACCTCATTAGTTCTAGTAACCTTTTGGTAGATTTTCTTAGGATTTTCTGTACTGACAGTTATGTTAACTGCAAAAAAGATAGTTTTCTTTCTTTCTGAAGTGTATGCCTTTTATTTCTTTTTCTTCCTTTATTAGCCTGGCTAGAACCTCGAGGATTTAGAAGTAGGAAGAGTGGACGTCCTTGCCTTGCATCCAGTCTCAAGGGAAAGTACTTGATTATTCACTACAAAGAGAAGGATGTTAGCCATAGGTTTTTCAGAGACTTAACCTTTTTAGTAGATCGAGGATGTCCTCTTTGATTTCCAGTTTGCTAGGAATTTTTATCTCAAATTTGCTGAATTTTATCAAGTGCTTACCCTGTATTTATTGAGATCGTCATGTGGTTTTTCCATTTTAATCTGTTTCTATGGCATGGCAATTCATTGACTGATTTTTAAATATTAAACTACGTTGCATTCCTAGGATGAAACATTAGTAATGATGTATTATCCTTTTAACATATTGTTGAATTTTGTTAGTATTTGTTCAAGACTCTTACATTTATGTTTATGATGGACAGTGGCCTGTAATTTTTTCTTTTCTTTTTCTTTTTTTATTTTTTGAGACAGCGTCTCTCTCTCTTGCCCGGGCTGGTCTTTAACTGCTGGCAGATGATCCTCCTGCCTCTGTCTCCCAAAGTGCTAGGATTACAGGTGTGAGCCACCATACCCAGATTTTTTTCTTTTTAAAAAAAACCTGAGATGGGGTCTCACTCTGTCACGCAGGCTGGAGTACAATGGCACAATCACAGCTCACTGCAGCCTCGACCTCCTGGGCTCAGGTGATCCTACCACCTCAGCCTCCCAAGTAGCTGAGACTGACTACAGGCATGCACCACCATGCCCACCTAATTTTTTGTATTTTTTGTACAGACAGGGTTTTGCTGTGTTGCCCAGGCTGGTCTGAAACTCCTGGACTCCAGCAGTCCACCTGCTTTGGCCTCCCAAAGTGCTGGGATTACAGGCATGAGTTACCATGCCTGGCTGTAATTTTCTTTTCTACCAATGTCTTTGATTTGGTATCAGGTACTACTGGCTTCATAAAAGGAGTTGAGAAGTGCTCCTCCCTCTTTGATTTTCTGGAAAATTGTTTGGTATTTATTGGAAAACATTGGTATTATTTCTTCCTTAAGTGTTCAATAGATTTCACCAATGAAGCCATCTGCCTCTGGGCAAGGGTTTTTAACTGTGAGTAGATACAGGGCTTTGCAGGTTATCTACTTCTTCTTGAGTGAGCTTTGATACTTGAGACCTTTTGAGGAATTTTTCCATTTCAGTTAAGTTGTAGAATTTATTGGTATAATGTTGTTCATTATGTTCCCTTATTATCCTTTTAACGTTTGTTTTATAGTGATGTTCCCTCCTTGATTTCTTATACTGATGATTTCTTTTCTCTCTCTCTCGTTTACCTATAAAAGTAATAGAGCAGTACAATGATTCTCATATATCCATCACCCAGTTTCAATAACTATCGAGCCTTTGCACACATGCCTTATCAATTCCCTCTTTTCTTTGATATGCTGACATATTTTAAAGTATGTTCCAGACGTGATATTTTCAAATGCTAGATACTTCCATATGCGTCTCTGAAAAAATAAGGATATTTTCTTACAGGACCACAATGCCATTACCATACCTTAAAATATTAATCGTGATTCCTTGGTAGACTCTTATTACCTAGATTTACCTGTAAGATTTTCCTAAGTGTCTCAAAAATGTCATTGTGTATAGGTCATATCTTCAAATCAGAATCCAAACAAGGTCTGTACATTTACCCATGGCTGTACCTGAAATCGTTAATGTAAGGGAAATCACCCTCACTTTTTCTAATGCAATAAACTGTCTTATAATCATTTCTCCCCTAAAATGCCTCACATTCTGGATCTGTCTGCTTCTAGTTGGTATCATTTAACTTTTCTGCAATAGGAGTTTTTTCAATCTGAGAGGACTAAATGATGACTTGGAACTTTCTGAACCCCTGAGAAATGTACCTTGGCTTTCATCCCCTGGGGGAACATAAAGGAAGGGTGGGCAACTGTCCATCTCAAGACCTGGGAAATATCTGGTTTCTGTGTCCAGTTCAGGCCAGGCAATGTCCATGAAGCCTTTGATCTCCATCACCTCTGAATTCCACTTAATTATGTGTAGTACTAACTATATGTAGTAATTAATTATGTATCTTTGTTCATTGTGTTTCCTTTGTGTAGCTCTGGCCCTTGAAAAATCTGTCCTCTACTGTTAATCTTTGTTTTTAAGGCTTAGTGTACATTTTATGAAAGTATACCATACGTTAGAAGAGTGCAAGATTCCTGTGGACACACTGTGTACCTGGCCCCTGGCACAGAGGTTCATTTTGGCTGTTACTACCTTTTTTTTTTTTTTTTTGAGATGGAGTCTCGCTTCGTCACCCCCGCTGGAGTGCAGTGGCGCGATCTTGGCTCACTGCAACCTCTGCTTCACTGGTGCAAGCGATTCTTCTGCCTCAACTTCCCAAGTAGCTGGGACTACAGGTGCACACCACCACGCCTAGCTAATTTTTGTATTTTTAGTAGAGATGAGCTTTCACATTATTGGCCAGGCTGGTCCCGAACTCCTGACCTCATGATCCAGCTGGCTAAGCCTCCCAAAGTGCCAGGATTACAGGCGTGAGCCACCATGCCCGGCCTGCTACTTCTTTACCTTCAGGTAAACTTGTCCTGCAGTGTGTGCCCTTGTCTGGCCGCTCTCAGGTGGTGCTGCTCATGGTGAATGCCATCGTGTTGCTGCCCCTATTCATTCTTGTTGCCATAGAGTATCCCAGGTATACCACAGTTGACTGGCCCATTTGACTGTTGGTGGACATTTCAGTTGTGTCTGCTTTGGGGATATGACACCTGGTGCTGACCAGCACATTCCCATTCTTGCCATTTTGGTGAACCTGCATTCACATTTTTGCCTGCATCTGCCTGGGAGTGGAATTGCCGGTCCTTGGGGACACACAGGCTCAGCTTTCCTAAAACTGCCACGCAGTCTTCCCTGGGGATTCACTGCACAATATTTTAAAACCCAGATCTTGCCATGCACCTCCCAGGCGTAGTGCCCTCGAACGGCTCTCATCACACAGAAGCCGAAATCTGACTCCATAAGATACCATGGAAGGCCCTTGGAGGCCCGGGCCCTGCCTCGCCCTGCCTGCTGGCATGCTTTCTGTTCCCCCAACAGCCCACCGTCCCCTCTGCTCAGGTCCCCCTCCCCTCCCCAGCCACCCGCCACCTGGCCTGCCTGCTCCTGGGTATCCCCAGAGGCTCTACTGCTTGCCTGGGTCGCCCTCTCCTGCAGGACACTTGACACCTGGTCCTGATGCGGGACTCATTGTCCCCACTCTAGAGTGTCCTCTCATCAGCAGCACTCAGCATCTCTGCCACCCCACCAGGCTGCAGCTTTTTACGAACAAGGACTGTTGCTTTTTCTGTCTTTGGATGCCTGGCCCGTCCTAGATGCTCAGTACCTCCTGAATGAGTGAATGAATGAATGGCCTGTCAGCCAGCCTGGACGTCCTGAGCACTGGGCAGATGATCTTAACAGAAACATTAAGTGGCTGGCAGGCACTCCTGGCCTTAGAAAACCTTTACATCTAGCTTTGGTTTTTAAAGTTGGAAAGAAAAGGACTCAAAGCACAGCCCCTTGCACAGGAACAATAGGTGGGGATTGATAACAAGGCTCACGACAGGTCACCGTCTTGACATCTCAGAATGGTTGTGTTTGCTGGGAGAACCAGCTAGAGCTTCAGTCTCTTCTTCAACAGAGAACTTCCCCGTCTGTTTCTCCTAGTTGACCACAGAGTATGTTGGGGGGTGGCGTGTAGATTTTGGATCAATCCCTGGCTTAAATCCAGCCCATAACAGCTTTGCTGTGTCAGTTAAATAACTCTTCTGAGCCTCAGTTTCCCATGTGTGGGATGGGACAGTAACACCTGCCTCGTCACGGGGCTGTTGGAGGCCCAGTTTGTGAATTCCTCATTTCCCCAGGAGAGAACAAAATCAGTTCCTGGAGAGCCCCTGACAGCCCCCATCCATTGAATTTTCTTCTTCTCTCCTGGGGAAATTAGAAATTCACAGGGCAAGTTTCCACCAGGCTTTGCCTTCCTGAGAGATCTGGCCTGGACCACACTCAAAGCTTGCCCTGCACATGGCTGGGAGAAGGGTCAAGGGCCCCTCAGGTGCGGGTGGCTGTAGAGCCAGCATGGTCTGGAGGGAGTGTGCCCACAGGGAGCTACCCCAGCCAGGCAGCACCTCCTTTCCTTCTGGGGTGCTAGGCCAGGGGAGGAGGTATAGCCTACCTCTTTGTACTGGTCTTGCCCCCTCTGAGAGACAGAGACCTGCTCCCTAGGGAATTGCCTTTAGATGGGGGCAAAGGGAAGGGAGAGAAATTCCTTAACCTGAAAATAAGTATAATCATTGTTATATTAAAACAACGCCAAATTTGCATGAATTTTAAAGAAAAACCCTGTACATCGAAGGGATGGGAGCACCTTCTTTGGGCAGCTGTGCCCCGTTCCTCAGCCCTTCTCTGCCTGGGCACAGGTGCCCCCTGGACAGCACAGCCTGGGGGTCCTGGATTTTAGGGGACCCACTCAAAGGGCCAATAAAGGGTTGAACACTTTTAAGGTGCTTCAACTAGGAGTTTAGCTACCCCTTAGCTATTTTGTGGTTACTGAAGCATGGCCCCCAGGAGAAATCCCTTTTTCCTTCTTTTCTGGGAAGTTCCTGGGAGCCGAGGGGAAGTCTGTTAATACCAGTTCTGGCAGGTGGGAAGAGGCTAGTGGCCTCCTCACCTTGCCACGGGCGCTGGTCCCTCCCTGGGGAAAAGGTTTTCTTGGCTTGGACAGCTTAGGGGCAGAGAGGAGAACATCCTTGGTTTTATCCTGTCTGTGTATATATACATTATGGGTTTTTGTTTTTTTTTTGAGACAGAGTCTCGCTCTGTCGCCCAGGCTGGAGTGCAGTGGCGTGATCTCGGCTCACTGCAAGCTCCACCTCCCGGATTCATGCCATTCTCCTGCCTCAGCCTCCCGAGTAGCTGGGACCACAGGCGCCCGCCACCACACCCGGCTAATTTTTTGTACTTTTAGTAGAGATGGGGTTTCACTATGTTAGCCAGGATGATCTCAATCTCCTGATCTCATGATCCACCCGCCTCGGCCTCCCAAAGTGCTGGAATTACAGGCATGAGCCACCGCGCCCGGCCTTGTTGTTTTTTAATTAAGAAAGTAGTTTTGGATGAGAGAAATGATAAAACTTTTATATACTCCTCCCAAAAAAGTTAAATGCCTCACATGTGTGAGCTGTTCAATTCAGAAAATGGCTGAGTAAACATGATTTTAACTTCATGACTGAAAGAACACTGTAAATTTGGGGAGAAAAAACAACAACTCCATAATGAAAAACAAAGCGGCTGTTCTGCTGTTTCTGAAGCGAGTGGATTGGAGAAAGCGCCTCAGTGGGAGGAGCCGCCTCTCTCCCTAATAACCACACAGCAACAGCTGGGGCTTTGCACGTTCTCTCGGGGCATTCCACTGTCTCGGGAGTGGCCTGTGCGTGGGCCTTTAAGTGCTTTTTCAAAAGCCAAGTATATACCCAAATGTGCTTTTAAATAATGTCTAGGGTCCTGGGTTCCACCCCCAACACTGGGGAGGCCAAGGAGTTGTAAACCCAAACACTGGCGTGTTTGGCTGCAGCCTGGCCTGGCTTTTGTCGGCGGTTTCTGGCTATAATGGTGCTTTTAAAAGTGGTGTGTGTGTGTGTGTGTGTGTGTGTGTGTGTGTGTGTGTGTAGAGTATAATCGGCTCGGATTTAATTCATTCAGCGCATCCAGTTTCCTTAGAAGGGCCAGTGGTGTGTGTGTGTGTGTGTGTGTGTGTGTGTGTGTGTGTGTGTGTGTGTGTGTGTGTAGAGTATAATCGGCTCGGATTTAATTCATTCAGCGCATCCAGTTTCCTTAGAAGGGCCAGTCCCTCCAGCTCAATGCCTTTTTCTGGAAGTTTTGGCCTCAGAATTCAGGCTGTCCGGCCAGCACACAGTGGCCGGCCGTGCGTTCACGTTCAGGACTCACAGGAATGTGGCAGATGGACCCACTCTGTGCAGGGGCTGTAGAAGCTCGCTCAGGGACACATGCCGAATTGCCTTCCCCGCTCCCTTCTTCCTTGTAGTTGAGTCTTAACTTCGCTCTCAGCCATTTTAATTGAATTTAACTTGGGGTAATTATACAAGCACTGAAAGGATTTGAATGCTTTGGGAACAAGATAATTTATACAAAAAAACTTAATCAGGCTTAATTTTGAATTCTATGCTTTTATCTTTAAAAATGTTTATTTTTTTCAAATGTGTGAAAATGGCATTGTGTGTATGTGCTCATGTGTGTTGGGGATGAGGTCTCATCTCCTTGGGTGCACTGACGTAAGCAATGGACTTTTCTAGAGTTGCTTTCCTTTCTTTTATCTGCCACCTCTGGCTATATGATCTCCAGGTAGTTAGCATCTTTTTGGAGGGTTTAAACTGGTTTTAATAATATTCTTAGCGAAAGGTGATGCTGAAGGCAAACCTGTTATTACTACCAAAACGAGTCCTGCCTTACAGAGCCCACTGGAGGCGGAGTCTGGCTGGGCCCTGACCCAGCTCCCTGCCGCTGGCACAAGAGACCAGCTAGCTATGATACAACTTGTTGCCCAGTTTTCAATGGCCAGTTGGGTTCCTTTTAGCTCCTGATTTCATGTTTCTGGGCAGTGGGATATAGGGCCCTGCCTGGCAGTGCCAACCAGCAGCGAGCCCTGGATTAGAATGGCGCTGTGCTGGTTTGAAGTGGACAGACGAGCAGGTAGGGCCACATGGGTGGCTGTTGATTTATTTATTTATTGAGACGGAGTTTCACTCGTTGCCCAGGCTGGAGTGCAATGGCACAATCTCGGCTCACTGCAACCTCCGCCTCCCAGGTTCAAGTGATCTTCCTGCCTCAGCCTCCTGGTGTAGCTAGGATTACAGGCACCCACCACATCTGGCTAATTTTGTTTTTAGTAGAGACAGGGCTTCACCATGTTTGGCTGGTCTCGAACTCCTGACCTCAGGTGAACCACCCGCCTCAGCCTGCCAAAGTGCTAGGATTACAGCCGCGAGCCCTTGCTCCTGGTCCATGGGTGGTGGTTTCTAAGCTGCGCTCAGCCTCCACGCGTAGTGGAGGTGGCATTCCTAGGGATTTTAAATTTGACATCTTGCAGTTGTATTTGGTGGTTATCTTTGAAAGTATTCTCTGAAATACTTTGACTAATTCATGCTGATGCATTTATTCTGCTCCACAATGTTGGGTGGTGGCCTCCCTGGTTGGCTCTCCTGTGGACCCTGTGTCCCCTGGATGTGCCTGCAGTCTATCCCACCCTGTTGTGGCTTTGCCTTGCTTGGCCTGGGCCAGGAAGGCCTCTTCCCAGATGTTTGACAGGAGTGTGGCTTTGACCTCTGTTTATCAGCTCTCGGTTCTTACATTTTTTTAATTTTAAACTTTAAGGGCACAAGATAATTGTTCCTGTTTATGGGGATCTCACTATTTTTGTACCCACTGTGTGCAGTCCCTCTCCAGGGGACTTGATCCTCCCAAAGCAACCAGATGGCTAAGCTGCTAAATACAGGGCGCGCTGGCCCAAGCCTCGCCAGGGGCCTCACCTGTATCTTTAATTTGTATTTCTTCACTTTTAAGTAGGTTTAACTTCCTATTCTTACATATTCTCATCCTTCTAGAATATTCTGTCAGCAAACCACCTAGAGAAGAGAATGACTGTGATATTTTGTAATTGTTTTGTGCTTCTTCTAACTTAAAGTTGGATTCTCTATTTCTCACTTAAGAAGGCAAAACAGTAATATAAAACTATGTTCATCAATACAACCTTAAGATGTTTCTAAAAAACAAAACACTAATATATATTTTATTCCTGTTTCAAACTCAAAGTATTTCTAGCCCAAAGGTTCCAAATGAAAAGCAGCCATGCTCTAGAAAAATGAACAGCAGAAAGGCACAGGTGGCATTCCCAGGCCTCCCTTGCCTTCTGCCGGAGTTGAAACAATCCAGACCTTTGGGAGCACACAAGGTAGACGAGAAGTTGCCTGCCATCAGCCAGACCTGGGTGTCCTATTTAACAAGTGGAGAGCGGGCTGGGACAAGCCACAGATTCTTGGCTTTTCCCGGCTGCCCGGGGTTTTGCTGCCCCAGGCAGAATAAACATATTTTGAGCAACTGCCAGCGTGTGATTGCTGCACCGTCTTCCAGCAGGCCTGGAAAAATACTCTAAAAGGCAAACCGTTTGCTGTGTTTCTTCGTGGGAACTCACTGCTTAGTCAACAGCTGGTGTGCATGGGGCCTGGGTGGGCAGAGAAGGCCCTGGTCTCCACCCCAGTGCCCAGGCCTGCAGGGATTACGGCCATCTCATGCCTCTGGGCCTGCTCGACCTTGACCCTGCTGCCAAGAGATGTCTCGTTCTTGTCCTGTTTTATTGAATGTCTCCAGAAAGCAAGTGAGTGTAAGGGAAGCCAGCACAAATCTGTAGAAATGCTTTGGACAGACTTGGGTACTTGTGGAAACCCTAAAGAAAAGATGAGGAGCTTCAGCTTCTGATTCGGGGCTATGAAGCCTGCTGAGCTCCGACAAGAACGCACACGAGTGACAGTAAGCGCAGACCAGGCCTGCGCGGGGCCTGCCTGCCTCCCGTGAGCTCATTCAGTCTTGTTTTTAGATTACCTTTTTTGAGGTATAATTTACATACAACAAAATCCACAGATTAAGTGCACAGATAGGTCAATGATTTTGACAAATGTATCCCCCATGGAACCGCTGCCCAATCAGTATAAGGAGCATTTCCATCTCCCCAGAGGGCCCTGTGTCTGCGGCAGCAAGTACCCCACCCCCTCTGGTCTGGGTGCTGTCCCGGGAGGTGAGTTTTGCAGGTTCATTGTCAGTGGCTGTGATGGGGGCTGATTACATCCCGCCTGGCTACTCTGCACGTCCTGCTTCTGCCCTGCTCCCGGGCCTGGTCTGAGGGTCTGGAGACCTGGTTGTCTTGTGGGAAGGAAGAGGTGGCAGAGCCGGCACTGAATCCAGGGCCTATGAATGTGCCCCCAGGGCTATGTTTGAACCTGTAGGGTTTGAGAGACAAGGAGAACTTGAAGGATTCCCAACAGCCTGAAGGCCCATCGTGCCTCTTTGGGAATCTGGGCTGAGTGGGATGGCCCCTTGGCTTCCTGCAGTATTTATGAAGTGCCTACTGCATGCGCCGGGCCGTGCCAGATGACGTAGGGGGGTGAAAGGAAGAGAAGGCGAGACCTCGCCCTCGAGGAGCTGTGGTTTAGAGGCATGAGGATGGGCCATGCGACTCCCTTGCTCGAAAAGCAAGAAAAGGTGCAGTCGAGAGACCTAGAAGAGGCGGCAGCCCTTTCCTCTGCTGACTCGCAGCTCAGCCTCGCAACTTGGCATGGAGGGTTTTAGTTGTTAAAAACTAAACATTATTTTATTACATATTCCATATTTGTTATTATTTATTCAGAGACAGGGTCTCACTCTGAGGCCCATGCTGCAGTGGTGAGATCATGGCTTATTGTGGCCTTGACTTCCTGGGCTCAAGCGATCCCCCCACCTCAGCCTCCCAAAATGCTGGGATTACAGGCATGAGCCACCGCACCCAGTCTATTTCCTTATTACAAAATTCTCAGCATGGAGTTTTTCATTCATCTTTATGTTTATGTTGTACAATATCAGTTTTAAGTTTCAGTGCATTTAACTCGTGGAATCACAGAAATGACAGTTTTCATAACTTACACATGCGTATTTCTTTTTTTTTTTTTTTTTTTTTTTGAGACAGAGTCTTGCCCTGTCGCCCAGGCTGGAGTGCAGTGGCGCCATCTCGGCTTACTGCAAGCTCCGCCTACCGGGTTCACGCCATTCCCCTGCCTCAGCCTCCCGAGTAGCTGGGACTATAGGCGCCCGCCACCATGCCCGGCTAATTTTTTTTGTATTTTTAGTAGAGATGCGGTTTCACCATGTTAGCTAGGATAGTCTCGATCTCCTGTCCTCGTGATCCACCCGCCTCGGCCTCCCAAAGTGCTGGCATTACAGGCGTGAGCCACTGTGCCCGGCCATCTATTTCATTCTTATCAGAAAGTTAACTGAGCTGTTTTTCACCTCTTGAGGTGCACATATTCTATCAACACTGTCTGCCTTCACCTACTGATGATGGAGGAAAAGAGGGGGAAAGGCACTCTGGGTGGCCCAGCAGGTTGCCCTGGCTTTCTGTGTCATTTTCCGAGTATGTGGTTGGCTGACGCATGTGTAGGAAGGGACATGATGGGGCCTTTGGTGTCTGAATTCTCCGAACCCTTACTTCCTTCTGTAGGGGGAACAGGTTCTGCTTGCAATGGGAAGTGCAGCAGCTCACCCAAGCTTCACCCTAATGCCAGAAAGCCCCACACCCTGGGTCTACCACGATCCCACACTCCTGGGCTCTCCACTCACAGGAGTGCTGTGTTATTCCAGCAGGCTTCGCTTTGCTTACAAAATACAAAGACAAAATCGGGAATTTCAGGATAGTGGCAGCTTCTGAGTGCCAGTTCCATGGCACATGCCAGGCAGGCAGGCAGCCCAGGGTGTGCTTAATAAACCCTGAGGGCACCTTCTAGATTCAGGAGGCCACGGCAGATGTGACTGGAGCCTGGTATGAGGGCAGCCCAGGCCACTGGCTGCCTGGGGCCCTGGAGTGCTTGGGGGCAGTGAGGGGGTGCCCTCCTCCAGGGGCCCTGGGACGTGGAGGTCAGGAAGGAGGTCAGGAAGGGACGTGAAGGCTCTGCTGCCCTTGCCTGGGTCGCCTTGTGTGTGAGTCACTTCACCTCTGCCCCAGCTTCCCCATCTGCAAAAGGGGGGAGAAGCTGGGAGTGAAGCGGCCTCACCATGTGGTTTGGAGCACCAGGTGAAGAATGTAAGTAAAGCACTTGGCATGGGGTGGGCATGGAGTCAGGGCTCTCCCTTGGGGGTGGCGTTGATCCCCCGTGAGCCACAGGTAGGTCCGGCAAGTGGAGCCAGGTTCCTGAGGCCGTGCCTGCAGGTTGGCCCTGTGTGACGAGGTTGACGGCATCTCCAGTGTTGGGCCGCTGGCCGCCTGCCCAGCATGTGTTCCTGGCTCTGCCTCCTGCTGCCGCCTCCGCTGCGCCTTCTGAGTGTCACACCAGGAGGCAGCAGGGGCTGGCAGCACCTCCGCTCCTGCTGCCGTGCCTGGAATTTGGGGCCATGGCCCTGGCCGGTTCTCCATCCTGCCTGTTTGCATAGAGCTCGTTCCCTGGCCTGGCATCTTGGGATTTTCCAGTGATTCCTTTCCATACTTGAAGCAGACATGGGGATGCAGGGGATGGTCATGTCTGCGTTGTTGGTCACTGAACATTTTAAAGGTGGCAACACAATTGCCTTTAAAGTGATATGGCATGAAAAAAATCGTTATTTATATTTGGCATGGCCAAAGAGTAAAAACTCAAGGGATGGTTGCTGAGGAGCATTCAGGAGGCCTGGGGTGGCATCAGGGACCAAGTGTCCGTTTGATTTCACAGACCCGTAAGTGTTCAGTGTCTTGAGCGAACTGTGAAGAGGAGACCCTGGCCTCTGATTTCAAAGGCGCCAGCGTTTTACCGGGGCCGGTGCAGATAATGGAAGAAAGGTGTTTTGCCAGGGACTTTTCCGGGGTATGCAGTGGGGCTGGTGAGGGGTCTGCCTTAGCAGGAAGCCCTTGCCTTTGCTGTAAAGAAACTAGCAAGCGACAAAACGAAAGCATCAAAGAGCCAACAGGATGCGGCCCGAGCCCTCCCTGGCACGTTGCCCCGAGCCGCGCGGGGAAGAGTGACCTTAGGGCCCGCCTCGCGCACACAGGCCAGGCACAGGTTGAAAGTTCAAGGCATTTTGTTTTTTCACCTGTTTCCTACAGTTCTAAGAAACTTCTGAAGAATTAATGTGTAACTATATCAGACACTCGGCGTTTTCTCCAGGGAAAATAATGTTACAGTGGGGGAGGGAGGGGAAGTGGCTACTTGATGAGACACAAGAAGGTTTCCATAAAGTAAGAAAAACCCTCTCTAGGGGAAACGTGCACAACATCGCATGTGACTCTTACTCCATCTCCACCATGTAGAATGGCTGCGTTTGCTCAGGGCTGGCACAGTGTGGGGCTGCTGGTGGTCACAGAAGGACTAGAGCAGCAGTTGGTGTCCTTGAAACCAGTGTACAGCCGTGATCACCATGCCCTTCGTGAGTCTGGTGGGCCCAGGATCTGCTGGGGCCAATTTTGACACGAGGTATTGAATGACAAAAGCAAATTAATGCAGCAAATGTAAAGATAGAGATAAGCTCTTTGCCATGCCACCTTCTGGACCAGGAGTTTATGATTCTGATACTATTTCTCCCTGGCCAGTGGCAGAGCCCCTCTGGCAGGGGCCTGAGCTTCATGCTACCCAAGTCTAAATCATTTTACTTTTTTCTAACAAAGTCTTAACTTGCCAACTGGCAGTATGCATTGTTACTGGCTTGATATATCATGTGGAGAAAACAGATGCTTTGACATGATGACATACAGATTTTACTAACATTTCCTCCTGTCATGAAATTTTCATATAAAGATGAATATTTTCTTGAGGCACCATTTATAAAGGTGGTTTTTATGTTAGAAGCTGGTGTTGGCCAGGCGTGCTGGCTCATGCCTGCAATCTAGCACTTTGGGAGGCCGAGGTGGGCGGATCACAAGGTCAAGAGTTTGAGACCAGCCTGGCCAATATGGTGAAACCCCATCTCTACTAAAAATACAAAAATTAGCCAGGCGTGGTGGTGGGCACCTATAGTCCCAGCTACTCAGGAGGCTGAGGCAGGAGAACTGCTTGAACCTGGGAGGCGGAGGTTGCAGTGAGCCGAGATCGCGCCACTGCACTCCAGCCTGGGTGACAGAGCGACACTCCGTCTCAAAAAAAAAAAAAAAAAAAAAAAAAAAAGCTGGTGTCTTTTTAAAATCCTTTTGTAAATTAGTTTAAGAAGAGTTAAACACTAGCCCTTTCCTTGTTCGGTTCACCTGGTCTGCGTATGCATGCTTTTAAACGTGTACCAGGCATATGAAGTGGTTGTGATTTGTAAACTATCATCATAAACTCTTAAATCCTGCCTTTTACACTCTTGCCACCAGGTGGCTAAGAAAAAAGAAATCAAGAAAAAAATCTAACAGTTATGCAAAGGACTCGTAATCACTTTCAAGTTCTGCTTCAGTGGTGAAATATGAAACTATAGACGGACTGCGTTTCAAGAAGGAGAACTGCTGAATAAGTGACAGGCATTTCAGGCAGCGCCCGACCAGATGGACAGCTCATGAGTCTTCTTATTTTCTCAAATATTGGCAATGGGAAACCAGATTTTGCTGATCTAAAGCTTTTGGAGACTCTCTGAGCCTGTTCCACCTCCATGCTGTCCCCTGGATGCCGCTATTGTCCGGACCAGTTAGCTTTGGGACAGAGGTTCAGCTTTGGCCTCTTGGATTTCCAGAGTGGAGGATGCCTGAATCCTGACCACAGCAGCAGGCCGCCCTTATCCTTAACACATCAGCATCAGGGAACGACATCTGCAGAGATGTTCAGTGCCCTCAGAATTGGCTCTAGGAACCCAAAGTAAAATTCTCCAAACTGATGTTAAGGTCTCATGCATGTCATTCTTTGATTCTGTGTATTAACAGTAAGATGCTATGAGGAAATCCGTGCACGAGGGATGACAGCGTGGCAGGCTGGAACACGCTTTTTAGATTTACTTTCGTGGACTGGATCTGTTAAGAGTAAGGCCAGCGTCCTAGGGCACAAACCGTGCTCTCCCCAACGTTTCCACAGCGTCATGAAGGACGATCTTGTCCCATGAAACAAACCCTACCCGTCTTCTTGCTGGGGGGGTCAGCGGCTGCTCTGCTTCTCCTGTGCACCCGGGGTTGCTCTTCAGTTCTCTAACTTAGTAAGTTGGACTGGCAGCCTCTTGGTTGTACACCATTTTATTCTTGATTCGCTTTTCTGATTCAAAGTGAACCTGAGTGCCTTAATCCTCTAAGGGGAATTAATTGCTTGTTTCAGTGCTTAACTCTGATCCTGGCTCAGTCCCCATGGGGACAAGTTTCTTCCTGTTAGGATCTGTGTGTGTTGTTCAAAACACAATCAGAAAGGTAATGAAGTTTTTCTTATGACAGAAGCCAGAAATGCAGGCTATTTTCTTTTCTATTGCATAAGTAGTGTTCTCAAACTAACTTTATGTTATGAAGGATGCTATTGAACTCAATACATAAAATGTAGAAAATTTTAGTTGGTCATTCTAGCAGGCTGGATTATTTCCTAGAAATGAAGGTTAACTTTTATTGCCTGGTTTTATTTTACAGAAATAAGCTATCATCTTCTGCAGAAGACAATTACTGAACTGATTTTCCAGAGTTGGAATTAACCTTCTGTGGCCTAATCACCTTCATTTCTACGTAATATCACCCTCCCAAGCATTTTTCTTGGTTTTGGAAAATCATTAAGGCCACAACCACTACTCGATATGCCTGATGCCCTCTCCCACTTATAATGTGTTCATTTTTATTTTTGAGAAGACTATAGCTAGTAGATATTTCTAGAAGATGTTGATAAAGGATGGAGTTAAGTGGAGACCTGAGGAGGGAGCAGGGATAAGGAAGGGCCAAGGGGAAGAGGGAATTCACATTCATCAGGTGCTCATGCCTGCACAGTCGGCAGTCAGTGGAGGGTAACTCTTTGGGGTAAATAGGAGGAAATGGAAGCTCAAGAACTTGAAATCACTTGCCCAAAGTCCCACAGGTGCTCAGGGATGGAGGCAGGAACTCAAGTCAGGCCTGTTATGGCACAGTGGATTGTTTGATACTTGCCCTGCACTCTGTCCCTAAATGCCCATCTACAGAATTCTGAGGTTGCCTTTCCTGATGCTGGCCCTGCAAGGGCTGGGCTCACACTGTGTCTGATGCAGCAGGGCTGACTTGGGGGCAATTACTTCACATTAAGGTAGAGACCAAGAGAAATACTTGTTTTAATCTGGAAAAACTCAGATGGCTTGCCTACAGCCGTTTCTTACCATTACTCATTAAACCAAGCCCTTACATTTTATCTGAGACCCTGACTCTAACCCTGTGCCATGGAAAAACAAACAAACAAACAAAAAACTAGCATGGTGAGAGGGGGCAGGGTTGAAGACACAGTAACATGTGGCTCTCAGAAGGTGGCATCCCCTTCTGCAGTGGCAGTGTCACCCCTCCCAGCCCGGCCCAGGGGCCTGGTGCACCCAAAGAGGAGCCCGACATTTTCTCAGCCAGAATGAATCACAGGCACATTCTGCTGCGGTTCTGAGAGGCATCTGGCCAGTGTTATAGACTTTTCATGTGTCCTGTTGGTTGTGATCCTCACAGCAGCCCTTGGAGATGGGCTGAACATGAGAGACAAGGAACAAGAGTACAAGGAGATAAGAAGCTCAAAAAACAACAAACAAAACCCAAAGCTAGCAGAAGGAAAGGAACAGTAATGATTAGAGCAGAGATAAACAAAAAGAGAATTTTAAACAACAGAGAAAATCAGTTAAACCAAGAGTTGGCTGTTTGAGAAGACTAACAAAATTGACAGACCTTTAACTTAAATAAAAAGAGAGAAAAGATCTAAATAACTAAAACCAGAAATGGACGAGAAAACATCACGTCCTACAGAACAACACATCTTGCAGAAATAAAAAGGCCAAGAGAATATTATGAACAATTATGCCAACAAATTGTCTAACCTAGATGAAATGGACAAATTCCTAGAAAGACACAACCTACTGAGACTGAACAGACCTACAACTAGTAAAGAGACTGAAGCAGCAGTCAAAAATCTCCCCCAAAAGAAAAGCCCACTCTCTCTCCGGTCCGTGCCTCCAAGATGACAAAGAAAAGAAGGAACAATGGTCGTGCCAAAAAGGGCCGCGGCCACGTGCAGCCTATTCGCTGCACTAACTGTGCCCGATGCGTGCCCAAGGACAACGCCATTAAGAAATTCGTCATTCGAAACATAGTGGAGGCCGCAGCAGTCAGGGACATTTCTGAAGCGAGCGTCTTCGATGCCTATGTGCTTCCCAAGCTGTATGTGAAGCTACATTACTGTGTGAGTTGTGCAATTCACAGCAAAGTAGTCAGGAATCGATCTCGTGAAGCCCGCAAGGACCGAACACCCCCACCTCGATTTAGACCTGCGGGTGCTGCCCCACGTCCCCCACCAAAGCCCATGTAAGGAGCTGAGTTCTTAAAGACTGAAGACAGGCTATTCTCTGGAGAAAAATAAAATGGAAATTGTACTTAAAAAAAAAAAAAAAAAAGCCCAGGACCAGATGGCTTCACTGGTAAATTCTACCAAACATTTACAGAATTCACACCAGTCCTCCTGAAACTCTTCTAAAGAATGAAGAAGAAGGAACATTTCAGTGTTGAGCATCACCCTGATACTAAGGCCAAAGACACTCCAAGAAAGAAAACTACAGACTAATATTCTTGATGAAGATCGATGCCAAAATCCTAAACAACACACTAGCAAACAGAATTCAACAACACATTAAAAGGATTATATGCAATGGCCAAGTGGGATTTATTCCTGGAATGCAAGGATGTTTCAATATAAGAAAATCAATCAATGTAATACACTACATTAACAGAATGAAGGAAAAAACACACAATCACTTCAATTGATACAGAAAAAGCATTTGACAAGATTCAACACAACTTCATGA
The DNA here is from genome assembly GCF_000001405.40 of Homo sapiens. Lineage (NCBI taxonomy): Eukaryota > Metazoa > Chordata > Mammalia > Primates > Hominidae > Homo > Homo sapiens. The sequence goes on along the minus strand of NC_000013.11, from coordinate 100,539,407 downwards.
TTTAAAAACAGTCAACAAAGGAACAGAAGGAAATTACCTCAACATCATAAAGGCAGTATATGAAAAGCCCACAGCTAACATGATACTCAGTGATGCCAGAATGAAAGCTTTTCTTCTGAGATCAGGAACAAGAAAAGGATGCTGCTTTCATCAGTTCTGTTGAACATAGTTCTGGGAGTCCTAGCTGGAGCAATCAGGCAAGAAAAAGAAATTTAAAAGGCATCCAAGTCAGAGGTAAGAAGTAAAATTAACTCTATTTGTAAACAATATGGTCCTGTATAGAAAATGTAAACATTTCACCTTAAAACTTTTAGAACTAATAAGCAAATTCAGTGAAGTTGCAGGAGACAAAATTCACACAAATAATTATTGCATTTTTATACACTAACAATAAGCAATCTGAAAAGACAAACTATTCCATTTATGATAGCATCAAAAAGAATAAAATACTTAGGAATAAACTTAACCAAGCAGGCAAGATGTGTACACTGAAAAGTACAACACATTGCTGAAAGCAATTAAAGAGGACATAAATAAATGGAAAGACATCCCATGTTCATGGATTGGAAGACAATATTGTTCAGATGTCAATATTTCCTAAAGTGATCTACAGATTAATGCAGTCCTTTAATGCAGAAAGAGGAAAACCCAATCCAAAAATGTATATGGAAATATCAAAGGACCTTAAATAGACAATGTGATCTTGGAAAAGAACAATGTTGGAGGTCTCATACTTCCTGACTTCAAAACTTATCATAAAGTTACTGTAATCAAAATAGCATAGAACAGGAATTCCTCCTTATCTGTGGTTTTGCTTTCCGTGGTTATTGTTTAATGGGTACAAAGTTTCAGTTTTGCAAGATGAAAAGGTTCTGGAGACCTTTTTCACAACTCAAATATACTTAACACTACTGAACTGAACACTTGAAAATAGTTATGATAAATTTTATGTTATGTGTATTTTATCACAATTTTTAAAACTCCACAAATTAAAAAACAGGAAATACAGAGAAGGATTTGGTTTATCAGATAAAATTTAAAACAAGTAGGGAACAAAAAGCATAGGGAAGTGTAGGGTGCTTTGCAAACCATCTCTGCCATTGCAGAGCCTGAGTCCTCCACCATACTTGACAGGGTCACCTCCCTTGGGCCTTGGGGTCAGTGCAAGTGACAGAGCCAGAGAGGCTTTTGGAGTCCAGCAGGCCCAGGCTCAGTTCCTGCTGCTGCCTCTCACCAGCTTCGGGCCAGAGCCCTCATCTTAGTTTCTTCATCTGTTAAATGAAGGTAATACCACCTACTTTACAGAGTTGAGAGCATTAAATAAACTGAGATTACACAGGCTACTTAGTGCGGGGCCCAGTACACCCAGGTGAACCTCGGTCGTCGGTAAGCAAGGTCCCAGAAGTCCTCCCTGGGAATTAGCCTTCTTCAGAAACACTATCCTCCAACTCTCTTCTCCTCTTACCTCTGTCCTAAGCCTGCTTGTCCACTCTTGGATGAAATATTTTTCTTCCTTTGCAGTTGAATCCCCGGAATAGTGAAAACAATGACCATTGCGTGCTGAGTACCTGCTCTGTCCTGGCATCTTACAACTCTGTTCCAAAGTCTGTGCTGCTTCCATAGGACTGTTCTCACTTCTTTCCATTTTGCAAGTTCTCAGCCTGGCGGCAGTCTCCCTGCCCGAGTGGATGGTGCCACCACCTCTTACTGAAGGAGCGGTTTCTGAGGGAGAGTGCCTGTGCTGTGCAGCTGTCTCCCGCGAGGCGCCCTTTGACAAGTGTGTCTTCTGTCTCCCCTCAATGACACTGTGGCTTCATGGAGTCTCATTGCATGCCCAGCACTTAGCACAGGGCATCCCTGCATGGCTGCGTTGTTCCCTGCATGGCTGCATTTAGGCTTTCCTTTTCCTGCAAGTGCTGCCTCGTCTTTCCTTTCTCTCGTCTCAGCAGCAGGAAGAGCAAGTTCTTTCTCTGCCTCCCCGCTGCCTGGCTCCTTCAGCTATCACCAGCCATCCCCTCTACCCAGCCCTCACTCTGGTGCCACAATTGCTACTTTCCTGGCTTCTTCACGGGGACCTGACATACCCTTGAGTCTCCTGTACCTGAAGAAAACCTCCTTGCCATCCTTCTAAGCAAGCAGTTTCTGTCTTGTCGCTTCCTTTCTGGCTCACATCAAGTCTCTCAGAGGAAGGGGCTAGGGCTGGCGGTGCAGCAAGGGAGAAGACAGGGAGGACAGGCCCTGTGTCCAGCTTCCTCCTAATGCTACTCAAACGACCCACAAGGACAGTGGAGGAAAGCGGGCGACACGCTTCTGGAAGACGGAAAACAGAAGTGAGTGACAGCAGACTTAACCTAGAGACACCCAAAACTTAAGCTCCTGCACAGTGAGAGGCTGACAAGTAGTCAGCTGAGCAGTGTCTGCAACGCTGGAGGAGTCCAGAACCGCAGGCCACAGAGGCAAGGACAGGCCAAGACACGGAAAGGCTGGGAGTGTGCACAAGGTGCAGGGAGACCCCACTGCTTCCCCTCACACCTGGCAGAGGATGGCGGGTTCCTTTCTGGAGAGCCTGACAAGAACACCTCCGCTGGGGACACAGGCCTAGCTGAGTGGTGGTGAGGTGGCACCCTGAAAACAAGCATTGGGGGAAAGTGCAGAGCTCCCAGCGCCGCTCCCCAGAGTCCCGTGTGAGGCCTGCCACCTGACAGCTCAGCCTCACTTCCAAAGAGTGGCTCAGCTTTCCCAGCCAAGATCACATGTGAAGAAAATCTCTTGAAACACAGATACCAAAACAGAGAGAAAAGAGGGAGTTAGGAGAAATGGAGGCAATGAAGGGAATGAAGAAAACTTAAAAAATATATATATATTGAGCCTGTGAATGAACAAGAAGTTGAAAAAAAAAACACACAACAAGAAAAATATATTGGAAATAAATATCATGGCAAAAAAATTTTTAATAGAAGAAATGCAAGATAAAGCAGAATATAATATAGACCTGGAGGAAAGGAGAAAATATAAAAACATTGGAGGCTGAAGTCAGGACCTCCACTGCCGGAATATTGGGAGAGCCAGAAAGAGAACAGAGAGGAAGGAGGGGTAAGAAAATGCCCCCGTGATCCAGGATAAGGAGCATTCAGATCAAAATTCCAGCACAATCAATGAAAACAGAGTCTACATCATCAGAAAATTCTAGAATCTGAGGGATAAAAGGAAGCCCTTAAGAGCCTCCAGGGAAGAGCTCGAGTCACACACACAGGGGACCTGGATCACAGCACACTGACTTCTCTGCAAGAACTCGGAAAGTTAGAAGACAATGAAGAAATGTCTTTAAAGTTCTGAGGGAAATGATTTCTAGAATCCTCTACGCAGCCATGTTATTAACCAAAAGTGGGAGAGAATACACTTCAGCAAAATGTGGCCAACATCCCAGCCAGAGGACGGGACAGGAATGAGGGTGGCCTGGATGGCAGCGACACAGAGAGCCCAGACTAGAGCTGGCAGGGAGGACCTTCCAGCGGATGGTCAGGACCCGGGTTCTGGCCATGCTCTCAGAAACTGCGAGGCTGAATTACAATCCTAGAAACTAAGCGAAATGCAAAACAAACAAAAAAAACAAACTTGAAGCAATTTTTAATTTCAAGGAAAACATAAAGTTGTCCAAGAAAGGAAATGTAATCATAGTATGCTCTGTGTCTTAGCCAAGAGCCGTGTTTGCATGGTTCTAATGCCGAAATAGATCTGGGTCTGACCCAAAACTATGATGAGTCTGTTGGGAGGATGGCGGGATGTGGTAGGAGAGCCAAGGGTCAGGCTTCTACAGTGATGACAGCAGCGGCACACGCTACATGTCAGCAGATCACACAGGACCACGTGTGTTGGTACCCACCGCGGTCTCTGAGGCAGGCTGCTACTGTGACTTCAGTTTACAGTTGAGGAAGCTGAGGCACAGAGAGGTTATATGATCTGCCTAAAGTCACACAGTTAAAGTCTGTGCTTTAGAACCACTATGCTCACCCACTTTTTGAGTAGAAGGGCAAGATATGATTTAAGACATCAAGAAGTAGCAGCGTAAGTAACAATATGGAGATAAATGCTGAACACAACAGTTAAAAGCCTTAAAAGTGTTGCCTCCAGGGAGTGGAAAGGGGTAGGAAACTTCATTTTTCTTACAAAGCAATCTATTGACATTTTGGACACATGCCATTTTAAAAAACTGCATCAGGGAAAGCCAGGCAGGCACCTGGCAGTGGAGAGCTGGTCTGCAGTGTGACTACGGCCCTGCCCGGCTGGCTGGTCCTAGATCGCCACCAGCCTGGGACTCGGCTTCCTCACCTGCAGGTGCTGGACCAAACAGTTTCCAAGTTCTCTTCTGGCCCTTCATGTTCCAGCAACAAACAAGACCAGTGATTTAGAGAGCACGTGTGCTATAACGACAACCAGACAGAGTGATGTGACAGACTGAGTAGGCCCTGCCTACTACTCCTGCACCCTCCAGGTCAGGCGCTGGTCGGGGCAGGAGCCACCTGGATGAGGGGAGAGAGGGTGCAGGAGATGAGGTGGGAGAGTTAAGTCTGCAGCAGGAGATTGACAAGGACCCTCTGGGTGGTGCACTGGGGGCAGGATCCAGGGGAACAAAGACAACAGGGATGCAGGCAGGCATTGGAGGAGGAGAGCAGGTTGGGAGACGTGGCAGGGGAAGTGCTGATGGGTCTCGCTGGGGGCTGGGATGCAGGTGTGGGGAGGGACATGAATCCTTCCAAATGCTGAGTCCCCAAGGCAGCTGCACAGCAGGATCCAAACCATCATCGCCCCCCAGGTGCTCGTCTTTTGGGATAGCTCCTTGCCCGCTGTTGTAGACAGCTGCTTCCATCCAGTGCCCTCTCCAGACACCAGCGCTGCTCTCAGCTGGTGCCTTTTGTCATTTTCACGTACACCCCAGCAGCCGAGTCCTGGCAATTTTAGGCCTGAGCACTTGCCTCTTCTCTTCCTCAGTACCGTCCTACCCCAGGTTCTCCTTAATTCACATCTCAACTTTCCTATCCCAGCATGCCCCCCAGGTCTAATCTGTGTCCCCACACTGGGAAGGGTGTCCCAGGGCTATCACATGGCCAGGCCCACAGGGCGCACGTATCTGGCTAGCCTTGTGTTTTTCCCACGGCCACACCTTTCCTAGTGCAATGTGCCTGAAATCTGGGGAATACTGTTGTTGCACAGGCTGGTGATAGAACCAAGAGGCAGCAGACGTGCCTCTTGAGCAAAATGAGGCCTAGAACCCCCCAGAGCAGCTCTTGTTTGCTGAGAAGAAAACAGAAGTCCCATGAGTTCAGTGTGACTTCTTCAGTTTCTTCAGGGTCCACTTGTCCACATGATTGGTGGCAAGTGTGGTGTCCGGGGCCATTTCTGGCGGGTCACGAGCCGCTGCTGTTTCCTGGATAGCCGCATTTGTTTTCCTGCACCTGCAGTCCCGTCTGCAAAGCCCATCTCAACGAGTCGCCCCACAGGCTGTCACCTCATGGCGGGGGCACACAGGGCAGCGGAGCGAGGGGCCGGGGAGAGCGGCCCCCACCCCTTTAATGTTCATTTCCATTTTTGTTTGAGTCACTTTCACACAAATCACTTCTGTCTTTATGTAACAGTCTGTGGCCCAGACCCAGGCAAGTGGTAAATATTTACCTTCACGCTGGAGCCAAGATCGCTGCGGGGAGTCCCGTGAAGCACCACTGCCCTCTAAGACCTTGGAAGGGGAAACACCAGAAGGTGTGGGTGCTGAGCTCCGCTGCGTCAGACTGCCAGGACCTGAGTGGAACTCAGTGCTGAAACCTGGGTTCTCACTGCAGCTGGATAGCAGGTGGTTACAAAATTATATGTATTTTTAGGGTTATTTCTAATTTTTCTTTAATAGTTATTGGCAATTTTCAAAGTCCTTTAAGAAACACTGAAAACTGCTCAAGAAAATGGCAGTTCTGCAGGGCTCAGGTAGCAGGGCAGGCTGTTGGGACAGGTTTGACAGACTGTCCTAATACAAGGAGCGCCTTTTCCCAGATCAGCAGCTCTAGAGGGTGGCGGCCTTGCCTGGAACCTCCGCAACCTCCGCGCCCACCACACAAGGGCTGAGAACAGTAAGGTATGGGCTGTGCTGGGCTCAGGAGCAGGGGTAGTTGCTCACCTGGACAGGGTGTGTCTGGGAGGGCCATACTAGGGCCTGGACAGGGCGTCTTCTGGCCTTGAGCTGCTACGATGGGGGTAGGAGTTGGGAAGGGTGGAAGGCTGGTGCCCTCAGGGAGTCGGGGAGGCTGCGCAGTCAGCAGGTCAGGACTGTGTTCCTCAGAGAAGGGTGGCCTGTGCAGGCGAGGCAGGGCTGCCCCTGCAGGGCTGAGGAACATTAGTCCATCCAGGTGGTGTGGGGAGGCTGAGGGCACGGTCCTCCTGCCCAGAACGCAGGTGTCCTGTCTGCTACAGACACATCAAGGAAGTCACCAATGTGTGCCCCTTTCTCTAGCCTAGGGACTGGCAAACCCAAAAACACCATGCCCACAGGTTAGAGCCGACCTGGTGCCCGTTTGTGAACAGCCCACAAGCTAGGAATGGCTTTCACATGTTTAAATGGCCGAAAGTCAAAATATCTCATGATGTGTGAAAACTGTAGGTCATTCTCATCTGCGTCGGTAAGTAACGCCTTATCTGAGCACAGCCAGGCGCATTCAGGTGGTGCGGCCCCAGTGGAGGCTCTGTGGGCCGGGAGCCACGTCCCAGGTGCAGACACAGAGCTCCCACTGCGGGCTGACCTGTGACTTCCCCTCTCCCTGCAGCTCTGCCCGGATGGCCCTAGTCTTCGTGTACGGCACCCTGAAGCGGGGTCAGCCCAACCACAGGGTCCTGCGGGACGGCGCCCACGGCTCCGCAGCCTTTCGGGCGCGCGGCCGCACGCTGGAGCCCTACCCGTTGGTGATCGCGGGGGAGCACAACATCCCGTGGCTGCTGCACCTGCCCGGCTCGGGGCGCCTCGTGGAGGGCGAGGTCTACGCGGTAGACGAGCGGATGCTGCGCTTTCTGGATGACTTCGAGAGTTGCCCGGCCCTGTACCAGCGCACGGTGCTGCGGGTACAGCTGCTGGAGGACCGGGCCCCGGGCGCAGAGGAGCCGCCAGCGCCCACCGCGGTGCAGTGCTTCGTGTACAGCAGGGCCACCTTCCCGCCGGAGTGGGCCCAGCTCCCGCACCATGACAGCTACGACTCCGAGGGGCCGCACGGGCTGCGCTACAACCCCCGGGAGAACAGATAAGGGGGACGGGCAGGGTGGGCCTAGGTTTGAGAGCCCTGGGGCTCCAAGATGCGCCCAGCCCATGCTGGGTGAAGGCGGAAGCCGAACAGGGCCCTTTCCAATGAATCTGCCGGAAAGGAACCAATCTTTCAGTGGCAGCTGATTTTACAAATAATGTTGAGATACGAATAGCAAGGTGCTTCCCTCCCATCTTTCTACCTGGTAAGAAAAATTTAGGATTTTAACTCCCCTAAATGACATTTAGAGAACTCGTGTTATGCCTAATTCTTCTTCCTCCTCGTGTTGTTTCTGCTGTTGGCTCTGCTTTGAGCTCAAGATAATAATAAATATTTAGGATCAGTGTAAAGACTTGGTGTTGCCGCTAGATTTTAGCAGCCCTACTATACTGATTCTGGCCTGTAACCCCTGAGAAAGCCGATTTTACACGGCTGGGTAGAATTTGTAGAAAAGATCCACAGGGCAAGCATGCTGTATATCAGAGTGCGTATAGCACCATTCTTCCTAATTTTCAGATCAAGCTTCACAGCAAATATTAAAGATTATTTAAATTTGAAGTCGATGTTTTGGGAAATCAGATATAAAAGTGTTGGTACTGTGTTTGACCCCCACGTTTTTTGGTATACTTATTTGGTAGAAGGTTCTTTACATTCTGATCTAGCAAAATAATGAACACCCACTTGCTGGTAGACACAGCTGAGCGCCCGGACTTCAAGTGGAAGTTTATCTGAGCCCAGATCTCAGTAGCCAGACCCCGTCCCTGCCCCCTGAAGGGAGAGCATTTGGGGGTGAGTCCTTTCAAAGAAGAGCCAATGCATTAGTAATTTGTTCTTCAGGCCTGACAGAAGCTTAGCTTCCAAATACAAACAGCACTTAAAATAATTTTAGCAAGGCACGAAGTACCAATTACTACCCACCTCCATCTGATAATTGTCAGCATCGATTCAACTCGGTGCACGGCTCTTGCTTCTGCTTCCCAGCAAAGTCTGAAATGTATTCCAAGGATTTCAGAACCAAATGAAAATGCAGCTGCTGTGATCTTTAGTAACCTCATTCTCTGTTGGGAGAGCTCACTTACTCTTCAACTTAATGGCAGACTGTGATCGCTAACTGCATCTGGCACAAAAACATGATCATTATTTTTAGCTTCTTTTGCTTAATTGGAAACTTGCTTCACAAAAAACACAAAAAGGCTACGCTGGGTCTCAGCTGATGAGCTCGTGGCGGCCCTGTGCTTGATGAGGGCGGTGAGGCAGCCCAAGCTCCTTGTGACTGCCCTGGCTTGTGCAATGGGGAAGGGACCAGGCAGCGCGCTCATCCTCAAAACAAACAAAAACAGTGGAGACAGCACCCCCGGCCAACCAGGAAGCTTCAGGGTGACCTCCAGGGGAGTCAGCCACCAACAGTACACCCACATAGAGACACAGCAGGAAAGGGATTGCCAAAATCTGCATTTGCAGTCTCTGGTCCTTAGGAAGTTTTGAAAATCAGCACCAGGAGTGAGGGCCTCACTTCTAGAAGTAGTAAGGCAATCAGATGAAAAAATGGCAAGTGCTAATTTAATAAAGCAAGGCAGAGAACTGACTGACATTTATATCAATCTCTTAAAAGGATCACAAAGAAATGCTGGTAGTCTACTGGCAGAGCCTGTCGCCTATGTGTACATTGTCTTCATTCAAAGAAAGGGCAAACTAATATTTAGACAAATGCTCAGTTTTATTGATTTAATTTTGACACTAGGGAATCTCACAGCAGAAGTACAAATCATATGTACAAGTATTTATATCAATGAAAATTTCCATTGGTGATTTTTTGGCAGAATATTGGTCTTGACTCTGTGGAATAAATGACGACGTAAACGTAGCTGCACAGGGGTGTTCCTGTATAATGCTTGAATCAATTGTGTGTGAAAGCATCATGCAAATGGCTAATTAAATTGGGTGATGACTGAAAGGTTATAAATCCTTCATTCCAGCTCCACGAGCAGATCCCCTTCTCCAACTGTGTCTCCAGCTTGACAGTGCACAGATTTCACCTTGAATTTTGAAAAATGCAGGGGGAGGGGAGAGTAAGAATTAGTAACCAGAACCAAGAGGCGGCAGGCTCCTAATCCATTTCTAAAAATGCACAGTCCTGCAAGCTCAGCAGCACAGGGACAAGCCACCCCACCCCACCGGAGCCCATCGAAGGGACCCTGGTGAACAGGGAGGCGCCATGGTGGCCGTGGCCGTGGCTCACTCCTCCCCTTTCCCGTCTCCTCTGTCCTCGGCACCCTCACAGTGGCTGGCCTGAGGGCTACTCTCCGGAGCATTTGCGCTGTGGCCTGCGCTCTGGCACCCTCAGGTCTAGGCAGGCTCTTCACTGCCAGGTGAGTTCTAACCCCTAGCCTCCCTCTCTGTGGTTTTGAGGTTGTGGAAATGTTCTCTGAGAATTAATGGAATACTTAGTGTAAAAGAAAAAAAGGAACAAAACACACGACAGTCAGATCAGCTGCTGAGTAAGAGGAGGACCTCCCTGGCCTGACCTCCATTTTCTGAAGGGAAATGGAGTCCTTGGCAGGTGGGGCTGTGCGGTCGCCCTTTCCAGCACCATGGGTGGGTGGAACTGTGCCTTTTTGTCCTACCGGTTTCAGTCAATCTTTATCAAGTTTTGCTTTCCGAAATTTGTGTTCTGACTTAAAATTAGCAAGGAGGGGCTTGAGGTGGGGAAGAGACAGTCATTTGACTTCTTGGAGGCTCTTGCTTGGGCCTGAAAATGAAAAATGGATTAGAACTCATCGGCCACTGCAGATGCTGCTTGGACTGAAAAGGCTGCTTTCCACAATGCTCCTGCCTCCATTTAGCAGCCCTACTAGAGGACGCAGTGTTAGTGATGCAGCGATGACCAGAGTAGAGGATCTGTTTCCTTTGTGAACTTTTTTTCTCTGGGAGGAAAAGTGGCCTCGCAGGTAGGAACCAGGGCCTGCTACTTTGCACGGGGGCTTCGGGCCACTTCTGCTCTTCTTGGCTGGGTTGGAACTGAGAGGCCTGGGGATGGGGTGAGGTGAACAGAATGCACAGGAAGACTCCAACTAGGAGGGCCGAGGGAGACCCAGGCCACGAGGACAGGAAACCTACTACCACATGGCACCATGCCCCTTCAGGGAACTGATGAGGCCAAGGTCATTTCTGCATTAGCACCTCAGACCTGCCGCACAGGGCCCTTGGCATGCGGCGGACACACGTTCTCGGTCCCCCACACCTAGGCCAAGTTCTCATCATGGATGGATGTCGTGATACTAGGGCAGCACAAATGTTAAATCCCAAAGAACAGATAAAATTTTTACATGAACAGAAACCAACATTTTCTTGTTCACTTTTTAAAGAAGTAATTTAGAAAGAATTCCTTAAAAACGCCACAAATCATGTCATTCTACTCTTCACACCATACCAGCACAGTGCAACTGTCCACACCCCTCCAGACCGGCGGGCTGGGCTCAGGAGCCCCTGGCATACACCTGGGCCTCTGTTCTCCCAGCCGGGACCAGGCATGACATCCCCGCTGCCCCTTCTCTGAGAATCCATTTCATTGCCTTCTGCAGTGACAGAGCATGAGACAGAGGTTGTGTGTCTCTCTGATGCAAACCTGGTTATGAACTGATGGATCTCTCTTTGCACCTGATGTCCCCAAGGCATGGCCACATGCAGAACACGGCCAGCCTTGCGCTTCCCATCATGCTCTCCCATGCAGACACTTCCAAACCACAACGGCCCTCACAAAAGGATCATTTACCTACTAACGGCATCTTTTCAGTCTTTTTAGTCACAGGAAGAATAATGAAGTTACTGCTTAAAAGGACTTTTCTATCTTCAAGAAAAAAATACACTTAAGTTTCACTATGAATGAATTTCAGTACTAATATTTTTTTCTCCCTAAATAATTAAGTCCCACATGTACATGGGGTTTTGGCTTCTCTTGATCTGCAACTGAATTGTTCCCTTTGTAGAGAAATTGTCTTGAAGAGTTACATTAATTTTTGCAATTTGTAAAACCATTTGCTGCTGTGTCACCTAAGTCTCAGATAACTAACTGCCTTCAAGACAGATGTAAACATTAAAAATTAAAGACCCCTTAATTTGAAAGAAAGACATTAAGGTGAAGAACAATTGTTCTTTGACTACCTGAACATAAAGCACAGACTTTTTGGAAGCCACGCTCTCTACGAGGCAGGGATGCATCAGGGCAGAATGGCAAAAGCTCCCAATCCTAACGTCCTCCTCTGTAGAAGCGAGGGGGAGAGGGCGCCTCTGTGGCCCTTTCCAGCCAAACCACCCACGATTCAAAGGTGGGCGTTCCTCCATCACAGGGCCGGCCTGGGCTGATGGGGACTTAGGGACTCACCGTGCCAGTTTTCCCAGCTGTCATACTATTCTGCATTTTCATGGCTTCAATCACACAAATTTCTTGACCTTCTGCTACCTGGAAAACAAAAATGGGCAGAAGTTTTAAAAGCATTCTAATTTTGCATTAACACTTAGGAATGAAGCCATTAAGAAATTCTTTGTCAAATGCCCCAAAATATGTGTCTATGAACAGCAGCAACAATCTCTAATGTTTCCTATTCCAAGCTCATCTTTAGGAACAGTAGAGAAAAGCCATTCTCTCTCTCATAAAGTCCTCGTTGGAAAAAAAAAAAATCCCTGACCCTGGAGAAGTGGGGACCCTGGCGGCGGGGCCTACCCTGGGGATCTCTGAGTCTGGCTCTGCCACTAACAGAGGTGTTCGGAAATTGGAATGTTTTCCACTTACCTGAAATGTCCAGAATAGGCAGATCTCTACAGACAGACTCGAGGTTGCCTGGGGTTGAAGAGGGAAGGGGAGTCACTGCTGAAGGGTACAGGGTTTCTTTTGAGAGTGATAAAAATGTTCCAAAATTGATTGTGGTGACAACTACACAACTCTGAATTGACTGAAACCACCGAATCGTACACGTTAAAGGGCTAAATTGTATGTGAATTACATCTCAGTATAGCTGTTACCAAAAAAAAAAAACCACCACCAAATATACATATTTCTGTCTATAGTCCCGGGGAACTGGGAACAGCTCGGCCCTGGCGCCACGAGGACCACTGTCCCATCCTCTGCAAGACACAGCGAGTACCCACAACAAGGCACAAGGCAGCTTCCGGAAAACCCTCCAGACACAGGAATGACTTCCAGAGCTACATGCATTCCATGCTAGGAGACTGGGAGCGCCCACGGGCCTTTGCTCAGACTGCGTTCAGAACTTGCCTTTCATCCTGAGGGGCAGCCAGGCTGAGCTGGGTTAAGCCCACTGGCGTTAAGCGTGAGGCTTCCCTGCAGGAGTGAGCTGCAGCTGAAAACCATGCTGCGCACTCACTTCGCTCTGCCCCGATGGGTCAGCGTCCTGAGCCGGCCAGGTTTTTCTTTGGCCTCCCAGTCTTTGAAACGGGCAAGTCCAGGTTCCTAGGGCAATGGCTATGTGGTGTGGGTGGGTGTCCTGGCATGGGGCTCCTGGCCCCTCACACCACTGTGGCCATATTCGTCCAATGCCTCAGAAGCGCCTAGAGAATGTTCTTTCCTGAAATCCCCAGATGATCTCCAAGTCCCCCTCTGGCCCCCCCGTGTGGCGCAAGCTGTCTTGCTGGCACTCTGGAGCGCCTGAGCCGATGTACTCTTTTCCTCTGCTGTTCAGGTGGTGGGCTGCTTCTTCCTGGCATAGAAATATAGGAAGAGAGACGATGCCAAGGCTTTGGCGCTGGCACGGAGGAGAGACACCGCGCTGAGGAGCTGGGCCTGGAAGCGCTGCCCGCGCTGCCCTTTTTGATTCATTTTCACGTGGCATCTGCATTCCAGGGAGAGCGAAGAATCAGCCTCGAGGGCTGTTTGCAGGGGGATGGGAGGGGCAGCGCAGAGACAATGCAGAGGCCCCCATCAGGGGTGTCAGAACAGTCACTCCCTCCAGTTGGCATTTTACAGCCTTTTTTCTCTCTTCAAAGGCAGGCAAAGACCAGGGAATCCAGGAGCAGGTCCAGTTCACTGCAGCACACCTGCCAGCCAGCTCCACACAGGGGACCCTGGAAGCCTGGCCGTGTCCTCTTAGAAGCTGGACTCACTGCGACTGACTCTGACCTAGGACTGAGCACTCAGGCAACAGGACCGGGGACTCTCTGGGAAGTGGATCTGAGACTCAACAGAACATAGTAGAAATGCCATCCAAAAATGAGGAATCCACTCTCCCGCTCTGGGCACTGTTCTCTCTCCAGGTGGAGGAGCTTCCTGGGGACTGCATGCCGGCCTCCCAAACACCCACCCAGCCCTTCCTCTGCAGGCATCTGAGGGCCCAGGACTGGCCAGAGCCCCGTCCCCCCGCCAAGTACATTGGCTTCACATGGGTGGCACAGCCCCTACCCTCTCTGCCAGTAGGTGTGCCCTTCCACCACACGTCCCCTCCCATCCCCTTGCTCAGAATCTGCGGGCCAGACAGGCAGGCAGCTCCTGCTTCTGTTTTACAGGATCTTCAAGTGAGTGCGTTAGCAACTCAACTGCAAATATGAAGAAATGCGGCCTGGGGATTTCCCAAGGTCACGCTAGGGGCAAAGGCCAGCCTGACCTGGCTACAGCTCTACTCTGGGCCCCGCCAGGGCCTGGGAGCAAGTGGGTGGTGGACAGGAGCTTAAGGGGCTCTGCTGTGGCTGCCACTGACCATCTTTCTGGCTGGCTCTGTGCTTCTAATGTGGGTGATTTGCAAAGAGGTAACGCACAGGTAACTGCAAGTGCTGGGTCCCCAGTTGTTCATCAGAAAAAAACCTCGGATTTAGCCCGAGACAATCAGGAAAAGTGGGGAGGCCTGAAATTCAAATAGTCCTTCTGTCTGATTGTGAGAGTCCGGCAATTCAATTCAAAGGACTTTAAAGAAGGCGTGTCCCCACTGAAGCGATCCCATCTTCTGCCCCATCCAAGCACAGCACTGAATCATAGAATTAGATCCTCCCTGCTCCATCCGCCTTTCATTCCTGTTTCCCCTCCCTAGTTCCTCTCGTGGTGTCTACTAGTCTACTTATTTAGCTCTATCCTATCTATCTTATCTGCCTGTCTGTCTGTCTATCTATCTATCTATCTATCTATCTATCTATCTATCTATCTATCCATCTTAGAGACAGAATCTCGGTCTATCCTATCTATCCTATCTAATCTATTTTATCTATCTATCTATCTTATGTAATCTAATCTAATCTATCTAATCTATCTATCTATCTTAGAGACAGAATCTCGGTCTGTTGCCCAGGCTGGAGTGCAGCGGCACAATCTCAGCTCACTGCAACCTCTACCTCCCAAGTTCAAGCGATTCTTCTGCCTCAGCCTCCTGAGTAGCTGGGAATACAGGTGTGCACCACCACGCCCAGCTAATTTTTGTATTTTTAGTACAGATAGGGTATTACCACATTGGCCAGGCTGGTCTCAAACTCCTGACCTCAAGTGATCCGCCCACCTTGGCCTCCCAAAGTGCTGGGGTTACAGATGTGTGCCACTGTGCCCAGCCTAGATTATTTAGCTGTAAATGAAAAACTAAGTAGCACACTTCTCTATTAATTTTGCACCATCTGTTTTGTAGACCGTTTTCCCTAATTCATCCCTAAGAGATGGTGTTTAAAAACTTCCTTCATGCCTTACAAAATAGTGAGATACATCTTGCTCAACAGAAACATGTTCTACCCCAACACACACACACACACACACACACACACACACACACACGAGCTTAATTGAATTTCAACATGTTTCATCCTTTGGAAAAAATTGAGCTGGAGAACCAAATGTACAAACCAAATGTCAAAGAATGCAATGGAAACACAAACTACACCTGCCCCAGTCTGTGGGAAGAGGCTGACACTCGAGGGCGTGCTCCAGGGATGGCTGGGCATTGAGCTGGGCTCCTTCCAACAACAGCAAAATGCCAGCACTCGGCCCTTGGGAGCAGGGGCTCTCACCTTAGGACTTTGGAGCCTTGCTCCCAGCAGCGCTGACTCCTGCAGAATGTGTCGCACACCGTAGAGTACATGTAGGGTACACCAGGGAGCTGGGCAGTGGGCCCAATGGAAGCAACACCTTCCGGATTGCCCAGGGTGGCTGGGAAGCCAAGCATTAATTGGGTGCACAGAGAGGGCCCTCCACCATTCCGTCTCCATCAGACGCCCCCATGTGCGGGGCCCGTTCCTGCAGGATGTGTGCGCACGTTTCTCCAACACTTTTGTGAATCATCTGATAAAGACTTAATGATTGTGACAGGATGTCTCCAATGTTGGGCTTACAAAATGGTCACAAGCCTCACAAGTCTTTTTGATGAACCTAGTGGGCCTGATGTATCTCCCCGCTCCCTGTCTAATTGGTGTAAAGTTTGAAGGCCTGAATCCTGTATCTTTCATCCAGCTTATTGCGTCCTCTCCTTTGACACGAGGTCAAGGTTCACGTTCGCATCCGATTATCAGAGCGGCACTCATTAAGCAGGAGTCGGCCTTGCCCCAAACAAGGCTTGAGAGAAACCTCGGCCCATTTACTCAGCAGATTTTCGCATGTCGTGGGGGCCCGAGTGTCACCCAGCATTGCTCTGTGCTGAAGAGCTGCAGACACCTCCAGCTGATGATGAATTGTGAGTGATGGGAATCAAATCCCGTAAAGCCAGCTGCTTGCCATGGTCGGCAAAATGACTCTAATGGATATAGGCTGCCAATTTTCCAGTTTTACTGGCAAGTCTTCCAAGTGTAATTAAGGGAAGTTATAAATGATATGGAAATCTATCAAGTTCCATTTATTTTCAGAGGACTCTTTCCCCAGAGACTTTTATCTTCAAGCTTATAGTATGCTTTGTTGTGCTAATGATTTAAACCACTTCTTATTTCTGATTAAAGCCCCCAATATCCTTCTACCAAGTTCTCTTCACTCCTTCCACAAAGATTAAAAGACAGAGAACCTTCTCCCGCACATGCCCCCTCTCAGAAAACATGCTAAGACAGGGACACATTTGGCAATGCCGATCATTCAAACTGCAGACTGCCATGACCACGAAGAACGCTCAAAGAAAGTGCAGGAAGAAAAAGAAGAGAACGGGGGAAAAAAGACCACCAAACATAAAAGGAAGCCCCCACAAGCACAGGCTTGAAAGCGGTGCTCAAGACCAGATATTCATCAGAAGGTGGTGTAGCTCACTAATGTTATTTGATTTGGAATAAAAGCATGAAAATGATGGCAAAGGCCTAAAATTGGAGATGTAAAGGATGACTGCACAGTATTCCATTTCTCAATTTCATCCTTCAGAGCCACAAAATGGGGGTGATACAGTGAGTGGATGAGATTTACAGTAACAGCTGTGGTCTCCCACACAAGGGAGGCCCTTCTAATGGGCTGAGGTCTGTTTGGAACAGACGGGGAGTAACAAAACAAGGTTCCCTATTAAGAGTGTGCAGTCGTATTTCTGATAAAGAAAATGACGAGGGAGTCAGGTCTCCTTTAAGACAGCCCATCCTCTTTTTGTTGCCCAAACCCAGGGCTGTTTTAAAGGTGTTATCGTTGAAATAGAGGCCAGGGGACGTTCACAGCATCGAGCCGCCCCGCCCCCCAGGAAGCCCACTCTCTAGCAACTGTAAGGAATGCAGAGGAAACGGTGCCAGTGGCATATGGCTTTCCACTGTGCTAAACATTCATACAAAAGACAGGTTCATCAGTCATTGGAGTATCTGGATAAAAAATTAGCTCCTGATGGATGGTATTTTGAGCTTACCTGCTGCTAGTACATTACCAGAGAAACACAGGTTTTGAAACCCACATGACATTAGAAACTGCAGACCATGAAATACGACACGTGCAGGAGCACACAATGTACGCCAGATTATACAAAATAATAAATAAGCTATTTAAACCCTCTGCCTAAAATTGGGCCCGCTGCAAGGAACCCTGGGTCACTTCTACGCAGGCCAATTAATGCACAGCATCTGCTGTACAGAAGCAGGGCATGAAGCACTTCCGAATGATTTCGGCAATTAAAAGAAAACTGTTTCCTGCCTGTTCAGACCGCAACTGTTTCGATGCAAGAGTGAGCACCAAATCACTGCGTGCAGCTGAAAAATTAAGTCCCCTTTTTGGGGAAGAAGGGTGGGTGGGAGGAAGAATTTTTATGGAAAAAGGAGGCTTCTTTTGTTGTCCTACATTCTGTGTTTTTCTGCCAAATTAGACAGAAGGCTCGGAGGGCTTACCAGCCCGCTGCAGTTTCCACTTCTGCAACGCCGGACCACCGGAAAAACACGGATCAATATCAGCCCTGGTGTCTACGCCACAAAAGTGAAAATCCCACCATTTCATTGTTAAAGGCTGGTCTGCTTGGAACACAGGTGCCTGAATGCCACACATTTTAAGGCCCTTAGATCTGAAGAAAGGTTCAGTTAACAGTCACAAAAAAAGGCATCTCAGATTGAGTGAAAAGGCACTGCCTGCTCGCATCTGATTATATTAATAGCAACTTCCTCTGAGCCGGTAAGATAGGCTGGTAAATATCCCCTGATATTTCCTGAAGAAGAAACGTGTATTCACATCCCAACATCTTCATGTAAAGCGAGACGGGGAGGAGGCCACGGGAGACTGCAGTATTTGAGCAAGGATGGAACCATCATCAAATTACAAAGACAGACCAGGCGGGCAGGAGACGCCGCCCAGCCCTTTCTCCGGCTGAAGACTCCTTTAATGGCCCATGCACGAGCGGCCTCACTCTGGAGGGCGCGGGAACCCAGGGGCCACCCGTCCAGCCCCGCTGCCGGCTCGGGACTTCAGGCACACGTGCCGTCTGCCTGGTGCTCCCCTTGTCTCTCAAGTGGGGCTCCCCAGAACTGGGCAGCACCCAAGGGGCTAAGGGTAAGAGTACAGACTTGTGGCCGATATAAAACAAGTCCAGTTTCTTTTAAAATTCCTTAAAATGAAGAAAAATATGACTCCCTGCTGCCCTCTAAGTTAGCTCAAAATCAGAGCCAAAGCCTGCAGTTACAAAGAGAACTAGTGGAAACTGATGTCATTCACAATACCTTTGGAAATTAGCCTGGACCCTCTACCTTCGTAAAGCATGCTGCCTGAAAGCGCTCCGTGAAAGGATGATTTTTTGTAAACTTTTATTTTTATTAAAAGAGAAAAAGATAGTTTACATCTTGGTAAGGCTGAGAATGGTCACTTATAAAAATGTTGAAAACAAAGAAAACACCTTCTACTCCCAAGCAGATCACTCCTGAAAAATCAAACGCCAAGCTTGGAGAAGACTCTCCTATAATATTTAATATACTGATCCACATAAATATTTTTTATTTTATAATTATCATTGAGTATATTCAACTGTAAAAATTCCCAGTACTAATAGATATTTTTTTACCTCCTCATCTTTTTCTGCCTCCTCTTATCTACTAATAGATATTTGTTACCTCCAACAAAAACCAACTCTTTTTTTTTTTTTTTTTTTTTTTGAGACGGAGTCTCGCTCTGTCGCCCAGGCTGGAGTGCTGTGGCGCGATCTCCGCTCACTGCAAGCTCCGCCTTCCGGGTTCACGCCATTCTCCTGCCTCAGCCTCCCGAGTAGCTGGGACTACAGGCGCCCGCCACTGCGCCCGGCTAATTTTTTGTATTTTTAGTAGAGACGGGGTTTCACCGTGGTCTCGATCTCCTGACCTCGTGATCCGCCCGCCTCGGCCTCCCAAAGTGCTGGGATTACAGGCGTGAGCCACCGCGCCCGGCCAAAAACCAACTCTTAACATTTAAAAATAAATGTTATCTGGAAAAGATTAAAAGGCCAAATCCAGGGGTAGTCGTTACCTCTGAAGAAGACAGGACAGGAATGAGATGGAGGAGCTTGCCACAGGGGAAGTTCATGTTATATGTAATGTCTCATTGTTAAATAAAATTTGAAACACATATGGAAATGGTGAACAAAGGGCACAGGAGTGCTTGTTGGATTCTTCTCTGTAACTTTCTGCATGTTTGTAGTATTTCATAATTTTAAAGTCTTAAAATGTTAACAAATGCATGGATCTCTGTGTACATGCTGTGAGATACAATCTGAGGTTTGGGTGAAAACTGGCATCTTGTCAAATAAACTGCTTGAATAACTATTGCTATAAAACATATAAATTTAATTACTGCAATTATTTTGTGATTGTAAATCAAGGTATCCAGAAACTGGAAAGTCTATGAAGCAGCCAGGCTAGCCCCTCTGCCAGGGAAAGATGCAGTGAGCGAGCCTGGGCTGCATGAGGCACACAAGCGCGATGCCAGGCAAACACCCGTCGGGAGGGCCCAGCCCTGCCTTCTCGTTAGGATACGTGAGAGCTTATGAAATTTTAAAATCTTGTTTAAGAAATAAAAAATAAAGGTATCTCACCAAGTTTGCCAGTTCTGTATGGTCGGCTATAAGCTCAGTTACATGAGGCTTAGAGACAAAGGGGAGGAGGGGACGTCAGACTCTGAGATGGGATGGGGTGCCTGTGTCTTGTGGCCCTGACTGCACACCTGCTTGGGAGCCTGCCCTGTCAAAGGAGCACGTGCAAGGAGGAAACAAAATCAGGGTGAAGTGTAAGTGGTGTTGCCACCGACGCCCACCGATGTGATGCTTTCCCTGGCACACTGTACAGTAGGCTGTTTCTCGCCTTTAAGGCGTTGTTCACAAGAGGAACAACCGCAGACACCTCACTGTCCCCTGCTGAAGGTCAATTCCATCACGAGGTGGATCTTTTCATCTTAGCCCCACCAAAATATCCCGAAGTCTAATATCGAATGGGCTAATTCGCAAGAAAAAGCAGCAACAGGTACTTAATTTCAATCTATTCTTTCACCTGGTTTCACTAATTGTTAAGAAAGAAAGAAATGCAGATGAGTATATAGCAGCTTATGGTTTGTTTCTCATTTGTTTGGTGTATTAAATGAGTATTTCTGATGCAAATCTGTGATGACTGCAGAATACGAACATTACTTGAAAGAATCTTAACTAAATGCAATATTAAAATGCCTCCTTGGGTGACTATCTTATGGGGTGGTTTTGTTTCTGATATCAAAAGGCTAACAAAGCGAATGTGCTCATCATGACTTTATTTGACTTCAAAGTCAAAGTGAAAATTATGCAATAAATTCAGCAGCTATAAGTCTAATTTGACATGTGGAAAAATGTATTCTACCGTTATTCTGAAAATATATATATTTCTAACATTTCTGTTCAAGAGTATCATAAAGGTAGAAGTTTGAAACAGCTGAGTCATGCTAACTTTGATTACAGAAGTGCTCCCAGTTTACAATAGTGTTACGAGTCTAAGAAAACGAGTTTTCAAACTGAAATGAGTTACTGCAGAAACATTTTCAGAAGGCATATAAAAAGGCACTAAAATTTATTCTATCAGTTGTTTCCTAAATTATATTACTGATTCTGGACCTTAATAATCCACTGTACTTTCTTATTGATTTGTTTGCTTACCTGCATTTTACTGTGTATTAACATCCTCTCTCCACGTGTTCGGAAAAACTATTACACAATCATTTAAAATGTGACCTGCCACATTTAATGTTAAATAGTATATAACAGACACTGAAAAAGTTATTAGGAACTTTTGCTGTGTGAACCCTACAGAAGCCCTTCAAATAAAACACAGCTTCTGTGTTTAGGGCAGGCTGAGTGTTTCAAATGAATCAGTGCACAAGGCCCTGCCACACCAAGCGCCCCGAGCGGATTCACTACTTCTCAACGGCCACCCCACATCTCTTCTTCCTGAGGTTTTTAAACTGTGTTCAAATTGTTTACTTCACAAAACAGATTTGTTCATTACGATTTATGTGACACTTTTTTTAGAACTTATTGCCAGGCCCACCATTCTACGATTGGTCAAGTTTTACTTCAGCTAAGCTAAACAGAAACATGATAGATTACTGGAATTTAAACGATAAAAAGTAACATTTCAAAGAAAAACAGAATACTTGTAAGGCCCTTAGTTGTTTTAGGGTCCTTATTTTCCTTGAAAATACACCAAGGAGACTGACTCCATTATCTTCCCACCCATAAAAGGGGAACCTCGCCCGGCTATTGTTAGTGCGGAGGAAAACACAACACGCCCCGCGGTGTTAAAATCACTTAAAACCGCAAAATTTCAACGTGACAGGTAGTGTTTCCTCACAATGGCCTCAAGTAAGTGACGTGCCTCTGGTCCAAGGAAGCTTCTTGTGTTTTAATTACACTAAGCAGAATTTAACTATAGAAGTTGCGCTAAGAGCCGACGATGAAACTTCTCAGGCTGCATTGGGTTTCGGTATTAGTGGTTTGGGACATTTTTCACAAGCAGTAATTCAAGAGAAAAGGCTGTTTCATCAAAACACAATGGCACAGAATATGAAAGGAAGTTCTGCAAGTACCAAAAAAGACAAATAAAAGCAAGTATACGCCCCACCTGAGCAGCCCCCGCAAACAGAACTTAGGAGGGAGCTGACAGATCCCGAGGTCCTGAGCCTGTTCACTACGCGTGCCCCCCAGGTACTCTGAATTTAAAGGAATGCATAAAATATAGGCCCCGTTGCTCTGCCGTAACATATTTTTAACAGTTCTCAAACCATTCTTAATGAGTACACACATTTAATTATTGGTGGGTGTTTTTAATATCTGAGCTACATCAATGAACCAAGGACTGATATCACATTGTTCCCATTTACGAAATGCCTTGCTTTTCTACATTCAATTATTAACCAGGAAATGGAACGTACAAAGGCCAAACCCTTTCGGTATGTGGGAAAGTCAGATCAGGAGCCAGCAGCTGTTAAAGAAACCAGAAGGCTGCGCTGATCTGGCCTTGGGAGCGCCCCGTTTACTGCCTCTGAGCAACCTCCTTGAGGGCCGTGTGAGGGGCCAGGGCTGCAGTCTCACCCTCTTGCCCTCCAGGCTTGAGGCAGGAGTGGTCTCCCTCATCCCTGCCCGCCCTCCCTCCACTCCGGTTTGGATTCAGGTGTTAGAAAAGGATTTAAGGAAAACACTTACTTGAAACACACACACACACACACACACACACACACACACACACACACACGATTTTATAATTAAAGCCACACAATTAGGAGTGGAAAGCTCAGGCTGGCAGTATACAGACTAGATAGATGCCTTCCAGAAAAAAAACTTAAGAAAAATGAAAAAAACAAAACAAAACCCTTATATTGTTTACGAACCTACATATCTAGTCACTAGAAGATTCCACTGACAGCTCTGATAATGTCACGTGCAAGTGAACGATTCTTAATGTCAAGGCCACGAGACTATCCTCTTACGACCCTAACTCTGGAGAAGGAAGATGTCCTCCCCTGAATTTTACACACATTACACACACACACACACACACACACGTAATTTTTCTTATGGCCTCTCCCAAATCCTTAACACGTGGGCATTAGACAGTCTTAAAGAGGGCTTTCTTCCAGGAGTATCAATGCTTTCACAGCAAACAACAATTCACAGCCACGTAGCCTCTTTTATGCCTTTCTGAAAAAGTGGACAGTTCTATTTCTGTATCACCAGGTAAAGCAGCTGTTAAGTCGGTTTTCTAACTTCGCATATTAGTTTCAGGGCTGGTCATTCAAACAACTAAAACTGATCATGTTTTCTTAATATTCACATTTATTGCAAATACTTTTCTAGAAGCCAATGCCAACTACCTGATTTTTTCCTCAATGTTAAGCAGATATTTTATCTGTACTATTGAGAAATCAGGAGGCACTAAAATGTAAGTCCCAGTGACCTGAGATACAAAACGGAATCACCACCTCATCCATGAGAGACAGTCATGTCCGGATGCTATTTTCCTGCACATGAATAAAAATGCAAGTATTTAAGTGTACCTGGAAATCTGGTTGCCTCCTAAATTGTTTTCTTTTCACTTTTGCTGCTCATCAGTAGAGATTTCTATCCATGTTCTAAGAAAATGTGTGCATCCTATCAATTCATCCATGTAAGTTATCTCGAGGAAATAATATAGCTTTGATTTGTGCTTTAATGTCACAAGATCAAGATGAAAAACTTCAAACTGTGATGCTACATTTTATTTACCAAGTAATGGAAGTGCTCTGGTACTGTACAGATTGCAGAATTAACCTTTCCTCAACTCTTCTTCCCAATTAGACATTTGTTCCAGGAATCATGCAAAAAGTTCCTCATCGGAGTATTATTCCCTGGCATGACTTCAATGGATGCTTTGAGCACAGCATACTAGAGAGTAAGCAGCACTTTTAAGGAAAGTACTTCCCAAAACACTGCATTTGCAAAATGATGGAATGCATCTGGCCTTCTTTCTGCTCCACTCCCAGATCATTTGGGAGGGGAAGCGCTGAGGGTCCTGGCACCAACGTAATGCAAACGTGAAACAGGTCGACAACACACGCAATCGATTTTGCTGTTTAGGGGGCGTCGGTTAAGTAAGAACTGCAAAGAGCCGAATCGTGCTGTGCCGTTAGCCGTCGCTTTGGAAGGGGAAGTTGGAGACCAGCATGTCCTGCAGAGAGACACACACAGCCCTTACCGCGTCTCCAGGCTTGACAGAGACGGCCACCACCACTCCGGGCATCGGGGAACGCAGAACACTGCTTGTGTCCTCAGTCACTTTTTCCAGCATAAATTTGTTCAATTCTGCGGCAAGTCTGGTTAAGATATTCACCTTGTACTTAAGGGAAAAACAAAACCAAACCATAAATGAGTTTAAATGAAATTTTCCTCAAAAGTAGCATTCATTCTAAATCAATTTTTAGCTTTTAAATTCAAATTACAGTAAGAGCCTTAAATTCAAATGGTTCTCAATTGCTGCACACATCAAAATATATTTGTTTCTGTCATATATTGAGCTATTTCAGAAAGTTCTTGAAATAAGGGCTATTCCAGTTATTAAAATTAATCATTGATAAGTATCATCCTGTATCTTTAAGAAAAACATCTCAAAACGTTATAAAGAAAACTGAGAATTTTACTTGTATTCCCTTCACCACCTACAAACTTATCCCTATCAAGGAAAATCCCATGAGCTGGGCAGACCCAGGGGATGGAGGAGGTGACATGTGGACAGGCGCCAGTAGATGGCAGCAGATGGCTGTTGCAGCTTCCCACAGCCCTCCAAGAGCGGCTGCACTACGTATCAGTAAGTTAAGACAATGGGGTTCAGTGTTCATTTTGGGCAAAATAGTATTTAAAATTCCATTTTTTCAGTGACAGAAAATGTTATATTCATGACTGAAAACGTTGGCTTTTCTTAAAGGCACTATGTAGTCTTTCTGATGTAACAAGATGGTTAGGAAAAGATGCAAGATAATGAGAAAGCCTTCTGCACTGAGAGACAATAACATCAAGATGTTATAAACACTGATGGAAAATACGCACAGACAAGTATATTCATGGCACCTTCTGTAGGTGGCTCTCAAACAATCGGGCATATTTAGGGCAGTTCAGTGAAGCAGAACATTTCAAAAAAGAGAATTCCTATCCTCTCCGTGAATAAATCTATGAGCCACAATTTGGTCTATCCAAACAGAAAAAAGATAAAATGGTTTGAGGAAGTGTCTCTTGGTGAAATTGGAACCACCACCCGAAGGTTCTGGATCCCTACCAGGTCTGATTTCTCTTGGGTAAGAAAGAAGCAGCAGTGAGACAGCTCCATTTCATTCAAAAAACCTGCTGTAACTCAAAGCCTCCTGTGGGCATCATGATGGCAGGGATGCAAAAACAAAATATAATTCCCCCTTTAATTCTGCATGGGGACGGCGGGAATCTCTAAGTGCCTCTTCACAGGGCCTACTGAAAAGGGTGGGGGCAGAGCTTTGATGGCCTAAGTTCCAAGTGGATTTGCGACACTGTGACAGGTTGAATAATAACATCTTTTGCATGTTTCTTTACTCCTGAGTGTGTGTTTTGCAATCAAGACATAGAAGCGTCTGCCAGTTTCTGAAGGATATGTTCCTTAAGTGAAATTACAGTGCAAATAAAAGCTTTTTGCTCCTATTAAAATTCATCTGAGTCATAAGTGGTGAGGGAAAAAGCGAGGAGAGTGCACGCTGCTGTCAGTCTAATAAACATTCTGGGCAGAGGGACTATTTATCAGTGAATTGTACCTCCAAGTCCTTCATTAAATCAATGGGGGAAGGTGTGGAGGGACAGAGAGGACTATAATTGGACCAAATTGCACAGTTTTCCTATCTGTGCTGTCTGCAATGGGGGAAAAAATCCAACATCACTAGAGGCATCAGAGTCAACAAAAAAGTTACTTTTCTAGTTGGTATCGCCCTGAGCTGCGCCTTCTGTGTGACTGACTTACGACGTGCCTTGTTCAGTTTTCAGTGTAGCACACAGATCTATTTTTTTCTTGTTTTGCAGAATTCGACTTCAAAATATGAAGCCTAAATTCAGGAAAAGTATCTTCATTCGCTGAGAATATGATTTACCACATTTCCCCACAGTGGATATACTCCAAAAACTAAGTTTAGTTATATCACAGATCAGCCTGCATATGAACGAAGCGCTAAGACTGTATTTAGCTTCATTTCTCCCCAGAAATTACAAGATTCTGACGAACACTGGATCCTTTTACTATTTTTATAATTTTCATCTTTCAGATTCCTTTCTCTGTAGGACTCCTGCTTTGCTTGGAAAGAGATGTAAAAGAATCACAAACTCAATGCCTTTAGATGCAGTCTTTGTTACTGATGAGATGTTCCTTTTCCTTTTGTATTTGTTTATTGTTCTTAAATCTGTTTGGGGGATAAGTGACTTATTGTAATAGCAAGTAAAAAATAACAACGGGGTAAACTCCTCCAGAGAGGCCTTGGTGCAAATAGTTGGTTTAGAAATGACCTTTCTGAATATAAAAAGAGAAGACAGAGAGAGATTCTCTTTTTAAGATTACCTTTGATGTTGTCCTGAGCCCGTGAGTGTACCACACAAACACGCCTTCTTAAAACAGCCTCTCAGCTGGCCTGTGCTGTGCTGCACGGGGCGCGTGCCGGGATGGGGCCCAAGCAGGGTGCAGCGTAGGGGCCCATCAGAATGAACTGCCTGGTGAGAACCGTAAAAGCTTTTTGATGCCCCAGAAAAGAAGTCATTTAAGAATGTACACCAGGGCCTTCCAAGCTTCTGATCAAAACTGCTATTTACTAGCATCTCTGGATTCTTTGGGGGCACAGAGAGCCAATGCTTTGTGAGACTTCAGGAATGTGCCCCTACCTGGACCGTGGGGTACAAGCTCGGTTTCACCGTGGGCATTTAACTATTCCTCAAGGGTTGTGCGAAACTCCCTTAGAGAGTTTTGATTTTAAGTTTTTGTGGTTGTTTTCAAGAAGATAAATCACAAAGTTGATGTTTGAGGGTAGGAATCCAAGACTCTGAAGGCTTGTGGACAGGACAGAGTAGTAGGATCCCAGAAGCAGCCAGGTTTTCCCGCTGCCTGGGTAGGATGAGGGAACATGCCAGCGTGGGTGACAGGCAGCTGCCTGTGGGTGGGGCTGGGCTGCCATGGAGCCGGAAGATGACTCGCTCCAGTGAGCTCGGGGCTGGTCAGTGCGTGGAACTTCACTCCGCTGGCTTAGGAAGGTGTTCTCCAGACCACACAGCCAAATGAAAAAAAATGTTCTTGAAAAACAGCTCACCACGTAAGTGAGAACAGAACAGTTGCTCTCTGGCTTGGCCTGGTGGGACTCCTCAACCCACACACGACAGTAATGGGAGGGAATGAGGTGTTATCTAAGGACTGAATGACGGAAAGGTGACCCGAACCCGGGTCTCTAAGCAAATTAATTTTATGGCCTCTACAGTGTGAAATCATGTCTAACAAGAAAATTTCTCCCAAAAGATTAAAAGAAAGAAAGAAAAGGAATCACAGCTGACATGAAAGGGTCAGGAGGAAGGCCACAAGAGCAGGACAATGACAAGAAACACCAGTGGGATTGTTTTTAAAACTGACACGCAGCTCTTCCGTGGACCTATTGAAAGCCTGGGGGCTGAGAGTGGTTGCTGCAGCAGGAGGCGGCGGCTAGTCACAGTCTGGGTGAGAGAGGGATGTTATCACTGGACCTCATTAAGAAAAGCATCCTGCAACTGGGCATGTATGCCTGCACCCCAGAAATCAGCACCCCAAAGACAGCAAAGAATGACCCACTTTGAGACACACTCCACTTTCACGGATACACAGAATACCACCCTGGAGGCTTCTGTATTTGTACAGTACATGCACCTCCTTACAGCATTAAATCCACCCACTTTTTTCCACAGCCTGTAGAAGTAGCAGTAATGTAATTCTGCAGACCCCATGCGCTAAATGTTGCAATGATCCCGAGGTCTGCGGCTGCTCCCGAGGTGAGCGCTTGCAGTTTGCTGTACAGTTTTCAGCTGTGATTTCAAAGCCTCCAGTGCCACTGTCAACCTCCGTTCCTCTTCAAGTGGGCTCACTTCCAGTTTCCATTTATAAGTCATTCTTCCAGTAACAATTAGGACACGTACAGTTGACTGACTGTTAATGTTCTTTCATGTCCTCAACTGTTGGCCATCTCAGTCAATACCAACTCAAGGGCAGGTGCTATCTTTGACTGTAAATCACTGTGCATCAGCTATCTTGAAGCACTGGCCAAATACTGTCCATGCACCCCTCACTAAGTAAGGAGGCAGACACTTCTTCAAAGATTAGGCTCTCTTCCTAGTCAAGGTTTTACACCTTCTGGCCCCAAAGGTCTCCAACATTAAGCTCTGTCTTCATTTCCGCAGCGTGGCAGTGAGAGCAACACTCAAATATTCCCCTAAAGGTCTACTGTCCTAACTCAGAGCTGGAGAAACAGTGTCAGTGTTTTTAAAGTGATGGAAAGCGCGAAATGCAAAAATGATGCATCTTTAAAAACACTGGCGTGGCTGAAAAGCAGAGAAAAACTAGATATGAGTTAAAACAGTTCAGTGGAATGAGACTTGAAATTCAACCACGTTCTACTCTCCTAAATTCTTTGTAGGGTACACAATTATCACTTGAGGAAAAGCAGAGCAAGGTTAGGAGCCATACAAAATAATTTCCCTCTACTTCTGCACAGGGCCCAATCGCCTGATATCTGAGCTACACCACCACCACCACAAATCTCCAAGACACAACAGTGACAATACACAGAATTGAAGCCTACGGCCGTCCTTCCTTTGGAGGTGCAGCCCAGGCAAAGGAGCGGACATGGACAGGCAGCAGCTAAGGCGCAGGGCGAACCACAGCCTCCTACAGCTGCAGTCGCTGGAGCAGCCTGTTAGCATAATGCTGTGACAACTCCATCAGTGCAGTCTCAAGGTAGCTGTCAATCAGGATGCATCATTTAATCCAACAGCACTCGGAGGACTTTCTCCTACAACCCACATGACAGCATATCTACAGCTCTATTTATATCAGCGCCCAGTTGTGTTTACAATATTGTTGTAATTAGAAAAGATGCAACAGGCAGCAATATTATTGAGATTTCCATTTTGTAGTATTGCCCTGTAAAGTGTGATCTTGCTTCACAGAGTCATGCTAAATGACAAAAGGCTATTTTCTTCAATCTCCCAGCTCAGACAGCACTTCATTTGCAGCTATCTATAATTAGATTAATGGTGTAGTGCGGTACAAAGCAGGCCCACTTCACATCAGATAGCATATGAATTAGGACAAACACTTATTTCAATTCCAGGCAGAGAAAGCAATGACTGGGGTATTTAGCATACCCTTTATGGTGGAATGAGATGTTAATTGTGTACCATTACCTCTAAACTGCTTGCTTGTTGTATAAATCACTGTGCTAATTGATGCAGAGATAGAAATGTAGCCACAGGCGAGAAAGCAAAGGAATGAGAGCTGAAGATGGTGGATAAAGGATTATCGAGTAAAACCATATGGAGATGAGGTTCCTTTGAAACCTTTGCTTTCTGCCCATGAGCAGGATTTCTTCATATACAGCAAAACTCTGATACAAGAAAAATTAATTTTACATTCCTTTTTAAAAACACAAATTCCTTGTAGAAGTTCCGGCTGCCAGAAATCCAAATAATAGGTATGTGGAATTCATCTTAATATACATTTATAAAAACATGGAATGTGTAGTTTTCAATAGTCAGAGCTCCTCATCTGGGTTTTCGGCTCATGGGTTAATAAATAACGCTTGTAAACTATACCTGAAGCAGATGTTTCTGACCCATCCACAGGGCAAAAACAAATTCTTTCCCAAGGCTTGAAGTTGTTCTTTTAGACAAAAACAAAACAAAACAAAACAAAACAAAACAAAAAAAACACAAAACAAAAAACCCACACCACCACTATGCTGGCTTAGTCTGTTATAGACTCTAATTGTGTAGAAACATTTATTCAGGATGTGAATCCAACAGAACAGAATCATTTTCATCTACCATTAAAACAACGATTTTAACACCATCACCCAAACACTGAAATCTGACTATTCCAACTTGAGATATTCTTCCTTGTTTTTCTAAAACTAGCAAAAAATAAAAAATAAACAGAAGCAAGTAGTAATTTAAAAGCTTCCGTTTTAAAATCTCTGAATGTTACTCTTCCCTTTTAAAATGTCTTGTTCTGCACTCAACAACTCTTAATAGGGTAAAAACGAGTGTCTCAAAAGCGCACATATAGAAATCAAATGTTACGTCCCACAAGTCAAACCGTCCGTGATCCACAGATAAACGTGCCCCTGGAAGTTCATCATCAAGTACATGTGTCCTGAGTACATGCTCACGTTTTCTCACTAGCAAGGCAACACTGAGGCGCAGATTAGTGCTGTGGACCTTCTCACAAATTCAGCTGCTTAGTAATTAGCACTGTTACAACATTTTACGCAGAGAACAAACGCATAGGGTCAGTTAGCAGCTCCAGTTCTCAGCGTCACGGTAACAGTTAACATATCCGTCTACTGGCAAGTGCACATTTGAGAAACACTGTATCTTTCAGCGTTGTGAAATATGAACACCACACTAACTTGCAAGAAAATAAAACAATGTTTCAAGAAACTAGCAAGTCTAGTTCAAGTTACCAGGACTGAAACTTGGGAGGGGAAAGTCCAGAGCTGCTTTTTTGGGGGCCACAGCTGTCACCTTTCACTGTACAGAGTGGCCCTTATTATACGTCTGACTGCTGAACTAAGGACACCTGGATCGCAACTGCAAGCGTTTACGGTTTAGGTTATTATGCTAAATAATATTAAAAACAAACAAAATCCACAAAGAAACATCAAGGACTCTCAGGATGGAAACCAACGTCAGCACAATAAATAGCCTGAACCCCCCACCCCAAGCATTAAGGCAACACAAATAGAAAGGAGAAAAGATGTGGAGACAGTGTAAAGCCCTGCCTCCTGGGCATTAATCACTTGTTTAGACCTTTTTACACTAGAGCCTTACAGCCTGCAGCCAAAACCAACACGCCTCAGTGAAGCTGGTGTTAACAGAAGAAAATATATGGTTTCTGACATTGCATCCCAGTTCCTCAACATTTGCTCCAACTGAAAAAGGCAGTTAAACACAAAGTAAATCATCCAGTTAGCCTGGCTGTTTAGTGACACACAATTGATAATGTCAATACATTGCAGCGACATAATGCGTCACTTTCAACACTCGTCCGCTGCCATTTATGAATCAATCTGTACTCAAGGTTTTGTTGTGTTACTGGTAGGTGGTTCTTGGAGTTAAGTCGTTTACTGGACCAATGAATGTGCCACAAGGAGGCTCAACGGCAGTGAGCAGCAATCTCATTTTTCGAGGGAAAAATTAACACAAATAGGAGTGGGAAGAAAATCCCAACAAAACAGAAGAATAAGAATATCTGAAGCCCATTCAGCAACTCATTTTTCAAACATCCTGCAAAAATGGGGAGGGTTTCCTTAGAGAAAAGAACCATCTTAAGGCTAATCATCAACAGCATTGAAGGAATGGGTAAGACTGTGTGTATCTCGGGCTTGCTTCCGAAAGATGATCTCTCCTCTGGAGGGAAGAATATGGGGTTGTCAATAATACAAAAATCTAGCCTCATCCTTTGTTCTGTCTTGTTTTTGTAACTGGAAACACAAGGCTCATTCCAGTTATACTGTCCTAAGATGAGCAACTTAAAAAAAAATAGTGCCAAAAATTAAATTGAAAATTAAACACTAGGCTGGGTGCGGTGGCTCACACCTATAATCCCAGCACTTTGGGAGGCCAAGGCTGGAGGATCATGAGGTCAGGAGTTCAAGAACAGCCTGGCCTACATAGTGAAACCCCGTCTCTACTAAAAATCCAAAAAATTAGCCAGGCGTGGTGGTGGGCGCTTGTAATCCTAGCTGCTCGGGAGGCTGAGGCAGAAGAATCGCTTGAACCTGGGAGGTGGAGGTTGCAGGGAGCCGAGATCGCGCCACTGCACTCCAGCCCAGGCCACAGTGCGAGACTCTGTCTCAAGAAAAAGAAAAGAAAAGAAAGAAAATTAAACACTAGACCCAGCACTCAATAACAGAGAGGATTTATTTCTTCCCTTGTGTTGCACTGAGGTTACCTTGTAATCTGAATCACTTGTATCATAAGAGAGGCCTAAAACTGATGTGGCGGGAAAAGAGCTAGCGTCTAGGAAGCTGCCCCATTCCTAGTCTTCTAAGAATTCCGAGGTGGTCTCTGATGGGCAGGAGGGCACTGAGAAGTCCTCAGTGGGTTTCCCAAGGAGCAAGTCTGTTAATGACAGCAGCCTACCTGGAGTGTGGCGCCATAGTGCCATGTGTGCAGGTGTGCCCATGATAAAGGGGGCCCAGCCTCTGCCTGGCCCAAGTGCCCCCAAGCTGTCTAACAAGTAGGTGCATATGCCACAAAGGCAATTTGCTGGAATAAGTGGCACTTTCACTTCCACAAAGGCAAGTCCATTTACAATGAACTGTACAGAATGCACAAAATAGAACATGTGCATTCTGTTTGATCAGGAGTCTCTGTGACACATTACGACTATAATGAGTCATTTTTTTCTTTTTACTCAAGAAAAATATTATAGATCTTTGAAAGCCATGTACTCAATTATATAACAATACCAACACCTGTTAACAGTACAGGCTGTTTCTATTCTGTATCTCGAATTGTTTTATGTAATTACGAATTTATAAGGTATTTGGTAAACCGGTAAGAAAGTACCTTTTTAAAGCACTGTATAATTTGGGGTACAATGAAGTGTTCTCTTAAAAATCTATAATTAGGGCAGCATCAGCTTACAGAAAAGTAAAGGAAATGTTATAAAAACACAATTATGTAGATAAGCACCGCGGTGAGGAAGTGTACCATTTCACGACGGTGCCCAACCCTCTTCCTTTTTCTCCTCCTATCTGAAATGCTCTTTGCTCATATCAAGTTGAAGTCATGCTGTCAGAATGAATGACCTTTGGGGAAAAAAGATGGGGAGCTCTGACTTCCCATGTAAGTCCTCAGTCCCCCCCAGGTTGGAGCACCTGGGAAGTGTTCTAATGTGAGGGGCTTCAACAACAATCTTGCCTTTACAGGTTTTCTTAAATATTTTTACTATTATGAATTCACTGAAGAAACTCAAAATTCAAAATGCCTAAATGCTGGCTTTATGGGACAGAAATTCAGAAACTAAAATACAGAAAGGCAGAGTAAACGAAAGTAAAGATGACTGTGATACTGTGAGGTAGACCGTCGGCCAAGAAAACTGAAGCAGAAAGCAACTGAAACCCCCGCCGCCCCCGCCCCCACCCCCGCCCGCGAAGGTTTCTGGTCTGAAGTAGCAGAAATGAGCGCTGGTAGGGGGGTTGCCTAAGAATCTTGGGGTTTACAGTTCTGACACATCCTAGACGCTGAGCCAAGGAGGACTGCTGGCACCCTCATGCTGTGCTGTGTACAGAACACACGATGCTGAAGGTGGCCAAGTCCTGGAGAGCCATGGGAGAAATCGGGAGACAGGGCGATGTGGCCCCCGTCCTGGCAGCAGCAGAGCATGAAAGCCCAAGTCTCTGAAGCCAACAGGCCCGACTGTGACATCCCAACGAGATGGCACCTTCTGACCAAGTTACCTCCTTCTCAGACAGATGTCAACTCTAAAATCAAGCTAATACAGGTCTTGAGTAACTGTTTTGAGGATTAAATTTACGAAGATCTGCAGCGCACCTAGCAAGTGCTCGAGAGTAACTATTCACCAGGTATTATTTCCTGTGTCCTTTCCAAACATCTCTGGTTGTTCAGAATGAAAGAGTGGTGGATTTTTTTGGGGGGGATGGGGGAGGGTGGGCAGAGAAACAGGGTACCACTCTGGCACCCAGGCATGGCTCACTGCAGCCTCGACCTCCTGGGCACAAGTGATCCTCCCACGTCAGACTCCCAAGTACCTGGGACTACAGGCAGACGCCACCATGCCTGCTTAGTGTTTGAGTATGTTTTGTAGAGATGGGGTTTTGCCACATTGCCCAGGCTGGTCTTGAACTCCTGGGCTCAAGGGATCCGCCCGCCCCAGGTTCCCAGAGTGCTGGGATTACAGGCATGAGTCACTGCACCAGACTGACACTGGTGGATTTTATTTTAAAATCATGTATTGTAGGACATCTCAGATTAACTTCTAATTGTTGGAGTTCTAGCTCTATGCTCTCCATGTTTGAGAGCAAATAGATTACATTCTTCAAACATCACATCTGGCTCTAAAATCAAAGAAAGGAAGTTGATTCCGTGTTCAGAGAGGTTCCCAGGCATGCAGCGAGGGACCCCACGGTTGTCTTTTCCTTAGACAGTTAAAAGCATAGTGAATTAGAGAAACAGTTTGGTTAATTCATTCAAAAACCATTTATCGAGCATATCTGGGCAATGTAAGAATACAAAATAAACAAGAAAAAATGGCTCCTGACCTAAATACCATAATCTGGCCAGAGGGAAAAGACATTCATGAATGACACAATATAAACGTATTCAAGGATTACTAAGAATGTGATCAATATGAGGTGGGCTTTTTTATTTTAGCCCCTCTCTTACAGAAAATCTCCAGGCTGCGAGGCAGCAGAGAGTAGTGGTTTACCATTTAGGATCTGGAGTCAGAATACTGTTCCACTTACAAGCTTGGGAAAGGTCGACTTTCCATGTCTCAGATTCCTTCTTTATGAACTGTGGATCATAACAGTGCCTGCTTCTGTGGAAAGTAAGTGAATTCTTTTTTTTTTGAGACAGAGTCTCTCTCTGTGTCACCCAGGCTGGAGTGCAGTGGCATGATCTTGGCTCACTGCAGCCTCCGCCTCCCAGGTTCAAGTGATTCTCCTGCCTCAGCCTCCCGAGTAGTTGGGACTACAGGCACGTTCCACCACACCCAGCTATTTTGTATTTTTAGTAGAGATGGGGTTTCACCATGTTAGCCAGGGTGATCTCAATCTCTTGACCTCTTGATCTGCCCACCTCAGCCTCCCAAAGTGCTGGGATTACAGGTGTGAGCCACGGTGCCCGGCCAGTAAGTGAATTCTTGTATGAAGAAGCCTCAGAACACAGAAATGTCATTAAGTATTTAATAGCCATCATTACCACTAATTGCTGTCATTAAAACATGTCCACAGATGGACAGAAATCTTGGGCACAGTCACTGAGAAGACACTGGAGGCTGTCTGGGTGGGTCTCGAATTCAACACACAGGGATCTAAATCGCTCTCACGCCCGCGTACACGCTCTCAGATGCACAACAGCCATGCACCTCAACTCTTCACGCTGACTCTCTCCACTGGAAGTGTCCTCTGATCATATTCTTAGCCTAAAAATTTGGCCTTCTATTCAATTCTCATATGAACATTCTCCCGACTTGGAACGTTGTCCTATCTATGTGGATCTGACTATAATCTTTCCCCAGACTTTAAGACTATGTTGCTAATTTCTCATGGCAGAAGAATTCATATTTGAGGAACCTGAGATTTTATAAGAAAATGAGAATCAGGGGACTGAGCAAGTGAAATTTGACAGCTCTTATAAAACAATGTATTTTATGGAGTTAAAAATAGTTATAGGCTTATTGTAACAAGTCCAATGGTAAAGAGGTGTGTAAAACAATTTACTAATCCACCCTCTCACATCTAATCCCACTCCCCTTCGGTAATGTCAATTTTTATTGTATATCTTTTACTCACATGAATCTATCAAAATATAAACATATATGTATACTACAAATACATTTAGCCTGGGTAAAATGAAACACTGAAGACTGCTTATTATTGAGGATCTCACTCTGTCACTCAGGCTGGAGTGCAGTAGTGTGATCACAGCTCACTGCAGCCTCAACCTCCTCAGCCCATGTGATCCTCCCACCTCAGTCTCCCAAGTAGCTGAGACCATAGGCACATGCCACCATGCCCGGCTAATTTTTTTTTAAATTTTTTGTAAAGACAGAGTTTTGCCATGTTGCCCAGGCTGGTCTCGAACTACTAGGCTCAAGCGATCCATGC
Organism: Homo sapiens; assembly: GCF_000001405.40. Taxonomy (NCBI): domain Eukaryota; kingdom Metazoa; phylum Chordata; class Mammalia; order Primates; family Hominidae; genus Homo; species Homo sapiens. The sequence goes on along the minus strand of NC_000013.11, from coordinate 100,503,674 downwards.
CCCTCAGCCTCCCAAAGTGTTGGGATTACAGGCATAAGCCACTGTGCCCAGCCCACAGCTCATTTAAAGAGGGAGAGATTTATGATCTTTGGCCATTCAACATCCTTGACTCACTGTAGACTTTTAAACACAAGATGTTTAATACAGAAAAAACTTTATTTTATTATAATTTCTTTTTTGGGGGGGGATGGAGTTTCGCTCTTGTTGCCCAGGCTGGAGTGCAATGGCGCAACCTCGGCTCACCACAACCTCCACCTCCTGGGTTCAAGTGATTCTCCTGCCTCAGCCTCCCGAGTAGCTGGGATTACAGGCACGCGCCACCACACCCAACTAATTTTGTATTTTTAGTAGAGACAGGGTTTCTCCATGTTGGTCAGGCTGGTCTTGAACTCCCGACCTCAGGTGATCCACCCACCTCGGCCTCCCAAAGTGTTGGGATTACAGGCGTGAGCCACTGCGCCCGGCCAGAAAGAACTTCAGGTAAATTATTTTTCCTCGTACCTGCTTAGCTAGCTTATCTTAAGCATGGCTGTGCTGAGCCTCTGTCAACAGGCAGCCTCTGCCCAGGACAACTCCAGACAACTCCCACTGGACAACTCCAGTGGGAGAGTATCCTCCACTGGCCCTGCCAGTCTCTCTTACCCACGATCCAGCCTCCCCTCCTCCCCAGGAATCAGAAGGTCCAGCTGTAAATACAGCTTTAACGCCCTAGGTCTGCGTCAGCCTCAGCTTCCACAACCTTTCCCAACGCTGCACTGAAAATTCCTGTCCTCTGCCGTCTGCTCTGCCTCCCTCTTCTTTTCTCAACTTTGTTTCCTCTTTTTCTAATTAACCCCAACAGCGTGACTTGTTATCTGCATGTAACAGACAACTCTGCCTGGCTGCAGTGACTCCACTAGGATTTTCCCTAAATCCCTGTCCTTTACTCCTAAGAGTCTGTCTCATATCCTACCATTCACACCAATCAACAGAAAGCTCTCTTAACTTTGTAAATTGTAACCACTCAGTCATTTTCAAGTCTAGAGGGCCAGAAATGCCAAAAGTAACTGCCAAAAGCTTTAGTCACAGAAGTTAAGGTCGATTCCCTGTGGTCTAATTTGTAAATGATAGCTGTCTAATCAAAAATGAGAAAGGCCTACCTAACCCTCTTACCACTGCAATTCAATAATGCTACACAGTAACTCATGAAATAAGACTAGGAGACATTTCCCTTGCATCTGTATAATCCAGAAACCAGGAATACTGAGTACCAGCCATTCTGTGCCGCTCTGCTCTCCTCTTGGTTAAAAATATACAGTACACACAGCCAGGGTGAGGTGGGATGAGAGGGTGCCCGTTCAGCAGGGACATCTACCCTGGCCTCTACCTTAGTGAAATCTGCCTGGATCAGGGGGCTGGGCCTCTGTTTCACAGGCTTAGAAGCTAGACTTCCACTATACACTCATAATGCATCACTCTGAACGAGATGGATTCACTTTTATCAAGCTCACAAGATACTGATGTGTAAAACATCTTAGGAATTTACAATCAGAAATAGGTTTGTAAAGGGAACTCACACACCTCCTAACTGTAGTGTGAGCACTAAATTATAGTCAGTGGTTCTTTGATAAATACAGAATCAGCAGAAGAGGCACTGGCTGAAGTGCTCTCCACCAAGACAGCATAAGCAGCAGTTCTCAATCACCAAAGCATCAAAACTTGCCTGGAGGGCTAGTAAAACCACAGACCGCTAGGCCCCCCACCTGAGTTTCCAATTCAGGTTTGGGTGCATTTTATTTATTTATTTATTTATTTATTTATTGAGAAGGAGTGTCCCTCTGTTGCCCAGGCTGGAGTGCAGCGGCACGATCTCAGCTCAGCCCAACCTCCGCCACCCGGGTTCAAGTGATTTTCCTGCCTCAGCCTCCCAAGTAGCTGGGATTACAGGTATGCGCCACCATGCCCGGCTAATTTTTTTGTATTTTTAGTAGAGACGGGGTTTCACTATGTTGGCCAGGCTGGCCTCAAACTCCTGACCTCGTGAGCCACCCGCCTCGGCCTCCCAAAGTGCTGGGATTACAGGCGTGAGCTGCCACACTGGGCCTGGGGTCTGCATTTCTAGTGAGTTCCCAGGAGACGCTGAAGCTGCTGGTCTGAGGACCACACTGTGGGTGAACAGAAGGCCTTCTCCATTATGGAATGGCCTTTCCCAGGGAATTTAGCTCATGTCCATGAGAAGGCTTTCTTCTCCTAGACTCAGCTGACAATGCGCTGCTGGAGAAGGCTTTTCTGATAGTAGACAATGGAGACTCAGAAGGGTGACGGGGTGGGAGGAGGGTGGATGATGAGAAATTACTTAATGGGTACCATGTACATTAGTCAGGTGATGAATATCTAAAAGCCTTGACTTCCTCTCTATTCAATCTATGCATGTCACAAATTTACACTTGTACCTCGTAAGTTTACATAGATAAAATAATTTCAAAAAGTATGTATGACTCTTGTTCTAGGTAGAAAAATCTCTGAGTGACACATTTTTTCTTTTTTTTAAGAGTCTCACTCTGTTGCTCAGGTTGGAATGCAGTGGCATGATCTTGGCGATCTTGGCTCACTGCAACCTCCGCCTCCCAGGTTCAAGCAATTGTCCTGCCTCAGCCTCCCGAGTAGCTGGGACTACAGGCACCCACCACCACACCCGGCTAATTTTTGTATTTTTAGTAGAAACGGGGTTTCACCATATTGGCCAGGCTGGTCTCAAACTCGTGACCTTGTGATCTACCCGCCTCGGCCTCCCAAAGTGCTGGGATTACAGGCGTGAGCCACTGCGCCCAGCTAAAGAAACATCTTTAAAGTATCTTTTGCATAAATTCAGTCTTGCTTATTTGATGTCTCAAGATTTGGGGAGTGTTTTGGTGTCTACAGTTACTACCCCATTAATTTTTCTCTGGCCTCAATGTTGCTGTCCCTAAATTGGATCAAATATATTCTTAGAAGGGTGAGATTAGGAAAGGAACTCGTTAATATAGACTGAAGGCCTCTCTAGTCTGTAAGTAACCTTAATATTCTGAGACTGGAGAATACCACCGTGCTCACTATCTTCTGGGAGAGAGGTTCTCTTTAAATGTTTACAGATTTCAGATGAGCTGAAACCAGCCTTAACTGCTCAATATTTGGGCAACTGGGGACTGTTCGTTTGATCTTTTGGTTTATTAAAAACTATGGGGAAGCTAACAAGTCTTAGAAAATTTAGCAAGGTAACTTTAAATGGAATGCACATGTTATTATTACATGAACTAATTAGTATAAATTCCTTGAAAAGAAACTTTAATATTAAAACATATATAAATATATCCTTAAGGAGAGTTCTGGTCTCAACAAATAATAACAAAATATAAGCGCCAGACCACCACTGCCCTTGGTCTGGTGTCTGCAAGAGGAAATGACACACTGAAGAGCTGGACTTTCATTTGACTTTCAACCGTACTACAATCTTACTAGAATGTGGAGAGCCTGGTGATTCCATCCATTTTAACACTGATCGCCTCAATCTGAAGACAGTCTCAGGGGAAAATGGACTGAGCCACAATTGTTTAGCTTTTTTCCTGGGTGGTAAGTAAGATTCCATTCTTGCCCAATTTCTTACTTCAATTAGATTCAGAGGTAGAATAGTCTAAAGATAGATTCCAAATACTATCTCTCTCATCTTTAAAAAAAGAAAAAATGAATCTGTTATTCCTTTTCCCCAAACGACAGAAGCATGATTTCATTGTATTTTCCTTCAAAACTGTGGCCAATAAAATGCTAGCACCTCCAAAAAAAGTCTCAAGCAACCTGTGAATTAGAAACACAAGAAATATTTTTTCCTTTGCTTCTCCTATGTTATTTTGAAAACTGTGAAAGAAAAAACCTTTTTAAAATGTCAAATATACTTGTCTTGCTTACATTCAGATGTATGCAAAGTTCACTGAGGCGTAGGTCTTATTTTTGTCACTAGACATAATGGGACAGATGTGCTTCTGCAACAGAGGTACGGATGCAGCATGCAGCAGTCTATCCCAGAAGCTCTGTAAACAAACACTCTTTATCCCAAGGAGGCAGGATATGAAAGGCTGGAACCGCCTTAATAAGACACTACTTGTCCCAACATAAAAGTCTGTCTTGAGGCATCCTACTACAGTCTTGCCTATTACTCTGCTGATTAAAGGAGGTTGACTAGAGCCATGTGGGCTAGAAGGAGTGAGGCCTGGACCAGAAGAAAATAATTGCAAAAGTTTCTCTGTCAAACATTAAAAGTCATCAACATCAGAATCACAAATATTTCACTAATCTCTTACATCCTGCAGATGTGCAGATAAGCCATTTCTCTCTGCCCAACACCTGAATGGAACAATGATTATCTTCCGGGATACAAAACTATCTCCTAGTTTCACCAGTTATGTGAGCGCGGATGCTGACAAAGGAGAAGTCTTATTTTTCAAACGTCTTTTGGGAACAGCAAAGGCTATGAATATTTTAGAACTAGTGAGAGAGTGCTATGCTGAGCCACGGAAGCAAACCCCTTGTGTTCCGTGTGTTGACTGCACACGCCCATAGTTTTGTGGCTTGGTGAAAAGCTTTCACTTGTCACAACTCACGGTTTTCCACAATAACGTGAATTGACATCAATGATTTTGCTTGCAATGCGGGTGGAAGTCTTGTCTTCCACTGCCAAGTTCTCAGAACCAGAGAACCAAATCAATGCCTTGTTAAAAGGTTTTGACAAGGTATGGTGGCAGAATACAAAATTTCTCTCTACCATAAACAAGCATGCTAACAAGACAGAGATGAATCATTAAACTACCTCCACCCCAGGAAATATCACTCCAAAACAGTTCAATAGGGAGGAGTTATTTTAAGCATAAAGAACATGGTTGGTAGTGGAATAAACCTACAAAGACCAGACACATGCTCCAGTGTGGATGAACCTCAGAAGTGTTATACTGAGTGGAAGAAGTCACACGCAAACAGTAGGCTAGGGGTTGCTGGGGGAGGTGGGGGAATAGGGAGTGATCACTTAATGGAAATGGGGTTTCCTTTTGGGGTGATGAATCGTCTTGGAACTGGAGAGAGATGATGGTTGTACAGCGTTGTGAACGTTAATAAATGCACTGAATTGTATGTTTTAACTTAGCTAATGGTTAATTGTGTTATGTGAATTTTAACTCAAGGAGCAAGGAAATCTATTTGGCCATATGAATTTGTAAAGCTTTCATTTGCAGGCTCTTCAGTCACTAATACGGGCGTGTTTCCAACTGATTTGTGGCTTTCCTCTTTCTCTCTCTCTTGTTTTTGGTATGTCTTCTCCAGTAGACAGTACTAACCTCCATGAGAGAGCATAATAGTATCTGGTACATAGAGAAGACATTCAATATTTGTGAATGAAAAAATAAAAAAAAATCGGTAATTTTTTTTTTTTTTTTTGGCTAACCTACACATCTCCAGACAAAAAGAGAGGCAACTGGCGATAACTATGACAACTTCCAATGTTGGGCTGGGTGTGGTGGCTCACGCCTGTAATCTCAGCACTTTGGGAGGCTGAGGTGAGAGGATTACTTTGAGGCCAGAAGTTTGAGACCAGCCTGGGCAATATAGCAAGACCTTGTCTCTACAAAAAAACAGGTTAGCCAGGTGTAGTGGCACATATCTGTAATCCTAGCTACTCATGAGGCTGAGGCAGGAGGATCAACTGAGCCCGGTAGTTCGAAGTTTACAGTAAGTTATGATCCTGCCACTGCACTCCAGCCTGGGTGACAGAGTGAGACCCTGTGTCTAAAAAAAAAGAAAAGTAAAAAAAGAAGGAAAAACTTCCAGTGCTGAAGAATGTGATTCTTCAGGCTAAAATCAAGAGCCCACAAATCTGGCAATTTCTCTTAGGGAGAAATTTACCAGGTCTTGGAAACCTCGCTAAATTCTTTTGAACATTTATTTTTGCCTAGACATCACTGAAATTTAGACCTCAGTTCATAATCCTTTTCTTGCTGACAGCATCACTAATGGTCAGCTGCAAAGGTGACCTCACTGGTAGAAGAACAGAGGAAATGACTTGGCATGAATTTAATCTGAAGACTCTTGCAGAATTGCAGCAGTTTCTTGACAGGAGCCTGGAAAAGTCCTGGCAGCTGTGATAGTATCTGCTACCCCAAGCCTTGGTAAGTCAGTACTTACTGCCACTAAAATTAAAAAAAAAAAAAAAAATTAAATTGGCTGGGTGTCAAAGAGGCTACACTGCTTTACCATTCCACAACTTACACTTCTCATTCAAGCCAAAGAATAGTAGGCTTCTCAGATGCATACTTCAAAGCCAAATTCGGTGACTTTTTAGTTTTATTTGCACAACTTGTTCATATTTTCATTTTTCACTAATTTTCACCCTCAAAAAAGTGAAAGAAAAAGAAGTGACAATTTTTTGCAAAGATGATTTTTATTTTCTAAGAGAAGGAAACCAATTTCCAGTGCAACCAAATTAACTGTGCATCCTGTGATGAAACTTCTTTGACTATAATCTTCCCCCCAATTCCCCATTTCTCTGCTATTTTTAGCTCTGTGTTAATTAGGGGAGAGAGAACTATGGAATTAAGAGACAAAAGAGACCCTAGAGCTTTTGAGGAACAAGGAGCACAGCCTTTGCTTCCAGCCTCCCGTGAGAACAAGTGCACTTGTACTGCCATACTGGGATTCCGTGACATCTTCCGAACTCCATCCTAGAACTCAAGCTGCCAGCCACTGTAGCGACCTGAACACACCATGAAGTTTCGTGGCTCCATGGCTGTGTTCATGGTATCATGTCCTTCTACAGTATCCTCCCCATTTTCCTTGGCTTGGCTGACTCATAATCATTACCTTAAGTCACAGTTGAGGTGTCATCAACTCCAGAAGCCTTCCCTGAGCTACCAGGTTGGGTGACATCTACTTACTGGCTCCCAAGGCACCCTGGCTGTCTGTTTAACACTCACCATATTATGCTGAAATTACCAGCTTAACTGTCTATTTCCTTTACCAGATAAATGGAAAAAGGAAAGTAGTAACTTCAGAGTGGAGAAAGGGACAAACACCACCTGAACCAAATGATCAAAGTGATGCCATTAACAGTGGGACAAAGAGAAACGTGAACATGCGCCTCCCGAGAGGGGACAACGAGGACAACGCAGCAGCACCACCGTTACGTTCCTGCCAAAAATGAGTAACAACCTGACTGTGAGGAAACACCAAATGAATCCAAATTGAGAGCCATTTGACAAAATAAATGGCCTGTCTTCAAAAATGTCAAGATCACGGAAGCCAAAGAACAACGGAGGAACGATTCGAGATTCAGGAGACCAACAGGACAGGAAAAGTCAATGCAAGGTGTGACTCTGAGCGGATCCTGGGCCAGAAAATAACACTTCTTTTTCTTTTGCTTTAAAGACAGTATTTTTTGTAGTGAGTAAACTGGCAACAATTTGAAAACATTTTAAAGAGTAGGAAAACTGGCAAAATTTGAAAGGTTTGTAGATAAGACAATGGTGCTGTTTCAATGTCAGTTTCCTAATTGTGGTAACAGTACTGCATTGCAGTTCCATAAGGGAATGTTGTCCTGTGTCGATGAAATACACACTTAAGAACTGTTAGCAATTTGCTGAAATGGTTCAGAAGATACCAATTATTTACATATATAGATGGTGGAGGTGGGAAGAGAGAGAGAGAGAGAGAAAGAGAGGAATACACAATAAATCAACCCTGATAAAATGTTAACATTTGCGGACTCTGGGTGAAATTATCTGGACATTCTTTGTATTATTGTTTTGCAACTTTTCCCAAGTCTAAGTTATTTCAAAATAAGTTTTAAAAAATTAAAAAGTATCAAAATCAAAATAAGTTTTCCTTTTAGATGGGGAAAAAAATAAGTGTAGGATTAAAAGCGTGTAGGCTATGTTCAGGGTAGTGAGAAAAATCTGCAGTAATTACTTTGAAATTGAAGTCAGTGGTTACACAGAGTGATAATTGGAAGTTGGCACAATTCCAGGGTGCTGACACTATCTCCCAAATTAACCCAACAAACTGGACAGCAGAGCAGGAAAAGGTATTTTCTTTATTGAGTAGTCATAAATGAGAAGCAAGAACATTCAAAATAATACTGAGCTTCTTTACAAATAAGGATTTTTCTCACAAGCTTTATAAACTTAAAAAAAATTTTCTGCACTAAAGGCAATCATCCTACAAATAACTACAAGTTAACAAAAATAGAAGGGACACCTAGTAGTCCCCTGACATTCACCATCAGCAGCAGTAGCGTCTCTCCAGTGCTGGCCATTTCAGAGAGGTGGCATTTTCCATGATGACCAGAAATTAACTAGACTAGCTATAGGGGCTACGAGACATTACAAAGTGTGCAATTACTCAGGAACATGCACATGTAGAGGTAAATTGTGGAACCAGGTATGTGGTGGTAATGTGGACAAGTTTCCCAACAGCAGCCGAAAGCCTGGATTAATCTTTGTTTTGGAGTTGTCCTGTGTTGGGTGGGACGGTTAGCGGGGTCTCGGGCTTCCACACACTAGATGCCATAGCACTCCCTCCCAGCTGTGACAACCAAGTATGTCTCCAGACATTGCCGAATATGCCCGGGGGCAATACTGCCCCGGTTGAGAATCGCACCTCTAAGGTCCCTCCTACCAGCAAATTTCTCTGAGTCTGTGTTGAGAAAATGAAATGCTATGGAATTTCAGAGGGAGAACTAAGGCAGTGAGAGGAGGATTTTGGGAGCAGGGAGGATTTGAGATAAGTCTTGGGATAAAATAAATCAAATAGGGGTATAGGAAATGGTGAGCTTTCCAGAAGTAGGGATGTCACAATTTAAGGAGTGTACACAGGAAAGAACAGACCGCCACAGGACTGTTAGGAAGCCAGCGGGCCGGGCAGAGTCTTCACTAGTAGATAAGGCAAGAAGCACTTGTCATGTTATAATGTGTTGAAGGAATTACAAAATTTTTTTTTTTTTTTGAGTTTTGCTCTTGTTGCCCAGGCTAGAGTGCAATAGCGCGATCTCGGCTCACCGCAAACTCCGCCTCCCGGGTTAAACCCATTCTCCTGCCTCAGCCTCCCGAGTAGCTGGGATTACAGGCGTGCACCACCACGCCTGGCTAATTTTGTATTTTCAGTAGAGGCAGGGTTTCTCCATGTTGGTCAGGCTGGTCTCAAACTCCCGACCTCAGGTGATCCACCTGCCTCGGCCTCCCAAAGTGCTGGGATTACAGGCGTGAGCCACCGTACCCGGCCGGAATTTCAAATCTAAAGTCAAGACTGCTTAGGCTGGCATCCTGACCTAGCCATGGCATCCGAAGGTGAATGCTAAGTGCAGTCCCACAAGGGACAATGTTCTTGTTAGATAACAACCCACATCATCTACTACTCCATTAAACAAACAATGGCTTAAGAGATGAGAACTTGGTAAAAGTTTGCCCTTTATTTATTTATTTATTTATTTATTTTTTGAGACAGAGTCTCCTCTGTCACCAGGCTGGAGTACAGTGGCATGATCTCAGCTCACTGTAATCTCCACCTCCTGGTTTCAAGCCCTTCTCCCGCCTCAGCCTCCTGAGTAGCTGGGATTACAGGCGTGCACCACCACACCCAGCTGATTTTTGTATTTTTAGTAGAGATGGGGTTTCACCATGTTGGCCAGGATGGTCACCAGCTCCTGACCTCGTAATCTGCCCACCTCGGCCTCCCAAAGTGCTGAGATTACAGGCGTGAGCCACCGCGCCCAGCCAAATGTTTGCTTCTCATATGCCACTGCTCTCTATGTCTGAATGATAGATTGAATTTTAAGGTGTACTTTAAAGAGAAGCTGAAAGCAAGCAAGTTGGGAGGGAGGGAGGTGGAGAATAGTGTTCACCGGGCACGGACTGAAACACATCACGTTTTGTGAAAGATGGAGAGTGCTGACTTCCTGCTATATTCATGCAACACTCACAGGCCAGGAAGGCTGGAATTTGCAAGCATGTAGATGACCAAGACTTCAGCCTTTTCTTTTGACTAATTCTATATTTCCCCAATTTGGACCACAAGAGGGATTTCTCAAGACTCTGTGGGGGTTTGCAAGAACTGGGGTTGTGGCACATGCTTGAGGCAGTCTTATCAAGTTTCAAGTCAGCCCTAAGAACCGAGCTGCATCCACGTGGGTTGGCTCTCTTCTTGGTGTGGAGCTCGGACGTACTCTGAAAGCCCCAGGAGAAGCTCACTGTAGTAAGAGGCTCTGTTGCTGTACAAGAGACTATTCTAGTGGCCTCCCCTGATCAGGCATCAGCTTGGTGGGGCAGCGCACACCTCCACATCCACCCAACAGGCCTTTGAAGGTCTGAGAATGCTGAGTCCCACCTGTGTCAGAATGAAATGGGAGAGTTCCCTGACTCCTCTCAGGACTTGTGACAGGGGTGAAGCTCGTTTGCTTGGCCGACACGTGCTCAAACCCCTTATGGGAGGGAGAGCACGCAGATGGGCAGGGGCAGGTGTAGGAGCTGGGGTGAGCACTTTTGGGCTCTGGCCCCATGGTAGTGTCTGGGGGTCTGTTACAATTAATGCTCTTTTAGAAGCTGCCATCTGCGGATGGCTACGTGTTAAAACAGCTCAGCGGAGAATAAGGGTGACAGCCCTGTAAGCCCTGCCCTCTTGGTACCCAAGTCTTTGTCCAGCATTCAGGAAGAATCAGGTCACCCAGACTTGAAGGATGGTGAATGTGAGGATTTTACTGAGTGATGGAGATGGCTCTCGGTGAGAGATGCGGAGCTGGAAAGGGGACAGAGTGGGAAGATGATCTTTCCCCTGGAGTTTGGTCATCCCATAGCTGATCTCTGCTACCTTCCCCAGCCGAACTCCTCTCAATGTTCAGAAGCACCTTTTCTTTTCTCCTTCTCTGCTGCACTGCTCTGCCACTCTTCTGCTTGTGGAGCCTGGGGTTTGGGGTTTATATGGATACAGGAGAGGGGGGCGTGGTGAGCCAAAAGGCAACATTTGGGCACAAAAACGGGAATGCCTGTTCCCATTTAGGGCTCCGGATTTCCAGGCTTGAGGGTGGGGCCTTTGCTGGGGAACCACCCTCTTCTACCCAGTATTTCCCTGCCTCCTGTCCATATCAAGATGGTGCTAGGGGTGACTCTGGGGCCAATTCATTCAGTCAACTGCATGAGGCTGCAAACACCCTTCTGCAGTTCCCACTGTCTCTTACTGCTTAGAGAGAAGACAGTCCACCGGGCTCGGCGGCTCACGCCTGTAATCCTAGCACTTTGGGAGGCTGAGGCAGGTGGATCACAAGGTCAGGAGATCGAAACCATCCTGGCTAACACAGTGAAACCCTGTCTCTACTAAAAATACAAAAAATTAGCCAGGCATGGTGGCGGGCACCTGTAGTCCCAGCTACTCGGGAGGCAGGGGCAGGAGAATGGCGTGAACCTGGGAGGTGGAGCTTGCAGTGAGCCGAGATCATGCCACTGCACTCCAGCCTGGACGACAAAGCGAGACTCCGTCCCAAAAAAAAAAAGAGAGAGAGATGACAATCCATCTAAGCAATCTAAGCAGCCCCTGTGGGGCAGGGACTGCGGCTTCTTCTAAAAGTCATATTGAACCATCTCCTCTCCAAGTAGATGAACCTTTTCTAAGTAATTCTTTCCCTACATTCCAAAAAACTTCTGAAATGGGACCTCTGATTGAACTCTGCCCAGGTGCTTTATGGATTACAATTCGGCATCATTAGAGTCATCCAGTGCTTCCACTTGATCTTTCAGGGAGGCCCAGAAGCCACTTGATTCTCATTTAACTCATATTCACTAAAATATTTTTATTTTAAAAAATAGAGAAAAAAAGGGACCAAAATATTTACATTTATTGGAGATTTAAAATAAAAGTGTTACAAATCCAAAAGAGCTTGTACAAACCGAGAGCTTTCAATCCCAGGCCTCCTGCTGAGCCAGCCACCAGGCCGCAGCACCTTCTGCCAAGCTTCTCACAGTCAATCCAGAAGCTTTCTCCAGGGCTACAAAAAAGTTATTAAGAGTGCACCGCTTTGGCCATTATTTCACAACCGAGTTAACCTCTATCCCAAGGGCAACATTTTGCAGCTGTTTGCAGTGAGTCAGTACTTTCTTTCCATTCTTTTCCTTTTTATCTATTTTCTTCTTTTTTGGTAAATTACCCTTTCCATTTTTGCCTATGACTAGGGGCATACAAACAAAGTTTGGGTCTGCTTCTTGCTGTTCTGAATAGCTGTCTGCTTTTTAAAAGGCAGAAATGAAAACAGCAGTCACGTGATGTTCTTTCAAATTAAAGTTACACAATGACACAAAGCTGAGTTGCGCACACACACAAAATACGCAGCAATGCTACTTCCTGCCATTGAAAACACCACTTTTCAGATGGCATTTAATGGTTCTGTTTATTATATAATTCTATCTCATAACATACATTTCCTTCCTTTAGAATGAACAATACTTACTTTTGAAAAATCCTCGTACAGTCTACACCAAGCACACAAACCAATCACATGAGTGACTATTTCTTACAATGTTTGAAATTGCATAAACCAGGAGGTCTTAAAGCAGGGTTCCCTGACCAGCAGCAGCAGCAGCATTCAGGAACTTTTTACAAATGCAAATTGTCAAGCCCCATCCCAGACCTAGGGCGTCAGGAATTCAAGGGTGGAGCCCACAAGTCTGTGGTCAAACAAGCTCAGCAGGTGATTTTGAAGCTCACTGAAGTTGGAGGGGGTAAGAGGGTTCTGGGCCCTGAGCACCTGGCCTCGGTCATTTGAAACCACCCTGAGTGCCCTCAGTGCCTCACTTCTTCACCGTGTAAAACAGAGAATGACAGTAACACCCCAAAGGACTGTCTTGAAGAGTCCATTAGGTAATCCAACACTGTCCAAACATTGACAGCGCTTGCCTGTGGCTGGCCAGGGAGCAGGGATTGGCTGCAAACAGGCAGAAAGGAACTTTTGGGGTGATGGAAATGTGCTAAAACTGGAACGTGGTGATGGCTGCACAACTCAGTTTACGAGAACTCATTGAACTGCAGCTCAAGAGGTGAATGTTATCTGTAAAGTATACCTCAACAAAACTGTTCAGAAAATACTAAAAATGTTTAGAAAAGTGCCTTGCTCATAGTCATCAGATGTTGGCTCTGATCATCTAAGCCGTGTGAACAGATTTATCTAACTGTGCATGTTCTTCTAAACAGGAACTCAGCTCCCTCCAAAGTGTGAGGGTCTTGTTCCGCCTTGATGCAGGAATGGGATTTATGCTGTGACCTGTTACTGATCCAAAAAGTAAATCAGACCTATGGTGACCATTTTCATGAGGAAAATTTTACAGAGGGAAAAATGATATTCTTTGGAGTACAGTAATATACCAAAGGCGAACTGAAATGGAAGCTACCTAGTGATACTACTCCAGAGATCACATGCGTTTAAAACGTATTGGATGTGTATATTTGCTCTAATTTATAATAGCTGGCTTCATTATTGCCGTCTCTATTTCAATAAGCAATGATTCACCATAAACTGTGCTGACCAGGATATAGGCAACAGAAGCAATGCAAGACAGAATGCAGAAATAGACAGAGGTGGCCATGGACAGAGCCTTAGGAAACAGCCCCATTTCAGTGCCAGAACCACACACCATGGGGTATTTAATAACACTTACTGATTTTGTTGACAACTGACAATGCTGAACTTTCCCTGAGCCCCGTGCTCCTAGAACACAGAAACAGTTACAGAATCTTCCTCCTCTTTCTTAACCCAGGAAATGGCTGGAGGCAAAGCAACCTTCCCCATAGACTTCCACTCTTCTTCATGAACCCCGTAATTCTTGGACCCCTCCCTTGTTCACCTGCATTTATAAAACCCTAGTTCTTCCTCTCTCTGAGACATTTCTCATTAATAAACGTTACCCCTACTGCAGTGGCCTGGGTAAAATTATCTTAATTGTCTGGTACATTTTGTTTTTGACACAATAAATATAAATTTGGCCGGCCATTCCGTCACTTTCAGTTAACAATGTTATTTGCAACACTTGACATTTTACAATATTTTAGTATACATATGTGCACACACATACACACACCTATATTAGCTGTTCAATTGCATGTATTCATGCTGGAGTGTAAAAAGAAAATTAGTCAATTTGCAAATGCAACTACCTATGACTAATCATCTAGGTCAGAGGTGGGCAAACTTTCTTCTACAATGGGCTAGATGGTCAATCTTTTCTTACCTGTTTTGCATGTTACACTGTCAGTTCCGCTTCAGTCACGTGAAAGCAGCCACTGACAGTACATACAGGAATGAGCATGGCTGTGTTCCGATAAAACTTTTTTTTTTTTGAGACGGAGTCTCGCTCTGTCGCCCAGGCTGGAGTGCAGTGGTGCAATCTCGGCTCACTGCAAGCTCCGCCTCCCGGGTTCACGCCATTCTCCTGCCTCAGCCTCCCGAGTAGCTGGGACTACAGGTGCTCGCCACCACGCCTGGCTAATTTTTTTTTGTATTTTTAGTAGAGACGGGGTTTCACCATGTTAGCCAGGATGGTCTCGATCTCCTGACCTGGTGATCCGCCTGCCTCGGCCTCCCAAAGTGCTGGGATTACAGGCGTGAGCCACCGCACCCAGCCAAAACTTTATTTTCAAAAACAGTTGGTGGGGTGTAGTTTGCAGATCTGATCTAGAGTAGTGTTGCCTGATGGAATTCTAAGGAACATTACTTTCAGGGCATGTTAATAGCTAATGTGAAAAAAAATAAAAGTGGGGGTAAGGGAGTGGCCCATGGTAAAACAGATTAGGGGAAAACTGGGAAAAGTTTACTATAGCACTTTCCACTAACTTTATTTGTGAGGGAGGGTCTCGCTCTGCTGCCCAGATTGCAGTGCAGTGATGCGATCCTAGCTCACTGCAGGCTCAAACTCCTGGGCTCAAGTGATCCTCCTGCCTTAGCCTCCTGAGTAGCTGGATTATAGGTATGCACCACCACACCAGCTAATTAAAAAAAAAAAACAAAAAAAAAACAAAACAAAAAAACAAAACTTGTAGATACAGGATACCACTATGTTGTTGCCCAGGCTGGTCTCAAACTCCTGAGCTCATGCGACCCTCCAGCCTCAGCCTCCAAGGTATTGGGATTACAGGTGTGAGCCACTATGCCCAGCCTCCACTAACTTTAAAATGCTAATGTGCAATATTTTTGCAATTTTTTTCAAAATCTCAACTCAAAGATTACTGTGTTTCTTAAAAGCTTTTAAAAAATATATAGGGTCGGCCGGCTCACACCTGTAAATCCTAGCACTTTGGGAAGCCGAGGCGGGTGGATCACCTGAGGTCGGGACTTCAAGACCAGCCCAACCAACATGGAGAAACCCTGTCTCTACTAAAAATGCAAAATTAGCCGTGCATGGTGGCGCATGCCTGTAATCCCAGCTACTCGGGAGGCTGAGACATGAGAATCACTTGAACCTGGGGGGCAGAGGTTGCGGTGAGCCGAGATTGTGCCATTGCACTCCTGCCTGGGCAACCAGAGCGAACCTCCGTCTCAAAAATAAATAAATAAATAAATAAAAAGCACAGAGGCAGAATGCTTGTGGCTTCATTAAAAAATATATATATATACATATATGGCTGGGCACAGTGGCCATACCTGTAATCCCAGCACTTTGGGAGACAGAGGCAGGAGGATCACTTGAGCCTAGGAGTTCAACACCAGCCCAGGCAACATAGTGGCACCTTGTTTCTACATTTTTTTTTTATTTTAATTAGCAGGCTGTGGTGGTGTGCTTCGGTAGTCCCAGCTGCTTAGTGAACTGAGATAGGAGGATCGCTTGAGCCCAGGAGTTTTGAGGCTGTAGTGAGCTATGATCCTGCCACTGCACTCCAGCCTGGGTGACAGAGGGAGACCCTGTCTCAAAAAATAAATTAATTAAAAGGTCCCATCGCAGCATTTCCTATGGTATCCCACAAAATGAGCTCTGGGAAAGGCTACTTAGTACATGCCCAAAGAAAACAAGGACTCAGTGGTCAAATTCCATTTGAGAAATGCTGCATTCTATATTCCATCTTGGAGATTCAAAACAGACATCCACTTAGTAAAGATTTTGAGACATCCTGAAATAAAAAATATTAATTTAACCCAGCATTTCCCAAACTTATTTTAAACATCACACCACACACACAATCAACTAACTGAAATTCTTAGAATTCTATGTAAATTCAGAGTCAATAATCTTAAAGTCTTAAAGTCAGAAACTTGGTTAACACGTCATTCAGTGATTTGAAGTTTTTCCCAGTTTTTCTGGGTTAAAAAAAATTCATGGTGTGATACTTCCAGATGTTAGAAACCTGGAGTGTTGCTATTAAAGAAATGTGGGTTCCCCCCTTCAAGCACCTTAGTAATAACACTGCTTCAGTTCAGAACCTCTGCCCTTAATTTGTTCTATTATACAGGTAACAATGATTGAGTTATCAGTAATACTGCTGAGGCCTCTATGTCTTACTTTCATTGTTTTTCTTCCTCAATAATCAATATTTTTCATTTCAGCTACTTTTAATTAGCACAACTCCTTTACCTTGGTGTATTTTTCAAATATATTGCTGAATCTATAAGGGATATGCTCATTATAAAATATCAGATGCTAACATAAGAGCATGAAGACAATTCCGCTCAAGTTCGGCAACTATTACTAGTCCTGGATTAAGCCTTTCATGTTTGTGGGGGCTTTTTGTTTTTGAAACAGAGTCTCTCTGCTCTGTCACCCAAGCTGGAGTGCAGTGGTACGATCACAGCTCACTGCAGCCTTGACTTCCTGGGCTCAAGCGATCCTGCCACCACGGCCTCTTGAGTAGCTGGGGTCATGGGCATGTATCATCACACCTGGCTTATTGTACTTTTTGAATTTTTTGCAGAGATGAGGTCTCACTAGGTTGCCCAGTCTAGTCGCAAACTCCTGGGCTCAAGTGATCATCCTGCCTTGGCCTCCCAAAGTGCTGGGATTATAGGCATAAGCCACTGCACCCAGCCTCAACTTTGTGTTTGTAAAACAAAGCAATATCCTACACGGGCCATTTTAACTTTATTTTTTCATGTTACAATATAGTTCATATTGCATCTTTCCATGTTTGTAAACATTTACCTGATCACTATTTTAATGGCTGCATATGAATATTCTGCCATATGGAACAACAAAACTTCTTTAACTAAACTCCTATTGATGGACAGTCAGGTAGTTTCTAATTATTTTGTGAATACAAAGGACACGGTGGTGAATGTTACTGACATAAATCTTCGGAAACTTATCCAGTTAGTTCCCATGGTGGACTTGGGTCTCAGTACTTCTCCCGCAGAAGTCATCCCAGGTGGCAGTATTTACAGTGTTATGTAAGCCCTGCCTCCCATCTCTGGGATTGGTTGATAGACTAAAGAAGAACATCAACCCTCAGATTACCCAGTGATCCATTGAACACCTAGGTGAGTAAAGATGAGATGGGCCAGCCAGAGTCCTTCCTTCAGGAATGACAGAGAATGAGGCAGTTTTCAGGCAGACGGTGGTTTAGAGAATGGCTCATGACACTACGATGGGCTCCGACCTGCCATATGCAGAAACTGTGGGTGGTAGTGGGAATGAAAGCCCCAGTGGGCAGAGGCCAACTCCTGTGTTAGGGGGAGCTCAGGTAGACTAACGGGACTGCACTAGGATGAGTAAGACCTGGGAGCTGCTGTCAATGATGCTAAGGCATCACAGCTTTTGTTCTTAGAGAGCCCTGCTTTAAGCCTCATTCCTAGTACCAGCTTATGTGACCCTGGGAAAATTATTTAACGTCTGTATTTCTCATGAGAAGATTAAATGAAGAGAGAATCTATGGTGCCTCACACATACTGAGTGCTCCATATACATCAGCTCTCCCAGTTACAGTATTATCATTATGACCCAAGCCACTGTGGATCCCAAGAACTGTCAGATAAGATGTTCCCTAGGGTTTGCATGGCTGGCCATTCCTTAAGGTCTCTGTATACATATACCCTTGTAGTACGTTTAGGAAACTTGGATGAATCTCTTGCCAGAAAAATTAACAAAAACAATTCTGTAAGTTCTAGAGTTGGGGTTGCCAGTTCAAAGAGCAGAACTCTTTCAGAGAAACTCCTCTTACAATTGACCTAAGCAATAACTCAACTCTAGAAATGCTCACCACACATGTGCTGACTGGTTTGTAAGTAGCTGTTATAATATGGTTGTGCTATCTGCGTTCAATTTCAACATGGATCCAGAAACCTTGCCTAGAAACTTGCAGAGCACCTTGCCCCATCAGCAGGGCTGCCACAGCTAAGTGGTTCTAGGCAAACACTCAAAGAGGCAAAATATGGGAGAGAAAGAGATGGCTTAGCTAGCCAGTGCTTTAAAGAACAAAGTAGCTGATAGAGAAACACAGGCCCAATCCATGCACCCTTTCCACTGTCATTAAAGCAATGGGGTGGGAACAGCTTTTCTCTTCTACACCCATTCACTCCCTTCCTCCTCTTCAGCCCTGTCCCCCTCTGTTTAGACTGCTAAATATTAAAGCAATCCTTCCCCTCTGATTTTAAACTCATTTCATATGAGAGAGAGAGAGAGGGCAGGAAGGGAGGGAGAGTCAGTGAGAGGAATGTGGAAACGGAAGACAAAACCAGTGTGAAATTTAAGTCGTCTCAGGCCTATATTTCTAAGAACAGCCCTAGGTCCTATCAGTGCATCAAACAGGGAGCAATAAAAACCAAACCAGTCACCACCAGAACTTGCAAAAGAGTTCACAGCAGTGGCTCCTACCGAGGTGCTCACCAGAAGCACTGGGCAGCTAATTCAAAATGGGTGTGAAGCAGCTGCCCAGGTGACTGGCTCCACCCAGACCCTAAATGCTGTTGAGTTAAGATTTATAGTGGAAAAAACAATGGTTTCTTTCAGAGCTCCATTAGTTTCTTCTGAGTTCTAGCTGTCTATTTGATATGTGTTAATATCTGGAAGAAACTGGTATCAATAGTGGACTCTCAAATTCTACATATGCCAAATATATCTACAGGGGGGAAAAAAGAAAAATTCAAACATCTCTAATGCTCTTTCTGTAACTTCAGTCCAGCTTTTATCTCAGAGATCCTGAACGTGTTGTTTAGAAGTCTAGAATGGGAGTGCAGAGGCGACCAGAACACATCAAAAACTTGAGGTGCAGTCTGATGAGTTTCTCTACTCCCTGCTTAGTAAATTTAGAGTTTTCTATTTTTGGAGGACGTAATCCCTATGCACACTGCTTTTAGCATCTAAGCATTTTCCTCAAGATGGGTCAAAGTGTCAAGGGTTTCACGAGAGCCTCTGTCAATTCCTGCAGAACACGGTGGATCTGCTAAAGACTTAAAATAGGGACACAGTCCTTACAGTTTCAGCTTAAGGATCATAAACACAAACGACCACCTGAGACCACAGAGGACCGGATATGAGCTACTTATAGTCATACTGAGCCGGAGAACAAGAATAGCAGGAAAGCGGCCAGTTTTCTTGTAGTGAGGTTCTTTGAAGTAAAGTATTTATTAAACATTATATTATAGTGCATGAAACAAAAATCTTTGAAGGCAGGTTATCCTACTCTGCACAGTGGCCACTGCTAACGAATTACTTCCTTTTCCTCTCAGGTTTTGTTTTTCTATTTGTGAAACTGAAACCCAGATTGTTTTCCTCCATCCATGAAACCAGCTGGCACAAAGCACTCCTTCTGGTAATAATGTCCCATCAATGGAAACAGCATTAAAAACGATTCCAACCCATCACTTCACCATCACACACAAGAGGATGTGCAGATTAGGGAGGTGCTCTCTAAATATTGGTCAGCAACTTCTCTAAAATAGAAAACCAGGCTGTTAAAAATGATAAAATGACTAGAAATGGCAACAATTAAAATGGGGCTTCCATTTTTATTTAAAAGCAAAATTTACCGATTGCATTTCTCACTTCCTAACTCTAGACTGATACGCCTTATTTCAGCTAGCACTTTCTATTTCTCAATAAAGTACCCCAGATATACCAGTAAGAGCCTCATCTTAAAGAAATGTCCAAAAGAAGACCAAGAGGGCGGTATAGTTTATTCTTCTGAACCAATTATTAACTTAAGAGTCTTTGCCTGGGGAAGGAGTACTGAGCAGCAGAACTCCCAATGAGCCAGCACAAACGGTCACATGCTGAAGATGCAATGGAAGAATCCTGGCCCATTGGCCAAAAGGTGTCTCCGGCTAAGTGTGTGCTGAGAGGAGAAAAGGACAGCGCCGGACACATGGCTGGGTCTGTTTCAACGTGGCTGAGAACAGTGGGAAGCTTTTTAAAATCTGGGAATACATCAAAGGGCTAATGCAGATTAAGCCCAGCTCCTTTTTTTTTTTTCCCTGAAAGGCTCACTTTTGTTCCTAATAGAAAGACTTAGATGGTATTTCTTCAGATCATAAAGCAAGTTGTACTTTTAATGATGGAATAAAAATTATAAAAGTAAAACGTGGCTTTTCCTCCCCATTCTTTTTTTCCTTTTTTAAGTGATGAATTCAGGAAAAGACCAGTCTAGGCCAAATTTATCTCTTGTTAACCTTCAGGGATATGGAGTACGCCAAGTATGTTAGTACAAAGTCAAATTTGGATGATGTAGTCATTTTTTGCTAATTCCATTATTAGAAACATTAGATAATATGGTAGTATCTAAGGAATACAGCTTTAAAAATAGTATGCACCTTCACTATCAAGACTGTAAGGCAAAATCAACTTGTGCCCACGACTGAACTTTTGAAATAGAAAATTTTGTTATATCCATGTTAGCCAGGCTGGTCTTGAACTCCTGACCTCAAATGATCCGCCCGCCCCGACCTCCCAAAGTGCTGGGATTACAGGCGTGAGCCACTGCACCCGTGGCATGCACCTGTAATCCCAGCAACTCGGGAGGCTGAGGCAGGAGAATCGCTTGAACCCAGGAGGTGGAGGTTTCAGTGAGCTGAGACTGCACCATTGCATTTCAGCTTGGGGAACGAGCGAACGCTCTCTCAAAACAAACAAACAAAAAACCAAAACAAAAAACCTTGTTATGTCAATAAGAGTATTTCTAAGTGGGTTAGCAGCTCCCTGACAGGCTACCTCTCCAGCCTTCCCAGGCCCACCCATCCTTGGTTCCCTCTCTAGCCTCACAAGACAGCGCTCTTCTCATCACACTCAGGCATTTCACTGGAGCCCCTGATCTCGCTTTGCCCTCCTCTCTTGGAGCCTGCCTCATCAACTGTCCTCTCTTCCCTCTCTATTGGCCCCTTCTCTTCATCCTGAAAGTCAACCTGAGTCATTCCAATCAACAAATTCTCTCTCGACTCTGCATCCCTCCTGGCTACTGCCTTCTGACCTGACCCATGTTCTCCACACAGTCCTCTGCTCTAGCTGCTGCAACCACACTTGCACTCACGACCAAACCAGCCCTACGTGGCTATCGCCACCACTGTTCTTCCTAACTGACAAGCTGTCTCAGGTACCCACAGGTTAGATATTTCAGGGGAAATGACTGTTACAGAAATGTTCATGTTAGAATGAAGAAACAGATCAATACACATCAATCATATTAAAAAGGTGCTTCTAAGACAAAGCATATATTATTTTTATTATTCATATTCAATATTTTAGGAATTAAAGCAACGATGTTTCTGCAAATTTATGGTTTTGAATTGATGGTACGTTGTAATAATGCATAGATAGGGTCTGCCTGAGCTTTCACCCCAGGAACTGTAAACTTTATATTACAGTAGTCCCCCCTTATCCAAGGTTTTAGCTTTCCAAGGTTTCATTTACCTGTGGTCAACCATGGTCCAGAAACATTATATGGAAAATTCCAGAAATAAACAATGTATAAGTTTTAAATTGTGAGTCATTCTGAGTAGTGTGAGGAGATCTTGTGCTGTCCTGCTCCATCCTGCCTGGGTCATAAACCCTCTCTCTCGGGGTCCAGCATCTCCACGCTGTAGACACCCCCACCACCAACCAGTCACTTAGTGGCCATCTCAGTTACCAGATCTACTGTCAGGGGGTCTCAGTGCTTAGGTTCCTTTTTTATTTTTGAGACAGAGGCTGGCTCTGTCGCCCAGGCTGGAGTGCAGTGGCATGATCTTGGCTCGCTGTAACCTCCACCTCCTGGGCTTAAGCCATGCTCCCACCTCAGCCTGCCGAGTAGCTGGGACTACAGGTATGTGCCACCGTGACCGGTGAATTTTTGTGTTTTTTGTAGAGGCAGAGTTTTGCCATGTTGCCCAGGCTAGTCTCAAACTCCCGAGCTCAAGTGATCCACCTGCCTTGGACTCCCAAAATGCTGGGATTACAGGTGTGAGCCACTGTGCCTGGCAGGAACTATTATTTGACTTCACAATGGCCTCAAAGTTCCAAGAGTATGATGCTGGCAATCTGGATATGCCAAAAACCAGCCATGAAGTCCTTCCTTTAGTTAAAAGGTGAAAGTTCTCAAGAAAAAAAAAAGTATGCTGAGATTGCTAAGATCTACAGTAAGAATCAATCTTCTATCCATGAAATTGTGAAAAAGGACAAAGAAATTTGTGCTAGTTTTGCTGCTGTACCTAAAACTACAAAAGTTACAGCCACAGTGTGGGCTAAGTGCCGAGCTGAAATGGAAAAGGCATTAAAGGCAAGCGTATACAGGGTTCGGTCCCATCCGCAGTCTTAGGCATCCCCTGGGGATTTTGACATGGATCCCCCGTGGAGAAGGGGGGCTACTGTACAGTACACTTCCCTTCAGCAAGCCGCATATTCAAGTTCTCTATTTCAGATTCCCCTTCGTGACTGTCATGCAGGAAGCAAAGAAAACCCATTGTGTCCAAGGAAATTTTTACTTTCTCTAGGGATTCAGAAACCTGACTTTCTGATACTCAGAAACTCAGTGCGCATGGGTGAGAAGGCTCGGTAGGGAAGAGGTGCTTTGTAGCTCAGGATCTGCTGGAGCTGAGGGCGTTTTTTGGTTTAATCTAGTTTCACTGTGTGTTTCATGGAGAGGTTCCTCTAGGAACAAAAGGTTCTATGGAAGTCACGTCCTTTATCCCTCTTAGCCATCCCTGTGTCTGCCTTAGCCAACCTCCCATTTGTAAAAAGAAAGCAGAGACCAGGCTATGGCTGAATAGTTTCAGACAGCCCCTATACCACTGTCAGCCTTTGCAAAGTGTAATGCTTTAATTACAAGGGTCACACAAGGTCTTAAGACACAGGAGTCCCTGTGTCTGAACGTAATCACTGTGTATGCGTCTCAGCCTAATGAGGAGGTGACTATCATGAAGGTCTGGTGGTGAAGATCTTGCAAGAAGGTGCCTTGTTTGAGATCTTTCAAGGAAACACAGTACTCAATAAATGTGGGTGAGTAGAAATTACAATTTAGTTGGGTTAATTTTTGGTAGTAATATGGAGCTTTGCAAAGAGAAAGGCATTTGCTGAAGACACTGGTAAAATATGTGCTGAAGCTCTGCCTCATCTAGTCTGGTTCAAAAGTCAAATATCAAAGAGTCAAGAGACCCTCCTATTCAGAAGAAAGCCCTGACTTGTTAATTTATTAGAAGCAAGAGTAAATGCTCCATAGGTTTTTCATTAAATAAAATTAGATCTAGTCCCAGGGCTTTTCTGTAATGGGTGCTCCTGAGTCAGGAATCAAGACCCATGAAGTAAGAAAAGAACAGGTAGGCAAGGGGGTACCTTCTCCTCTAACAAAAGTGGCCTATCAGATGGTCAGGGAGTCTCTATCAGTGGAGCCAAACCAGCTCCACTGACACAGTTAAAGACCCTTGCCATCAAGTGCAAAGGGAAGCAGTAGGACTTAGAGTAGGCCATTTCCTACTAAAAATGGAATCATTTTTCAGTTCGGTGTACAGTTGAGCCTTGAGCAACATGGATTTGAACTGCATGGGGCCACTTAAATGTGCATTTTCTTATGACTCCGCTGCTCTTGAGACAGCAAGATCAAGCCCCCTCCTCCTCAGCCAACTCAACGTGAAGACAATGAAGATCAAGATCTTTAAGATGATCCACTTCCACTTAATGAATAATAAATATATTTTGTCGTTATGATTTTCCTAACACTTTCTCTAGCTTACTTTATTGCAGGAATACAGTATATAATCATGTAACATACCAAATACGTGCTAAATGACTGTATGTTATTGGTAGGACTTCTGGTCAGCAGTAGGCTACTAGCAGTTACATTCTGGGAGAGTCAGAAGGTATCCGTAGATTTCTGACTGCACAGGGTTGATATCCCTAGCCCCCATATTGTTCAAGGGCCCACTGTATCTAGGACGTTGGTCAGCACACTTGTACCCCATCAGAATCTCTCAGGAGTCTTCCCTGTGCCACACTCAGTGATTCCCTCATTACAAGATTAGGCATCCCTGTGATGAATGGGCTTTCATTTTGGTTTTTATTTTTGAGTAACCAGCAGGAGTTTACCTGGGATTTGAGGAATGGATAACATGACCTTTTTTCCCAGTATATAAAGGGCTTTACCTAAAAGGGCCCAGCTATTTCTTTAATAAAAGTGAGTAGTGGGGCTATGACTGATGATTATCTGTCAGAGAATAAGTGGGATTATTGTGTTTTTAGGTAACGTCCCAGAAACTGTGGCTGTCCCTTACCCTGAGTGAGAAGGTTCTGGTGCATGCAGAGTCAAATTGTGTGTTTCTATCCCTCTGAACCCTGTGCAGAGAGAAAAGTTGGTCAGCTTCCATTTCTCTTGGCTTACCAGTTCTAGTACCAAGAATTCTGTTACTATAATATGAGGAGCCCCATTCTTTCCTTTTTATAGTAGAAAAAGCAATTCTACTAGGCTTATCCAGAAAGGCATGCTAGAAGCAACTCCCTTAAGCCAGCCTAGCAGGATTTCCAGGACGAGTGTTCATGCCCCAGGGCTGCTTAGGAGGTGAGGAGTCACTCCCAGGGTGACCGCTCCTGAGGCCGCTACAGTACGCCTGGCTGTGAAGAGGCAGGCGAGCCCTCCTGACCAGGCAATTTCCTCCTCATCATGGCGTCGAGGGTAACAGCAGCAGCTCCTGGAAGCTGTTGCCTCCTCCTATGAGAACTAAGTCAGAGGCTGAGAGTGTGCTGGGGGAGGGGACACAGGTCTTCCCACCTCTCAGTCGGGGACCTCCCCAGGTACCCAGGGAAGGGGTGGGGCCTCCCAGGCACCCGCCCAGCATCAAGAAGAGGGCTGAGAAGCTACAGTTCCAGAGTGGGAGGGAAAGGACACTCGCCAGAGCAGGCTGATCCCAGAGCCCCAAACTCCTCTGGTGTCCACTTGGGCCCAGGAAGGGAGACAGTTGTCAGGGCTCTGGTCTGACCCACTGACCACAGGCCACAATGGCGACAGACCGCTCCTCAGAGGATTCAAAACTTTTCTCTGGAGGAGACAAGACTAGGTTGTTGAAGACAGACAATTTCCTGGATCAAGGGGAAAAAAAATCCACAGAAAAATAAATATGTCCTCAGACCTACCATTCCTCTTCAGGGTAAAATGCAATGAATTGCGGGCTTCTGAGCTAACAAGGCCAAGTTAGGCCAAGGGCAGTTCACAGCTGATCATTTGCTAAGAAACAAAAGCCTAAAAGGCCCGATTAGCTCGAGCTCGCCACATCCAGCAACAACCTGGAGCGGCCGTCAGCGCAGGGCTGGGTACTGCCCGCGGCCACAGGCCTTGTCAGGTGCAGGTGGCCAGCTGTTCCTCATGCTCTGCAGACGGGACAAGAAGGGCTGCATTCAATCCAGGGAAGGTAGAGGCTTCTTTCTTTCCCAGGAGCCAAGGAGACAGTCACATGAAGAGGCTGAGAAATCAGGACTCAGGGGTGAAGGGTAACTCTGCCACTGCCCACAGGAGAACACACGCTTCATAGGGCTCACCCCATCATTTTATTTGTTTATAGTATTCCTGAGATTTCCCTACCGTATACTGTCCAAACTTGCTATTCAACAAGGATTACCACAGTTCTTTTTAGGAACAATCCTTGCTACAGTACTCTCTGGATGATTTAAACAATTATTTCTTAACAACTCTCTTCCCATCATCCACAGGGTCACTGCCTTGCCCCTAAAGCCGCCGTCTCTCACCTGCACTACCCGAATGAGCACTGAGAACTTAAAGCTGTATAATATCAAATCATTAACATGCAGAAAATAGTATAACTTTCAGTAGTATTTTCTTATTCACTGAATTTCCAACAGGAATTAGAAACTCCACATCTAACTTAGTTGCCTTGAGGAAGCAGCTATGGCAACCAGAAAGTTCCCAGGATCCTGTCTCCTAAAGGTAAATAAAACTTTACTCTTAGGTGTGAAATATTTCCACACTGCTAGTTATTGAGTGGTAACATTGTGCCAGGAACTGTACTAAGTGTTATGCATGCACCAACTCATTTAATTCTCACTGTCGCCAATGAGGTAGATGGTACAATCACTCTCATTTTACAGACCCAGAAACTGTGCCGAGAGAGCGTAAATGAGGCCAAGCAAATAGCCAGTAAATTAGTATGCACTTGACTTTAAAGCAGGTGCCCTCGGTCATTACCCGGTAAATTACCTTTTGTATATAAACAGATGGGATAGAATTACTGAAGTAGTAACTATAACATTTGAAAAGGAATTCAAGAAAGGAAGCAAGATAATTAATTTCTGTAGAGATTTAATACCACAAAACTAAAATATGGCAGAATAAAGTGACGAGCTTCAGAGTCTAAAGTTTTCATTCATTCTACTCCCTTATTCAACTGCCCTGCCCCACCCCTCAACCAGGTACTCTGGGGACTGACCTCAGAGTCCCCCAGTTTTGCTATGAGGAACTAAGAAAGGTGACTGTGTGACACATGAAGGTGATTTTGATACCTATGAATTTGTATTTAGGTGCAGTGTGTACACCAGCTGGTTGCCACTGGATGCTTATTTGTGATTCAGATTTCTGTCCTATTGAAATTGGTCCATTTCCACAATACCTGGAATGTTGTCCACCACAAAATATGTACCTATCAAATACTTGGATAAATGAATGAGTAAATGGATCACAAACTTCCATGGGTATGCAAACTAAGGGTGGGGGGTGGACAGGACTTTCTCTTCCTCACTTCTGCTAATTTCAAACTAGTGACTTGGAAAGATACTTAATATGTTTTGCTTTTTTCACAATATTAGTGCTAATTAAATACAGTGTCAGTTATCACATCCCTTACAAACACATGTAGGTGGTCTCCAGAACAGGATTAATATCTAAATGACTAAGGAATTAAAACACTGGTATTTGAAGCTTTGACAAATATTTTTACTATCTGAGTTTCCAAGGCAAAGTATCAGTTCACAGGCAACAAGAGGAAACTGCCCAGTAATGTATAAAAAATATTAGTAGTTGGTTTAAATCTCAAAATTTTACAACATTCCTATTAAAAATTACACAAACAGCATTAATTTTCTCTTCTATGCTGATTATTCTTTTTTCCTCTCCTTATATAATGACCTTCCTGCACAGTATGTGATACCATTAAAAAGAGAGAGAATGAGCATAGGAAAATGAAAGGAACTCTGTGCTTCATATCGAAATCATCTCATTTGAGAAGAGACAATAACGTCCTAGAAAATATATATTAACTGAAATGTATGTGCTTTGTTGCTTTTGGGGGGTCAAGTTTGTTTTAAAAAAATAAAACAAATTAACATACACAATTTGGGCTACTTCTGCATTAATTATGATTTCTAGGGAAGAAAGCAGAATACTACATAGAGAATATTTAAAAACAAGCCTGTCTTCATAGCCACTATGATGACCATAATAAAAAAGACAATAACGAGTGTCAGTGAGGATGTGGGAAGAACTGGATCGCTCCCATTGCTGGTGGGAGGGTAAAATGGTGCAGCCACTTTGGAAAACAGTGTGAGAATTCCTCATAAAGTTAAACATAGAGTTACTACACCACCTGGAAATTCCACTTCTAGGTATACACCCAAGAAAAATTAAAACCTTGTCGCCCCAAAAACTCGTACATGAATGTTCATAACAGCATTATTCACAGTAGCCGAAAAGACAGGAACCAACACCCACCAACTGACAGGTAAATAAAATGTTAAGGTATATCCATAC
The DNA here is from genome assembly GCF_000001405.40 of Homo sapiens. NCBI lineage: Eukaryota > Metazoa > Chordata > Mammalia > Primates > Hominidae > Homo > Homo sapiens. Next base: position 100,475,513 of record NC_000013.11, on the reverse strand, counting down.
AATGGGATGTTATTTGCCCATACACAGGAATGATGTACTGGCATGTGCTACAATGTGGATACCAGTATGTAAGTGAAAGCCACAAAAGACGACATACTGTATGATTCCTTTCCTAAGAAATGTCCAGAATAAGCTATACACAGACAGAAAGTAGATCAGTGGCTACCACAGGCGGGAGGGGTGGAAGGGGTGAGGAGTGAATGCTAATGGGTAGGGGGCTTCTTTTTGGGGTGATGAAAATGTTTTAAAATATTACAGTGATGGCAGCACAGCTCTGTGGACAGTCTAAAAACCAGTGAATCGCTGGGTGCTGTGGCTTGCACCTATAATCCCACTTACTTGGGAGGCTGAAGCAGGAGGACCACTTGAGCCCAAGAGTTCAAGGCTGCAATGAGCTGTGACCAAGCCACTGCACTCCAGCCTGGGCAACAGAATGAGACCTCAGCTTGAATAATAATGCTAATAATAATGCTAATAATAACAAGTGTTAGCATATGTCCCAAATATTGAATGAAACATAATTATACTAAAAATGTATTTGCTGCTTATCTCTTAACAAAAGAAACAACAAAAACAAGAAACAAAACCCACTGGATCCTACATTTTAAGTGGGTGAATTATACGTTAATTGTATCTCAATAAAATTGCTACAAAAGTCCTTAGAGGCAGATATTTGAAAATTCTCTGTAAATCAAACAGTCAAAGAATTCTGGCCTGCAAAATGGACATATACGGCCAGGCACAGTGGCTCACACCTAGCACTTTGGGAGGCCAAGGTGGGAGGATCGCTTGAGACTAGGAGTTCGAGACCAGCCTGGGCAACGTGGTAAAATCCCTTCTCTACAAAAAATACCTAAAAAATTAACCAGGCATGGTGGCGCATTCCTGTAGTCCCAGCTACCTGGGAAGCTGAGGTGGGAGCATCACTTGAGCCCAGGAGGTCGAGGCTGCAGTGAGCCATGACTGTACCACTGCACTCCAGCCTGGGCCACAGAGTGAGATCCTGTCTCAATATGAGAGAGAGACAGAGACAGAGACAGAGACAGAGAGAGAGAGAGAGAGAGAGAGAGAGAAACAGTAAATACATAAAATTATAAGAATGGCAACAAAAGCAGCAACGTTGCAATAAACTTAAGGAATTTGCTTCCAAAGGCTAATACATAAAATGTGTAGTAAGCAGGACGTTCACTATACCATCAAAAATAACTTTCGGATACATAAAGGAAAAACATGGGCCTTTATCTTGGAAATTCCACTAAAAGTCAAATTAACTCATTTGCATTTAAAATTGAAGAAGAAAAGAGGTTTAGTTTATGACAGTTTTGGCCTATTTTAGACAGGTATTTATTAAATATTTATTAAAATGCTTGAGCTTGAAATAATACTATAGGTACCAGAAAGAAAACAAATATGAGCAATTCAATTCCCTACCTTCTGTTCGATAAAACTCACTTCTCATGGCAGGTGGCACAGGGAACTCTACCCAGGGGGTTCATCAAAATTCCCTTAGAATAATTGAAAAGCATCTGCATTTTTTCTCCAGAAACCACAAAAAAGTCACAGTAAGCAGAACAGACAACCTTGATTATTAGCACTGTGCCTGTGGCAGCACAATGTGTTGTCCCCAGAAATTAAGTTACAAGACACGATGTCATTGTGCGATAAGCCAGAGATGTCTCCCCTAATGAGACTGGAAAACTCAAGGAAATCAAAAGATAGACAATGATGATAATAAGTTGCATGTGTCATTTTGCTACTGCTGCGAAGCAAACTGCATATTGTGCCAAATGCAATCACTCTCGGAGCAGGCTAGGGGTGGGATAGACTCTAGAGGTCACCGACCCCGACCTTTCATTTTACAACAAAGAAAACTGAGGTTTACGAAGGTCACACAACCAGTTTAAGGCATCACTGGGACTAGAGATGAGATTTTTCAAGGCTCTCTTCGTGAAATATATTTTTCTGTCTGAGTGTATGTACTATAGAGAGTGTAACCTAAGAAATAGAAAATTCTTAGGAATTTCTGAGAGCTATACTGGTAAAACTCCACAGAGCAGTACTGTAATTGCCCATCTGTGAAAGAGTACAACCAGAGTTTGGGGACACTCAAAATTCCAATCAAAGTGGCCTGAGTGCCACCCTAAGGGCAGGAGAAAACTGTAGTTTGACATCGTTTGGGTCTGTGCCTATTGTTTAGGTAGCTGAAGCCTAATCGACTGCAGGGGGCCTTTCTGTGGGAAGATAACAGCAGCGCAGAGGCAAAGAAAAGGGAAGGCACGGCGGTGGCCCTTGTGGGGCGTTCTGGGAGAAGAGATTAATTCACCAAGTCCCTGCGCGGCACAGGTACACCACGTCACCGTTTGCTCTGATTACCACATAAACCAAACTAGTTTGAAATTAAGGTGACTAATGAGTTTCCTAATTATTCCATTCTAGATGGCAGAATATTTAGTCAATATTCTGGAGGGCAGACTTAAAGATTTGGTCACTGGAAGAAACATTCCTCCCCTCAAGCTAATAAATGCATATTCTGGCTTAGCTATCAATCCCTGTGAGTTTGCTCACTATAGGTCAGTTTCCTAAAATCTGGTTACTTCTAGGTTCACAGTGTATTAATCAGGTTTAAATTTTTTTTTTTTTTATCTTATGATACTTTAACATTTTCCAGGGACTTACAGACCCAGAAAGACACTGCCTCTCCCAAGACCAGCTAATTCCTCAATTTAGTAAAGAACTTGGAAGTAAGCCAGCTGCCCATTTTCTCTAACACACACCAAGCCAGTATTTTCCCTGCCTTAAAACATCCCAGGGCCAGATACCAGGCAAATAGAGACCACCCCAAAGCCCACCATCATTATTCAAACCAGCCACGCACTGCCTTTCCCGAGGAAGCCCCACTAAGGTTCCCACCCACACTTTTCTCTGGCTCCTTTCTGCCTCCTGACCCACACTGGTGGTTCCCCTGTGCCCTGCATGGAGGGGTGTGCCCCCTTCTCTTAGGTGATGAAGTAATAAATTCTCCTCTCAAGGGCATTAACCTCTCCTCGTCGGCACTCAGTCACTTCCATAAATGAAAATACGCAGGTACCTTTCCAAACACCCTGCAAAATCAACACCAGATCTGCAGGACCACCGAGGGCCAGACTGCAGACTGGGGAGTAGATGGAGGCAGGAAGCAGAGAACTCTCCCCGGTAGACAGGGGAGGGTCCCCGGAGAACCTCTGACCCACCAAGGTCGTCGTGCCCAGGGACCTTGCCCAAACATGCTTGCGGTGGAAAAGTTCTGTCCCTTAACACATGCGCAGTAAGGGAAATAAATCAATGTAGAGTGGCTCAGACTAAGGGCCCACGTCTGCATTGGAAGGACGGGTGGAGCCGCCAGGAATTCGCGCTTACAGAAATAGGGAACGCAGCCCCATCAGCAGGTATATAAAAGCCCTTGTATTCCACTGTGAAGGGAGAACCACAATCTGCTTTCAAGACCCTTCCTTTAAGTTTTCCTTTCCCTTAGTGCATTCTACTCCACTCACTCTCCAAGTGTCCGCCTGCCTACTTCTTCCCAGTCCTGAGACAAGAACCTGGACTCTGCTGAGCTAAGGAGCAAAATATCCTTGTCACAAGAGACAAGGCCCACAGAGCTCCGGGTGGGCCCCAGTGTCCCCTTCTCCCTAGTTGGCCTGCACACGAGAAGCACCGCCATTGGGAAGATCCAGGCTTACGGAAAGCTCACCTGTGTTGTGTCTGCACACAGAACACACACACAGCATGTACTTATGTTAGTTCATCTTCAACAAGTTGCTAAGTTGATAGCACAATATTGAATTGAACTTTTACTCTAGACAGATGTGGCATTAACAGAGAAGATCCACAGAGAAAACTCTACCGATGGGCAAATTTGAACTGTGAAATGTTTGCTGTGTTTGAGAAGAAACTTAGATACTATCAAGTATCCAAAAAATCCAGGCCTACCTCATTTTATTAGGCTTCACTCTATTGTGTTTCAAGGATAATGCACTTTTTACAATTTAAAGGTTTGTGGCAACCCTTTATCTATTGCCACCATTTTTTCCAACAGCATGTGCTTACTTCACATCTGTGTGTCTCATTTTGGTAATTCTTGCAGTATTTCAAACCTCTGCATTATTAGGAAACCCATTTTCGTCGTTATCTGTTGTGGTGATCTGTCATCGCTGATCTTTGATGTTACCATTGAAATTGTTTTGGGGAACCACAAACTGTGCCCATGTACGATGGTAAACTATAATAAACGTTGTGTGTGTTCTGACTGCTCCACTATCTGGCCAATCCCCCATCTCTCTCCCTCTCCTTGGGCCTCCCTATTCCCCAAGACACAACAGTATTGAAATTAAGCCAATTAATAACCCTACAGTGGCCTCTAAGTGTTCAAGTGAAAGGAAGAGTCACATGTCTCTCACTTTAAATCAAAAGCTAGAAATGATTAAGCTTACTGAGAAAGCATGTGGAAAGCTGAAACAGGCCAAAAGCTAGGTCTCTTGTGCAGTTACTCAAGTTGTAAATGCAAAGGAAAAATGTCTTGAAGAAAATTAAAAGTGCTGCTCCAGTGAACACATGGATGATAGGAAAGTGAAATAGCCTTGTTGCTGATATGAAAAGTTTTTTTATTTTTATTTTTTGAGACAGAGTCTCACTCTGTCGCCCAGGCTGGAGTGCAGTGTTGTGACCTTGGCTCACTGCAACCTCCGCCTCCCGGGTTCAAGCGATTCTCCCGCCTCAGCCTCCCGAGTAGAGTGGCTGGGACTACAAGCGTAAGCCACCATGCCCAGCTAGTTTTCATATTTTTATTTTTTAATTTAATTTTATTTTTTATTTTTATTTTTTTGCAGAGACAAGTGAACATTTATTTTTGGGCCTTTCTTCCTATGTGTATTTCAAGTCTTTTTCAAAACAAGGCCTCAGGAATCTCCAGATTCAATTATGTCCCTGGGCTTGGTCGACTGCTGCCAGAGTCTTAGGGGGTCTTGTACAAATGCTAGAGTTACTCATTTAGCAACATTAAACCCAAGGATAGAAGATGCACATGGAATGTGTTGATTTAGACGAGGCAGCTGCCAATGTAGAAAACTCTGGAATTTTTCCTTGGGAATGACTGTGATGAGAGGTGCCCGCCATAAACATAAGCTACTGTCTTTTCTTTGACCCTTCCTTTCCAGTTTTTGAAGATTAAGCAGGAAATAATCTTCTCTGAAGATACTTGATAAAAATTCCCCAAAAAAACCCAAAACACACGCTTCCACTTCACTGATAAAAATGTACTGCAGTTTGGCACCTGGGTCTAGTTCAGCTGGCGGATGAGCTGATTGACGTGTTCACCCCGATAGCCAGGTGTGCCCATCTCGAGGAAGCCCACTCTATTTTTGGTAGCATGATGGGCCACTGAGAGGTGGAAACGACGCAAGAACCATGAAGTCTCCTGGAAATACTTCCCCAGGTGCTCCGCAACCACTGTGTTGTCTGTCAGAGGGATGGTCTTATTCTTGACCTTGACCACGTTTCAAAATCAGTTCCCAGAGAAAATTCAGATTTGGAAATCCCCAGGTCACATAAGATCCCATTACATGCAGCAGGGGGTGACTTTTACAAAGACACCACTAAAAACTTTCTTTAGGCAAAATCTTGCAATGGTTTTCTGCACCAGTAAACTCACACGCCATCAAACTTTTTTTGTTTTGTTTTGTTTTGTTTGTTTTTTTTTGAGACAGAGCCTAACTCTGTCGCCCAGGCTGGAGTGCAGTGGTGAGATCTCGGCTTACTGCAACCTCAGCCTCCGGGTTTCAAGCGATTCTCCTGCCTCAACCTCCCGAGTGAGTAGCTGAGACTACAGGCGCCTGCCACCACGCCCAGCTAATACTGTATTTTTAGTAGAGATGGGGTTTCACTGTGTTGGCCAGGCTGGTCTTGAACTCTTCACCTTGTGATCCGCCCGCCTCGGCCTCCCAAAGTGCTGATATTAGAAGCATGAGCCACCGTGCCCGGCCACACCATCAATCCTTTTGATACGTACAAGAAAGGCCAAGGAATGTTTATCTGGCAATTCCAAAGCATGAGGTTTCACTTCTAGTCGTCTGAGACCCACCTTGTCATGTTTCTGCCGCCAGGAATCATGTAGGATTCCAGTCCCTTAAACCTGAGCCCTTTTCCTTTCCTTTGTTCCTCTTTGCCAAAAGTACCTGCTTTGCCTGGGTAGCTCTGAAGGCTTAATAAGCCTTCCTCTTTTTCAGGAGATTTTCTGGAACCAAAGGGATTCTTTTTTTTTTTTTTTTGAGACGGAGTTTCACTCTTGTTGCCCAGGCTGGAGTGCAATGGCGCAATCTTTGCTCACCACAACCTCCGTCTCCTGGGTTCAAGCGATTCTCCTGCCTCAGCCTCCCTAGTAGCTGGGATTACAGGAATGTGCCACCACGTCCGGCTAGTTTTGTATTTTTAGTAGAGACGGGGTTTCTCCATGTTGGTCAGGCTGCTCTCGAACTCCCGACCTCAGGTGATCCACCCGCCTCAGCCTCCCAAAGTGCTGAGATTACAGGCATGAACCACCGCGCCCAGTCAAAGGGATTGTTTCTTTGTTCTTGCTCCACCATCTTTCTATTGTTGCAGCTCAATTTTTGTATTTTTAGTAGAGATGGAGTTTCACCATGTTGGCCAGGCTGGTCTCGAACTCCTGACCTCAAGTGATCCGCCCCTCTCGGCCTCCCAAAGTGCTGGGATTATAGGTGTGAACCACTGTGCCCAGCCTAAGTTTTAGTGGTCTCCATAGACAATCAAACCAGCCACAACATTCACTTAAGCCAAAGCCTACTCCAGAGCAAGGCCCTAGCTCTCTTCAATTCTACACAGGATGAGAGAGGCGAGGAAGCTGCAAAAGAAAAGTGTGAAGCTAGCAGAAGTTGATTCATGAGGTTTAAAGAAACTATCTCCATAATATAAAAGTGCAAGGCAAAGTACCAAGTGCTGATGAAGAAGCTGCAGTAAGTCACGCAGAAGGTCTAGTTAAGATCACCGATGAAGGTGGCCACACTAAACTACAGATTTTCAGTGTAGACAAAACAGCCTTCTGTTGGAAGAAGATGTCATCTAACTTTCACAACTAGAGAGGAGAAGTAAACCTCTGGCTTCAAAGGACAGGCCAACTCTCTTGCTAAGGGCTAATGCAACTGCTGACTTTTAGTTGAAGCCAGTGCTCACTTACCATTCTGAAAATCCCAGGGCCCTTAGGAATGATGCTAAGTCTACCCTACCTGTACTCTAGGACGCAAAAACAAAGCCTGGATGACAGCACATCTGTTTAGGGCATGGTTTACTGAATATTTAAAACCTGCTGTGGAGACCTACTGCTCAGAAAAAAATATTTCCTTAAAAATATTACTACTCATTGACAATGCACCTTGTTACCTGGGAGCTCTGACGGAGATATACAAGGAGATGAATGTGGTTTTTGTGCCTGCTAACACGACATCCATTCCGCAGCCCATGGATCAAGCAGTCGTTTCAGCTTTTAAGTCTTATTATTTCAGAAATACATTTGGAAGACTACAGCTGCCACAGTGTTTCCTCTGATGGATCTGGGCAAAGTAAATTGAAAACCTTCTTCACCACTCTAGATGCTATTAAGAACATTTGTGTTGAATTCACATGGGAAGAGGCCAAATTATCAACATGAACAAGAGTTTGAAGAACTGGATTCTAACCCTCATGGGTGACTTTGAGGGGTTCAAGAAGTAACTGCAGATGTAGGGAAAACAGCAAAAGAACTAGGAGTGGAGCTTGGACATGTGACTGAATTGCTGCACTCTCACAATCAAACTTGATGCCAGGCGCGGTGGCTCACGCCTGTAATCCCAGCACTTTGGGAGGCCAAGGCGGGTGGATCATGAGGTCAGGAGATCAAGACGATCCTGGCTAACAGGGTGAAACCCCGTGTCTACTAAAAATACAAAAAATTAGTCTGGAATGGTGGCGGGCACCTGTAGTCCCAGCTACTCAAGAGGCTGGGCAGAAGAATAGCTTGAACCCGGGAGGCAGAGCTTGCAGTGAGGGGAGACTGTGCCACTGCACTCCAGCCTGGGCAACAGAGCAAGACTCCATCTCAAAAAAAGAATGTGCCCACTCCTCCCCCGCTATACAAGAGTAACTGGCTCAGGAAGCAGAGAAATCCGGACCTCAGCTGTCTGGCCCGTTAAGTGGCTGGTGTCTAAGCCTCAACACAGAAGAACTGGTTTTGTCCCATCAAATTGCTCTCCACCCAACAGTCAGGAATAACTAACTCCCAACCACCCAGATGCTCATGTGAAGGAAGCCACATTTGTTACTAGATCTGGGTTTGGTCCTACAGCTGCTCTTCTGATATAAACCACTCTGAGCAAATCCCTTACTTCCTGTCCGTGTTACTGCATCTGAAACATGGGGATTCTACTGGTGATCTCAAAGGGGAGACTTCAATGAGAATGACAAACATACGGTGCTAGGTACCTACAGGCACTCAGCAAGCAACGATCGTCCCCCGGCCAACCTACTTTACAGTCACTCAAAAAGTGGCTGAGACAGGAAAGGAGTGGTACAATCTTTTGGCCATGGTGAACTGTAAAGGTAACTGTGTTTGTTTTGTTTTGTTTTGTTTTTTGAGACGGACTGTCCCTCTATCGCCCAGGCTGGAGTGCAGTGGCGCAATCTCAGCTCACTGCAACCCCCGCCTCCTGGGTTCATGCAATTCTCCTGCCTCAGCCTCCCAAGTAGCTGGAACTACAGGCACAAACCACCACACCCAGCTAATTTTTGTATTTTTAGTAGAGATGGGGTTTCACCATGTTGGCCAGGCTGGTCTCAAACTCGTGACCTCAGAAGGGTAATTGTTAGAACCTATCCACTAATTCTTTCCCTAACCCCTAAATCAGGTAGAGATTCTATTTCAAACGAGGGTACTTTGACTTTGCAGTGTTGCTATGTTCCCTGATGCTTGGTAATTACCTTAGGTAATTAACACGGATACCTTAGGAATTACCTTAGCTGTTCCCCTCACAATCTTGAGAATTTACACCATACAAAACATATGCCGGCTTGGGAAGGCTATTTCTCAGGAACACACACTTGAGATGCTGACTACTGTGTGGCTTCCTACGTGTCTTGTCAGGCATCCTGCCATATACTTCCTTGCACAAGGGGGGAAGCGCCACAAAATATTAAATAGCCAAACAATTAAATAGTAGCTGCAAAAAGAACAGAAGAACTTCACAGATGTCACTGTGAAGTGATGCTTATCACACTCTAATATGTCTCACCAGCAGGATTACGGGGCTTTTACAAAACTGAAGACAAAATGAAGAGCAGCAGCTTCTAGAATAAGGTATTGAGCTGCACACGCACTGTATACCCAAAATGTGTCTTTGGTAAGCAGTAACAGTACATCTACTCAAATGGTAAAAAGAACCCAAATGAACACAATGCAATCACACAAACTAGACTTTGCCCTAAATTCCATGAATGGCTGTCCATGGTAGACCTGGTTCATGATCCAATATGAGGAAGATAAAGAAAAAGTACCCCTTACACACTTCCAAACAGCTATTCGCTAAACATGTTCCTAAAGCAAATCCAGTATCAGGACGGGTAAAGTTTATTTTCTTCGCATAAGGTATTCAAGTAGGTCATGACATGTGTACTTTGTAAGCTTCCAGCCACTAAGTTTCACATCTGTTCTGGAGTCTCTCCCCAACCAAGCTGTGTGCAGCCATTTGGCAATATTTGGAGACAATTTTAGTTGTTATATCTGGAGACATGTTCTGACATCTAGTTGGTGGACGCCAAGGATGCTGCTAAACATCCTATTACGCATAGGGCAGTCTCCCACAACAGAGAATTGTCCAAAATGTTAATACTGCCCAAACAGATAACACTGCCCTGCTCTAGGGCAAAAATAAAAATTATCACTGTCTATAAGACTTGAAATAACTCAGACTGAATCTAAAGAATTATACAGATGATAAGTAAACTTAAAAGATACAGTTGATGACACTATGGACCTAATTATACTTTAGATCCTATCATGTCACTCCCTGATTTTAAAAAAGTATGTATTATGAAAGTACATGTTAATTAGCACAAATAATCAAATGTTTGTCCTATCTTCTCATTCTGAAAAGGATCCAGAACACTGCTCCTAAGCTTGGCTCATGGGGCCAGGAATATCATGTGTCTTTTGGTATTGACTTTCCAAACTAGATAGTAATTCTACATTAATGTTCAAAATATATTGCAAATTCTAGTCCTGGTGCATTTTAAGCCGATTTCGACATCAGACATGGGGGGTCAGCTTTTCTAGGAACAGATCTGGGAATCTGTATTTTCACCAGGATTTCCTGGTCATCCTCAGGCATGATAAAACTTGAGAACCACTGACTCAGATTTTTCTTCTATAAGAGAAGAGCTGCCATTCCCACTTCCTTCTCACTATAAATTAAAGAGTGACAATCAAATAATTCATAGGTACAAGAGATCGATAGTCCACAGTAACATATGACAGTGCCCTGAAACAGCCTACCTAAAATGATATCCCTTTAAAAGTGAGGCCAGTAGAAGAAAGAACATCTCATAGGCACTGTCATAAAATGTCCTATATCAGAATGGTTTTGCCATTCTTTCCATCTGAATATATTTTAAGCAGCACAGTTTAAACACAAGGCACCAAATTCTTCCCTGGTCAAGTTTGGTGTTGGTGATTCGCAAGATTCTTCAAGGAAACAGATGTTTTTAAGCACCCTGCCACCACAAGGTACACATTTAAGTATGTGCTTTCTATTCCATATTCACTTACAAAACATTAACTATGTTAAGGGGTCATAACCAGGGGATTAACACAAATTTGGTTTTTCAAATAAAAGGGAACAATATTTTCCCTCTGGATTTTTCTGTAGGCCAAGCACCAAATTGAAGACTCGGTGGAGACTATCACTTCAGATGATAGCATGTCTCCAAGCAAGACAAATGAAAGGGAAAATGAAGCAAAGGGAGAGTGGGGAGCTACAATAAAAACCGAGCTATTCTTTGCCAAGTGCCTGCTATTTTCAGGCATTTTACAAACGTTTTCTTTTTCAGCCCTTGCCATCTCCATAAAAGCAGATAATATCTATTCTGTTGATGAAAAAATTGAGGACCAGGGAGGTTAGGCAACCTGTTCAAATTCACAAAGCTAAGAGACAGGTGATCTGCGATTCAAATGCAGGAAGACAAACTCTACTTATTCCTCCCCCACCCCTGCCCGATCCTGTTCACTAGCAATCTGGCAGTGGTTCGTGGTAATTTCCTGTGAACACATAACTTGTAATCTCAAATATTTTAAATGGAAAACACTGCAAGAAGTATTCCATGTCTAATTTTTACCACTCACTCTAAGGTGTGCTATGGCTTATTCATCTTAGCAATTGAATGGAATCAAGTAAGCTGACATATGTAGAATCATTCTAAAGCCCTAAAGCACCATACACGCGTAAGGCATTATTTATAAATATTAATTTTACTTTGAAGATCTTTGGCAGGTGGCAACAGATCCTGAGATACTTTGAAATAACTTAGTGATACCCTAGGATACTGTGAAATCATAACTGAGGTTACAATGAACTGGCTTCTAATAGTATATATAAATGATTTCAATAATAAACATGTCATCATTTTGTAAGTGACTCCATTAGAGAGGACAAGCCTCCACCTTAGCTGTGGGCATTTCCTGGAGCTCCATTCTGGGCCTGGCCTCTGCTTTGCCATTGTCCCTTTGGCAGGTTCATCTACTGCATGGCTTAGGACCTCACCTCTGCTGGGGCATCAACTTACGTGCTCACTCTTAATCTTCTTCTTGCTCTCCAGACCAGAAATTTCCCTTATATCATAGATGTCTCTTGGCATTTCAAACTTAAATTGGTTAAATCCATCTTTTTAATAGAGTCCACCTTTTCTCTGGTACAATTCTTCTCTTCTTCCTGTTTTTCCTCCCTAACTGCATCAGTTATCACCTCTAGAAATCTCAGAATTATCTTCAATTCTGCCCAATACATAGAATTGTACACTGGATTCTAAAGAAGTGGCTCTCAAATGTACCCTCTTCTTTCTTTGCCTACTCCCATAAGTTGTCAAAAAAAAAAAAAAAAAAAAAAACCACACCAATAAAACCAACCACCTCTGATGAGATTATGATTCTTCTTTCAACTCCTTCAATGAACCTCAGAATCTAGGGAATGCCACCCAACCTCCTTGGAATGGTCTTGTGTCATCTTGCCCCCAACAGACTAATTTCATCTTCCAAAGGGATCTTTGTTGCCCTGCCCATCACCCTCATAAGCCAATCTGCTCTTCCTTAAACACTTGGGACATCTTAATACCTCTGCGCCTTTATTAATTTCATTCCGTCCTCTTTCTCCATCATCAGTACAGAGTGCAGTTTCTACAACCTGCTATCTCCAGGCTCACTGTTCCCTCTATCTGAAATGCCTTCTCCTGCAAACTCAATTCATCCTTAAAGTCACAGCATGAGCTATAAACACTGAAAAACTGTTCACAATTTCTCCACTTTCTTCACCTCAGCCCCAGAATCCCTCTACTTCGTATACACCTCTGTTAGCGTTCTTATCACGGTAATCAGTCATTTACATTTCTCTATCCTTAGGTGACAATGGGCCCAATGACTGCAGGGATATTTGTTTCCTTTGAATTGCCAGAATTCAGTGTCTGTCACCAGTGTAAGATGACTGACTGACTCTCATGACTACCATTAAATGCTAGGTTTTGTGCTCATTTTCAAAAAGTAATGTCTAATAAGATATGAAATACAGTTCTTCTTTTCCCTGTGTTTATTGAGGTGTACTTGACAAATAAAATGCAAATTCTTAACCAGAGACCTACGCCCTATGGACTGTACTGTTTATCAATAAAAGAAACAAATAATAAAGCTAACAGATCTACAATTCGCTCTGCTACTATATAAGCCTATGCATTACCCATCTCAGCACTGATACCATGTTTGCATGGTATCAGTTTGTCTGTCTTCACCAGCCAGTGTGCTACTTAAGGGTAGGGACCAAGTCATGTTCAACTAACCCACTTCCTAGCACATAGTATAGCAGGCAGGCAATGATTTCTTTTAAATTTTTGTTCAGAATGCATCACACTGCAATACTAATAACCAAACTTTTATATTATATAGAGCATGCCAATTTCAAAAGAATAAAAACGTAGTTATATTCCAAAAGTTCATTCTTAGCTTGGTTACATGGCACACAGAACACACATTACCACAGAAACAATGTTCAAGATTAAGACTACATTTATATTCCATTTCATAAAATCTTATTCTACCCATATTTTGCCTGAAATTTTGTATATTTAGGGGCAAATGCAGGAAGGAATGCTATAGATTTTCTTAGCACTGTAAAATATATCTGAACATCAGAAAACTTCATCACCCCTCCACAAAGTGTCTGCTCTGTGACCGCCACCTGCTTCCTATTGTTGGACTAGAAAAGGGTCAGGAATACAAAGAGTGTGACCGAGCAGGGAGGAAGCCCTGTGGAGTTGAGGGTAAACAGACTAGAAAGGCTCTGGTTTCTATGCCAGATACTTTCTATCCGTTTCTCTTTTCCCCTCCAGAGAAAGTGGGGACCAATGCAGCTTGGGTAGGCAGGTAACTGCCAAGAGCCAACTCAGCCAGATGACCCACCAAACCACAGCACAAGCAGACAGCCTACCCTAGCAGGACTTGGAGCAGCTGCAAAGGCAGGCAGGGACAGGTGGAAAGTTACAGCACACGTGTGCAAGAAACCCCAGTAAGCCATCATGTCATTCCTGAAATCACACTGACACAGAGAAAGGGATGGGACAGAGAGGAGAGATCAACTTAAGTCAGACATGTCAGTTGAGGGACTGCTTATGGAATTATGAGATACGGAAGACTGAAGAAGTTCTCTGGAAGTTTATGTTTAGGAGATGATCCACAACCAAAAATGTATGACATCACTTATTTCTCAAGAGTACAGATAAAGAAAAACAGTAACAAACTTAATTCTTTTCATTTTTTAATTAGTTAAATTTCAAACAAATGGGAGTCTGCTCTATTAAAATTTGATATCTGTAAGTGAATTTTCAGAAGCAGAAGACCTTTTTGATGATGTTTACATATCTATAAATATGAATGATGCAAATTTCGAGTCCTATGATATCAGATGACAAGATACAGCCCAAGCTTCAGCTCTTGCTAATTAAACGAATCAATTAAGAGACTACAGTTGCAACTGTGTAGCTGCTGTTCTATAGTAGCAATAACAACCCCACGGGGAGGTCTTTTACTACATTAAAATGCTGTCCTCCACAACTCCATCTGATATTATTAGAAACAGTTATTTGTGTCTTGCTGTCATATTAGTAGCAAAGGCAAATTATGGAAATATGCAGACCAGAATGGTCCCAGTATGAGATCAGGTTGGGTTTTCAGCCTCCAAGGGAACAATTGCTGAAACTCCAAAGTTCCCCAAAGTTCTTTAATGGAACTGATAAATCTATCAGCACAGCATCCATTTAGAAGCTAGGTAAGGGTCACATATTTACATACCTTCCTGCTAAGCTGATACAATTCAACTAGATGAATTATCATATTAAGTTTACCCTCCTGAGTTAAACTGATGGAGTTCAAAATTGTTTTCGATGGTTGTCATTAATCGCTGTTACTTCATAAGTGCTTACTTTGAAATCTAATTGTGCTGGTGTATCAAGGGTCATATTAATAGCATTCTTAATGGTAAATCTTTGTAAAACATGTTTATTCTACTAATATTATCACTCAAGCTTTCAAGGGTAATATGAAATAAAGTATATTTATTATCAATAAAAACTTAATTTAAAATGTATAATTTGAGATTTAAATTAGCTTTAAGAACTTTAGCATCATTTGGTTTCATTAGATCTCTGGCTAAGCTTCAAAGATACTGAAAATTTGATCGTTTCTCAAGAGTCCTTGGGTGAATGCCAATACTGCAGCCATGAAGAAGCTGTTCAATGGAGTCTAAGCTTATTTTCTCTTTCATACAAACATTGTTTTTATAAGGGAAAAAAAGTCAGTCTCACTGAGATATGTTTGCCTTATTATAGTACTTTAAAACCTAATTATAATAAAAATTTGCAATAAAATGGTAACTTCTGCATTCTTTAATAACAAAATATTTATTCTTATTGTGAAGCACAGTTCAAGTAAGGAATTCTGGTTAAGTAAAACACCAGCTCTCTTCGATTTCTTTGTGAGCTTACACTATCTGATGTACACAGACTCACAGCTTCACCAAAACATGCAAACAAAACAAACAAAACCCAGACAATTTGCAATTTGAAATGGGCACAGATATCCTGGAAAAATTCTGGGATCTGCAGCTTACCAACCAAATGTATGTTAGGGACTGAACGTCCAAATTCATATGCTGAATGCCTAACCCTCAATGTGACAGTATTTGGAGACGCAGCCTTTCAGAGTTCATTAGAGGAGGTCATGAGGGTGGGGCCCCATGATGGGATTAGCGCCCTTAACAGGAAGGAAGATCAGAGTTTGCACTCTCTCTCTGCTACGGGAGAATAGGCATTTGCCTGCAGCCTAGGAAGAGGGCCCTCACCAGGAACTGAATCTGCTGGCACCTTACTTAGACTTCCCAGGCTCTAGAACTGTGAGAAATAAACATCTGTTGTTTAAGCCACCCGGTCAATGGTGTTTCATTATGGCAGCCTGAGCAGTTGTACTTAGCAGTTACTGCAGAGAGCTCCCTGGATTCCACAGTCAAGCAATTTGTTCTCAAGGTCCTCTGATGTTCAACAGCCTGACTTCAAAGTTGGTGAGGGCTGGTTTTGCATCCTGTTTCTACCAGTTATTACCATAGGATAGTTATTTTAACCTTTCTATGCTCACTTTTGTCTTCTGAAAATTAGGCATAGCCATCATCAGTGTTCCTGCATTTTTGAGTATGGGGTACGAACTGCAGTCATACAGGTGATGTATGAAAATACTAGGGAAATAAATGGTAGTACTCAAATGAGACCTAAGAAGTAATGCTCTGTTTGTAAAATATATTTTCAGGTAAGTTGCCTCAGTCACTTTTTAGCTTTACATGTGTGTCAAGTAGGCTTTCAGATCTATATAGCATACTGGGTTGAATAGTGTCATCCCAAAATTCATATCTACTCAGAACCTCAGAATGTGACCTTATTTGGAAATAGGGTCTTTGCAGACATAATGAGTTAAATGAGGTTTCACTGGATTAGGGTGAGCCTTAAATCTGATGACTGGTGGTGCTGGATTTATGTGAATGAACACACACAGTCATAGGGAAGAAGGCCATGTGACAGCAGCAGAAGACCCTGGAATTACATAGCCACAAGCCAAGGAAGGCAAGGACTGCCAGGAGCTACTAGAAGCCAGGAGAGAGGCACAGAACAGACCCTCCCTAAGAGCCTCTAGGGAGGCGCCAACCCTGCCCACACCTTGATTTTAGATTCCTGGCTCCCAGAACTGTGAAGGAACACATTTCTGTTATTTTAAGCCACCCGGTTTGTGCTAATCTGTTGCATCAGCCCTAGGAAACTAACACGGAATCCTATGTATTACTGTTTGGGAGTGGCAGAGTAATAAAACGGATAGATACCAAAGGTGAGAATGTGGTGTCCTGAGTACTTGTATGTACACCCAGGCCATCCTCCTGGGTCATAAAGGCACAAATTTTATCTGAATGTCCCATTCTGTTAATTTGGAAAACTTTTCCTTCATTAAACAAAAAACTGGCTAACAATCTTATTTTAATTTTTAAATCTTCGCTTTTTTGATTTTTTTGAGGTGGGGTCTCACTCTGTTCCCCAGGCTGGAGTGAAGTGGAGTAATCATACCTCACTATAGCCTTGAACTCTTGGGCTCAAGCCATCTTTACTCCTTAGCCTTCTGAGTACCTGGGTCTATAGGTGGGCGTCACCATACTCCGCTAGTGTGTGTGTGTGTGTGTGTGTGTGTGTGTGTGTGTGTGTGTGTGTATGTGTGTGTGTGTGTGCGCGCAGAGATGGGGTCCCACTGTGTGTATATGTGCGTGTGTGTGTGTGTGTGTGTGTGTGTAGAGATGGGGTCCCACTGTGTGTGTGTGTGTGTGTGTGTGTGTGTGTGTGTGTGTGTGTGTGTGTGTAGAGATGGGGTCCCACTGTTGCCCAGGCTGGTCTTGAACTCCTGGGCTCAAGCAATCCTCCTGAGTAGCTGGGATTACAGGCATGAGCCACCATGCTTGGCCACAATTTTTAAACAAAGTTCAAACAGCGTAACAGGAAAAAGACCTTATGCTTGGATTGAAAGTTTATAAGCGAAAGGACTGAAAGTAGACAGAATAAACCTAATGAATCTCTATAAAATCTGAAATCTATAAGCAGACATGGGGTTCTATAAACAGAAGGTGGTCCTTCATGTTCCCAGACTATGTATCAGGATAAGCTGGGCTACGCATTAGCAATAAGTCAACACTGAGATCCCAGTCTACTACAGCTTGCAAGTAGCAGTGCTCACTGCCACTCTTCAGAAGGAACTCATGCTGACAGGAGCATCAGCGTCACACACAACCTCCAAGGGGGGCATGGCAGGGACTAGAGGGCTCACACTTGCTCTTAGCTATCTCTGACCAAAAGTGACACACATCACTACCAGGAGACAATTCACCCCCAGGTCTCTTGCATTTTTCCACTTCTTGTGAGCAAGACACTGATTGTTCTTTGCTCTGAACTACCTTTTCAAAGATGCTTGTACAGTAAATGGCCTTGGTAGAGTGTCTCCCTCCAGATCAAAGGGCAGGTGCGATTACTGCACAGTATAAAAAGACTCAGGTTCTCTAAACTCAGAGCTCCTCTCCTATAATGCAACCCATTATGTGTGCAGGTATCATGTCTCTTTGCATTGCCCTAGAGGAATCTGGGTTCAGGGAAATGGTACAAAGACAATGGTATCCTGACCACTGCTGCTGCTGTAATAAACTGTCCTTCATCTCTGATCCTGGAGTCTCATGTTTTCTATCAGCATCTATGAAATGTCGCAGGCTGATTTGTCAGCCAGCAAGTAGCATAAATCTCAGAACCTTCAGAGTCATTGACAGTCACTTCCATTCATAGCTCATAGTCAGAACGTGTGCGTGAAAGATTATCTAGGTGCCGAGGCAAGAGACTGAAGGCACAAACTGTTTCAGTATATTAAAGAAAATAGTTAGAATAAGAATAGTCATAATACAAATTAGATATAGAGATGATCATGGACATTATCAATCATTATAAACATTATGAATCATTAGCTTTTAATATTACTCTTTGTTGCATTACTAATATAACCTAGGAATAACCGGCGGGCATAGGGTCAGGTGCTGAAGGGACATTGTGAGAAGTGACCTAGAAGGCAAGAGGTGAGCCCTCTGTCACGCCCGCATGAGGGCACCTTGGTCAAGCGGTAATGCCAGTGTCTGCGAAGACACCCATTACTTAGCAGACCGCGAAACGGAGTCTCTTTTCCTTGGAGGAGTCAGGGAACACTCTGCTCCACCAGCTTCTTGTGGGAGGCTGGATATTATCCCAGTCTGCCCGCAGTCATCTGGAGTCCTAAACCCCTCCCTGTGATGCTGTGCTTCAACGGTCACGCTCCTTGTCCACTTTCATGTTCCTCCCGTAACTCCTGGTTCCTCTTTGAAGCTCGTAGTAGATAGCGGTAGAAGAAATAGTAAAAGTCTTAAAGTCTTTGATCTTTCTTATAAGTGCATAGAAGAAAACGCTGACGTATGCTGCCTTCTCTCTCTCAGCTTCGGCTACCTAAGAGGGAAGGGCCCCCCTGTTCTACGATCACGTGACTTGCTTCACCTTGTCAATCACTTAGAAGATTCACCCTCCTTACCCTGCCCCCTGGTCTTGTACTCAGCGCGCCCAGCCGTTCGGGGCCACTACCGGTCTCCGCATCTTGATGGCAGTGGTCCCCCAGGCCCAGCTGCTTTCTCTTTATCTCTTTGTCTTGTGTCTTTATTTATTACAATCTCTCGTCTCCGCACACCGGGAGAACACCCGCTAAGCCCCAAAGGCCTGGGCCCTACAAGAATGAGTCATAAAAGTCCACACCTAACCCTCTTGCCTTATTGAAAAGCCAAATGACATATACTTAATTTGTATCATTCACATACTAAATTCATGTATTTTTGCAGTCCCATGTCATAGAGAAACACACAAAAAGCTATAAGAGGTACTTCTCAGAGGTGGAAACCAAATGGCTGATGAAGAGAAATAGCCAATAAATAAGAAAAGATGTTCTACTTCATTAATATCAGGATAAAGCAAATTGAAACAACAATGAGGGCACTATTCACACTGGCAAAAATTAAGAAGATCCAAGTGAAGATGTGGAACAAAGTGAACTCATTCACTGCATACTCAATGCACAAAACCCTAAAGAAACTATTGCATATGGCCGGGCATGGTGGCTCACATCTGTAATCCCAGCACTTTGGGAGGCTGAGGTGGGTGGATCATTTGAGGTCAGGAGTTTGAGACCAGCCTGGCCAACACAGTGAAACCCCATCTCTACTAAAAATAGAAAAAGTAGCTGAGTGTGGTGGCATGCACCTGTAGTCCCAGCTACTTGGGAGGCTGAGACAGAAGAATTGCTTGAACCCAGGAGGTGGAGGTTGGAGTGAGCCAAGACTGCACTACTGCACACCAGCCTGGGTGACAGAGGGAGACTCTGTCTCAAAAAAAAAAGAAAGAAACGATTGCATATGTGCCATCAGTACACATATACCCACGTACCAAAATGCTTCGGGTAGTAGTGAGAATTACAGCACAAAACACTGGAAACTACCCAATTATCCATGAGTAGCAGGCTAGTTTATCAACACCACAGCATCCTGCATTGCTGAGCATAAATGAATTATACCTCCATGCAACATACGAGTCTCACAAACACAAAGCAAAATCACCAAGTCACAGATGATTCCAGAATATAATTCTATGTATATCAAGTTTAAAAACGCGTAAAACAAAAATGTATATCACTTAGGGATATAAATGTGGGAAAATTATAAAGAAAAGCAAAGAATAATAGATACAAGTCGGGAAGATGTTAGTTCCTTGTGCAGGGAGAGAATGAGTGACAGAATGGGAGTAACACAGAGACCTTCCAAACTAATGGTTACGTTTTTAAAAACTCTTCAGGCTAGTAGCCTCCTTCTCAAGGAAGGCTTCCCTGGTCACACCACTTACAATTCTGGTCACTCTTTCCAACATTTTATTCCACCCTTTGCCCACTTTATTTACTTTTTTTCATTAGCAGTTACCACTGCTTGACATACTACATATTTTACTTTTTTGATGTATTTGATCCTCCCACCTCAGCCTCCCAAAGTGCTGGCTTTATAGGCATGAGTCACCAAGCCAGGCCTGTATTTCCTGTCTTTAGTCTTTTGTTCAAGTCTTACACTTAGGTATGCAAATCTGTTGTATCATCATTCTTTATAAATGTTTTATAAGAATGTAAAGTATAATATTTCATATATATAATATCTAATACAAGCATTTTTTTTAAAGTAATGAGATTTGTTTTACTGAAAATGAAAATCACAAACCAGCTTTTTTTAAAAGTTCAGAGTGAATAAAAAATGAAATGAATTATTTTTAAGTTTGTATTTTCTCTAAGTTGAACAGTAACCTTATTTTTGAACCTTATTTACACAACAGAAGTACTTCTCTTAGTCTAAAATTGAACTCTCCTTTGAACATTGAAGATCATGTTTATCAATATTGACAAAAACAAACTTATATAGAAAATTCTACAAGGATTCTCACAAAGACAAATCTATACCTGGAAAGCATCACCTTTGCCATGGGACATGCTGCTATTCCTGACCTGTGTGTCTTGGAAACTATACTTGCTTTAGACATCTTTGACTGAAGCAACATATGCTAGCTAGGAATCAATCTGTATTTGTTGTAACAGGACCACTACTATCTTCAAACTATTTCTTTCCCCCTTTCAGACTGATCTACTATTGCTAATAACACACACAGAAAAATTCAGTAAAACAAAGCACATTGGCCATCCAAACTGCTATGCTGTACTGTGAATTTTACAGTAATTAGAAATTACTCTAGAAATTGTACCTGAAACTGACATTCCTGCTAGGTATAAACTGTATAAACAGAGTGGACACAGCCCCTTTAGAACTCATTGGCAAGGAATCTATGATTTATTAGGGGCAGAGGAAAGTGTCAGCTACATGAAATTCTTTTTTTTTTTGGCCAGGTGCGGTGGCTCACGCCTGTAATCCCAGCACTTTGGGAAGCTGAGGCGGGTGGATCATGATGAGGTCAGGAGATCGAGACCATCCTGGCTAACACAGTGAAACCCTGCCTCTACTAAAAATACAAAAAAATTAGCCGGGTGTAGTGGCCGGCACCAGTAGTCCCAGCTACTCAGGAGGCTGAGGCAGGAGAATGGCCTGAACCCAGGAGGCGGAGCTTGCAGTGAGCGGATATCGAGATCGCGCCACTGCACTCCAGCCTGGGCAACTGAGTGAGACTCTGTCTCCAAAAACAAAAACAAAACAAAACAAATCAAAAAGACATTCTTTTTTTCCCTTTTTTCCGGTGACTTTTGTTGTCCATTTAAGTAGGGGTGTGTACATGTGGTGTGTTTTTGTTTCTTGTGTTTTTTTATGCTAGCATGTTTTGGGTGCCTGAAGTGGATAAAAGGGAGTGAAATTGAAGGGCACCTGCTGATGGAACAGGCCCTGAACTGAGAGCCAGGAAATCTGTATACCCTTTAGTGCTCTACACACCAGCCAGACGTGAAACCTTGGGGAAGTCAAGTGACCTTTTCTAAGATACAGTTTCCTTATCCATGGAAGACAGCTTAGTTCAGCTCCACAGTCCCAAAAAGCTCCCTGCACTTTCTTTTTCTCCATTTGTTTCTTCTTCTTCTTTTTTTTTTTTTAAACTAGAGTGTAGTGGTTGCAATGTCAGCTCACTACAACCTCCACCTCCAAGGTTCAAGCGATTCTCCTGCCTCAGCCTCCTGTAGTAGCTGGGATCGCAGGCTCCTGCCACCATGCCTGGCTAATTTTTGTATTTTTAGTAGAAACAGGGTTTCACCATGTTGGCCAGGCTAGTCTTGAACTCCTGACCCAGGTGATCCTCCCACCTCAGCCTCCCAAAGCGCTGGGATTACAGGTGTGAGCCACCATGCCCGGCCTCCATTTGTTTTCATATTTGCTTTTTTCTTTGAGACAGGGTACAGGGTCTCACTCTCACCCAGGCTGGAGTGCAGTGGTGTGATCACGGCTCGCTGTAGCCTCGACCTCCCTGGGCTCAAGTGATGTTCCTGGGTAGCTGGGACCACAGACATGCACCACCACACCCAGCTAATTTTTTGTAAGGATGGGGTCTCCCTTTGTTTCCCTGGCTGGTCTTGAACTCCTGGGCTCAAGTGATCCTCCTACCTCAGCCTCCCAAAGGGCTGAGTTTATAGGCACGAGCCACCGAGCCAGGCCTGTATTTCCTTTCTTTAGTTTTCTTTTCAAGTCTAACACTCAGGTCCTACATTGGCCAATTTCAGTCATTCATTTGCCCAACCCTGACTGAATACCTCCTCCAAGCCAGGCCTTGTTCAGGGCACTGGGCAGAGCACGCTGAGCAGAACAGACAAATCACCCTGCACTCAAGGAGCTTATCACTTCCAGGTGAGGAAGATAGACAACAAATACATCAAAAAAGGAAAATTGCAGTATGTCAAGCAGTGGTAACTGCTAATGAAAAAAATAAATAAATAAAGTGGGCGAGGGGGAATAAGATGTTGGAAAGAGTGACCAGAACTGTAAGCGGCGTGACCAGGGAAGCCTTCCTTCAGAAGGAGCCTACTGAGTAAAGACCGGAAGAAAGTGAGGAAACCCCTGAGCAGACATGTAGGGGCAGATGTTCTTAGTAGAAGAAAAACAAGGGCAGAGACCCTAAGGCATGTGCCCAGCAGGTCTGAAGAAGAGCAACAAGGCCAACCAAGGGATGTTTTCAAAGGACTCCTTTTCCTGCTCTATTAGTGATGGACTAGGGAGTAGCATGGCAGTGAGGTGGACGCCAGCTACTGCCATCCTCCAAACAAGAGATGGCTAAAGGCAGGGCCAGGAGTGGGGGGCGTGGGGACACAGAGACAGAGACAGGGGAGAGGGAGACAGGGAGAGACAGATGGGGAAAAGAGAAAAGGAGAGAGAGAGAAGAAAAAGAGGAGCGAGAAAGAGGAGAAAGAAAAAAGAGAAGGAGAGAGGGAGAGGAAGAAGAGGAGAGAGAGGGAGAGGAAGAAGAGGAGAGAGAGAAAGGAAGAGGAGGAAGAGGAGGAAGAGGAGAGAGGGAGAGGAGGAAGAGGAGAGAGGAAGAGGAGGAAAGGAGAGAGGGAGAGGAGGGAGAGAGGGAGAGGAGAGAGAGAGGGAGAAAAGAGAGAGAGGGAGAGGAGAGAGAGGGAGAGGAGAGAGAGGGAGAGGAGAGAGAGGGAGAGGAGAGAGAGGGAGAGGAGAGAGGAGAGGAAGAGGAGAGAGAGGAGAGGAAGAGGAGAGAGAGGAGAGGAAGAGGAGAGAGAGGAGAGAGAGGAGAGGAAGAGGAGAGAGAGGAGAGGAAGAGGACAGAGAGGAGAGGAAGAGGACAGAGAGGAGAGGAAGAGGACAGAGAGGGAGAGGAAGGAGAGAAGAGAGAGAGAGAGAGAGAGAGAGGAGAGAGGAGAGGAGGGGAAGAGGAGAGAGAGGAAGAGGAGAGAAAGTAATCAAGGATTAGTTCAAGTTGCCATTTTCAGAGAGAGGAAAAACTGAGGGAGAAACTTTTCGAGCTCAGTTTCCGATACATGAAGTTGAGAAACCGATTAGAAACCCAGTAGAGATGCTAAGTAGCAGAGACAGCATGAGTGGACTTCCCAGCACGAACACTGAGGAGTGAAAGCAGTCCTCTCCATCCACGTAATGCAGCTCTGTGTGGCCCTTAAGGCGACTGAGGTCCATCTTACGGACTGACACAGAAAGGTGTCCAAGATCTATTATTGCATGAAAAGATGCATAATTTTCTGGAAGAATTATCTATTGCTAATAACTTAAAAACCTCTAGGGATAGGATATATACTTCTGTGATGGTTAATTTTATGTGTCAACCTGACGAGGCCATGGTACCCAGATGTTAGGTCAAACACTGAGATGTATCATCGAAGATATTTTTAGATGAGACGAACACTGAAATCAGTAGACTTAGAGTTTAGCAGATCACCCTCCACAGTGGGTGGGCCTCATCCAACCCGTTAAAGGCCTTAAGAGAAAAAGACAGACCTCCCCAAGCAAGGAGGGCTTCAGCCAGTGGACTGTCTTTGGACTTGAACTGCAACGCTCCCCTGGGTCTCCAGCCTGCTCATCTACCCTGCAGATTTTAGTCTTGCCAAGCCTCCACAATTGCTTGAGCCAATTCCTTAGATCTATCTTTCTCTTTCTCTCTACACATACGCACACATCTTGTTGATTCCATTTCTCTGGAGAATCTTGACTAATGCAACATATTATGACATACATTTGAATTGTATTTCAAATGTTTTACAATAAGCATGTATTACCTTACTAATCAGAAAAACAAGAATAATCACAAAACTTAGTTCCAATACTTAAAATTTAGGTTACATTGACCAAGTACCTATACATATACTTTATATACATAAATTATATATACATCTCTATAATCGATAAAGCATTCAGTAAACACACATTTTATTAACATCCTTCCTATCTCAATGGCTGCAAAACCCTTTTTCACGCAAGCTCTCTCGCCTGAAATACCTCTTGATATTCTTGCAGAATACCTCTGATATTCTTAATAAACTCCAGAGTTATCTGAAATGCCCAATATGAATCCATATCCTGAATGAGGTACCCAAAGGACATGAACAGACATTTCACAGATTAGAAATGATATCTGGTGAATGAATACATGGAGAAATATTCAAATACAATAGCAATAAACAGAAAAATGAAAATTAAAATAAGGTACTTTTTTTTTTTTTGAGACGGGGTCTCGCTCTGTCACACAAGCTAGAGGGCAGTGGCACAATCGTGGCTCACTGCAACCTCCACCTCCTCAGTTCAGGCGATTCTCCTGCCTCAGCCTCCCTCAGCCTCCTGAGTAGCTGGGATTATAGGCGCCCACCACCACAACCCGGCTAATTTTTGTATTTTTAGCAGAGACAGGGTTTCACCATGTTGGTCAGGCTGGTCTCAAACTCCTGACCTTGGAATCCACCTGCCTCAGCCTCCCAAAGTGCTGGGATTACAGGCGTGAGCTGCCGCACCAAGCCAAATAAGGTACCTTTTTAAACAAATTAGTTTGAAAATTATAGTAACTAATACTAATTATAAACTTATAAGTAAAATAGTAATAATAAATTGAAACTCTTCAGCAGATCAAGTTTACTAATCTTGAAAATTACAACTCACACTAGGTGACAATGCAAAGTTGTGTTCTAATATATGATGGGTGGTGTTCTAAAGGGACATAAAATAATGGGCAACATGTATAATAAGCCATAAAACTATTTATGACTTTGATTCTATTTGGGAGAAAATATATCATACATGTTTAAAAATATCTTATCCACATTTGAAAATAATTCCAGGCCGGACATGGCTCACACATGTAATCCCGCACTTTGGGAAGCCGAGGTGGATGGATCACTTGAGGCCAGGAGTTTGAGGCCAGCCTGGCCAACATGGTGAAACCTCATCTTTAGAAAAAAACACACAAAAATTAGCCGAGCTTGGTGGCAGGCACCTGTAATCCCAGCTATTTGGGTGGCTGAGGCACGAGAATCGCTTGAACCCGGGAGGCAGAGGTTGCAGTGAGCTGAGATTGTGCCCCTATACTCCAGCATGGGCAACACAGTGAGACTCTGTCTCAAAAAAGATAATAATTCCAAACACTAAAATAAAGTGAAATATATGAAGTTGTTCCCTAGAATATCATTTGTAAAGGCAAAAAAGTAGAGGTAATTTAAATATCTAGCAGTAATGAAGCCAAGTTCAAACACATGAGCTACAACTAGTTGAACATTTTTTCTCTGTAAATTAAGAGAATAAAGAATGATTTCATACTTACCACTGTACCAAGAAACTGAATGCTCATGTTTCCACCTGCTTCTCGAGAAAGACACTAAAAAACAAACAAGAGATATAAAATGAACTCATATCTGCACAGCTTGTATGTAATGTTCACGATAGCCAAAAAACCCAAATGTCCATCAACTGATGGATGGGTAAACAAAATATAGTATAGCCATACAGTGGAATATTATTTGGCCATAAAAAGGAATGAAGTAGTGATACATGCTACAATAGAAGTTGGTCACCAAGGATCATGCATTATATGATTCCACTTAATAAGAGATGTCCAGAATAGTAAAATCCATGGAGATGGAAGGTAGATTGGTAGATGCCTCCAAGAGGAGGTCTGGGAGGACATGGAGATGACTGCTAATTGGTGTGGGGTTTCTCAAGGGTATAAACATGGTCTAAAATTGACTGTGGTGGTGGTGGAACACCCCTGTGAATTGACTACAAACCACTAAACTGTAACTTTAAATGGGTGAATTGTATGGTGTGTGAATTATATCTCAATAAAATAGTTATAGAAAATGAATTAGCATTTGTTTAAAACAACAATGCAATTCTATGTCCAGAGAGTAGTGAAAGAAATAACCTCTTTATTATTCATTTATTTATAAATAAAATTTGTTTACAGCAAATATATCACTTGCATATATCTTGTTTGAATTTTAATTAAAAGTAAATACTATGACTATTAAAATTTTAGTTAAAAGTAACTACTACTGCTACTAAAAATGGGTGAATAAGTAGTACACTGGAAGCTGACTACACTGTGAGATAATTCTCACCTACAAAACTGGTCTGTTGGGCCAGGCGCGGTGGCTCATGCCTGTAATTCCAGCACTCTGGGAGGTTGAGGCAGGCGGATCACGAGGTGAGGAATTCAAGACCAGCCTGGCCAATATGGTGAAACCCCGTCTTTACTAAAAATACAAAAATTAGCCAGGCGTGGTGGTGCACACCTGTAGTCCCAGCTACTCGGGAGGCCAAGGCAGAAGAATTGCTTGGACCCAGGAGGCGGAGGTGAGGTTGTGGTGGGCCAAGATCCTGCCACTGCACTCCAGCCTGGATGACAGTGAGACTCCGTCTCAAAAAACAAAAACAAAAACAAAAAAAACTTGCTCTACTTAATCCTAACGTATTCCTCAGAATTCTTCCTCTTCTGGCTAATCAGAGAGGGCTCAGTGACTTCAAAGACTACACACACAAATAAAGCAGTTCTAACTAAGCCAGCATCATTTTTTTAAGTTCCCAGATGTAGAGTATTAGTGGCTTTCACTCAACTACATGCCATGAGCATTACGATACAGATGTATCCTAATTTCATTCCTTTTTACAGAAGTGGAGGTTTACCAACTCTGATCTCTATGATCACAGAAGTAATAGAACCCAGAGTGAACCTCTAGAAATCAAGCTGAGTCCTCGGTTCCTTGACGGAGGGAGGTTAGATCAATAAGAAAGACAGTGGTTTAATGCAAAATGTTTTCCCCTACCTGCAAATATTGCCAAGTAAATTGACACAATGGTAATCTAGATAGCATACTTAAGGCAGTGTGGTATAGAGTAGAAAAAAAATCAGTATGGGAGCATTTTGACCCATGTCACTTCTTTCTTTTTTTTTTTTTGAGACAGAGTTTCATTCTTGTCACCCAGGCTGGAGCGCAATGGCACCATCTCGGCTCACAGCAACCTCTGCCTCCCAGGTTCAAGTGTTTCTCCTGCCTCAGCTTCCTGAGTAGCTGGGATTACAGGCACCTGCCACCACATCTGCCTAATTTTTGTATTTTTAGTAGAGACGGGGTTTCACCATGTTGGCCAGGCTGGTCTCGAACTCCTGGCCTCAGCTCCCAAAAGTGCTGGGATTACAGGTATGAGCCACCATGCCCAACCAACCCATTTCACATCTTTTTTTTTGAGACAAAGTTTCACTCTGTTACCCAGGCTGGAGTGCAGTGGCACAATCTCGGCTCACTGCAACCTCTGCCTCCTGGGTTCAAGCGATTCTCCGGCCTCAGCCTCCCAAGTAGCTGGGACTATAGGCATCTCCCACCATGCCCGGCTAATTTTTTGTATTTTTAGTAGAGATGGGGTTTTGCCATGTTGGCCAGGCTGGTCTCGAACTCCTGACCTCATAACCCGCTCCCTCAACCTCCCAAAGCGCTGGGATTACAGGTGTGAGCCACTGCGCCCAGCCAACCCATTTTACTTCTAAGAATTTATCCTGAGGAAAAAATGTAAGGATAGGCAGAAAAATAAAGCTGAACAAATATCACAGTGTAGTTTATAGAACTGAACAATGGCAAGAAATGTAAATGACGGGGAAAGACACTAGCTAAGTAAATTGTGGTATATATCCAGCCTGCCATTTAAAAAGTTTCAAGATATGAAAAACGCTTACAGTTTATTTCTAAGGGCAAGAAGAACAAAACAATATGTTCAGAATAAGCCTTGTAAAAAATTATGTTACAGAAAAATTCTAGAATTAGTGCACATAAAACTTATTTCTAGGCAAAAATATTAGTTGACTCTCGTTTTCACTTATCTGTTTTTCCTATTCTTTTATACACACATGTTGAACTTAATAAAGGCAAAAAAAGACAGAAAACAAAATGGAATAAAATAGACTCCTTTCCTGTGTCTTAGGGAGACTCAGTTAAGAACGGAGGGTTGATTCCTAGGTTTTGACACTGGCATTTCTACGTTGGTCATCCATCTAATCATCCATCTACCTCTCAACTGTGTTGGGCACTGCTGGCTGAATTAAGACCCACCTTCCAAGAGACTAAGGAAAAGACAGCAGAATTATTGGAAAAATAAGTATAATTCAATACGATAAATGCATAGT
This sequence comes from Homo sapiens, assembly GCF_000001405.40. Classification (NCBI taxonomy): domain Eukaryota; kingdom Metazoa; phylum Chordata; class Mammalia; order Primates; family Hominidae; genus Homo; species Homo sapiens. The sequence goes on along the minus strand of NC_000013.11, from coordinate 100,446,452 downwards.
ACAAAATGTACAAAGTATTATGGGATAAGAGGACAGACCGACTAAATGAGCAGAAAGGTTAATAAGGAAGACATTAGATAGGTTAAGACAGACATTAAAGCTGGATATTTAAAAACAAACAGGGGCAGGGTGCGGTGGCTCATGCCTGTAATCCCAGCACTTTGGGAGGCTAAGGTGGGTGGATCATTTGAGGTCAGGAGTTTGAGACCAGCCTGCCCAACACGGTGGCTCTACTAAAAATATAAAAAGTAGCCGGGCGTGGTGGCAGGTGCCTGCAGTCCCAGCTACTCAGGAGCCTGAGGCAGGAGAATCACTTGAACCTGGGAGTTGGAGGTTGCAGTGAGCCGACTGTGCCAAAGCACTCCAGCCTGGGCACCACAGCGTGACTCTGTTTCAAAAAAACAAAGAAAAGAAAAGAAAGAAAAAAAACATGAACAAGATTCAGCCATTATGGAAAACAGTACGGAGGTTTCTCAAAACATTAAAAATAGAACTACCATATGATCCAACAATCCCACTACTGCATATATATCCAAAGGAAAGAAATCAGTTATGTCAAGGAGATACTGGCATCCCCATGTTTCTTGCAGCACTATTCATGATGGCCAAGACAGGGAATCAGCCTAAGTGTCCATCCATGGACCAACGGATACAGAGAATGTGGTATAATATGCAAAATGGAATATTATTTAGACTTAAAAAAGAAAATCCTACCATTTGCAACAACATGGATGAACCCGGAAGACATTACATTAAGTAAAATAAGCCAGGTACATACAGAAAGACATACCATATGACCTCACTTACATGAAGAATCTGGAAACGTCAAACTCATAGAGTAGAAAATAGAATGGTGGTTGGGGAGGGGGTGTTGAGGAAATATTAATCAAAACCCACAAAATTTCAGTTATAAAGGAGAAATAGGTACGAGAAAGCTATTATACAATATAGAAACCACAGTTAATGACGACGTATTATTAATATATTCTTGAAATTTTCTGAGTATATTTAAGTGTACCTCACATACAGAATAAGTATATGAGGTAATACATATATGTTAATTAGCTCAATGTAGCCATTCCACAGTGTATCCACTGTTTGAAGTGTGTACTTCAAAACATGTTGTACATGTGTGAAAGTTTGAAAGTTTATCTCCTCCAAACCTCATGTTGAAATGTGATCCCCAGTGTTGGAGGTGGGGCATAATGGGGGTGTGTGGATCATTGGGAAGGATCCCTCATGAATAGATTAATGCCCTCTTTGAGGGCGAGTTCAAGCTCTTAGTTCCTGAGAAAGCTGGTTGTTTAAAAGAGCCTGGCACCTCCCTCCCTTCTCTCTCACTCTGTGACCTCCACACACACCAGCTCCCCTTTGCCTTCTACCATGAATAAAAGCAGCCTGAGGTCCTCATCAGATGCCTAATCCTCAACTTTTCCAGACATCAGAATCACGAGCCAAATAAACTTTTTCTCTTTATAAATTATCCAGTCTCGGGTATTCCTTTGTAGCAACACAAAAGACACTACTAAGACAGGATGACAAATATATGCAACTTTAATTTATCAATTAAAAACCAATTACAAATTTTAAAAATGAGCAGGAATTTTCCAAAAGAAAACTGAAAAACAGCTGGGAACGGTGGCTCACACCTATAATCCCAGCACTTTGGGAGACCGAGGCGGGCAGATTGCTTGAGGTCAGAAGTTCAAAACCACCGGGTGCAGTGGCTCACGCCTGTAATCCCAGCACTTTGGGAGGCCAAGGTGGGCGGATCACCAGGTCAGGAGATTGAGACCATCCTGGCTAACATGGTGAAACTCCATCTCTACTAAAAATACAAAAATTAGCTGGGCATGGTGGCGGGCACCTGTAGTCCCAGCTACTCGGGAGGCTGAGGCAGGAGAATGGCGTGAACCCGGGAGGCAGAGCTTGCAGTGAGCCAAGATTGCATCACTGCACTCCAGCCTGGGTGACAGGGCGAGACTCCGTCTCAAAAAAAAAAAAAAAAAAAAAAAAAAAAAGGTTGTTCAAAACCAGCCTGGCCAACATGGTGAAATCCCGTCTCTTCTAAAAATATAAAAATTAGCCGGGCGTGGTGGTGGCACCTGTAATCCGAGCTACTCAAGAGGCTGAGGCAGGAGAATCACTTGAACCTGGGAGGTGGAGGTTGCAGTGAGCCAAGATTGCACCACCACTGCACTTCAGCCTGGGAGACAGAGCGAGACACCGTCTCAAAAAAAAAAAAAAAAATTGTGGGCTGATGAGACAGTTAACAAAAATTTCAGATTAAGGGATGGCACGATGGCATGGCAAGTTTAGGGAATGTTAAGCAGTTCAGCGTGGCCAGAAATAGGGTTGGATGAAGGTGGAAGTGGCAAGAAAGGAAACCAGGAAGGAATTATAAACCCAGGTCAGATCTTGTACAAAGAGAGCTCATACCTGACAAAGTTCTTACAGTTAAGAACTGGAGTGTGACATGCTCATGTTTTAGAAAGACGGTGGTCTGAGGTCATGCTGAAGATACATAGAATGGGGAAGGACGAGGCTAGGAGACCGAGTAAAACACCACTACAATCATTCAGTTAGGAGCCTGATGTGCTAAGCAGCCACAACAGAAGAACTAAGTCTGATTCAGACCTAGGACCTTAGGATGTGGAGAGCAAACAGACCTGAAAGACGATCTCAATTTTGCTCTACAGATGAGGAATCTAAGGCACAGGAATACAAAAAGTAATTTGGCTACCTGCAACTCTGCACAAAAAACTTTAATCTTGGTCCTGAGATTAAAAAAAAAAAAATCACAATAACCCACTGAACTGCTGCGTGGCAAGAAAGTCTGTGCATTCAGCTTCATACGACAAAAACTGCAAAAGCAGCTATACATGGCAGACAAAAATGAATGAATGTGGCTATGTTCTAGTTAACTGCTTATCATCAATAAGATCTGAATGTGACATCATACTTCTCATGGGTCATGAAACATTATTGATTTTTTTTTTTTTTGACAGTGTCTCATGCTGTCACCCAGGCTGGAGTGCAGTGGCATGGTCACAGCTCTCCACAGCAACTGCCTGGACTCCAGCGATTCTCCCACCTCAACCTCCCAAGCAGCTGGACCCACAGGCATGCACCATTGTACCCAGCCAATTTTTAAAAAAATTATTTGTAGAGACAAGGTCTCACTATGTTGCCCAGGCTGGATGAAACATTCTTCTTTAATTTTTTCCCCCAACTATTTAAAAATGTAATAACCACTCAAGTTGTGAGCCCCATAGAAACAGACGGTGCCTCCTGGTCTAAGCCACCAGTACCTCTCACCTGAGGTCTGCAATGGTCAAATCAATGATTTCTCTGTCTCTACCCCAAGGCCTGCAATGATTTAAAAAATCACATCACATCACTCTCCTACCCAAACCCTCCAAACGCTCCACAACATGAATAGAAAGAAACAACACAAAACAAAACAGTTCTTTGGCCCCTAGATGATCTGGTTCTGTCTTCCTCGTTCCACTCTCCCCAACTGGCCTTCACACAAAACAAGCTTGTCCCGTTTCAGAGCCTCTGCTTTGCCCCTTCTGCTACCTGGGACTTCCTTCCCCCAGACTTCTGCACGTTTGCCCCCTCCTCTTCGTAGGTCTCAGCTCAGTGTTAGCTATTCAGAGAGGACTTCCTAGCCATCCTTGCTAAAGCTGCCTTCTCTAGTGACTTTCTATCAATTTCATAGTCTTCATCCAACTTCTTAGTACTAAAATCACCTTATTTAGGTATTTACATGTTTAGTATCTACTTCCCCCTGCTGGAAGGTAAGTCTTGTTCCTTGTTCTATCTGCAGAGTCTAGAACACTGCCTAGGCCATACTGGGCGTTCCCTTCTATGTAGGAGACACTAAAACAATATTATCATTCCTTTGGCTGACACTACAAAGGTTAGATTCATTCCCAGGCAAATAGAAGTAATTTTGTATTATGTAAAATGGAAACAAATTTTCACATTAAAAACAAACTGTATCAATGAATGTGTGACCATAGGTATAAGTACCAATAAGCTGTCCTTAACATTGCATTCAATTTAAAGCAGGTCACAATTACATATATAATGACTGTCACCTTTTTTTCACCACTCTCCCACAGTTTGTAAAGGAAGGAAGGAAGGAAGGACAGGCCAGGCGTGGTGGCTCACGCCTGTAATCCCAACACTTTGGGAGGTCAAGGAAGGCGGATCACTTGAGCCCAGGAGTTTGAGGCCAGCCTGGCCAACATGGTGAAATCCTGCCTCTACTAAAAATACAAAAATTGGCCGGGCATGGTGGCACGCGCCTGTAATCCCAGCCACTCAGGAGGCTAAGGCAGGAGAATCGCTTAAACCTGGGAGGCGGAGGTTGCAGTGAGCTGAGATCATGCCATTGCACTACAGCCTGAGTGACAGAGCAAGACTCTGTCTCAAAAATAAAAAAAAAAAAAAAAGAAAAAAGGAAAAAGAAAAGATTGATGTAAAGAAAAACAGAAATAAAATTTCACTCAGAACTGGAATTTATTTCAATCTTCCCTAGCAGTAAGATATACTTTTCCTAGAGCCTAGGATTAAGATAATTCAGTTTTAGAATCCACAAAAAACAAAGTATTCAATGCCTATCATGAGTCTAATGCATGCCAAAACAAATATGAACTGACCACTTGATATGCTAATAGCAAAATTCTTCATAAAAATTAAGACTTGTATTTGATGAAACATATCCACGCTTATTAAAATATTTTCTGCAAATATTTCATCCCTTTTCCTATTTTAAATGGCACTCCAAAGCCAGATAAAAATGTTCTCCTTTTCTTATTTTGATAGTCTGCTCCAATGTTTACATAATATATTCCTTTTTATTTCTTTAAAAAATACTTTAGAAGATTTTGTTAACAAAATGACTTCAACATTTGTTAGAATCAAATTCATACAAAATTAGCAAAGTTATTCACACAAAGGCAAAAACATTTGCAAAACAATAAATCAAATGTTCCAAAAATACCTTCCTAGGATAATAAAACCAGAGGTAATTTCACCTTTAAAAATAATGTCACTGAACAGTAAGAGGAAGAAATAGTAATAGTTTTCTTTTTCCCCTCACTGATTTCCAACTTGGTAATATGTTTTAAAGGCCATTACTGTGGGATTTGTCTTATCGGTCTGCAGTGCAGCTGTTTGTATTATTTTCCACATTTACTACAATCAGTGTTTATACTACTCAAAATTCTCTTCCTCAGGCAGCAACGAAAATATAATTTTCTAGTTAACAGAAGAGGAGAAAAGCTTGTATGTGTGGGGGTGTGGGAAGGGGAAGTTCAGAAAGACATTTTCCCATTCGGTTAAATTTTAAAAGCAACTCCAAATTATAAAACCCAGAAAACTGCTAAGCTTCTAGGACTACATTACAAAAGCAGGTAGCCTTGCATCAAAATTAATACTTTATACCATAGCTGTAAATACATCCCAGCTGTTAAACTGCCTTGAAATATTTTAAAGCAGAGTCAACAGAGTTATTTCTGTTCTACTGGTGAGCTTGTTTCTAAGATGTGTAGCTGTATTGATATGTCAGGAATGTAAAAAGGATATGGTTAATAATTACTCTTTCATTTCCTACTTCATTCGAAAAATACCAACCTCTACTTATTCTAAGTTATATATTTATATATCCTATATATCCTGAGAGTGTCATGTCACATGCAATGATTCTAGAGAAATCACATGTGTAAAGTACAAAATAATAATGACTTCAAACAGATGGGGGTGGGGGGAACATTTTTAAAACCTGTAAAACACTTTAGGACTGAAAACATAAGACAATTACTTCCCAATTCATTTGTGTACCAGCAAAGTACAGGCAAAAATGTATGCCGCTTTATTTTTCTAATTAAAATATTAATTTTACTATCTATAAACAGTTATTAGGATTAAAACTAAAGTTTATTCTTGGAGGGTGTGGGAGCTATTTTAATCTAAAAAAAACTGAAAAGAAAATAACATTTTTAACTTCCTCTCAAGTAGATATGAAAATCAACAATTTATTTTCTTCAAAACTGAAATTTAAGGTTACAATTTTAAAATTGATTCAAATTCTGTGTGGACAACCATTTGTATATATACTACAGATAGTTTCACAATCTGCAAACAGAATAACATCTCGTCCATCATATTCATGTGCTTGTGTAATATTTTATATTACATAGGCCCACTGGGCATTTTAAGTTATCACGTTTTATATATATATATATATATATATATATATATATATATATATATATATATATATAATTTAATACTCTAGTCATTTCACAACTAATCCATTTAATCTGGTATTCTTCAGTAAATAACATGAGATTCATGTGACACTATTCCAAATTTGTCTGCTTTAACATAGAAAATTAGTTCCACTTAGCTGAATATCAAAGACCTATTCAATATAGAATGCAGTGGTGCTACAATCAGCTCTGCACTGTTATTTATAATAAATTTATCTTCTTTTGAAAATATTTGAGCAAGAATATGAGAAATAGAAAGAAAAAAGTCTTCAAAGGTACAGCATGAATAGCTTCACATCACACAAATGCAGAAATTGTTAGACCTTAGCAGGATCTCAAGATATTTTCAAAAGTATTTAGCTACTCCTCAGGCCTGAAGGCAACCTGCTGTGAGCAGGTGGATAGAAGAAATCACGCCATACAAAGAAACAGGCCAACAGCAGTTAGTCGGCTCTGCTTGCAAATGTTCAAACAACGTGACTATGCACGATGAAAATCTAGTATGTAAAACGCTAACGACAAACAATACATTAAATCCCGGTACACAAACTACACTGTAAGAAATAGAGAACAGCAAAATTGAAGAACTTCTTTCAAGGTCAAAAAAATTACTTCACAGGAATATAGACATAGTAAAAAAATAAAATAAAATAAAAAACTTCTATTCATCCAGCAGGTTCCACACTACAAAGGTTCTGGGGTTTGTGAGGAAAACAGAGAGTGAGCTCACCATGGCCAGGACACAGCGAATCTTCTGTTTGTTTCATCACTTTAATTATATGCCACAGGCAGGAAATCATTCCACGTTTTAAAAATGGTTGTAATTTTTTAAATCTTCTAATGGGAAATTTAAAAAGTTTGTCAGCTAGATGATAAATTCATCTTCTGTTTAAAAATAAATTCAACTCATCTATTCCAAATTTTAAGAGATAAAAACCAAAACTGTGGTTGACATTAAGGGGGAATACTTTAAAAACCATTATGTAGAGTTTTCTCTATCTGTAAACACTCTCTGGTTTACAAAAAATTTTGCCTGTGAGTGGTCTAACCCAGTAACCACTAGCTACACGTAGCTACTGAGAACTTGAAATATGACTGGTGTGACTGAGGAGTTAAATTTTCAATTGTATTTAATGTTAATTTTAAAACTGAAGCAGTGTAATTTTCTGTTAAACCCAACTCCATTGTTTTGGTAGGACTACATTCCACTCTGACCGTTCCATTGTTTAAGATACTGTTGTATTAATGCCAATGTCTATGTTGTTTCTGGTATCACATTAGTAATTTTTAAAAGTCTTTCATGTTGAAATGACAACATTTGGGGTATTATTCTGTGAAAGGGCCATAAATGCAAAGCAGCCCCCAAATGCGGAGGGAGCCAAGAAACCAAAGAATAAGGCAAAGAAACTCAATTTGTTGGTAAAGGGTGTTTTCTTGGGGGAACTTACAGACAGAAGCGTGATCTCGGATGGCTGCAAGACAGGTATAACCCACTCTGTTACTGGCCAGACCCAGAGCTTATATGCCACAGGGAAAGGGTGTACGTGCTCTACAGAGGCAATTAAAGGCATCCTCCAGAACAGGTGGGAATGCTATGTGCGTCACTGCCTATAATTTGTGTGGTAAGATCAAGGCTGCTTTGTTCTTACACTAAAAACAGTAAATAAAATCAGAATCAGGAGGCATTCACGAGACTGGGGCTAATGAGAAATCAACATGGCTTTGCTGGGAGTGGTGGCTCAGGCCTATAATCCCAGCACTTTGGGAAGCAGAGGCGGGATGATCACTGGAGTCCAGGAGTTCTGGGCAACATAGTGTGCCCTCATCTCTACAAAAAATCAACAAAATTAATTGCATGTGGTGGCACAGGCCTGCAGTCCCACCTACTCAGAAGGCAGAGGCAGGAGGATCAGTTGAGTCTGGGAGGTTGAGGCTGCAGTGAGCCATACTGCACCACTGCACTCTAGCCTGGGCAACAGAGCAAGACCCTATCATTAAAAAAAAAGTAAAATAAAAAATAAATTACATTAAAACAACAAGGTTTGCCTTCAAGAAAAAAAAAACAACATGGTGCATTAGCAATTAAGATGGAATCACTTTTGTCTCCACAGGTACACTGGTTTAAATAAAATGTATTAGTAAAATTAATTCCACTTGTTTCATCTTTTTTAATATGACTACTAAGAAATTTTAAATGACAGTTGGGAACAATGGCTCACACCTGTAATTGCAGCACTTTGGGAGGCTGAGGCGGGCAGATAACTTGAAGTCGGGAGTTCAAGACCAGCCTGGCCAACATGGTAAAACCCCCTCTCTACTAAAAATACAAAAAATTAGCTGGGCATGGTGGCAGGTGCCTGTAGTCCCAGCTACTTGGGAGGCTGGGGCAGAAGAATTGCTTGAGTCTGGGAGGCGGAGGTTGCAGTGAACTGAGATTGTGCCACTGAACTCCAGCCTGGGCAACGGACTCCGTCTCAAACACAAAACAAAACAAAGAGCTAATTAATTAAAACAAAGAAATTTTAAATATGGCTTGTGTTAGCCTTCTATTAGATAAGGCTATTTAATAAACGTCATTACCAACTGACTACTTCGGCAATGAAAACAGAAACACTGGTAAAAAAAAAAACAAATAAACAAATAAATATAAAATAGTTATTTCATTTTCCTTAAATGATGATATTTGAAGAAAAGTTGGCTAAATTATTAGAGAAATTAATAGAAAAAGACTTTAAAATTCTGAAGAGAACTTTTAATTATTTTCAAGAGTTCTCAATGTTTATGCCCCTGGTTCTTTATCATTTCAAAATATGTGATTTCCTCCTCCCTTAGGTAATATATCACTAGCTCCATATTCAAAGTTATCCACAATGATTAGACTTTTTCCGAGAGTATGATTTTCTTGAAGTCAGAAAGGCAGCGTACTTAAAGCAGGTGCGGGTGGTTCTGTGGGAGTAAGAGCTGATATGACCTCACCCAGCAACGGACAGTGAGAAAGCCTAGGGCATGCACAAGCCTTTGAGAAAGAGAAAACCAGGAATAGCAGGAGGCAGACCCTTTCCTACACCTATTGATACTATCAATAGCTATCTACACTTGTCAATAGGTGATACTGTGGGCCTAAAACAGCCGAGGTGCTACCCAGAGCAAACAGAGGCCAACAGGAAAGAACCATGCTTGGTGAGCAAAGCGCCTCTGTGGGCAAGTCCTTGGGAGCCCTCTTGTTTCTTTTTGCTCTCACAGAAACCATGGTTATTCTGTATCAAGAGAGGTCCACCAGCCACACTAATGGAGTATGGATTTCGCAAATGTTGGGAGGTCAGGAACTAAAAAGAATCAGCAAAACATTCTATAATGTAAGATGACTGTCCACTTACCCATTCACCCACCCACACCTATTCATCCAATTATTGAGCATTTATATGCGCCGAGAAGTCAGCAGGGCAGTGGGAATTAAAAGTCAAATCCAAAAGGAAACAGGTGATTTAGATCAATTAAAAGAGGTTAATAACCTATGAAATTTATTATTCTAATGATAGCACTGAGGCAGGAGAATAGGGTCTGGAGGCAGGGAACCCAAGGCTGTTTCACGCCAACTTCCTAGAACTAAATTGAAAGGAAAATCCTAGCTTTCCACACCTAAGTAATAAAAGGACCAGGGGCTACTCCCTTTGCAAACCACCCACCTTTTCTGTGTGGCAGATGGGAAATCGGACAGTCAATTTCCCATCCAATAACAAATCAGAAAATCAGATTGACTGTGGGTCCAGTCTTTGCAACTTTGTAACTTCACTCCAGTCTCTGAATGGTTGCTGTCCAAAACCAATCAGACTGATTGCCAGCCAAGTCTTCATTTGCATAAGAGTATAACTTTGCAACATGTTTGCACAGGAGTGTGACCTTTGTAACTTCACTTCAGCCTCTGGTTGGCTGCTTTCTGCAACCTTATAGGCTGCAACTTCATTTACATGAGGTGAGTATAAAGTAATCAATGGAAAACTTCTAGCAGGTATTTGGAACCAAGAAGATTCGGTATCCGGGCCCTTGAGCCACTGCTCAGGCTCGCTCCCACACTGTGGAGTACAGTTTCATTTTCTTTCTCTCTCTCTCTTTTTTTTTTTATTTGAGACAGAGTTTCGCTCTTGTTGCCTAAGCTGGAGTGCAATGGCTCGATCTCAGCTCACTGCAACCTCCACCTCCTGGGTTCAAGCAATTCTCCTGTCTTTGCCTCCCAAGTAGATGGGATTACAGGCATGCACCACCACACTAGGCTAATTTTGTATTTTTAGTAGAGACGGGGTTTCACGATGTTGGCCAGACTGGTTTCAAACTCCTGACCTTAGGTGATCCACCTGCCTCGGCCTCCCAAAGTGCTGGGATTACAGGCATGAGCCACCACACCTGGCCGCCTATACTTTTGTTTTCAATAAATCCCTGTTTTTGTTCTGTTGTTGCTTCATTGTTTGCTTTGCTGGACATGTTGTCCAATTCTTTGTTCAAAACGCCAAGAACCTGGATAACTTGCAATCATGACCCTCTACCAGTGACAGTATACACCAAAATACAACTTACTTTTAAAGGAATTTAATGGGTAATATTAAACTTATGAAGTTTACCAATGAAAACCAGGAACATGAATACACGTGATCGGACTGGATGAATCGGGAGCTAATTCCTGAAGCAAAGGTAAGTTGCCTTCCCAACTACTTACTCATCTAATCAGATAAAGAAGTTAAATGCTCCTTAATATGGTTTGGATGTGTCCGCTCCAAATCTCTTGCTGAAATGTGATTCTCGACATGGCAGGTGGGGCCTGGTGGGAGGTGTTTGGATCACAGAGGTAGATCTTGGTTGTTTAAAAGAGTGGGGCACCTCCCCGTTCTCTCTCACCCTCATTCCTGCTCTTGCCCTGTGATGCTCCTCCTCCTGCTTTGCCTCCACCATGACTGAAAGCTCCCTGAGGCCTCCCTCCCCAGAAGCTGAGCAGATGCTGGCACCATACTTCCTGTACAGCTGGCAGAACCATGAGCCATTTAAACCCGTTTTCTTGATAAATTATGCAGTCTCAGGTTTTTCTTTATAGCAATATAAGAACAGATGAACGCACTACTTTTCATGGAATCACAGGGGTTCAGCAACAAAAAGAAGTAGACGCCAAGTACCCATACATCTTTAAGTCAGATGCTAGCCAAGGCTACCTGGTAGAATGTGCTAGGAAGCTGTGGGACCAGTGACTGTCCATCTCCCACCTTAAAAGAATAAAAGAGGAAAATTAATTTGAGGAGGTCGAATTCTTAAGCTTAGAATTTAAGGCTGAACTCTGCTTAAGCTACGTGAAAGCGACTTCATGAGAATCACTTATTCATGCGAATTCTTAGAGACAGACCAAGAAGAGAAGCTTGTACTTTGTTGGTTTGGTGAGGCAAGGACTTATTACTATTTCCTGTGGCCAGACGTGGATTGTGCAGGAGAAAAGCAGGCGGGGTCATTATGAGGGACCATGCCCAGTGAGAACATTCAGAGTCAACACAGTAGTTGCTCAGGAGACCAAAGGCAACTGGAAAAGACAGGAGGCATTAAGTGTTCTGCAGGTGAGAAGTTCCCCCAAATCCACATGAAAGTATCCCAGGGCTACCGGCCAGCTTTGGACATCTGCCATGCCCCAAGAGAGTGAATGCCAGGTTGCCTCTGCCCCAGAAAACCTGGTTCTTCCTGCCATGCTCTTCTCATCTTTACCCCATACTGCAAATTCTGAGAGACCCAATATAGCAGCTCTGAAGTAGAAAAGGGTATTGTTGAGGCTCAGAAAATGATACCCCAAAGAGAAGGCCTCAGAAGTAACCTCAGAACTAAGATCTCTGACCTTCTGCCTTCCTGTCTCTCACCCCTCATTCTCTCCTGAGATGAGTCACAGACATCAGAATTCCTCTCCCGCAAAGACAACTATGAAACCAGAAAGAGGACTCTAACCCCTCCCTGCCTTTCTAAGAGCTGCTCATAAAGAAATTCTCTGGCCTACCCTTCTCTACAACAGTAGCAGGTCATAAGACCGTCATCCCAGATGGGTCTTGTCCCATACCTGGGAGGAAGAAATAGTACAAGAGAGGCCAGGAAGATCTGAACATAGGCCTTGCTGGGTTCCTCTCAGCCTACTAGCATTCACTTACATTCTTTGTCCCATCAGTTTTACACGGCTGCCCATTCTTCATTAAACCTAAGCATTAAAATGGACAGCTTTCCTTGTATCTTTGGATCTCTGTTCTGAAGACTCTCATGTCACATAAAACTTTGATTAAATAAATCAGTTATACTTTTCTCTTGTTAACCTGTCTTTTGTTATAGGAGTGTCTGCCATGGACACCCTTATGATGGGGAGGAGTGGGATCACACCCTTTTGCCCCTACAATATAAAGCAAGCAAGAAGAAAGCAACATTCTCCTCTGCACTAGTAAAGGTTTCTCAGTGTGAGGTCAAACTGAGTTTAGAGAGGAGAGGTTTTACCAGTTTTGATATTACAATGAACTAGACTTTGAAACACACCCTCCTCTCCCAAATACAGTATGGCTTGTTTATTACCTGGTAGCAACATTACAGACTGTTAGAATGGTATGTGGTTTTATATATGGGAAGGAAAGAAGTTGAAATAAAGGGTTTAAAAAAAAAAACAGCTCTAAGAAACTTGCTTCTACTTGGACTGAAAAAAGTGCCACTTGTGCAGTGAACTGGTTACAGAGTAATACCAATATAGGAAGGACACATCCTAGAAGTATTCGGAATGCTTTTTCTTCAGTTACTATCTAGATAAGTCCTGCTCCACAATGAGATACCACTTCACCCCCAATAGGATGGCTATTATTAAAAAACAAAACAAAACAGAAAATAACAAGTGTTAACAAAGATGGCACGAAACTGAAATTATTGTGCACTGCTAATGGGAATGTAAAATGGTGCAGCAACTATGGAGGTTCCTCAAAAAATTAAACATACAATTACCACGTGATCCAGCAATTCCACTTCTGGGCATATGCCCAAAAGAATGGGGTACTCAAACAGATATTTGTACACCCATGCTCATGGAAGCATAATTCACAGCAGCCAAAAGGTAGAAACAACCCAAATGTCCGTTGACAGAGGAATGGATAAACAACATGTAGTATATTCACACAATGGAATATTATTCAGCCATAAAAAGGAAAGACATCCTGTCACATGCTATAACCTGGATGAACCTTGAAGACAGTATGCTAAGTGAAATAAGCCAGTCACAAAAGACAAATACTATACCATTTCATTTATAGGCGGTACCCATACCCACAGTAGTCAAATTCATAGAAACAGAAAGTGGTTTCTATGCATGGAAACATAGGTTTCTCTCAAACTCAACCCCCTTTTTCTCTACACTGCTTGCACCCTAGTGGAGGATGAAGGCAGTAATAGGATTGTCTTCTAAATGAACTCCATCTCCACTTCACCCTTCAATCCCTTAACCCCTCCTCTATTATGAGGACACATTAATATTCTACAATGGCATTTTGATGGACGTTACTGTACTCTGCAAAAAGTTGTAATATCTCCACTGCTGACTGAAAAGCATAGATTCTTCAGGCTCTCATTCACTATCTGGTCCTCCAACCTATTTTTCCATGTTTAGCTCTCATTACTTCCCTAAATGAATACTTCCCAATTTGCCTGTTGATTCACAAACACGTTTTTCTAAGGTGTATCTCAAATATCATCTGATGCCCTTGGCTAAGGGTTTCCAGAAGATTAACAAAAAATAAAAGAGTGCAACTGACTGAGAGCTCACAGAAGCAAATATACTGAGGATCGTATTAAGCGAAAAATCATCTTTTTATTTACAATTAATTGAGAATCACAGAAACCGCTTTTAAAGAATTTCGGGGTTGGAAAGGTGAGGTGGTGGCAAGGTAGTAAGGGAAGAGAAGCACGACTATCATTAAATTGTGCTGGCATAACGAGTTATCTGTTTGTTTGTTTATTTATTTATTTATTTATTTATTTTTGAGATGGAGTCTTGCTTTGTTGCCCAGGCTGGAGTGCAGGGGTCCAGCCTCTTGAGCAGCTGGGACTGCAGGTGTGCACCACCATCCCCGGTTAATATTTTGTATTTTCAGTAAAGACAGGGTTTCACCATGTTACAGGTCAGACTGGTCTGGTATCAAACGCCTTACCTCAGGTGATCCACCCGCCTCGGCCTCCCAAAGTGCTGGGATTACAGGCTTAAGCCACCACACCCGGCCTGGTATCTGTATTTTATTTTATTTATTATTATTATTTTTTTTGAGATGGAGTCTCACTCTGTCACCCAGGCTGGAGTGCAGTGGCGCGATCTCAGCTCACTGCAAGTTCTGCCTCCTGGGTTCACACCATTCTCCTGCCTCAGCCTCCCACGCAGCTGGGACTACAGGCGCCCGCCACCACACCCAGCTAATTTTTTGTATTTTTAGTGGAGATGGGGTTTCACTGTGTTAGCCAGGATGGTCTCGATCTCCTGACCTCGTGATCCACCCACCTCGGCCTCTCAAAGTGCTGGGATTACAGGCGTGAGCCACTCATACCGTGTACAAAAATCAATCCCATGAGGATTAAGTAGTTAACTTTGAAAAGCACAATTTAAAAAGGTTTAAAAGAAAATATAGGTATCTTTGTGAGCTTAGGAGTAGAACAAGATTATCTACACAAACGCAAAACACACAAACCATAAAGGAAAATATTGAAAATTCTGACATTAAATCTTGCCTTAAAACTTAACTTGGATAACTTAAAACAATAAAAACAGAAGCTACTTTATCAACACATACGACAAAAAGGAGCCATAACGCAGGAAGAACTTTTATGAGTCAATAAGAAAAAGATAATCCAATTTAAAAAGTGGGCAAAAGTCATGAGCAGATATTTTACAGAAGAGAAAACAAGAGAGCCAATAAATATATATTTTCAATGTTCATTGTCATACTAATCAGGGAAGTATACATTAAAACCATAATGAGATGCCATCTAAACCCACCAGTCAGGAAAAACCTAAGTAGTCTGGGAAGGCCAAGGGTTCACCAGGATGTGAAAAAAAATGTTAAGGGCACAGATTCCTTGGTTCAAATTCTGGCACTCCCATTTACTACCAGATGGGAAAGCAATTTAGCCTCTACAAGCTTCTGTTTTCCCAAATACAAAATGAGGGATAACACTAGTACGTACTTTATTGGGTTTTTGGGGGCATTCATACATACAAAGTGCTTAGAACAGTCAGTGCCGGGCATAATAAGTACAGAATAAGGTTAGTTCATTGTTCTCATTGTGACTATCATCTTCACTACTGATGGGCACATAAGCTGGTACAGCCACACAGAGAAACCCACCTGGCCTTGCCATGCAGGAATGAGAAAGCACAGGCCCCACAGCATGGCTGTTATACCGGCACATGACCTGGAGAACCTCCTATGTCAAGAGGAAACAGGAAGTAGGGTGTTCATACAAGCATCACTGTGACAACAAAATAAGGAAAATAACACAGATGTCTATTTAGAGGAGAATAAGTAATTGGTGGTAATATTAATATGATGTATGGAAGTAGATAAACTGCAGCTATAGGCAGCAACATGGGCCAGGCTCACAAACATCATGCTGGTGGGGAGAAGACAACTCCTGGAGGAACACAGAGAGGATGGGGGCAATTACAAGGTTCAAAAACAAGAGCAGCTCAACAAGATACTGCTCACAGTGTTGGTGTATTCATAAATATCCCTAAAGAAAAGCAAGGTAGTGATCAATTTAAAACTCATAATGGTGTTCTTCAGGGACACTGGAAAGGAGGATTTAATCAAGGAAGAATGATACAAATAGCACTGATAATGTTTTGGTTTTTTGTTTGTTTGTTTGTTTTTGAGACGGAGTTTCACTCTTGTTGCCCAGGCTGGAGTGCAATGGCGCGATCTCAGCTCACCACAACCCGGGTTCAAGGGATTCTCCTGCCTCAGCCTCCTGAGTAGCTGGGATTACAGGCATGCGCCACCATGCCTGGCTAATTTTGTATTTTTAGTAGAGACGGGGTTTCTCCACGTTGGTCAGGCTGGTCTCGAACTCCGAACCTCAGGTGATCTGCCTGCTTCGGCCTCCCAAAGGCTAGGATTACAGGCGTGAGCCACAGTGACCAGCCTGTTTTCTTTTTTTTAATCTAGATAGTGGGTAAACAGGTTTTCATTGGGTCATTCTTTAGCTTTTATATAGATATAATAAATATTTTTGGCTGGGTGTGATGGCTCACACCTGTAATCCCAGCACTTTAGGAGGCTGAGGCAGGTGGATGACCTGAGGTCAGGAGTTCGAGACCAGCCTGGCCAACATGGCGAAACCTCATCTCTACTAAAAATACAAAAATTAGCGAGGCATGGTAGTGCGTGTCTGTAATCCCAGCTACTCCAGAGGCTGAGGCAAGAGAATCGCTTGAACCCGAAAGACAGAGGTTGCAGTGAGCCAAGATCGTACCACTGCACTCCAGCCTGGGCAACAGAGGGAGGCTGTGTCTCAAAATAATAATAATACATATTATTTTATATTAAATGAGGTTTAATAATAAAATTTAATGATACAAGTTAATGATAAATAGTAATATTTAATACTATTTAAGAATATAAAGTTTATATGTATGCTCAAAAATCCAGAGAAAAAAGAATTGTAGTTATTACTTTAAAGTACCTACAGTTACTATAGTAATCAATTACTACAGTAATCAATTTCAAGTGATTACTGTAAAATCACTTGAAAAATGCCTTTGGTAATATTCATCCCTTATTTCTCAGAATAAACAATTGCAAAGAGACACACAAACACTTATAATTGCATTTCGTAGCTATCTGCTTGGAGGTGTTAAGCTGGAACTCTTGGAGCAATGCAGCCCAGGAAGCAAGCAGAGAGAGAAAAGGGGGAGTCAGGAATAGAATTTGGAGGTTTGCCCATGCTAACAGTGGTCAGAAGAGAAATCAGCAGATGACTGTAAAGCCACCAGTTCTTTCTCCTGTCACGCTTGCAGATCCCTTCTGCACACAGTGCCCTCATCCCCACAGCTGCTGAGACTTCTTACCTCCGAATCCCTAACATCTGCTGACTTCTCTCTTTGCCTCCAATCTTCACCTCATGCTTCTTCAAGCCACTCTCCACAAAGCAGCCAAAAACCAAAAAAACCTCGTAAGCTACAATTCTGTTCAATCATCACTTCCTTACTGAAAGCTCTTCCACGGGTCCCTACTGACCTAGGGATAAAGTAGAGCCTCTCCTATGTCCTTAATAAGGCTCATGTGACTCGGTTCCTACCCACCTTGCTGGGGCACACCACTCCTCAGCTCATTCTCTGACTACAAAGGTTTAAAGCAGAGGGTGTCCAAATGTGGCCCAGACCAGCAGCATTACCTGGGGGCTTGCCAGAAATGCAGACCTAGCCCAGACCTGCTAAATCAGAGTAAGCTATGGGTGGGTCCAACAACTTGAGTTTCCACAAGGCTTCTAGTTGATTCTGAAGCATATTAAAGTTTAAGCATCTCTGGTTTAAAGCATGAATGACAGGTAATTATAATTTGAAGAAGAATGTGATAGGAAAAATCGCAAAGTACTATAGCATAGTGGGGGAAAGCACACATGACTGCCACGGACCAAGTTTTTGCTCTGCTTCTTCCTAGCTTTGTGATGCCCAGGAAGTTACATAGCTTGCCTCAGCATCCTGCAATGCTTGATGGCAAGGATCCTACCTACAGCAAGACTGCTCGGATTTAAATCATGGATCTAGGCTGAGGGTGTGGGGGGGGTGGGGGTGGGGGTGGGGGGTAGGGGGGGTCGGGGAGGAGGCAGGGTTGCTTGAGCCCAGGAGTTCCAAACCAGCCTGGGCAACATAGTGAGGCCTCATCTCTACAAAATAAACAAAATTAGCTGGGTGTGGTGGCAGGCACACCTGTAGTCCCAGCTACCTGGGGGGCTCAGGTGGGAGGATCGCTGGAGCCTGGGAGGTCAAAGCTGCGGTGAACCCAGATTGTGCCATTGCACTCTAGCCTAGGTGACAGAGCGAGATCCTGTCTCATTTAAAAAGAAAAAAAAAAAATCATGGCTTTACCTCTTACTAGCTGGTGACCTTGAGTAAGTCACTTACTTTTCTCTGAGCCTCAGTTGTCTCATTTATAAAACTATAAATAGCACCTACTTCATACAATTGTGAAGATCAAAGAAGTTCATATCTGTACTATGCTTAAAACTACACCTGATAACACAGTAAGCACTGTGTGTTATTTATTATTACTACAATTGTTATTATCTTCATAGGGGCCACATTACATTTTTGGAAAGAGTCGATATAATGCTAATGCCTACAGAAAGTAAATAAAATCCATCCCCTTTCACAAGGAAAAACTCTCCTTACCTTTTTTTTTTTTTTAGGTAAACGACTGTTTTTCCTAGTACACCATTTACCTCTCTGAGTTTATTTCCTTCCAATTAGAGAGTACTTAACTTGATGCAACGACCTCTTCCTAAGAGTCAAGGGATCTCTCTTTAAGGGGTCACTTATTTCAGACACATTAATTCTTTTAGTAGCAAAGTACTTACAGGATTAAAAAGGGATTTACCGAACATGATCCCTACACTAGGGAAAATATTTTTGATTATTCTACATATGTATCCCTATTAATCTAGCTATAAATTCTACATGTAAAAGTGCCATCAAGACAACTATCTGCGCACTCACTGAAAAGGATGATGAAAGTAACACAATACAAAAAATTTGCATAATAGGAGTTTGTACCTCTTTCTTCTGACTACTGAGAGTTAACACTATGTCCCTCTGACAAACACTTGAGCCATAACATATTCGATGCACTGTACAGTCTATCGAACATAAACCAGTATAACAAAACCACAGTTTTTTGTTTGTTTGTTTTGTTTGTTTGTTTTGGAGACAGAGTCTTGTTCTGTTGCCCAGGCTGCAGTGCAATGGCGTGATCCTGGCTCACTGCAACCTCTGCTTCCCAGATTCAAGTGATTCTCCTGCCCTGGCCTCCCAAGTAGCTAGGAATACAGGCGCCCGCCACCACACCCGGCTAATTTTTGTATTTGTAGTGGAGACAGGGTTTCACTGTCTTTGGCCAGGCTGGTCTGGAACGCTTCACCTCAGGTGATCCGCCTGCCTTGGCCTCCCAAAGTGCTGGGATTACAGGCGTGAGCCACCGTGCCCAGACACCACAGTTTTTAAAGACATAATAATACATGGATCTAAGTAATGTGAAATTATGTAGTGATATTTTTTTCAAGAGTCTTAAACTATTTCAACTCATAATTTATACTGATATAATATTATATAAAGTTATATAATATGAGTTAAGTTATAAAATATGAGAAAAGACAGGAGTTAGAAAATTAAAAAAATGAGAAAAAATATACTGGGACAAGTCACAAAACCAAAGTCAAAATATAGGGCTTATTACCAAGAGTTCAAGGTTACTTGGAACCATAGAGATAATATATCAATTGAAACTGACTTAGAAATCAGTTCAGTCATCACATAGTTTTTGTGGATTCTGATGTCCACTATCCCGGTCTCTCATAGAGGTAGATAAGAATCAGGTATGGAGTAAGTAGTCTTAATCTGTGATTATCCTGATTTCTCAAGGTTTTTAAAACCAGTTTCCTGTGTAAAATCAAGTTAAGATGATTTTCATAAAAAAGAACAAAGAATGAGCATTTAATGCTATGGGTGGGGCTAGATTTTTATTAGCCTGTGATAGCCACATGTTCCATGATTTTTTTTTTTTTCCTAAAACGCTAAACCTCAAATATGAGGTAAGGTGAAGAATTTTGGCAGAATCTCTTTTCATAACTTTCTACTTTAAAATGGAAGTCACAGGTTACAAAAAATGTTCTATCGACTCTGGGTTCCAAGGCATCTCCTCAAGGCAGGACATTTTATATTGAGGCGAAAAGAAAGATTAATAAGTTAAGATTACTAAATTTTTAAAGGACATCAGTGAGCTGTGGAAAGTCAACCTGAATAACACAAGTTTTACTAGCCTAACACTACGTAATTTCAACTGCACAGAAAAGAAAGGTAACAAAGTAAGTTGTATTTTACAACTAAAAACCCACAGAGGAAAAAAAAAAACAGCTAATCTAGCATTTTTAGAAAAGCCTGCAGAATTCCTTGTTTACAACAAAGTACAATACATGAACCTTCTTGGATTGTCTGAAAAAAGAAAACATTAAATGCTCAGGTTAAAACTTAAGATCCTCTAAAATAAGAAAAGAAAAAGTTTTCGACTGTAAAAAGTATAAGGTGAATAAAATACAGCTTTTCCCTCCTATAGCTCTAAGTATTAGCCACACAGGTGCTGACAAGGATTCTGGACTTGAGGAGGCCCTCTAAGGAAATCCTTACAACACTCACCTGGACAGTCCTCTGAGTGCCATCAACGCTGACAGACAATAAGGGCGAAGCCAGGTTCCACGTGCTGGTCACATTTAGTTTCGACCCATCAACTTCCACCTGTTGTGACACCAAATAAGACCATTACCATGAAGAAAGACAGAAAACTGATCTCAAGTTCATTGCTGCATACAAAGCAGCAGCCATTTTAAACAGATGGCTCCCAAACAACCTGTCATGTTTACTGCTCCAGCCAAGAAAGACAGGGTCCAACAACAGCGTCTTCCCAGTCATCTCTGGGGAGAGGTGAAGGACCTGTGAACAGCTGCCTCCGGGTACTGAGGCTTCAAGTGATTTCCGTAAGTAACAAACAGCCTTCTAACTCGAAACCTATCTGGACATGCTACATTTACTGCAATTAGACAAGTAATGCATATAAATTCCAGTGACATCTTGCAACCCACACAACAGGGCTTGCATATAATATCCTCTCCAAGGACCAAGGAAGAACTTTTTCTGTGTTAATTTTAATGAAGGACTATGCATTGTTATCTTAATTAAACAGAAGCTTTAATTAGACAAAATTCTTTGGTGTTGAATATCAAAAGTCCATTCAAACTTTGCAAAGTTCTGTCATATTTCTGTCAATCATAAATGACTGATTTCATCCAGTCATCCTTCATGAATATGCAAAAAAAGACCCATAATCTTTCAAAACAGGGATACTCGTAAAAGAAAAAAAATAATTTCCAAATAAATATAAAAGTAATGGAAATTTAAAAATCATAGCTAATTTAAAATGAAAGAACTATTGGTTTTCTTCCTTTCACTCACTGATGCTTATTCCCTAACTCTTTAATATGAGAGGCTTACAGATGACATTATTATTATATGGTAGACAACCTAACAAGGTGATACTTAATCTTGCTCAAGTTTCCAGATAAACCTGCAGCAGAACTATGATATATGATCCCTAACAATTCCCCCACTATCACTTATTTCTCTTAAAAGATACTCATTAAAATCAGATTATCAGAGACTTCACTATTTCCTCTTCTGCTGGACCCTTGGGGATAGGGCGGGGGTGGCAGTGGACAAAGATTGCTGAAAACATTCTGACAAGTATAAGGTGCCCTAAAAATATCCAGGCAAGAGGTCTGCTTCTGGGACACAGTGTAGGGGAGGCTGCAGGCTTGCAGTGAAGCCCAGGGCTCAGTTTTGTGGCATTCTGAATATGGCGTGGCAGCAACAGCGCAGCATGGCTGGAGGGAGGGGCTGGGCAAATAACCCAAGTACATCGTGATAGGAATCCTGAAGTTCTGACCAGTGAAGGTCTGGGTCAGGATGAAGACCACACAGTATGGGGAACTCCATGATGACTGCAGGCAAATACAGGTGATCCTTGGAATCCATGGGAGGCGGGTTCCAGGAGCACCACCCCCGCCCCGCCCTGCAGATACCAAAATCCGGGGATGCTCCAAGTCCCTGATATAAAATGGTGTAGTATTTGCATCTAACCCAGGCACATTCTTCCATATATTGAATCATCTCTAGATTACCTATAATACCTTTGAATTATAATACCTAATACAATGTAAATGCTATCTAAATAGTTGTTATCCTCTATTGTTTAGGGAATAAAGATGGGGGGAAAAAAGGCAGTACCTATTCAGTACAGATCCAAATCTTTTCCTCCCCGCTCCCCCAAATATCTGCAGTTGGTTGGATCCACAGATGCAGAGCCCATGGGCCGACTGTAGTAGGTCTAAGGACAGGAGAAGCCTCCTCAAGGCTTTCAAAGCCTCAACAGCGAGAGATGTTACTCAGTGGTTACCCACCCAGGCCCTCGTAGCAAAGCCTCAGGAAGACTGCGTGTGAGTCTACGTTCTCCCCATGCCAGCGCCGCGAGGCAGATCTAAGCATCATTCCCAAAGGCCTCTCTCACTGCTCCCAGACCTCACCTCAGCAGAAGCTGGGGATAGAAGAAAACTGAAACACATTACCCCAAAGAGACTGTTTAAACCAACAGAGGCCAAGATCCTGTTTACTCACAAATTTTTCTTCCCACCATCCACTACTAAAGGTAGAGGGCCTCTGACAAAGATGATAGGTGATAGAAAATACACTACATTTCATCATCTACACAATGAGTCATGAGTAGAAATTTGCAACTTCCCTACACAACTGAAACAAGGAAGCTATCATGACTCCAAATCATAAACTGAAACCTATCTGCCAGTATAAGCGGGGCAAGGGATGTGTGGAAAGCCATCACAGGCCTTCTCAGGCTTCTAGCAATACACAGATACATAATCCCGAATAAGAGGTACAGTGATTCTAATGATGCTAGCATCCAAGGAGGGAATCTAGATGGAAGTATAGGCCAAAGGAGAAGTAGAGAATGTCTCTTTGAACCACGGGTTAATACCAGAGAAAGGTGGGCTGGCTGAACCGAAGAATCCTTGTTACCATGCCAGATCCACTGTGTACATGCAACCCTTCAGTCAAGGGTCACTGAAGGGGCAGATGTGGAGTGGAGGTGGCATTTCGTGATAGACTCCGACACGAAGAACCAGCCTACCCTTTCAAACTAAATAACAGATTTGGTGAGAAATGACTAAGTAACATGTCCAAAAAAAAGGCTGTAGCCTGCTTCACCTACCCTCCCGGCCTATTTCAACATAAACAACACTCAGAAAACAACCAATACTCGATGTCTGCATACAATTTGGAAAAAAAAAAAAAACTCAGAGAAAAAGGTAAATTAGTAGCATATAACACAAGAACTACTCAAAGAAACACAGGAAGAGTTCAGATAAATAGTTCTCCAAAGTCTCAAAGGCAACCATAGGAAACGTGACCCCTCTTAAAAAAATAAAAATAAAAAAAGAGCTCAAAGAAGAAAAACAAAGGTTCAAAGAAGAGATTATACAACAACAGAAGGAAATGAAAGTCAAGCTGATAGAACTCAGAAAAAAAATGGAGAGAAAAATAACATTATTGAGATAAAAGCCACATTAAGAAGCAACCAAAAATAGAATAAATGTGACTAAAAGAAAGATAAGGACTGAAGAAATCATATAAAATGAAATAGATAAGACTAACAATATAAAACCAATTTACTGAGAAGACAACAGATATGGAGGAGGAAGGGGGTTAGAAAGAATATGTAACTGTCCAAAGAGGCTCACAAAGCAAAAAGAACAAATGTACATTCAAAGATACATAACAGGATAAAACTTGTCAAAATAAGTAAAACCTGGAATTTGTGGATTGATTATGTTTATAGAACTTTAAGGCTAGAGAAAGAATTATGGCCAGGCATGGTGGCTCACGCCTGTAAGCCCAGCACTTTGGGAGGCCCAGGCAGGAGGACTGCTTGAAGCCAGGAGTTTGAAACCAGCCTGGGCAACAAAGTGAGACCCCATCTCTACAAAAAAAATTTTTTTTACTTAGCCAGGCATGATGGCCAGTGCCCGTAGTCTCAGCTACTCAGGAGTCTGAGGCAGGGGAGATTGCTTGAGCCCAGGCCTTCCAAGCTACACTGAACCATGATTTTGCCACTGCACTCCAGGCTGGACGACAGAGCAAAATGCTGTCAAAAAAAAAAAAAAAAAGAAAGAAAGAAAGAAAAGAAAGAAAGAAAGAAAGAAAGAAAGAAAGAAAGAAAGAAAGAAAGAAAAGAAAAGAGAAGAGAAAAGGAAAAGAAAGAAAAGAAGAGAATAAAAAGAAAGTATGGAGGTATTAAGTTAGAAATAAAAAATCATGGGTTGGGTGCAGTGGCTCACGCCTGTAATCCCAGCACTTTGGGAGGCCGAGGCGGGCGGATCACCTAAGGTCAGGAGATTGAGACCAGCCTGACCAACATGGTGAAACCTCGTCTCAACTAAAAAGACAAAAATTAGCCGGGCATGGTAGTGGGTGCCTGTAGTCCCAGCTACTCGGGAGGCTGAGGCAGGAGAATCGCTTGAACCTGGGAGGCAGAGGTTGCAGTGAGCTGAGATCGCGCCACCACACTCCAGCCTGCACGACAGAGCGGGACTCCATCTCAAAAAAAATAAAAAATAAGAAATCATGTACAAGAAAGGAAAAAAACTCAGGTCAGTCTAATTTCTCAAAAGCAACACAGATACAGAAGACCACACAGCAATATAGTCTAAGTACTAAAAAAAAAAGGAAATGTTGTCCCCCAATTTTACACCCAGCAAAGATTTCCTTAAAGTATATCAAATAAATACATATTCTGTAGAATGTAAAAACTTAGTGCCCCTTCTTTAAAAAAATGAGTCATCTCTATACATATTGATTTGAAACCATTTTCAAGAAAATACAGAATAGTGTATACAGTGTGCTATCATTTTTTAAGAAAAAAATAACTATACATGTGTGTTTTTAAATGCAAAGAGTATCTCTGGACAAATGCTTAAGAGCGACAGAATAGCTGAGGAACAGGTATGAAAGGGAGGCTTGTTTTTCCCCACAAATCCATTTGGACTTTTTGAACTTTGTACCATATATACATACAGTACATTAATTTTTTTTTTTTTTAAGCCTCACTCTGTGGACCAGGCTGCAGCACAGTCTCGCAATCTCAGCTCACTGCAACCTCCGTCCACCTCCCGGGTTCAAGCGATTCTCCTGTCTCAGCCTCCTGAGTAGCTGGAATTACAGGCGCCTGCCACCAGGCCCGGCTAATTTTTGCATTGTTAGTAGAGACGGTGTTTCACCATGTTGGCCAGGCTGGTTGCAAACTCCTGACCTCAGATGATTGGCCCGCCACGGCCTCCCAAAGTACTGGGATTACAGGCATGAGCCACTACATCCACTCTAAAGTTTTTTTTTCAAGTGAAGTGTGCTCATTTTCTCTGTCATTACAATATGCAATCAACAACCACTTCAGACCTTTCACTAGTAGGCACACAATAAATCGTAGCTGTTTTTTTTAAACTGCATTTGAGTTAACAGGTGGATACTAATTTCTATTTCTCTGGTTGTAGATTTACAGACTTCAACTACAACACCAAATTTTACAATGTGTTTCAGATAATCTCTCTTCCTCATCTGAAAGAGACCTGAACTAACAAGGTCAAATATCTCTGCTACATCTATAATTCTGTGGTTACAAAGCCCTTTTATTTCAGATGTATTTAGATGGTTAATGTCTTTGTTTTTTTGAGATAGGGCATCACTCCATCACCCAGGCTGGAGTGCAGTGGCATGATCATGGCTCACTGAGCCTTGACCTCCCAGGCTCAAGTAATCCTCCCACCTCAGCCTCCCGTGTAGCTGGGACTACAGGCACGAGCTACCACCTCCAGATTTATATATTTATTAATTTATTTTGGAGAGACAGGTTCTCACTGTGTTGCCAGGGCTGGTCCCGAATTCCTGGGCTCAAGCAGTCCTCCCACCTTGGTCTCCCAAAGTGCTGAGATTACAGACGTGAGCCACCATATCTGACCTCAGACATTTAATTTCTAATATGGCTATTTCCAATATTATAAAGTGAGTGTTTTGCTCACATACCTCTGTTTGAGGTTAGAACTTTTTGACATTTTGCCTTTAATTGACAATAAAAGCTAACAAATTAAATCAAATTCAGTGTGGGGATAAAAAGAAAAATAAGCCAAAAGTGAAGTGATAAATGACATAATATCCTGAGGCACAAGTAAAATCTGCTCCTTTCAAGGCAGACAATATTATCAAAATGTCTTAGCACTGTGAAAACACTGGAGTAGTTTAAATTATGCAAAAAACTCTGTATTTCATAAACTATCCAAAGACACAACGCTAGAGGTGTTTAGCAGCCATGCTAATGTAAACAAAGATTATATAATTTGCCCTGAAATTGACCAAGGACTCAAGTGCACCAAACTTACATTAATTATAACCCTGCCCCCTACTCTCAGCAGATGACTTCTTCTCTTTACCAAAATCGAAGCCATAGGCCCAAGTCCTTATTTTCTCGCCTAACCAGCCATGCTCTTTCCTTCACTCCCATCTCATGCCCTCTCTGCTTCTTAGTTAATCCTTTTAACTTCGCTGTTCTCCAGCTTTCAGTCTACACTGGCGTCTCGCCTCTGCTTTCAAACACATGCACGACTCCATAGCTCCCTAACTGTGTCTCTTCCTTTCTCTGACAGGTTCTAAAACAAGTTCTCTGCAGCTATTTTCTTACCATACACCTTTCCCCATAACCTTCTATAATCTGACTACTAAAACTGTATTGTGAAAAATCACAAATCTTCAGCAATTTCTTTTCTTTTCTTTTTTTTTTTTTTGAGACAAAGTCTCGCTCTGTTGCCCAGGCTAGAGTACAGTGGTACAATCTTGGCCCACTGCAGCCTCCGCCTCCCAGGTTCACGCAATTCTCCTACCTCAGCCTCCCAAGTAGCTGGGATTACAGGCGCCCACCACCACACCTGGCTAATTTTTGTATTTTTAGTAGAGATGGGGTTTCACCATGTTGGCCAGGCTGGTCTCGAACTTCTGACCTCAAGTGATCCACCCACCTCGGCCTCCCAAAGTGCTGGGATTACAGGCGTGAGCCATCACACCCAGCCAATTTCTATAGCCTCTTCTGAATTCTCATTATTCTTTACTTGTCAGCAGGAAGAAGGACCTCTCTGAGGAGGTGATCTTGAGCAAAGACTGGAAGGGTGAGTAGGAATTAAGTATGCTAGTGATGGGTGTGTGGGAATATTCTAGAAGGAATATCATATTTAAAAAAAAAAAGAAAGAAAAAAACCCTGGGGTGAGAAAGAGCTAAGCTTCTTTGAAACCCATGTGGATGGAGCAGAGAGAAGGGGAGGCCGGCTCTTGAAGAACAGGGACAGGAGTGGGAAACATGAAGCAGTTCCACCTGCAGAGTGCCATTGTCTGCTGTCCTTTTTTTTCTTCTTTTTTCTTTTTTTTTTTTGAGGTGGAGTCTCACTCTCTTGCCCAGGCTGAAGTACGATGGCATGATCTTGGCTCACTACAACCTCCACTGCCTGGGTTCCAATGATTCTCCCACCTCAGCCTCCCGAGTAGTTGGGATTACAGGTGTACACCACCATGCCCGGCTAATATTTTGTATTTTTAGTAGAGACGGGGTTTCACCATGTTGGCCAGGCTGGTCTCGAACTCCTGATCTCTGCCCACCTCGGCCTCCCAAAGTGCTGCGATTACAGGTGTGAGCCACACTGTCCATTTTTGAAAGATCATGCAGGCTATAGCTTGGACAATGAATTAGAGGAAATAAAACTAAAAGTCATGGTGATCAGATCTAGAGCCCTGGTGGTATAGAGAAGAGGGACATTCAGAAGTAGTGTCAGCTGCAGCAGGAGCGTGGGACATGTGAATACAGTGGTGAAGACAGGAAGGAATCACTGAGGATAAGGGAGGAGAAGTTATCAGAGAAACAGCAACCCTTCTGCCCAGTGTAGGATGCTCAGCTGGCCCTGACCAGCAGACGCATGTTAACTGTGCCCTTGGTATGGGACGTTCACCAGCCATGGTAAGGTGCTCATGCGCAGGCATAGGGAAGGTGGAGGCAGAGTTCCTCTAAGTTTGAGACTGATGGAAGAATGAAGGAGTGAGCAGTTAAGGGTATTCATGAGTGAGTGACTATAATGCCAGGCCAGGGATTGGATAAAGGATGTAAAAACAGGAGTGGTGTCTGTGGATGGAGAGAAAATACAGGGAATAATGATTGTATGGAGACAGACAGACAGACCAGGAACTGGCTGCTGGTCTTCACGTGCAGGGAGAGGGATACAGGGAAGGGGAGCTGAAGGTTGCCAAGAGGAAGATGAGGTAGTGAAGACTGATGATGTGATTTCAAAAAAGAAAGGGCTTACAAGAAAGAGCGGAGCAGTCGTCCTGAATGACACAAGGAGGAAAGTAATCCCACCTCCTGTCTTGGAGGTGCGTGTGGTATGAGAACAAAACTACCCTAAGGTTTTAGTTAGGGTAAGTAATTAGTGGAACATTCCAGAAAAGGCTGATACAAAAGGCTGTTGGTCTGAAAGTGGGCAATACAGGGGGCACAGTGGAAGGGGCTGGGAGGCAGTGGAGAGATGACAGAGAAGGGTAGAGGACATAGAATTAGAAATAATGGAGGCTGGAGTGGCTCTCAAATACCGCAAATTCTCTCCGTCTCCACCAATAACATCTTAGACCAAACCCCGGCCACTGCATCTCTCAGGCAGACTGCCACGATACTCTGGCCTCCCCACATACATCTTCCATATCTCCAACTGGTTCTCCCCACTACAGCCAGAATAATCTTTGTAAAGATGAAACCAATCATTCACTAAACAGAGATGAAGGGGAAATAAACACATGGAAGTGCCGCCTGTTTTTGAAAAGTGTAAACTCCAAAAAAGACATGGAGCACGGAGTGTTTGGTATAAAAACATCATATGCCTCACCATTCCACCGTCACTTAAAGGCTAAATGCTAATTTAAACTATTGGCATTATAAATTTGAATTAACCAGGACAAGGCTTTGGTGGGTACAGTTCATGAAATTCATCTCAGTGTACTCTATTTTCTGAAAACTTTCCCCAGCTTAACCAAACATATCAGTTTGGTTGAAAATTATTTATAATTAGAATACACATGACAGGCCGGGCACGGTGGCTCACGCCTGTAATCCCAGCACTTTGGGAGGCCAAGGCGGGGGGATCACCTGAGGTTGGGAGTTCGAGACTAGCCTGCCCAAAATGGAGAAACCCCGTCTCTACTAAAAATACAAAATTAGCCAGGCGTGGTGGCACATGCCTGTAATCCCAGCTACTCGGGAGGCTGAAGCAGGAGAATTGCTTGAACCTGGGAGGCAGAGGTTGCAGTGAGCCGAGATCGCGCCATTGCACTGCAGCCTGGACAACAAGAGCAAAACTCCATCTCAAAAAACAAACAAACAAAAAGAATATACATAATACTGGTCGGGCGCGGTGGCTCACGCACCTGTAATCCCAGCACTTTGGAAGGCCAAGGCGGGTAGATTATGGGGCCAGGAGTTTGAGACCAGCCTGGCCAAGATGGTGAAACCCCGTCTCTACTAAAAATACAAAAATTAGTTGGGCGTGGTGGCGAGTGTCTGTAATCCCAGTTACTCAGGCGGCTGAGGTCACTGGAACCCGGCAGGTGGAGGTTGCAGTGAGCTGAGATCGTGCCATTGCACTCTACCCTGGGCAACAGAGCAAGACTCCATAAAAAAAAAAATACATACACACACACACACACACACACACAGATATTTAAAACAAGTTCAAAAACATGATTTGGCTGGGCACGGTGGCTCACGCCTCTAATCCCAGAATTTTGGGAGGCCGAGGCGGGCGGAGTACTTGAGGTCAACAGTTCGAGACTAGCCTGGCCAACATGGTGAAACTTTCTCTCTACTAAAAATATAAAAATTAGATGGGCATGGTCGTGGGCACCTGTAATCCCAGCTACTCAAGAGGCTGAGAACTGCTTGAACCTGGGAGGTGGAGGTTGCAGTGAGCTGAGATCATGCCACTGCACTCCAGCCTGGGCGACAGAGCGAGACTCCGTCTCAGAAAAAAAAAAAAAACCATGATTTATGTCCTATTTCAAGAAGGCATCTCCCCACATGTCATAATCCACCTATCACTCTGGATTCCATTAAAAGCATTTCACTGCATTTGTGGTACAAATAACGCTGAAGTGGAACATTTTCCATGAGTTGTTTGGAACATTCGATTTTCCTATCTACGTCATCATAGGGAAAAAGAAAGTACACACCCTAAATTAATTTGACATTTGAGAGATATTACTGACATCCTTTACCATTAAAAAACAAAAAAGAAACACTTCCTCAGAGATACCTCATGACATAGTTAAAATATTATAGCTTCTATTACAACAAGCACCTGCTAAACATTTAATTTTATTCAACTTTAGAAATGTAAAACTTACAAAACAAAATATTTGCCAAAAAACTATTTCCAAAAACAATAAACTTTAGGAAGACAGAGGCTGTAAAAAGTGTTTTCGATTCACCTCATAAGTCATTCTTTTTGTCATACACAAATTCCAAGTTTTTTCTTTGTCATCAAATGTTAAGGAGATTAGCATTGTGCAGAGTGAAAATATAAAATAAAAACCCCGGTATTCTGCTATTTTTAAAAAGACTTTGATCATATATCTTGCTTCTACTTCTGAAGATGATATGAAGGATAAAAAACCGATTTGTTGGTCAAGTTATATCTAATTCTCAGAAAGGAATAACTAGTTCCTGCTCCTGTAATAGACTTTCATAGTATATCTTAGAAGTGACTGTTCTGCACAAACTGTGGAAAAAGATCTGTACATTTCTGATTGCTTTGTTTTGTTTTGGAGACAGGGTCTCACTCTGTCACCCAGGCTGGAAAGCAGTGGTGGGATCCAGCTCACTGCAGCCTCAACCCCCTGGGCTCAAGCAATTTGCCCACATCAGCGGGTTGAGTAGCTGGGGTTACAGATGTTTGCCATCATGCCTGGCTAATTTTTTTTTTTTTTTTTTGTAGAGGTGTGGTCTCACTATGTGCCCAGGCTGGTCTCGATCTCCTGGCCTCAAGCAATCCTCTCACCTGAGCCTTCCAAAGTGCTGAGATTACAGGCATGAGCCACTGTTTTCTGATTCGACTTGTGGGCTAGAAAGAATCCTAGAAATAATACACTCCAACTCAACGCTCTCCTCCTCCCATTTTACATCTAAAAAAGTTAAAGAGCCATATAAATTATGTAATTTATAGGGGCAATTACCTTGCAATACTCCTTAGAGTATTTCACTTAAGTTCACATGTGAAAAGCAAAATAGCAAATGTAATCTAAATATGAAGATATAGTGCTTGTATACAGTAGATGCTCACTGCATATTTGCAAGACTGTTTTAGAGATGGAGATGTTTATTGCTTCTTTTTAGTTCTTATCATTTAACTACTGCTAACAAAAAGTATGATTATTAACTTATATATCAAATAGATGATGTATATCCCATTCCCCATTAACAAAGAACTTTGTATGCTATGCAGTTAATTACACTGTGACATTACCACCATCCAACGTTATTATAGTTCACTAAATTCTACATAAACTGCAACTAGAGATGTGAAGCACAAACATACTTTAAAATTCTAAAAAGCCAAGATGCTGACAATAAGCACATAAATTTCCAATTATTTAATAGATCTAATAACGTTGCTAAGTCACTCGCTTCAGTGCTGATTTCTAGGCAAAGCATGACAAAACTCAAACAATTTAATGCTCTTATAATAATTGATTCTTAATGTTTTAGTATAAACTGTAACACAGTTTTAAACCTTAACATAACACAAAAAGGGGAGGCTTTCTTTACCCTGCTTTCCTATTTACTAAAATATTATTTCAAAACAGAGCTATCATACCTCTAGTGACCTCCCAGAGGGAAATGAGATGGTTGTTTTATACAAACAAAAGGAGGCAACCATTTTTATAAGTTTGCTCTTTATCACCATCACCTTGGAAACAGCCTTTTATTTCTCTCCCAAATATATATGTAATAATGACAAAAACATCAAGAGGAATTACACATAATGATAGTGAAGATCTGTCAATCTGTCACAAAAGATTATATTAAATATCCATGTGTTATAAATGTAATTAAATATATCTCAAAGGATGTGAATTGCAAAAACAAATTTTAGGTATTGGTCTACAATCAGTCAGGTTGGCTAGTTTCTGTTTAATTATCACCTCATTAATTGATCAGTAACAACTTTAATTTCAGTTTTACGGTCTACAAAAATATCCTACATTATTTTGCCCACAGTTTAATTATAGTAGTAGTTTCTTTTGGATTGGTGTGATAAGGTCATTCTCTGCAGATCACACTGTAAATTATATCAGCTTAATGAATAACTCCAGGTAGATGAGTTCTTTACATAAAGAACAATTGAAACTGCCTTTCGCTCCCCTACCTGATTATGGTGGAATCCTGTGTTTCTATGCAGTATTGCCGTGAATGGTCGCAATGCTTGTGTTTGAACCTCAGTTCCACAAGTAACCTAATTGTTCATGTGTCCATTTTCTCATATGTAAAATGCATATTCAAGGAGTGGTTGTGAGGAATGAAGTCAAGCCCTTAGAACAGCACCTAGTACATAATAAGCCCTCAATGAATGCTGGCTGTTGGTGGTAGTTCAACTTAGTGACGCTCTATACTCCTCCCCAAAAATGATTATTAGAGATCTATTTTTCTCCTTTTCCAAGCATGCCTACTTTTACTGTTCTTCAATTTTTCTTGTTCTTCACTAATATCTCCTCCATTATTTATTCTCTTAATTTCATCAGATTCCTATTAGTATGCTTTTGCTTTTCATATGTATTTTGCTACCACTGATGTCCTCCAATAAATCCCATTACCTAAGCTGGTGGTTTACCACCACAGAATACATCTATTGTCTAAGTGGACTATAAGACGTCCATAAAAATGGCTACGTATTTCCTTTGCCTAATTCCCACACATTGTGACTGTGATGTGCTGTTTCTTGTTAATCCTACCTACTTTATATTATTATCTGTGACTGTTTAGCATTCTAGTACTATCCTTAGACACTCAGAATTTCCCCTAGTAGTCCATGTCTCCTGGCCAACAATAAATGCATTTGATATTCTGTTTTCTATGCTCCTATCTACCAAGGATTTTCCAGCAGGTTTGCATTCTGTTTTTTAGCCTCTGGGGCCACCAGTGACATTATTCCTAATATGTACATACTAAAATATTAATTATATTTTACATTATAATACAAATAACATGTTTAATAGTTTTATGTTTCTATCTTAAATTTATTTGCTACAATTTTATTCCCAAAATAATTGGTGGATTACAAATTGATTAACAGGATTCTTTTGTAAGCATGAACAATAAAACTCCTTTTTCTTTTCATTTGTTTGCTATCATGGTTTGTCCAATTTCTTTGATAGGTAAAGGTGAGATATAGAAACTGATGCCCCAGACCCACTCATCACATACATCCACAGAATAAGCTAACAATCAGCCGTTTACTCTGTGCCCATTACATCTCAAGGAAGACCCTGGTTTAAAAAAAAACAAAACTAACTATCCATTAGGTTGATCATAATAAAGCATGCACTTGTACAGAGTATACAGGGCACTATCAGCTGTAAGCCACCGCCATGACCTTACTTTTAACTGTTAAATTTACAGTTACCAGTGTCCTTTTATTGCACCTAATAAGAAATAGAAAAATGGTATAGTTAGCCTCTATTGTTCTAATAAACATCCTGGGGAGGTATTTCTTTGTATCTTGTTTGTTTCTTGTAAAACAATTTCAGATATACATAAAAGTTATAGCAATAGTACACGGAGTTCCCTTACACCCTTCACCCAGATTCCCTAGCTGCTAACATTTCTGAGCAGTAAAGAATACATTTTATGATGTCCCATTACCCTTTAATACTTCCGCATTTATTCCCAAGTACAAGGACCCTCTCCTTAGTGAATGTGAACAGAGTCTGTGAACTAGATGGCAATACTGGAGTAATAGTAACTTCCTGATGTTGTTGACTGCACTGTGCTATCAACAACATTTTGCTGTCACTAACATTTTGTCGACAGCACAGTGCAGTCAACAAAACAGGAATTTACTATTAACCCAATATTACCAACTAATCCACAAACTCTATTCAAATTCTAATAGCCCTAATAATGTCCTTTATGGTATGTCTAAGATCTAATTTAGGTTCATACATTTAGTTTTCATGTCTCTTTGGTGTCTCTCTCAACCTGAATAGTTCCTTAACTTTGCTTGTCCTTCATGATTTTCCTTGTGCTATGGACTGAATGGTTGTGTCCCCTCAAAATTCATATGATAAAAGCCTAACTCTCAATATGACAGTATGAGGAGACAGGACCTTTGGGAGGTAATGAGGTGGTGGGGGTGGAGCCCTCCTGATGGCATCAGTGCCCTTATAAGAAGAGACACAAGAGCTGCTTCCTCTCCCTCTGCTCTCAGCCATGAATGAACACAGCAAGAAAGATGGCCATCTGCAAACCAGGAAGTGGGTCCTTACCAAACACCGGATCTGCCAGCACCTTGATTTTGGACTTATCAGCCTACAGAACTGGAGGAATAAATGACTGTTGTTTAAGCCACCCATTCTACGGTATATTTATTATAGCAGTCCAAATTGACTAAGACACTTTCCAGACTTGCAGGGCATAGACCAGTTAATTTGGGAAAATGTTTCCTCTTGATTAATGTATTTTTATCTGGAATACCACAGAAGTAATGTTGTGCTTTTTTCAGCATCAAATCAGGAGGCACAGCCTGGTCAACATAGCAAAACCCTGTCTCTATTAAAAATACAAAAAATTAGCATGGCTTGGACACCTGCAATCCCAGCTACTTGGGAGGCTGAGGCATGAGAATCACTTGAACCTGGGAGGCAGAGGTAACAGTGAGTCAAGATCGTGCCACTGCACTCCAGCCTGGGCAACAGAGCAAGACCATGTCTCAAAAAAAAAAAAAAAAAATCAAGAGGCACACCTGTCCCATTACCAGTAAGGTTACTTTATTACTGGTTAAGATGGTTTCTGCCAAGTTTGTAAAGTTAAGCCCTAAGCAAATACATCTAAATCTGTTTCTGTGTCTACTGATTAAAAAAAAAATGACTTCACATTGATACCTCTGATTCCAAACATTTCAACAATGTAGGATTTATTTTAACTTTCCCCTATTCTATATTTGCAACTCCCTTCAAAGACAGACAGTGAGAAACTGCCTCACATTATCTGGCTAACTAACAAGTTTGCTACTATTTTCTTTCACAATTTGTCTGACATACACATAAATCTTCTACTTTAAATATATTTCACAGTAGGTCAAAGAGTATATATTATAGAAAAAAATATGACAGTGCTTTAACAAAAAAAACAGTCAACCGATTTGACACTAATGCAAAATTTAATAAGAAACGAGTTTCTCTTGGGGAAAAAAAAGAGTGTGCTAGGTTGTCAGTGGACATGGGTTTGGGAATTTAGGATACTGCAATTCAACAAACTTTAAAAAAAATAGCATCAATTTACAGGACTGCAATACGTGCTATAAAATACTTCAGAATAAAAACAGTGGTGTGCAAGGAGAGGTCCGCAAGAACTGCACATGGTGCTCACTACACTAGTAGCTCCACTGTGTGTAGACTTTACAATTTTCCTGGCAGGCTGGGCGTGGTGGCTCAAGCCTGTAATCCCAGCACTTTGGGAGGCCAAGGCAGGTGGATCACGAGGTCAAGTGATCAAGACTATCCTGGCCAACACAGTGAAACCCTGTCTCTAATAAAAATACAAAAATTAGCTGGGCATCACGGCATGTACCTGTAGTCGCAGCTACTCAGAGGGCTAAGGCAGGAGAATTGCTTGAACCCAGGAGGTGGAGGTTGCAGTGAGCTCAGATCATGCCAATGCACTCCAGCCTGGGGACAGAGCGAGACTCCGTCTCAAAAAAACAAAACAAAACAAAACAACAACAAAAACAAAAAAAATTTCCCTGGCAAAAAATTAAGGAAAATAGATAATTAGTCAGGCTATTTGGACAGTCACGTTTTGTACCAAAGAATCCCAGTCCATATAGTACATTAATTAGCAAACCAATTTGGCCATAGAAACGGGTTTGTTGAATCATATCACAAGTACGGGTGACAGGCTGGGCATGGTTGCTCACGCCTGTAATCCCAGCACTTTGGGAGGCTGAGGTGGGTGGATCACTTGAGGTCAGGAGTTCAAGACCAGCCTGACCAACATGGTGAAACCCCGTCTCTACTAAAAATACAAAAATTAGCTGGGCATGGTGGCATGCCTGTAATCCCAACAGCTACTCAACAGGTTCAGTTGCTTGAACCTAGGAGGCAGAGGTTGCAGTGAGCTGAGATCATGTCATTGCACTCCATCCTGGGCGACAGAATGAGACTCCATCTCAAAAAAATAAATAAACGAGTGGGGGTGACAAAAATGGCCAACTCTAAAAGACACACTGATATAGTTTGGACAGTTGTCCCTGTTCAAATCTCATGTTGAACTGTAATCTCCACTGCTGGAGGTAGGGACCAGTGGGAGGTGTTCCGATCATGGTGAGATAGCCAGGCGGGAAGGGGCCCCTGGAAAAACTCCAACTGGCCTGTGCACTGGGGTGGAGCCTCAGGAAGTCCTCACCATCTGCACCGTTTGGCCCCTCCTCTTCCTATGTGGAAGTAGGAATTTAAGCTGTGGGTGAGAAGCACTCTAGCAGGAACTCTGGCCTCGCTGA
Source organism: Homo sapiens (assembly GCF_000001405.40). Lineage (NCBI taxonomy): Eukaryota > Metazoa > Chordata > Mammalia > Primates > Hominidae > Homo > Homo sapiens. Next base: position 100,409,457 of record NC_000013.11, on the reverse strand, counting down.
GTCCCTGTTCCCCCTTTTTTTCCCTTTTCACCCTATAAAACCCTGCCTTACTCCCATTCAAACTGCAAGCCTGAATTCTTCTGGCCATGGGACAAAGAACCTCATCTTTAGCCGAACTAAGGAAAAGTCCAGGAACCATTTTTGGCGCCCAATGTGGGGCTCAAGAAGCAGTGAGTGAAATGGGGACTCAAAACCTTTCACTGTGGCTCCTAAGCCTTTTTATCCTGAGATTTCTGAGGGTGGAGGAAACTGTGCCCCCACCGCCTGCTGCTCCCAGGGGTTGAGAACCAACCCGACCTTTCCATAGCCCTTTTCTTCCTTTTTTGGGAGGGACCAGAGAGCAGCAGCTCCCTACCTCCCTCCTCCACTGCTGAGGCTTGGACACATGGTCCAAGGGCACCCGGGGTGGCTGGCTGGCATTTTCTGCCACGAGCCACTGGAGCCTTCCCCTTCCCCAGCCAAGGGTTTCAACTCCATCGGACAGTAATTAAGCTTAAGCTTCTCTCCTCGGTGAAAGAACCACTTGCATGAGAATAAAAGGTTCTTTCCTAGGCATTTTTTAACCTGCTGTTGTTTTGTTGTTGTTTTTTTCCTACTTTACCCTGTCAACAGTTAACTTTTAAGTTTTTTCTCTTTTAGAAAACACTTTACTAGGCCAGACCCCCACCCCGGAACTATCACTGTTTGTATTCTCTGCAAGGTGTTGGTTGTGAAATCAGGCTTCCATCTTGTTTTACATCCTGAGGGCATGGCTTCTAACTCCAGTGGCAAGGCTTTGTTTAGCAATCCTGCCTTAGGGGATGAGCCCTCTCTGGTTCCATATCTGCATGTCTTCCTAGCCCTGTCTCTTAAAGGGCCCCACCCAGTGACTGGGTTTTCTTTTGCCTGTCTGTGTATATACTGTGTGTGGTATCTGTAAAAAGAGCTCTAATTAATTTGGCCTAAACAAAGACAAGCACTTGGATCTAATATTTTTTAAAGGGAAGATAAAAACTGTGATACCTTTCAGTTCACGTGACTTTAATCATTGAGAAACAAAAACAGCCTTAAGGATTATTGGTAAAGAGCAGATGTTGTCAAAATGTAAATAGGTGGACTAAACAATGCAGGTCAGATACAAAGTTTGCTAAGTATTTTGAGGTTACAAGCTGCTTTTTGAGTTTTAAGAACTATTTGACTTGCTGGCTTCACAACTGGTAAGGGCTGGGGACATATAACCATGCTCTTAATTAAGAAGGCAAACCTTGGCAGCACTTAGCACACAATTAAACAATTAAAACAACTTATCAAGTTTGTTTGTTTGTTTAAGACGGAGTCTCACTCTGTCACCCAGGCTGGAGTGCAGTCGTGCAATCTTAGCTCACTGCAAGCTTTGCCTCCTGGGTTCAAGAAATTCTCCTGCCTCAGCCTCCACAGTAGCTGGGATAACAGGCGCCCGCCACCATGCCCAGATAATTTTTTGTATTTTTAGTAGAGACAGGGTCTCACCATGTTGGTCAGGCTGGTCTTGACCTCCTGACCTCAGGTAATCCACCCACCTCAGCCTCCCAAAGTGCTGGAATTACAGGCATGAACCACCATGCCCAGCCCCAAGTTTTAAAAAAGTTAAAAATTGCTAGGAGTTACTATTATAACATGTAATTAAGACTACTGGAAATAGATTTACATGCAAGGTATGTAAGAACAGTAAAATGTGTTTTTTAGCAAAAGGTTACAAGGAGGCATGGAAATATAAATTTTTGTCTAGGTTAAAGGACAGTTTTAAATTAGGAAAAAGCTGAAGGTTCAAACAAGTGGTGGAAGAATTGTGGAAATGAATCTTGCAGAAGAGGTTCTCTATGTGAACATATTGACTAAATTCCAAAAGGTATAATATGGTTTTTCTGTAGATTGAGCATTGAAATAAAAACACAACAAGGTTTTTGTAAGGCGCTAATCTGCTCTTTGGCAAAATTCGTAAAGGGCTATAAAAGGTTTTTACTTATTTAAAACTTCTGAGTCATTACTTTGGCAAAATAAATAATTTATGGTAATCTGGAATTCTATTTTATAACACAAAGTATTTAAACCTTGAACGTTTAACGGCCTTCTCAAAATCAAACTTCAGTTTCAAAATTGTCTTTCCTGACAACTGGCTTTTCGGATAGTCCAGAGGGCCCCTGGAATGTCCAGAAAGAGAGGTAAACAGGATTATTTAACATGTTTAGTTTACATGGGATTGCCAAAATGATGTTCAATCTTCTTTAGGTTATATTTTTGTGAATAATGCTAATATGTGTTCCCAAATTGTATGGGATTTCTAAAATTCTAATGTCCAAGTATATGCTATTAATCATAATTAAGGTTGTTATGTTAAGTTATTGTAAACCATGGAGATAACCGAACTTCTTTGTCAGTTGTGTTTCTAACTGTAACTACCCTGGATATTTAGCTATTCACAGCAATTGTTGTCTTGTTTTAATCCTTTTCAAAAGATGGTTTATAATAAGCTATAGAATTTTAACAGGTCCTCTCAAATACAGGCTTCTAATAACTTTGAAGATTGTAACATTAAAATAAAGGAAAAAGTACAAGACTCATAAAGAGCTGAAGTGTTCACAAATATCAAGCAAAACAAGAGAACTTAATGGAGTGAACTCAGAAACCTGAAGCAACCTTTTTGACTTTTGCTTGGAATATTGCTGATCCTTGTTTAGTTTTTCAGAGTCAAGGAAACTTATTTTGAACTATTTTTCTCTTTTTTTGGGTGGGGAGACAGTTTCACTCTTGTTGCCCAGCCAGGCTGGAGTGCAATGGCATGATCTCAGCTCACTGCAACCTCCACCTTCCCGGTTCAAGCGATTCTCCTACCTCAGCCTCCTGAGTAGCTGGGATTATAGGCATGTGCCACCACACCCAGCTAATTTTGTATTTTTAGTAGAGATGGGGTTTCTCCGTGTTGGTCAGGCTGGTCTCGAACTCCTGACCTCAGGTGATCTGCCCACCTTGGCCTCCCAAAGTGCTGGGATTACAGGCGTGAGCGGCCGCACCCGGCCAATTTTGAACTGTTTACGGACTTTAATAATTAAGTAAGGTATACACTACTGTGATGAAGGTTTGGAGCATGTTTGTTTCTCTCTTCCTGCTTCCTCTAGAATTTGGAAACTATCTGTGAGTGTTCTTAACTTATGACAAAATAGTTGTTTGCATCAGTGTAGTAAGAATCCATTTTTCTTTTGCAACAGGACACAATTGGAGAAAGTGGTTATTTTACCAAGGCTTTCACTGTGAAAGGAGTGAATCTTGACTTGCAGAGCCAGTAAGAGCCCAGTGGGGAAAATGGCCTCATACCCCTGTCTACGCAGTCCCTGTAAAGGGTTACTGACCTGTGGTCAGTAAGTAATGTCACTTTCTGGTGGGGCGCAGTGGCTCATGCCTGTAATCCCAGCACTTTGGGAGGCCGAGGCGGGTGGATCACGAGGTCAAGAGATCGAGACCATCCTGGCCAACATGGTGAAATCTTGTCTCTACTAAAAGTACAAAAATTAGCTGGGCATGGTGGCGCACACCTTTAATTCCAGCTACTCGGGAGGCTGAGGCAGGAGAATCACTTGAACCCAGGAGTTGGAGGTTGCAGTAAGCCGAGATTTACTGCACTCCTGCCTGGCAACAGAGCAAGACTCCATCTCAAAAAAAAAAAAAAAAAAAAGAATGTCACTTCCTAACAGGTCCAGGAGCTCCAAGTTTAGCTTGGGACCTTAAAAGGAGAGGACCACCCAACTCGCAAGTATTTGAGGATAGAAAGCCATGGCTGGGCTCGGCTTAAAAGGTCTTATCTGAGATTCCTTGTGGAATAGACATCCATCAAAGCCAATCCAAAAGGCCTATGTAGAAATAATTATTCTTGTTGCATTTTATGCAAATATTCAGGCAAAGAATAAGACTAAAGTCTACTTTGCAAACCACTCAGTCCTATCATAATTTTTTTTTGTTTAACAAAAATGAGGACTGGAGAGAAATTATGTTCCAAAACTTATCATACATTTGTCATTAAATTCTAAACTCACTAGTTGTTTTTAAGTTTTCACCTACATTTTAGACTAACCCTGCTTGTTCCTGTAAACCAACCAGCAATCTCTGGCTGCAGCTCAGAAAGAACAAGAGGGATGGGTAATGTAAAAGTCTGGATCAATATTCTAGTTCTGAGCAATTATCCTGTAAATCCTGCCAGGGGATGGGAATAAATAGGATGCCCATCACTCCGAGGTTTCCTTTGGGTAAAGTAAGACCAAGGGAGTGAACCAAAGCCAAGCACCATGCACCCAAATCCTAGCAAGCATAACTACAGTCACCAGTTATCTGGGTGTGTCACAAGACATGCTTTCCTCTCCCTTGTTGGAGGAGGACTCAGTTCCACAGTTTCACCTTAGTATTCCACTTATGGTAAGGAGTCCACACAACTCCCCTCGAGACACATTTGTGTTCCCGACTCAATTCCAAGCTTCGGGTCAAAGCCCTAGAAAGAAAACTGGATGTAAGGGATCCAGAGGCAGATGACAACACCAAGGTTAAAAGGCACAGCACAGGTGAGAGTGGCTGATTCCTGCTGATTAAGCCAACCCCAAGGCTTCCTGTTTCATGGATAAAGGCCACATTAGTATCCATGGCATACAGAATTCAAAGCTACTGACAGCAGGGGAGATAGGGCGTTACGTGGGTAAGAGTGGATGATTCTCACCCCCTAGGCCCCCTGCTTCACCGGTGCAAGTTGATTTGACAGCCATGGCAGCACCTACCAAGGTTGCTGGGATTCAGGGATGCAAGGATAGAAGAAAGGAAAGAGGATGCTCTCTCTTCTCTCCCTCACTAACCCTGAGTATCTGCTAGGAAGAGAAGGGAACCAGGGACACCTGCTCCCCTCTTTCTAGATAGGTAGCCATTCATCTTCAGTTTGTACGCCTTTTGAATGCATCCGGGACCCCCAGGACTCCTTTGAAAAAAAACGCCTTCTTTTCTTCTTTCTCCTCCTCAGTTCTCTCTTTGCAAATAGGTAATTGTGTCTCTATACTATGATACACTCACCTCAGATGCATCCTCCAAGCTGGAAAGAGTTAATTTCCCAAACCTTAAACGGGTTGGCTTAGGACTGGGCTCAGGGGAAGGGAACCCAGAAGCCCAACATGCCAGCAAAAGTGTGAAGTTTTCCTGACCAGTCGGGCTTTTGGCCTCCTTCTCCCTGTGCAAACTGGTAAAAGGCCTAATTTTTTAGCTATCTTTACCCGTCCTCTGGTTTCCTTTTGATACATGTTTTCTAACAACCCGGTTTGTCTGTTCTTGCCTTCAGGCCATCAAACTCCAAATGGTCATGCAACTGGAGACTCTGACAACGGCCCCTTCTGCCGGGAACGCTTAGATAGGCCTTTGAGGGATCTCTGACTGCTGTTTCCCCAAAACAGCATCCCCTGTCAGCAGGAAGCAGTTAAGATCGGTCTTTGTCCTTATCCGTATTCTAATGGCAGTTAGATGTACTTCTTTAGAGGGGAGAATGAGACAGCCAGGTGGGAGGGAGGGGGTTCTTGGAAAAATTCCAACCAGCTGCGCACTGGGGTGGGGCCTCAGGAAGTTCGCAGTGTTTGCAGCAGGGAGGAACCTGGCCCCTCCTCTTCCTGTGTGGAACCAAACATTCAAGCTGCAGGCAGGAAGCACTGTAGCAGGACTCTGGCCTTGAAGAGTCCCTGTTCCCCCGTTTTTTTTCCTTTTCACCCAATAAAACCCTGTCTTACTCACCATTCAAATTGTCTGTGGGCCTGAATTTTCATGGCCATGGGACAAAGAACCCCATCCTTAGCTAAACCAAGAAAAAGTCCTGCAACAATGGGGGTGGATTCCTCATGAATGACTTGGGCCATCTCCTTAGTGAAATCTGGTCATTTAAAAGTGTGTGGCACATCCCCACCCCCGCTCACTGTGGTTCTCACCATGTGATGCACCTGCTCCTCTTTGGCCTTCCACCGTGATTGGAAGCTCCCTGAGACCTCCCCAGAAGCAGATGCTGCTATGCTTCCTACACAGCCTGCAGAACCATGTGCCAACTAAAACCTCTTTTCTTATAAATTACTCAGTCTCAGGTATGTCTTTACAGCAGTGTGAGAAACGGCCTAACACACATGCCAATAACTGAGTGTTGTTTGTTTGGCCCTTCCCAACCCCCAACTATTACCTGACATCTCTCTCATCTATCTCCCCAAATTTTGTTCTCAACTTCTAAGCTGAATGTGAACTCTTTTCCTTCCCATTTCTTTTACTACTGACAATCCCATCAAACAAGAAAACCTTCCCAAAGCCCCATCTCCAACCTGCTACAGTTGTATTCACTTCGATAGACCAGTTACAAATGTGGCTTTACTGTGTCTTACAAGTTTTCTCAGTTCAAAATCCTTCTTGGCTTCTGGTTGCTTAATTAAAAAAAAAAAAAAAATTAAGTTCTCCACATGGTCCTCTGGGTCTTCTGTACTAATGGTCACAATCTAACTATCATTTCAATTTTTCTTCCCACTTTCTCTTACATTCAGCAAATGTGCACAGGCACTATATCCTAAACTTTAGTCCTACTATTTTTTAAATTTGGACTAGCCAATTCAGCCTAACAGAATTCTACCATCCATCTTCCATGACCTGACACCTATTCTATTCATTTTGTTCAGTTTGCTCTTGATTTTCTGCCTCATCCCCCCTGCCCCTACCAATACCACCCACCCATACCACCCCTTGCCCACTGCTAAATAGGGCTGGGTCTTTCCTTGCTCTGAATCTCTGTAACACTTTATATCTCAATGTACTTATCAGAGTAAGCCTTATATTACAATCATTACTGTATTAATCTCAACACCTCCAAACTAGGCTGGAAGTTCGTGAGGGTGGGCATTATTCCTTCATGGCCCTCATGAAGAACTCAGCACAGTGCCCTGATCTTGAAGAACGACAGATCCTTGATAAGTATCTATTGTATTAAAATAAAAATTATCTAATTAAATTAGAGAGAAAATCTAACTTATATTTATAATTATAGGATTGCTAAAAAACTATGTTTTAAACTAAAATATAAAAACTGACACAAGCATCGTGGCTCACTTTCATTATCTTAATGGATGTTTTCCAGCTAAGTGTTTTTTACATTTGATTGTTGACCACTGACAACATGGTTCTTTAAAAAAAAAACAAAAAACAAAAAACAAAAAACTCTTCAACATAGCTTTTGTAAGACTAATAAAGCAACTTTTAAGTCAAAATATTTTCAGTTGTAATGTCCTATAAAGTATTATAATGGTTGTATTTAAAAATCCATATATGCTTACAATAGCAGATTACAGTTATTCCAGCTATATAAAGGACTCTATTATGCACTTTTACAATACAAAATCTACAAGGGATCCACACAGAGGTAAACATCTCATCACCACGCACACGTATACACCCCAGCATACTTACCATAGCTCATTTAATGAAAGGCAGGCAATAAGAAAAGATTTTGAAACAAATTTAAAATGCTACTTAAAATTCTATCCCAATACTAAGGTTTCACTTTCACGTCTACAAAAAAAAAATTATCTATTCAAGTTGTTAGATAAATCCTTCTAATTCTGCAAACAAAGTAAGACTATTCTATTATTTGTGAAACTGTGCTCCCAAACTGAAAGGAGAATAAGATTGGCACTTTTTCAGGAGTCTTGAAAAACAGCATGTCTAATATATATTGGTTTTGGTAGCACTTACCAGAAATTGTACACAGAACATGGCCAAACTGAAAACTAGTAAGGAAAGGAATGAGTAGAAAATGACTGGGAATGGTACAAAAAATAATGAGCAAGCTACATTCACTCATGAAGGCCTCCCAAGATACAATTAAAAAAAAATAAAAAAAACACAAAAAAACAGTTGGCTGGGCACGGTGGCTCACGCCTGTAATTCCAGCACTTTGGGAGGCCAAGGTGGGTGGATCACAAGGTCACGAGTTCGAAAGCAGCCTGACCAACATAGTGAAACCCCATCTCTACTAAAAATACAAAAATTAGCCAGGCATGGTGGTGCACGCCTGTAGTCCCAGCTACTCGGGAGGCTGAAGCAGGAGAATCGCTTGAACCCAGGAGGCAGAGGTTGTGGTGAGTCAAGATCACGCCACTTCACTCTAGCCTGGGCAACAGAGTGAGACTCTGTATCAAAACAAACAAACAAACAAGCAACAACAACAAAAAAACAGTTAAAGTGTTTTTAGAGTTTAATTCCTTAGAAAGCTATAAAAAATCTAAAATATTTCAAGCAATGCTACTTTGAAATAAAAAAGGGAACACGTCAAGTCAATTCTCGGGATAAGCCAAAACCATGGGAAAAGAAACAATAGTCTGAAATATGATCTTGGTTTCTCTTCCTCTCCTTAGTCAAAGATCAGTATTTTGAACATATTCTAAAAAGTCCTAAAGAAAAGCACTTTCTTTTTGGAAAGTCTTTCTACAGAAGAAAAAGACATCATTACCTCTAACATAGAGAACTAAGATGAGGCCATGCCGGTGGCTCACGCCTGTAATCCTAACACTTTGGGAGTCCAAGGTAGGTGGATCACCTGAGATCAGGAGTTCGAAACCATCCTGGCCAACATGGTGAAACCCCGTCTCTACTAAAAATACACAAATTAGCCAAGCATGGTGGCGGGCACCTACAATCCCAGCTACTCAGGGGGCTGAGGCAGAAGAATCGCTTGAACCCAGTGGGTGGAGGTTGCAGTGAGCTGAGATCACGCCACTTCACTCCAGACTGGGCAAAAGAGCAAAACTCTCAAAAAAAAAAAAAAAAAGAACTAAAAAGAACTAAGATCAATCATCATATTACACCTAAAATTATCACCTAACACTTCTGTAAGTGTGAAGAGTGGTCTACATATAGTCACATATAGACACAAAGACCCACCCCAACACTATAATTCCCAACCCAAGAGCCATTCCTTTAATTAAGGCAGTGTCTTTAGAAAACTCCTATTAAAATCCACACTGCCTAGAAAATAACTCATTTATACATAAGCGCACAGAACAGCTTGTCAGGTGATGTAGTTCTCACTTTAGATGGGTACTTTTTGATAAAAGGAACTGGGGGAGAAAAGGCAGATCCTGGAAAGGAACTGGCAGGTATTGAAAAAACCTGACAACAGCAGAGGGTGAAGTCACCCCGCATACTAAACAAACAACCTTTCTGTTCTGGAAAATTGCAAACATATATAGAAACAGAAAGAATGGTTTAATAAACCTCTATATATCCATCACCCAAGTTCAAAACTTATCCACTCAAAGCCAATCCTGTTTTATCCATATCCCCACTGATTCACCCACCTGCTCCAAGACTATTAAGAAGCAAGTCCCAGTCGTCCTTTTGTTTCATCCATAAATTCAATGAATACTTTTTCTTAAGTTTAGCCTAACTCTTATGACATCCTCAAGCTTTTGGCAACAAACCACTCAAATAAATTAATTCAATATTCATTAATGATTGTTATCTCCTTTTTATTCCACACATTTACAGTACTTTGGTTTCTCTGAGCACTGGGAAGGGAGGTAGTGGGGGGAGGAAGTAGGCAACAGAGCAGATAGCTGTAAAAGGTTACCTGAAAAACAATCAGTCATCACATACACTGCATATTATGCTTTCTACAATTTCTATTCATTGAAGAATGAGGTCAGAATAAAGTGTTCCTGTTAGTCTGGGTCACAAAAGTAATTCAAGATGCATATAAAAATGCTTATTACCATTCAAGTTCTCTAAACCCATTCAACCATTCAGCCCTTTGCTTTCTGATAAGACTGCCAACAACTATGCCAATTAGTGTCAATTGCGATGCTAGATTTTGTAACATCTGCACCTGCCTACCAGTTAGTTTAGTGGGCAGAAAGAAATGAGTGATGGTTAGAAGGTCCAGCAATACTCAACTCTGTTCCTGAATTAACATTTACAAGTCTACAAATTCACCAATTGGCTTTTCAAAAAATATATTTTTGCAAATTAGTTTATATTTCTTTTAAGGAGGAGGGGCAAGTTTAGCCATTATAGTGTAAATTGTAACAATAATAATACTTTTTTTAAGCCTGAAGTTTTACAACTAAGAAAAATTTAATCTACAAGAAACTTAGTGAATTACAAATTCACGCCAAACAAAAATATATTTACAAATAATATGAAATAAAATATCTCAAATTTAGCAAATGCTAAACTTATGCATTTCATTTGAATACGTGAGTAATTTTTAAAACTACCTAGTCATATTTTTAGATATTTTCCCATTTTTGTATACGAGTTTAAAGTTTCTCTTTTATACTCTACAAAACAAAAATTAAGGCAAATATAAATAGGCAAAGCATATTTAACATGGAAAAAACCATGAATACCTCAAATTTGATTGTATTTCTTCAAATTAACCAATGCGTCTATTTCATCTTTTTTATGTTAAATATTCAGAATTAAAAAGAATACAATACTTCTGAAATATCCAGAACAAAATACAGCAATCTTTAATTTCTTCTTGAATCAAAATGCTTCACTTTATTATAATTAATAGTAAATTTTTAAATTTCACAACTGAAGCAAATTGCATGTAGTTGATGGAGCTTACGGGAAGTAATGTAGTGGTTAAAGACAAAGTGCATTACTAAAGAGAAATAAAAATTGCATGTCAATATCTAAAAGTATGGGAGATGTATATAATGTAGCACATTCTATCTAGTGTCATTACTTAAATTGCTACTTTTCCTCAACAGTCTATTCTCCAGCTCTAGCAAGTAGAATAAATGGTAATTTTACCTGCCAAATTTGGCACAAAAAAGGACAAGCAACTTCATTAACAGAACAATGCTTTCAATATGATTTTTTTCCCTTTTCCACCCAGTGCCAAATAGCGGAACAATTCAAATCAAGAGATCTAAGCAAAATTACCTCCTCTTGTTGAAGTTTTATATGCTTGAATAAGCAAATGATACATACAGAATGCTAGCAAGAATATCCTTCTAGCAAGTGCGTATATTTTTTGTATTGCAGCTTAATTACAAGCTGGAATGCTATACTCAACCAAGAATGAAACAACCTTCCCACTGAGGTAACGTTCTCAATGTGAGATGTGCTGTGGTATGCATATATGATCATTTAAAACCCAGTGGAATAGGTTGAACCTAAAAGACTTGATTTAGATTAAAATTTTGGTTAAAATATCAATTAATGCACCTAAACCAGTGGTATGAAATAAAATGGCACGGAGCTTCCTTCAATCTTTGTTAAGTTACACTACTGGAAACAACATCCACTCCCAGCAAGCTCACCAATTACTACCAGCTTTCACATTTCCTTGGTGTTTTTCGTAGCTGGTTGTAAACAAAATCATAAATCCTTCTAAGCTTTGTTTCAAATCTAATCACAAAAACATTTAAAACAACTCTTCTTCTAATCACGCTGAACCTGAATGATTAAAGAGACTTATGCCAGTTCTCAAATCATCATCACTAGGTTTTCAAAGCTAAAAAGAAGCACTTTTTGTCCAACTGGGGAATTTGGTAGCTGCTCACAAGTTTGTCTATGGTTATTTACAACAGAAGATTGTGCTATGTTTAATCTCCATCTAGTTTCCTTAATCTTGTTCTGAACGACAGTCACACAGCCAAACACAGTTTTTATTTTATAAAAACCACAAGCGATAAAACAAGCATAAACCCATTACCACGCTGCCACAATAAATATGGCCAAGAGCAAATACAGCCACACACAGCCATGCTCAAAGCCATAGGTTTAACATTTCAAGAAATGTCTCTTTTTTTAAGGTTTAAACACTGAGTTAGAAAATGGCATATTTTATAATTCCCTCTCTTAAAAATAAGAATACCTTCAAAAAAAACACTGAATCAAAATAGAAATTTCAATAGTGGTAATATCCAGATTATGAACGCTCTTTGGGTTTTTTTCCCCAACTATAAACATCGTATTACTTTTTCAGAGAAATGAGTCTAAAGCAAAGAAAGGAACATGACTGAGGCCCTAATATCAATCAGGTATTTTAATATACATCACACTCACAGAATCCTAGGAACGATCCTACAATGGAGACGTTACTAACCACATTTTATAGATGACAAATCTGACACTCAGAGAAGTTACATAATTGCTCAAGGGTCTACAGCTAGCAAAACAGCACATCCAAACCTAGGCTGATTTGATGACACCTCGACCCAGCCAATGCAGATACTTGTCAGTAAGTTTATTTGGTAGGAAAACACAGTGGCAAGGGTCACTATTTTATTGCAAATAATGGCCACTCTAATAATTAGTGTGGTAAATCCATGACGTCTGGGGTTTATACCAGGGAGTTTGCAACAGACACTCAGTAGAGTGTCCATGAATAAGGAAGGGCCTCTAAATGGACAAGGATCAAACCTCCCACAGGGCAGGAGCCAGTCGGCCCCATACCCTAACAGTGTAGGTGCGCGCCCTATCGTGGAAGAAAGGGAAACTGCAGGTTTATATGGGCTTTTGAACCACAGCAGGGCCTTGGGGACAGAAATGGGGAGGCAGAAGAAGCAGCTTTCTAGGTTCACCAGCCTCACTCAACAAAATTTCCCAAAGTGAATCACCAAGACACGATGATGACCTCTATAACTACTTCCCAGGTAGTCTGCTGTAGATTCAAAAGGGGCTTCATAAAATAAATACAATTCTAACAAAGAATATTAGAATGTAAAAATATTAATCAGTACTGACAAACCTTGCTAATATATGTTGGCACATTTTATTTTTTGTCTTATTTTTATTATATAGATAAGAGGTTTCTATATTGCCCAGGCTAACCTCGAACGCCTAGCCTCGGCTGCTTATGTGCCAGGACCACAGGCCTGGGCCACTGTGGCTCCCTTTTGTCTTATTTTTAAAACTTTCCAAGAATTTTTCATACAATGGAAAAGAACTGCTTGCAAAGTAAAAGCTACTTTAGCTTCTTTTAAAAAGCAAAATATCCGTGTTTTAGAGGGAAGAGAAATCATTTCTGGGGTGCTTATTACATCAGCCACTGTACTAGAGCCTTTATATAAAATCTCATTTAATTTTTACAAAAACCCTGGAGAATACTATCCCTATTCTACAGATAAGGAAAACTAAGGCTAAGAAAAGATAACTAACTTCTGCTGGATTCCACAGCCAGCAGGTTCAGGATTGGTATTTAAACTCAAGTCCACCTGCCTCGTGACCCTTGGTTTTCCTCTATGCCAACATTCAGGTAAACACCACTGCTGCAGTGGTTCAGGGAGGCTAAGTAACTTTTCCAACTTTACACAACTGGTAAGTGACAGAGGTTTCTCTATCTTCAGAGACTATTGTTTTCAGCATAACGTTAAATTATTGTTTCTCTACCATCCCCTTAGGTAACTCCAAACTAAACCTTGTGGGTAAATGCTGATGGTAGATAGGTTGATTTTTACAAACTAAAGATAACAGAGGAAAACTATGATTGCTTGTGTCCCTATATCCAAAAAGACTGACGTTTCTTTTTTATAAGACTGCCCACTCTGCATGATAAAAAACGTGATTGCTGTGATTTGTTACTTATTAACTTCAACTACTAGAAATAGGGCTCCCTAACAAGTTGTCTTGCAAATTGATATAAAAGATAATTACCAAATGTTCTGCCTTCTGAGATTCTATATTTCTACCAAGATTTTTAGAGCTTTTTCAACAAATAAAAACATTACAAAATCATGGAACACTGTACCAAAGGCAGAACCACTAAAAGAATATTTAAATCACATCCATAATTTTAAAAAATTATTTAATTTACACAAATGTAATAAAATATTCCTGAGCCACACCCATAATTCTTTTAAAATTAGGAACTCCACAAGATAGTCACAAGACATAAAACACACAATCAAGAATACAGAGATGGAAACCTAATTGTATATTGGCCCTTTCCGTGAAAACTTTTTCTGACCTATTGCTATTATTGCTCCAAATACATTTTTTAAACTTTTTAAAGCCTTTGTTGATTATTTTTAATCTCTTCAATGGTGGTATATCCCTTGCCACTGAGTTTCAGAAATTGCCACAGTTACGCAGTGCTGAGTCTGGTGAATAAGATGGAAAAGATCAGTTATGGCTAAGAAACAAGACAGAAATATAAGCCTACAGATTCTACAGACTCTTGGATGGAATATGGAAACAAGACACCAAAATAATTTGTGGGCTATATTACTATGTGTTTTCAGTGTGATCTGTGGCTTTGGGATAATTTTAAGCTTGAACAGTCTAAATTAATTTTGTCTTTCCTTAAAGGCAAAGAATAATTAGAAGTCTGAAATTTGCTTTTAGGATTTTTATACAAATCAGGATGTTAGAGCAAAGAAAGTTTTAGATATGCAAACCTGTGCCCATGAGTGTACAGCCCCAAACCCCCTCAAGCATTTCATCCTAAACACAATGCATGAACGGGATTCTGGGAGAGATCACAACCCCCTGAAATGTAATTAGAATCACGGACACAGAAGATAAAAGCTGCCTTGATGATGGAGCACGTCAGACCCTGGACACACAAACTGGAAAGACAAGAAAGCAGTTTTTTCAGAGTAAATTGAAGTAGCTATTCTAATGAAATGTGAAGGTTTAGGGATAATTTAAAAAATATTAGTAGTAGGACATATTTTTTAAAAAACATAATTTTACTATGAAGGATATATTTCATTCTTTCAACATATTTATTGAGAAGCAGACCTGACCTGTGCACTGTAGGCAAAGTGAATCAAAATGCAATTACTATTTGGGTCATGGTAACCCTTGTTAGTTGATTCACTTTGTTTTTGTGGTTAATATAAGCTTCTGAAACAAACAACTACCCTGTTACCAGATTCAGTTACTGGTTTCTATCTTATATTTTGGGTTTAGGGAATTACTCAAGTTTACGCCTATTTTCAGTTCATGCCTCTCATAAGCAAAATCTGCAAACACACAGCTGCTGTGATAGTCTGACAGAGATCCATTCCACAGACCTCTGACTGCCACCAAGAACCAGCGCTGATGCAAAAGGAACCTCGCTGAAGAAAGCTGTGTTTTCTTAATAATAACAGTTGTATAAACATAAGGTCTTCTCAGTTAAAGGGAAACCAACATCAAAAAGCAGTACAACATAGAACCCTAAACCCCTCTTTCTTTGAAGAAACCCGTTTGAAGCGAGGTGTTTCTAGTTATGGATGAATGAAATGAGAATTCAGTTGCAACAAACGGACATCCAGTTCTACGAAGGACTAATTAAATCCATCTGAGAAGCTGCATCTCAAACCGCCTCACACATTTCAAAGGAAAGCACTCCTCTGCCTTTTGCTAAGACATCAAAACACTCAGTCACAGCTGACGCATACAGAGGCTCTACAACAATGTTATTTTTATGGACTACAAAGCTCCACAAAAGTAATGTTAAGAGTTTGCACTATTTCATGACTAAAAATTCAGAGTTAAGGCAGAACATTTCTATGTATCACTATCTGAAATTTCTTTCCAGCCTCCAACTAGTTTTGTAGATCTTCTACCTGATCTCAAAACAAAAACAAAACAGATGCATCAGTCTTTAATGTGTTTCATATACTTGCTAAGTAGAAGTGGTTAAAAAATTAATCAAAGAATTAGTCCTAGTTGCACCATTAACTTTTTTTCCTTATAAACAAAACCAGGATTTTGATGTTCAATTAAGACTCTTGAGTAGGCAGGGTCCGGTAACTCATGCCTGTAATCCCAACACTTTGGGAGCCCGAGGTGTACAGATCATGAGATCAAGAGTTCAAGACCAGCCTGACCAACATGGTGAAACCGCATCTCTTCTAAAAATACAAAAATTAGCCAGGCACGGTGGCGGGCGCCTGTAAACCCAGCTACTAGGGAGGCTGAGGCAGGAGAATCGCTTGAACCCGGGAGGCAGAGGTTGCAGTGGGCTGAGATCACGCCATTGCAATCCAGCCTGGGTGACAGAGCGTGACTCCATCTCAAAAAAAAAAAAAAAAAAAGACTCTTCAGTAGTTAATAAAAGCCAGCAGAAGCAGCTGCTGAAAACTTTAAAAACTTGGTTTGACAAAAATACTCCATTTAACAGCCATTTTTTGGCCTTTAAAGTGGTAAAAGAAAGTTATATTCAGAATTTGGGATATTATCCCAACAGGATAATGTGGTGTTAGTGTCTATCCTCCCAGGATTTTCTGCCTGTCATTGGTTATGGTGAGCTCATATAATCATATTGAGCAATCGTGTTTTTTTCTTAAAGAACGCTATTAAATGTGACACAACCCATAAGCAGGAGAAATTCAATTCTTCAACATTTTCTTTTCAACATACATAGAGAGACATACAACTAACACCATCCAGATGGTTGCTAACATTCAGAGTTTCTTCCCATGGCAGAAGACCTTAGTAAAAAGAGAAGCAGGAGCCGTCAGGAGGCCCCAGGCTTCTGGCTTCTCTCTTTACTTACCAAGTAACCTTGGGTGAGTCACTTGACCTTCCCTGGGTGAGTCACTTCCCTGGGTGAGTCACTCAACCTTCTCATCCCCTCTTGCTGTTAAGTGAGGAGTTGCCCTAGGACAGCCAAATTCCTGTAAGTTTTGAAAGTCTGTGACTTTTTTCTCCAAATGTGAATTCATTAAAACGCTACATGGATTCTGTTTGGAATCCCACTTATCAGTTATTCACACAATGGAAACATGGTAACTTACCACCTCTCTGCTACCTCCTCTGCCCCAAGGAAATTTCAGGCATTCCATGACAGTTTGGTAAATTAACTCCAATTCAAAAGTTTTCAGGTCACAGGAAATTTTATAGAAGAGATTAAATTTCTGGAAATTAACACACTGCTACATTACTGACAGAGAAAAAACTGTGAAGAATAAGGCAGATTTTGTTGACCCTTCAATTTTAAAAAGAGTAAAAAATGCCTATGCTTTGATATTTGAAATCACATTTCCTAGGTGCTAAATTTATAAATAAAATCATTGTTTTCTTTAATCACAACAAATTAAACTAGCAAACACATTGACTGAATTTTGATATCCCATTATGTAACTAGTTTGTTAAGGTGTATGAAAGGCAATTGTCAACGCATATCTGCCTGTATTTTTTGGAGACAACATTCTAATTTATTAAAGAGTTTCCATGACCACTAGGGAAGCAGTTTTTGGAACTCCTTCCTTCCCGCTTCACTGTTCTCTCTCTTCCTTCCTTCCTTCCTTCCCCAACTCCTCTACCCTGCCCCCAATGAATATTTCCTGAGAAGTACAAGAAGTGTGACAGTGAACAAGACTAGGTCCTTGCCTTTACAAAGCTCCTATTTTAGTGTGAAGAGGCTGAAATTAAACAAGTGGACAAAGAAATAAACACGAGAACTCAAGTGCATGATAAGCACAATGATGGAAATGAACACCATCTTAAGTGACTAAGGGGTCACTTAAGAGACCAAAAGCTAATTCTGCTTCCAAATATAAAAACACAGAAGACAAAACAAACAGTAACAATAACCCAAAAAACCTCTCATTCAAATTCATGACTAAAAGAATTTGATTAGATATCAAATATGAGCTTACTGAAAATATGATGTTAATGTATTTATTTATGAAAGTGATCTAAATATGTATTCTATTAATTCTCACAAGACACCAATTTGAACACAATTTAGACTTTTGAAAAACGTGTTGATCAATAGTATTCCCTAGAACATACTTTATAAACTGCTCCTATAAAAGCTGGCTAGATAATGAATAATGTCACAATAAAATCGAAACCCATAGTTTAAAGGCCCTTCAGGATCTGCCTATCTCCACCTCCCTCACTGGCACCTCTCCGCCTAGCCTCCCTGTGTCCTGGCCTCCTGGACATGCAGAGCTGCCTTGCACTATCTGACCACATGGATTGATACCCCATCAACTCCTGCTCCACGACTTCAAATGGAAGCTTGGTTAGCCTAGCCCTTCTGTTGTGTTTAAGTCAATTCTTGCTCCCAGCCTCAACAACATTCCACGTACTTCCAATTTCTAATGCCATAATCAACTCCTCCCAGTCTCACCTCACCTCTTCCCCCACAGCAGCCATCACAGGTGAATAAGTCACCAACTCTCCCTTCATCTCCACCCGCTCCTTTGTCCTTTCATATAAAAATGGAACAGAGGCTGGGTGTGGTGGTTCATAAGGTCAAGAAATCAAGACTATCCTGGCCAACATGGTGAAACTCCGTCTCTACTAAAAATACAAAAATTAGCTGGGCGTGGTGGCGTGCGCCTGTAGTCCCAGCTACTTGGGAGGCTGAGGCAGGAGATTCACTTGAACTCGGGAGGTGGAGGTTGCAGTGAGCCAAGATCGTGCCACTGCACTCCAGCCTGGGTGACAGAGCAAGACTCCATTTCAAAAAAAAAAAAGCACAGAGGCCCTTCTCCTAGTTCTTCTTTTTCTCCTTATTCTTTAATCATCAAAAATTCCCTTCTTCTGGCACCTGTTATCAGCACTTAAGAATTTATTAAACCTTTAAAAAGTCAATCCCCTCAACACCATGGCCCACTCTTAACGACCATGCCTTTAGAAGAGTCATTCACTCCACTTGTCCGCATATCTCAATGTCTGAACTCACCACAATTTCATTTCTGGCCCCATTACAACACTGAAATTGTTCTCAATTATTTTCACTAAATCCAATGGATAAATCTCAGCCTTAGTTGTTTTTTTTGTTTTAACATGACTTCTTACATTCACTGGCATCAATGACCTCATCTTCTTAAAACAGCCTCTTCCTTTAAATTCTGAAACAACACAACTTCTTGGGTTTTCTGACACAGTCTCTTTCAATGCTCCTCTTCAGTATCCTTTGCTGATTCTTCTTCCTCTGCCCATCCTTTAAATCTTTAGCATACCTCAAGGTTTCATCTTTCTTGGTCCTCTTCCCTTTTCTACTTTCTCCTCAATTCAACCCGTGTTCAACTGCCATTTATACTACTGGAGACCGAATCTCCCCCAAACTCTCTCCTGGGCCACAGAACCTCACATGCAATGACCCAGGAAACATCTCCACTTGTGTATCTCACAGATCCCTTCAAAATTATGTCTAAAATTGTCTTCCTATTTCTCTAGACGTAACCTCTCTATGCTTCAATTTCCTTATACTTAAAAATAGGACTAATAATAGTACTTATGCTTTATAGGATTGGAATAGAAATGAAAGTAGATTGTACATGTTGACTACAATTGTTGTTAAATAACATATTGCATGTGGATCACTTAGAACAGTGCTTGACACATATTAAATATGCAATATATATTAGCTAATATTATTACTGCTCAATAAATGCACGGTTAATTCTACATCTTAAATCTCTTCCATGTTGATCCATTTTTTCTCCAAAATACTTGCAGCTGAGGCTCACAGCGCCCACCTGCATGACTGCTTCTAGCAGGCCCTCTTCCTCCAGTCTTGCCTCTCCAAACCTATTCTCCATCATGAAGGCAGAGTGATCTCCCAAACAGGCAACTCTGTCCGACTCCCTGCAGGCAAGCCTTCTGTGGCTCTCCACTGCACTCCACACACATCCAGACCAGGTTCAGGGCTGGCACTTTCACATGGCCGGGTCCCAGCTGCTTCCCCTGGGGCCTGCCCCTCCCATCTCACCACTCGTTTCCCCCTCCCTGCCTGCCACCAGGTCCCACACTTCAAGCTTTCTGTGCTGCAGTCATACACAACTTCTCTCTTGCTTCAGACACAATTAACTTTCTTAGTTCTCTTTCTGCTTTTTTTTGGTGTGTGTGTGTTTTTCTTTTCTTTAACTTCTATTTTACATTCAGGGATACATGTGCAGGTTTGTTACATAGGTACACTTGTGTCATGAGGGTTTCTTGTACAGATTATTTCATCACCTAGGTATTAAGCCTAGTATCCATTATTTTTCCTGATCTTCTCCCTCCACCCTTTGGTAGGCGCCAGTGTGTTGTTCCCTTGTGTCCATGTGTTCTTGTTATTTAGCTCCCACTTATAAATGTGAACATGCGGCATTTGGTTTTCTGTTCCTGCATTAGTTTCCTAAGGATAATGACTTCCAGCTCCATCCATGTCCCTAAAAAGGACATGATCTCGTTCTTTATAGCTGTATCTACTTTTTATGTAGGCCTTCAAACTCTGACTCCTTCCCCTACCCTCCCCCAAACCTCCTGTGTAGGTCTCAGCCTGGCCAGTATTTCCTTCCTAAGCCTCCCCTAACCACCTCCGTGTTCAGTTCGGGGCCTCCGCTACATACATGCTCACCACAGCACCTGCCCTCCCTGTTACCACTCAATTTTCCTCCTTCACTGACACAGCTTTCATCCTTGTCCCCCTCAACAGATGACACTGTGAGAAGTCAGATGTATCATCTCTTTTGATTACCACTGGTTCTCCAGGACCTATGTCATAAAAGGTACTCAATAAACAGCTGTTATATTACAACTAAAATGATCAATGCATGGTGCTATAAATATGTCAAAATTCATCTACTAGCTGAGTCACTCAGCCAAGGCATTTTAACAGATGGCTCCACTGTTCATTCTATTTATAAACAACTTTGAGGGGTCAAAATATCATACCAAAGTGAATTTTAAAACTTTTTAATTATTTTTATTTTTTAAGACGGAGTTTCACTCTTGTCACCCAGGCTGGAGTCCAATGTTGCAATCTTGGCTCACTGCAACTTCTACCTCCCAGGTTCAAACGATTCTCCGCCTCAGCCTCCCAAGTAGCTGGGACTACAGGTGACCACCACCACACCTGGCTAATTTTTGCATCTTTAGTAGAGACTGGGTTTCACCATGTTGGCCAGATTGGTCTCCAACTCCTGATCTCAGGTGATCTGCCCACCTCGGCCTCCCAAAGTGCTGGGATTACAGGCGTGAGCCATTGCGCCTGGTCTTAAAACTTTTTTAAATTTGTGAGTTTTACATTTTTTGTTTGTTTGTTTTGAGATGGGGTCTCACTCTGTTGCCCAGGCTAAAGTGCAGTGGCACGATCACAGCTCACTGCAGCCTTGACCTCCCAGGCTCACTTGATCCTCCCACCTTAGCCCCCTGAGTAGCTGGGACCACAGACATGTGCCACCATGCCTGGCTAATTTTTTTTTGTAGAGACAGGGTCTCACTATGTTGCCCAGGCTGGTCTCCAACTCCCAGGCTCAAGCGATCCTCCTGCCTCAGCCTCTTAAACTGTTGGGCTTATAGGCGTGAGCCACTGTACCCAGCCAACTTTAATTTACTTTTTGTTGTTGCAGAAACCTGACTAGCACCCGTAATAGGCTCCTTGACTACTATAAATATTTTATAAAGATTTATGAAACTGAACTGAACTAAAGGTGACTATCTGGTATCAACGCTGAAAGTTTTATTCTAAATAAAATTCTTCAGAAAGTGAATCCAGGGCTAATACTAAAAATCACTTGAAGTCTTAATTACAGTATTTGCCAACTGTAATATAACAACCAATACCATTCAGTGTTTTTCATTGCCAAAGTAACTGAATTTTATATATTTTTGTTCTTCACTTAGCACCATAACAAGTTACTTGGCCCTTGAGCACACCATGACTGAGTCATTCAAGAGGGTACAGGTGCAGCTGTGCACCCAATTAGACAAGCAATTTTCCAGAGTACACGGGCAGGATCTTCACATTTTTGTGAAAATTTAGTCCTATGTTTCAAAAGTAGAGTGCGATACCCACTGAACAAACCTGCATTTAAAAAGTAAACAGATCAAGCTGTGCAAGGTTACTCTTCAGACTTGATTTCTCTACAACCTTGTTTATCCAACCCCCTCCCATCAGATGTCAAGCTGATTTGGATGAATTTGCCTTGAAAGGATATTCTTTAGCTTGGGATAAGGAGTCACATTGGTACATCAGGTTACTTTTGGATGTTCTTGCTTGAACCAAGAGTAAGGAAAAACATACTGTTCTCTAAAATAGCCTTGTGATGTCTTAGGACGAGTGAAATTACTATGAGCTCTGGAACCCTAAGCAAAACTTTTGGAGTGAACTACCTTTACACTGCCTTTTGCTATTGGGAAACACATCTCTCCAACTATTCTACATTCACAGTAATCTCTCTGGGTAGTTCATACACCTACAGAAGGGGAAACAGGAGGCTGTGGAGGAACTGTTCGGACTCAGCTTCCTTACTCTGACCTATGTTACTGCTCTTTCTTTGCTTTTTCCAATTTCTTAATTCAGATTAGATCAACCTGTAACCAGAGCCTATTAAGTGATCTCCAGCAACTGTCTCCGAGTTGGAAGTGCTAGCCAAAGAATTTCAGTGATTGCGTTTTGTGTACTTACACCTGTGGGACCAGCACTCTCCATTTAATGAGCCAGCTGCTTTTCTGATTGCTTCCCCGGATGGCCAAGTCACTGCAGAAGTTTCTTGAAAGGTAATTAAGGCTCCATTATTTCAACACTGCTCCATCTTACAGACCCTTCCACTGCACAATTTTGAAATGTTTTTTAAAAAAAATAGGTAATACACATGTAGGGTTCAAAATTCAAAAAATACTAAAAAGATATGATCTAAGAGATGTATCCTTCTCACTTGTTATGGAGTCAGCCCTCCAGCTCCCCAACTCACAGGCAACCATGGGTCCCAGTTTCTTGTGGCTCCTTCCAAAGATATTCTGTGGATATCACAAGCACAAACACACACATTCTTTTTTATGCCAATGAATGTCGTTTGCCTCTGTCACTTGATAAAGCAGCACACAGGGCTGGGCGCGGTGGCTCACGCCTGTAATCCCAGCACCTTGGGAAGCCGAGGCGGGTGGATCACGACGTCAGGAGATGGAGACCATCCTGGCTAACACAGTGAAACCACGTCTGTACTAAAAATACAAAAAATTAGCCAGGCATGGTGGCAGGCATCTGTAGTCCCAGCTACTCAGGAGGCTGAGGCAGGAGAATGGTGTGAACCTGGGAGGCAGAGCTTGCAGTGAGCTGAGATCGCGCCACTGCACCCCAGCACCCCAACCTGGGCTACAGAGCGAGATTCCGTCTTAAAAAAAAAGAAAGCAGCACATAGAAGACACTCTCAACTTTTTAAAGGCTGCACAGTATTTCAATGTTATGAATGTATCATATTTATTTAACTATTCCAGTCTGACAGGCAGTTTGATACCATGTTACACTGGTACAGTAAGTTACTTTTAGACATTCTTCCTTAAACCAATAGCAGGGAGAAACATAGTATTCTTTAAAATAGTCCTGTGATGTTTTAGGACAAATGAAATTACTATGAACTCTGGAACCCTAAGCAAAACTTTTGGAGTGAGCTACCTTTTCACTACCTTTTGCTAGTTCTTTCCAGTCTTCTGCTCTAAGAAATAATACTAACATGACTATTCTTGCACATCTCCTACAGGTGGACATAACACACAGTATAAATTCATTTTGTCAAATTGCTCTCCATGGAGGTTGTTATATCCATTTATACTCCCACCAGCGTTTGAGAGCTTACGTTTCTACAATCTTAGGAAGAGGCCAGGTGCAGTGGCTCATGCCTATAATTGCAGCACTTTGGAAGGCCAAGGCAGGTGGATTGTTTCAGCCCAGGAGTTCGAGACCAGCCTGGGCAACATGGTGAAACCCTGTCTCTATAAAAAATACAAAAAGGAGCTGGGCATGCTGACTATTCAGCTATTCAGGAGCCTGAGGTGGGAGGATCACTGGAGCCTAGGAGGCCGACGTTGCAGTCAGCCGTGATCATGCCACTGCACTCCGGCCTGGGCAACAGAGCAAGACCTGGTCTCAAAAAAAATAAATAAATAAAATCAAAACAAAACGGAATTAACACATTTTTCATTTTTGCCAAAATGTGCATGGAAAATCGTATCTCATCATGATTTTCACTTGAATGTGTGTGTGGCTTTTAGCACTTTTTATCATATGTGCAGGAGCCACATGTCCTTTGCTGTAAACTGTCTCTGAATATTTTTTTACCAGGGCTTTTGTTCATTTTCATATTGATTTGTAAGAGTTCTGCATATATGAAGGGCATCCCTTATTTTGTGACTAAAATGAACTGCAAATTTTCTCTCTGGTTTTTTGGCTTACCTGTTGGCTTCACTTACGACAGTTTTACATTCTTTGCAGAAAATTTTTACATTTTTAAGCATTATCTTGACTTATTATCCTAATAATTTTTCAAATGGAAAAATAATTTTATCAAGGAAAAAGTTCTTGCCAATGTAAAAGAATTTCTATGTTTATGCATTATGTTTTAATTTTAAAAAACTATTCACAGAAAATAAGGTATTTTCCTCAAAGAGAATATCTTTTGCTGCTTTGTTCAGTATACTTTTTAAAGGTAGAGGGGTAGAAAGACTAAGTGAAAAAATTACCTAAGAAGAGAAGTAGTTTAATGATCATAACATTTAATTCTGGCAAAAGACAAATTAATGAAAAATAAAAAATAAATATAAAATATGACTTCAAAAAACTTACCTCAATTTTCTATCATTTGTCATGTACTGTAAGTCAGTTTTCTAAATAGAATTATAGTCCTTTATTATAAACCCCTAATGGTACTGTAGTATTCTCTTTAAAATGCTCAGGGAAAAAAAGGTTCTTTTTCTGTCTGCCTTCTCTGTATTTAAGCCATAGGTAATTTTTAAACTAAAAGCCTATAATAGGCATAAATGTAATAGTTAACTCACCTTGTTTACTGATGTCCTTTTCATGTTCAAGATTAAAAGCCTATCCTAAAAACTGACAATAGAGGCAAAAGAATACATATAATAATGTTCTATTTTTTGAACAAAAGATGTTCCAAAATTAACTCTTTAAAAGAACCACATGATTCTTATCATGTTCCTATAAAAATTCCAGTAACTTCATAATTTAGTATTATGCTCTATTCATAGAATAAAAGAGATTATGATGTAAAATGCATGTATAAATTCTTAATGAAGATACATTACAGATTCTTTATATTACTATTTGAGAACACAAAGTTATTATTTTGTGCAGAAGATTCTTGGCATATTCTAAGTTCATCGAATTTTTCATTTTTATGAAAACGTTACACAAAAACATTTAAACAGATTTACTTAAAATTGAATTTTTGGCCAGGCACAGTGGTTCACGCCTGTAATCCCAAAACTTTGGGAGGCTGAAGCGGGCAGATCACCTGAGGTGAGGAGTTCGAGATCAGCCTGGCCAACAGGGTGAAACCCCGTCTCTACTTAAACTACAAAAATTAACCAGGCGTGGTGGCACGTGCCTGTAATCCCAGCTACTCGGGAAGCTGAGCCATGAGAATAACTTGAACTTGGGAGGTGGAAGTTGCAGTGAGCCAAGATTGTGCCTCTGCACTCCTGCCTGGGCAACAGAGTGAGCTCTGTCTCAAAAAAAAAAAAAAAAATCAAACTTTCAAAGTGCTCTTTAAATATTAAAATAAACTATGGTGGAATGTTTTCTTAGTCAAGAAATCCAGAACAAAACATATGGTGGTAGAACAAAGGAAAAAGGGTGAGTTATAGCAGAGAAGGAAAACGTCAAACAATGCGTATATAATTATTTCTTATTATGCATCCATATGTAGTTATTATTTTCTATTCTTAGTTCATCACCATATTCTTTCTTTGAGGAGAAAAATATAGGGTGGTAATTTCAATTATATGAATACTACAAAACAATTCCCTCCTTCCACCTCAAGCATCTAAGATGAAACAATTTTGCATCAACCAAAACAAACATTATAAAGAAAACAAAATGTAGCACAAACTCTCTTGTACACAAAAGCTTACCTATCTCAAATCTTTATTTTTTTTTTTCGACACGGGGTCCAGGATTTCACTCTCACCCAGGCTAGAGTGCAGTGGTGCAATCATGGCTCACTGCAGCCTCAATCTCCCAGGCTCAAAGCATCTTCCCCCTTGGGCCTCCTGAGTAGCTGAGGCTACAGGCGTGTATCACCATGACCGGCTAATCATATAAAATTTTTTTTGTTGCCAGGGCTGGTCTAGACCTCCTGGGCTCAAGTGATCCTCCCGCCTTAGCCTCTCAATGTGCTGGGATTACAGGCGTGAGCCACGCACCCAGTCTCAAATCTTATATTGCTCTCAAAAAATATTGCTTGGATAAAACTTGAAATCACAGGCTGGGCACGGTGGCTCATGCCTGTAATCCCAGCACTTTGAGAGGCCAAGGTGGGCAGATGGCTTGAACCCAGGAGTTCAAGACCAGCCTAGGCAACATGGCGAAAACCCTGTCACTACAAAAAATATAAAAATTAGCCAGACATGGTAGCATGCCCCTGTAGTCTCAGCTACTTGGGGGACTGAGGTGCTCTCCCCCATGCTACCACATTCTAATGTTTTTCCTCATTTATTTATACAATAATTTTGAGGCAAGTTCTGGCTTATATATACTAAAAAATATGTTCTAAGCTGTGACTCATCAGTCATCTCCCCCAAGAGGAACTTCTTTCATCTTCCCCCAGATCCTTCCCTTCCCCCAAGCAGTTGAGTGCCTTTCTTTCTTTCTCATAGATTTAACTGGTTGATGACACCTCTATTAATGCATTTATTACATTATTTTAATTACTTCCAACTCTGCCTTCCCTTATAAGTACAGATTGTTTACATGGATATCTCCAAGCCCAACTGCCTTTAATTTATTTTTTCCCTGACAAAATATTATATGTTGAATTAGCGATTTTTCATTGCTTGCTTGGAATATGTTCTAGAAGTAAAAATAGTAGACCAAAGAATATGAATGTTTCTAAAGGTCTCTGATAAATGTTATCATATATAACCATTTAATTCATCTTTAAATTACTGACATGTAGGCCAACAACTATTGTTTGATATTGATACAATGATAGAGACAGGAGGCAGAGAAATTCTAGGCAGACAGGTGTGGGTCCCTGGTGAAGTTCCACCCTCAAGCTGAAAAGCCTGAGACCGTGGCCCAAAGTGAGAACTTCTCTCCCTGTTTTCCAGCTCAAATGTTGCCTTTTCCTAAACTACCCATGGCCCCACCCCACCTCATCCTGTGCCTATAAAGACCCCAGACTCAATCAGCAGAGAGGAGAAGCAGCTGAATGTTGGAGAGAAGGGACTTGACTTCAGAGGGACAGCTTGATGGAGTAACCGGAGAAAATCCAGCCGGACTTCAGGGGAAGATCACCTACCCCTCCTCTGTCCCCTTTTCAGCTCCCCTCTCTTCCCACTGAGAGCCACTTTCATCGGCAATAAAATCATTCCTGCATTTACCATCCTTCAATTAGTTCGTGTGACCTCATTTTTCCTGGACACCAGACAAGAGTTCAGGAGCCATGTGTGTGGATACAAAAGGTTGTTACGCTGGCCCTTTGCCCTCGCTGGTGGAGGGCAGCAGCAGGCCAACTGAGCTGTTAACACTTAAGCCGCCTGTGGAGAGCAGAGCTAAAAGAGCACTGTAACATGCCCTCTGGGGCTTTGGGAGTCACAGGCACCCCTCCTGGATGCTGCCATGGGGCCTGCACAGAGTTCGCTCCTGCTGGCGCCCAAAAGCACTTGCTCTGGTTCCTGCACCCACTCACCTGTGCACTCCCTCCTACGAGGTGTGGAAGGCAACAGGTGCAAATGAGTGGAGTTTGATCCCACTGGCGCCAAAACGGCTGGTCAGTTCCAGTGCTCCTGCACTACAGTTCCCGCCTCCTTCGCTCGTGTGCTCCCTCCCACAAGGAGTTGAGAGCTATAGGCTGATTAAAGGAGGCACCCCGTGGCAAAGCGGTCCCGCAAAGGGGTCAGGGAAATAACTTGCTTCAATATTATTTGAAAGGTAAGATATATTCACCATAGTAATAAAGAAATACATAAATACTTATATAAATATTCAAGATTAAATACTCCTGATACAACAGAGCCAAGGTTCTGAATAACCCAGATATTTAACCATTTGAGGAAATGCCATCCTGTTTTCCAAAGCAGCTGCACCCTTTTACGTTCCCACCAATAGCATTTGAAGGTTTCAATTTCTCCACCTCTTTGCCAACACTTTTTTTTTTTTTTTTTTGAGACGGAGTCTCGCTCTATCGCCCAGGCTGGAGTGCAGTGTGGCGATCTCGGCTCACTGCAAGCTCCACCTCCCGGGTTCATGCCATTCTCCTGCCTCAGCCTCCCAAGGAGCTGGGACTACAGGCGCCCATCACCATGCCCCAGCTAATTTTGTTTTTGTATTTTTAGTAGAGACGGGGTTTCACTGTGTTAGCCAAGACAGTCTCCATCTCCTGACCTCGTGATCCACCTGCCTCAGCCTCCCAAAGTGCTGGGATTACAGGCGTGAGCCACCGCACCTGGCCTACCAACACTTGTTATTACCTGACTTTTTAAAGTAGAGCTATGTAGTGGGTACAAAGGACAATCTCACTGTGGTTTTGATTTGCATCTGGATCCCTCCATGCCTTATGATGCAGAACATCTCTATATGTGCTTACCGGCAATTGCATATATTCTTTGGAGAAACGTCTATTCAGATCTTTTGCCTATTTTTAGAGTGGGCTGTTTTTTATTGTTAAGTTGTAAGTGTTCTTTATGTATTTTAAACACAAGTGCTTTACTGAAAATTTCATTTGCAAATATTTTTTCCCATTCTCTGGTTTGTCTTCAATTTCCTGTTAGTGTCCTTTGAAGCAAACATTTTAATCTTGATGTTGAACAATTCATCTATTTTTAAAGATGTTTTGCCTCTTATATTTAGGTCTTCAATCCATTTTGGATTAATTTTTGTATACTAATCAATATGAGGTAGGGTTTCTACTTCATTCCTTTACATGTGAACCCAGGTGTTTCGACACCATTTGTTGAAGAGATTATTCTTTTTACCATTGAATTATTTTGGCACCTTTGTCAAAGATCAATTGACCATATATTTTTGGGCTTATTTCTGGATTCTCAATTCTATTCTGTTGATTTATATGACAATCATTTTGCAAGTACTACACTGTATTTGATTACAAGGCTGTTTGTAGTAACTTCTGAAAGATGGAAATATGATTTATCCAATTCTGGATTTTTGTGGGTTTGTTTGTTTGGTTGGTTTTGAGACAGAGTTTTGCTCTGTATCCCAGGCTGGAGTGCAGTGGTGTGATCAGAGCTCACTGCAACCTCCACCTCCTGGGCTTAAGCTATCCTCCAACCCCAGCCTTCTAGGTAGCTGGGACTAGAGGCACATGCTACCACCATCAGCTAAAAAAAACTTTTTTGTAGAGATGGGGGCCTCACTATATTTCTCAGGCTGGTCTCGAACTCTTGGGCTCAAGTCATCCTCCTGCCTTGGCCTCCCAAAGTGCTGGGATTACAGGTCTGAGCCAATGTGACTGGCGTGTTTTTTTGTTTTTTCGTGTGTGTCTGTGTGTGTGTGTGTGTGTGTTTAGATTACTTTGGCTATTCTGGGTCCCTTAAGTTTCCATATTTTCCAAATTTTAGGATCAGCTTGTCAATTTCTGATAAAAATACAGCTTGGACTTCGGCAGGAATTGTGTTGCATCTTTAGACTAATTTGGGAATTACATGATTTGGGTGTGTCCCCACCCAAATTGCATCTTGAATTGTAGCTCCCATAATTCCCACATGTGTGGGAAGGACCCAGTGGGAGGAAATTGAATCACGGGGGTGGGTCTTCCCCGTGTGGTTCCTGTGATAGTGAATAAGTCTCAGGAGGTCTGATGGTTTTATAAAGGGGAGTTCCCCTGCAAGAGCGCTCTCCTGCCTGCTGCATGTAAGATGTCCCTCTGCTCTTCCTTCATCTTCTGCCATGATTATGAGGCCTCCCCAGCCATATGGAACTGTGAGTTCATTAAAGCTGTTTCATTTATAAACTACCCAGTCTTGGATATGTCTTCATTAGCAGCGTGAGAACAGACTAATACAGGCAAGCAGTGCCATCTTAAGTTTTTCAATTCACAAATATTAGAAACTTTCCATTTATTTGGATTTTCCTTAATTTCTTTTTTCAATGGTTTGTTTCACAATACAAGTTTTATACTTCTTTTGTTAAATTTACTCACCTGGACCCACTAACATCAGTGTCAGCACATGCAACCCCGGGGCCCAAGGACAGACATACTCAGCCCACCACTACCACCATTAGGCCCAAAGAGTGGCCCATGTGGCATCCTTGTCCCCAGAAAACCTCATTACAGCCTCTACTAATAACAGTACCCTAAGCCACTAAAGAAATCACAGATACCACCGATACTGTTTACAGCCAAAGAAATCATACAGTGACTACACTATACAGTGACTACCACATGCACCCAGAATCAAAGCCAAAGGGTCCTACCCAACCAACAGCATGGATACATCTTCAGGAAAAAGTCTTCCCCTATGAAAACAAATTCTAAAATTGGAAGAAGCGAATATTACCCTACATGTTCAAATATCAACGTAAGGACACAGGAAACATGAAAAAGCAAGGGAATATGATACCTCCAAAGGAATACAATAAGTCTGCAGCAACAGATCCCATCCAAAAGAAATTCACATTCCAGAAAAATAACTAAAAATTTTGATACTAATAATAGTGAGACACAAGAGTGATCTGAAAAACAACACAAAAAAATCAGAAAGACAATTAAGGATATAAATGAGAAATTTACCAAAAAGATGGGTATCATAAAAAAGAATCAGACACATTCTGGAATGAAGAATTCACTGAATGAAATGCAAAATGCATTCAAAAGCTTCAACAGACTAGATCAAGCAGAAGAAAGAATCTCAAAGCATGAAGAGAAGTCTTTTGAAATAATGCAGTCACACAAAAAAATTTTTCAGTAATTTTAAAACATAAAGAAAGCTTTCATGATATATGGGACACAATAAAGTAACCAAAAATCAAGATTATCAGTATCCCAAAAGGCAAAGAAATAATGAAAGGATTTGAAACTCTATTTAAGGACATAATAACTGAAAACTCCCCAAGTCTAGTGAGAGATACAGACATCCAGATACAGAAGGTCCAGAAATCCTCAACCAGATTCAATGCAAAACAGTATCTCTTCCATGATACATTATAGTCAAACTATCTAAAGCCAAATACAGAGTTTTAAAAACTGTAAGAGAAAAGTATCTAGTCATCTATAAAGGAAGTCCCATCAGACTAACAGTCGACATCTTAGCAGAAACCACACATACCAGGAGAGAATGGAATCGTATTTTCAAAGGGCTGAAAGAAAAACACTGCCACTCAGTGGTACTATACCCAGTAATAATATCCTTCATTAATGAAGGAGAAATAAAGTCTTTCCCAGACAAGCAAACGCCGAATTTGACCAGTGGAATGCATTACCACCATATCCGCCCTATAAGAAATGTTCAAGGGAGTCCTAAACCTGGAAGCAAAAGGACAATATACACCATCATGAAAACACGTGCAAGTATAAAACCTACTGGTAAGGCAAACACACAAATGAGGAACAGAAAAGACTCTAATGTTGCCACTGAAGGAAAACACCAACCACAAAGATAAACAATATAAAATAGGAAGGAACAAGGAACATATAAAACAAACAGAAAGCAATTAATGATATGACAGGAACAAAACCTCATATATCAATAATAACCCTGAATGTAAATGGATTAAATGCTCCACTTAAAAGATGGAAGCTGGTGGCCAGGTGCAGTGGCTCACCCCTGTAATCCCAACACTTTGGGAGGCTGAGGCGGGTGGATCACAAGGTCAGGAGATCGAGACCATCCTGGCTAACACGGTGAAACCCTGTCTCTACTAAAAATATAAAAAATTAGCCGGGCGTGGTGGCAGGCGCCTGTAGTCCCAGCTACTCGAGAGGCTGAGGCAGGAGAATGGCGTGAACCTGGGAGGTAGAGCTTGCAGTGAGCTTAGATCACGCCACTGCACTCCAGCCTGGGTGACAGAGCGAGACTCTGTCTCAAAAAAATAAAATAAAATAAAATAAAAAGATGGAGGCTGGCTGACTGAATAAACATATGACCCAAATATATGCTGCCTGCAAGAAACACACTTCACCCTTAAAGACACAAATAGTCTGAAAGTAAAGGGATGGAAAAAATTGTTCCATCCAAATGGAAACCAAAAATAAGCAGGAGTAGCTATACTGTTATCACATAAAACAGCTTTAAGTCAAAAACAGTAAAAAGACATTTTTCTCAAGTGGCTGGCAAGATGGCCAAACAGGAACAGCTCCGGTCTGTAGCTCCCCGCGAGATCAGCACAGAAGGTGGGTGATTTCTGCATTTCCAACTGAGGTACCCGGCTCATCTCACTGGGACTGGTTAGACAGTGGGTGCAGCCCACAAAGGGCAAGCTAAAGCATGGTGGGGCATTGCCTCACCCGGGCAGCACAAGGGGTCAGGGAACTCCCTCCCCTAGCCAAGGGAAGCCGTGAAGGACTGTGCCATGAGGGAGGGGCAGTGCTATTCAGCCCAGATACTAAGCGTTTCCCACGGTCTTCACAACCCCGCAGACCAGAAGATTCCCTTGGAAGCCTACACCACCAGGGCCCTGGGTTTCAAGCACAAAACTGGGCGGCTGTTTGGGCAGACACCAAGCTAGCTGCAGGAGTTTTTTTTCATACCCCAGTGGTGCCTGGAACACCAGCGAAACAGAACCATTCACTCCCCTGGAAACGGGGCTGAAGCCAAGGAGCCAAGTGGTCTTGCTCAGCGGATCCCAGCCCCACGGAGCCCAGCAAGCTAAGATCCACTGGCTTGAAATTCTCACTGCCAGCACAGCAGTCTGAAGTCAACCTGGCAGGGAGGGTCATCCACCATTATTGAGGCTTGAGTAGGTGGTTTTCCCCTCAGAGAATAAACAAAGCCATGGCAGCTTGGTAAAGCCGCTGTCGCCAGACTGTCTCTCTAGATTCCTCCTCTCTAGGCAAGGCATCTCTGAAAGAAAGGCAGCAGCCCCACTCAGGGGCTTCTAGATAAAACTCCTATCTCCCTGGGACAGAGTACCTGGGGGAAGGGGCAGCTGTGGGCGCAGCTTCAGCAGACTTAAGCGTTCCTGCCTGCTGGCTCTGAAGAGAGCAGCAGATCTCCTAGCACAGCACTCCAGCTCTGTTAACGGACAGACTGCCTCCTCAAGTGGGTCCCTTACCCCAATGCCTCCTGACTGGGAGACACCCCCCCGCAGGGATTGACAGACACATCACACAGGAGAGCTCCAGCTGGCATCTGGCAGGTGCCCCTCTGGGACGAAGCTTTCAGAGGAAGGAACAGGCAGCAATCTTTGCTGTTCTGCAGCCTCTGCTAGTGATACCCAGTCAAACAGGATCTGGAGTGGACCTCCAGCAAACTCCAGCAGACCTACAGCAGAGGGGCCTGACTGTTAGAAGGAAAACTAACAAACAGAAAGGAACAGCATCAGCATCAACATCAATAAAAAGGAGGTCCACACAAAAACCCCATCCGAAGGTCACCAACATCAAAGACAAAAGGTAGATAAATCCATAAAGATGAGGAAAAACCAGTGCATCTTCCTCCATCCCTTTATTTTTAGCCTATGTGTGTCTTTGCATGTGAGATGGGTCTCCTGAATACAGCACACTGTTGGCTCTTCACTCTATCCAATTTGCCAGTCTGTGTCTTTTAATTGGGGCATTTAGCCCGTTTACATTTAAGGTTAATATTGTTATGTGTGAATTTGATCCTGTCATTATAATGCTAGCTGGTTATTTTGCCCATTAGTTGATGCAGTTTCTTCATAGTGTTGATGGACTTTACAATTTGGTATGTTTTTGCAGTGGCTGGTACTGGTTTTTCCTTTCCATATTTAGTGCTTCCTTCAGGAGCTCTTGTAAGGCAGGCCTGGTAGTAAAGGGATCAATGCAACAAGAAGGGCTAACTATCCTAAATATATATGAACCCAATACAGGAGCACACAGATTCATAAAGCAAGTTCTTAGAGACCTAAAAAGAGACTTAGACTCCCATACAATAATAGTGGGAGATTTTAACAACCCCACTGTCAATATTAGATCAATGAGACAGAAAATTAACAAGGATATTCAGGACTTGAACTCAACTCTGGACCAAGCAGACCTAACAGACATCTACAGAACTCTACACCCCAAATCAACAGAATATACATTCTTCTCAGCACCACATGGAACTTATTCAAAAATTGACCACCTAATTGGAAGTAAAACACTCCTCAGCAAATGCAAAAGAATGGAAATCGTAACAAACAGTCTCTCAGACCACAATGCAATCAAATTAGAACTCAGGATTAAGAAACTCATTCGAAACCGCACAACTACATGGAAACTGAACAACCTGCTCCTGAATGACTACTGGGTAAATAACAAAATTAAGGCACAAATAAATAAGTTCTTTGAAACCAATGAGAACAAAGACACAATGTACCAGAATCTCTGGGATACAGCTAAAGTAGTGTTTAAAGGGAAATTTATAGCACTAAATGCCCACAGGAGAAAGGAGGAAAGATCTAAAATCGACACCCTAACATCACAATTAAAAGAACTAGAGAAGCAAGAGCAAACAAATTCAAAACCTAGCAGAAGACAAGAAATAACTAAGATCAGAGCCGAACTGAAGGAGACAGAGACACGAAAAACCCTTAGGTCCTTACAAAATTTTCTATCATTGGCCCACTGTAACAATTCAATATACAGGATCATATACAATTGCTTTCTAGTTTATTAGTAGTAAACATGAAACATCAGGCAAAATTTTTCAAAAAGTGCATGTATAGTGCTCCTTTTTCCATCGCTAGGAAGGCCAAATTTCTAACTAATTTTCTTATACATTAGGACTACTCTGACACTCTTCTTTCAACTCTTTCTTTCAAGTGAATCACATTCAATATGAATTTAGTTTTTCACCATCTTTAAGATATTAACTGTGTTAATATTTTAATTCATCATAAACTTATTTTCTCCTGAGTGGATGGACTATAGGTGCGCACCACTGTACCTGGCCAAAAACTATTTTGACCAGTTTTGTGTTATATTGAGCAAGACAGAAATGGAAAACATCCTGGGAATCCAGAAGGGAATCATGAAAATAATTATAATAAAAATCAGTTTGTTATTGGGTACTTTTCGGCTTATCACCATGACAAGCTGAATAATATTTCTACTTTGTGTCTAGCAGGTTTTATACTATTAATTAATTCTGTCATTCATTCAGACAGCTGTATTCAGAAATCAGAATAAAGACCTAAAATACATAAAATACTTCACTTCTCCTACGATTAACACTTCACTTAACTTTCATTTTTACCATGCATTCATTTCCCAGAATTTTCATACCTCCTTTTTTATTTTATTTATTTATTTATTTATTTTTGAGAGAGAGTCTCACTCTGTCACCCAGGCTAGAGTGCAGTGGCGTGATCTCAGCTCACTGCAACCTCCATCTCCTGTGTTCAAGTGATTCTCCTGCCTCAGCCTCTCAAGTAGCTGGGATTACAGGCGCGTGCTACCACACTTGGCTAATTTTTGTATTTTTAGTAGAGACGGGGTTTCACTATGTTGGCCAGGCTGGTCTCGAACTCCTGACCTCAGGTGATCCACCCACCTCAGCATCCCAAAGTGCTGGGATTACAGGTGTGAGCCACTGCACCTGGCCACAACCCTCCTTTTAAGTTTTTCATTATAAATACTGATTTGTTTTGTGTATGTTTTACTTGTGGTAAAACGCGTATAAAATTTACCATCTTAACCATTTTTAAATGTACAGTTCAGTGGTATTAAATACATTTGCATTTTCCTGCTACCATCACCACCATCTACCTCCAGAAAACCTTTCATCTTAAAAAGTGAAACTTTGTATTCTTGAAGCAATAACTCCTCATTCCCCTTCCTCTCTGCCCCTGGCAACCACCAATCTAGTTTCTGTCTCTATCAGTCTGACTACTCCAGGTACCTCATATAAGTGGAATCGTACAGTATTTGTCCTTTTGCGCCTGGCTTATAACCTAGCATAATGTCCTCAAGATTCATCTGTGTTATATAGCACATATCAGAATTACCAACTTTCTAAGGTTACTATGTAATTCTACTTTTAAGTTTTTGAGGGACCATCATACTGTTTTTTCCAAAGTAACCACATCATTTTATATTCCTACCAACTGTGCACAAGGGTTCCAGCTTCTCCACACCCTCACCGGTACTTATTTTCTGTTTATTTGATACTAGCCATTCTAACGGGTGGGAGGTAGTATCTCACTGCAGGTTTGATTTGGATTTCTCTAATGATTAGTGATATTGAGCATCTTGTCATGTGCTTATTGGCCATGCGTATATCTTCTTTGGAGAGGTGTCTATGAAAGTCCTTTGCCCATTTTTAATTGTTTTTTGTTATTGAGTTGAAAAATTTCTTTATATATTCCAGATATTAAACTCTTATCGGGAGGGCTGGGCGTGGTGACTCACACCCGTAATCCCAGCACTTTGGGAGGCCGAAGTGGGTGGATCACCTGAAGTCAGGAGTTCGAGACCAGCCTGGCCAACATGGTGAAACACCATCTCTACTAAAAATACAAAAAAAAATTAGCCAAGTGTGGTGGCATGCACCTGTAATCCCAGCTACTTGGGAGGCTGAGGCAGAAGAATCACTTGAACCTGGGAGGCAGAGGCTACAGTGAGCCAAGATTGTGCCACTGCACTTTAGCCTGGGTGACAGAGCGAGACTGTCTCAAAAAACAAACAAACAAACAAACTCTTATCATCTATGTGATTTGTAAATATTTTCTCCCGTTCTGTGGGTTGCCTTCTCACTCTGTTGATTGTACTCTGACAGAGTGGTTACTTTGGGAAAAAAACAGAGTAAGAAGGCAACCCACAGAATGGGAGAAAATATTTGCATGAAACATTTATATATTTATAGTGTTTAGAATGGAAAATTTTAAAGGAGGGATGAAAATTCTGGGAAAATATTCTCCTTTCATATATAGAAGTGTTTAACTCTCACATAGTCCAATTTATCTTTTGTGCCTGTGCTTTTGGTGTCATGTCTAAGAAACCATTGCCAAATCCAATACCTTGAAGCTTTTCCCCTATGTTATCTACTGGTTTTTTTGTTTTGTTTTGTTTTGTTTTGTTTTTGAGACAGGGTCTCACTCTGTCACCTAGAATGGAGTGCAGTGGCACGATCTCAGCTTACTGCAACCTTTGCCCACTGAGTTGAAGAGCTTCTCCTGCCTCAGCATCCTGAGTAGCTGGGATTACAGGTGTGTGCCATGCACCACCAAGCCCAGCTAATGTTTGTATTTTTAGTAGAGATGGGGTTTCACCATGTTGCCCAGGCTGCTCTTGAACTCCTGAGCTCAAGTGATCCACCTGCCTTGGCCTCCCAAAGTGCTGAGATTACAGGCATGAGCCACTGTGCGCAGCCTTCCCCTGTGTTTTCTTCTAAGAATTTTATAGCATTAGCTCTTACATTTAGGTCTTTGATCCATTTTGGTTAGTTTTGTATACAGAGTAAGAAAAGGACCCAAATTTATTCATGTTGAAAAGGCTGTCTTTTCTCCACTGAATATTTTAGAAACTCTTGTCAAAAGCCATTTGACCATACATACAAGGGTTTACTTATGGGCTCTCTATCCTAGTCCATTGGTCTATATATGTGCAGTACCACACTGTTTTGAAAACTGTGGTTTTGTAATAAGTTTTGAGATGAGGAGGTATAAGGCTTTCAACTTTCTTCTTCTATTTCAGGATTGTTTTGACTATTTGGGACCCCCTTGAAATTGCATGAATTTCAGAATAAATTTGTCTATATCTGCAACAAAATGTATTTGGGGGTTCTGATAGGGATGGCGTTGTATCTGTAGATCACTTCAGGTAGTACTGACATTTCCTTCTTTCATTTTTCTTTTGTTCACCAGAGATGGAGTCTTGCTGTGTTGCCCAGGCTGGGCACAAACTCCTGGGCTCAAGTGAACCTACTGTCTCAGCCTTCCAAGTAGCTGAGAGGTACTGATATTTTAACCATATTAAGTCTTCTAGTCCCTGACACAAGATACCCTTCCATATATTTGTGTCTTTTTTAAGCTCTTTCAGCAACATTTTATAGTTTTCAGTGTGTAAGCCTTTCGCCTCCTTGGTCAAATATATTCCTAAGTATTTTAGTCCTTTTCATTCTATTGTAAATGAAATTGCTTTGCCTAAAATTTACATAAATGGTGCCATTAAGTATGTATATTGTTGCAACTTTCCTTTTTACCATTATTGTGGTGTATACATCTGTACCAAAAGTCTTAACAACACATACAGAAAGGACACACAGCATCATCAGGTTAGCTGCCACCACTTGGGAGAAAGTGGAACAGGATGATGTAAAGAAAGGACTTAGTTTAATCTATATATTTTTCTTTTTAAATAGGAGACCTGTATGGAAAATCTGCAACATCTGCTGTACTTTCCTTATTAGAAATATCTTATAATTTAAACTCCTAAAAATTAAACAGAAGAACTCTGGAAATGTAGGGCACCTAAAGCTTTACTGTGTGCTCAGTAAAGCCTTTGCCTGCACTATCTCCAGAGTCATTAACCCAGACCTGGCTTGTCACCTGTAGGCTAATTTTTTTCTTGATGTGACAGTGGGTGATCTGGGAAACTAAGTTAACAATCACAGTTCTCCCGTCTATGACCCTAAAAGCAGACAATAGTGCCATACTATTGAAATATTTCTACCAATGAGCCTTTACTTCGCCACGCTGTTCAACCTGCCTCCTTTCATAATACTGATGTCAAATGAAAGTAGCTAAATTTAAATATGCCTAGGAAAAAGGGCTACACTATCATGTGCACATGCCTTTCATTGGGCTATTGATGCTCTGACAGTAGCTAAGCCAATAAATATAGGAAATCATTTCTGATATTATATACTAAGGTGGATATTTTCCAGGGAAGTTTTTAATGCACTAATTTTGATGTGTTTTAAAAACAGCCCTGTTTTCCTCATAAGCTAAAAAGTGAAGCTGGAGATAATTCTACAGAAAAAAATTTGAAAGATACCACGTATGCAGTCAGGCCAGAGGTCTCTACTTTTCAACATGGAATCTAAAACAAACATAAAGAAGCAACGCTCGCCTGTGATCCCAGCACTTTGGGAGGCTGAGACAGGAGGATCACTTGAGCTCAGGTGTTCGAGACCAGCCTGGCCAACATGGTGAAACCCCATCTCTACTAAAAATACAAAAATTAGTTGGGTGTGGTGGCATGCACCTGTAGTCCCAGCTACTCGGGAGGCTGAGGCAGGAGAAATCACTTGAACCTGGGAGGAAGAGGCTGCAGTGAGCCGAGATCATGCCACTGCACTCCAGCCTCTGGGCGACAGAGCAAGACTCTGTCTCAAAAAAAAAAAAAAAAAAAAAAAAAGAAGTAACAGCTCTGAAAAGTAATCTAGACAGTTTTCTTTATTAAGGTAAGGCACTACTTAAAAGAACATTGTATCAGAATATCAGATTACAGTAAGGCTTCAGTGGTGACTCAATATAGAACTGAAAATTATGCTAAACTCTACATTTTTGTAAAGTTAATCTTCCCCCAGAAAAAAAAATGCTACATTGTAATATTGATACTCTTTACTATTCAATTCCTATAATTTGCTACTCAACCTGATCTCTGGTTAAATGTGCACTTACAAAGCTGTTTTTCTGAAATGACCATGTCAATAGGTGGAATGTAGAGAGTCACACAAGATCTCATGAGACAGCTGTTTAACTCCATCATAGCTTTCATTTTAAGAGAGCTGAGTGAAGTATCTTTCAGTATCTAACGTTTCAGCAATTTTGGCGTATACAGTGAATCACAACATTTAAAGAAAACCAAGGAGACTACCCTTAGTTCATGGACTGACATCATTGATCTGTGAGTCTGACACCACACAAGAATGTCAGCTTCTCCAGGGCAACAGCTTGGAACTGATCTGGTGCACAGTAGGCATGCAACAATTATTTGTGGAATGAATGAATTCTCATGAATCTTCAACTTGTGATATTTTCTCACTGAGATCAAGAAACTGCCGTACCCCTCTCAAGCCACACCAGGTCTTATTTGTGTGAAATTATATTGTTTTGATGTTCATATCCTATTTCAATATTCTGATAAAAATTCACTTGTTTCCCCAAAACAAAATGACATTTCAATGCAATTTAGCCGTAAGAAGAGAAATGTAGAT
This sequence comes from Homo sapiens, assembly GCF_000001405.40. Lineage (NCBI taxonomy): Eukaryota > Metazoa > Chordata > Mammalia > Primates > Hominidae > Homo > Homo sapiens. The sequence goes on along the minus strand of NC_000013.11, from coordinate 100,369,272 downwards.
AAACAGAATATTCATTATACTAACTATATATTAATAGCAACCTCCTTGAGTTCAGGCTGAAAACACGAAGGCATACGACTTAAAACAGCAACTCTTAATGGTATTTTTCTGGCACACTCGGATCACAGTTTTAAACATATCACTCATACTACAGTATAAACACTGAAATCTTACTGTAATCTTGTTCACTATAGACTAGAATTCCAACTGTGGCAGTTCTATCTTGGACCCTATATCCAAGGGGTTTAAGTTCTTCAAAACAAAAAGAGTGTCACCACAAGGTAAATTTAGCCTCAAGAGTGTCTTGCAGCATGAGATTTAAAGATAATGTTATGTGAGGCTTCAGATTATTTGTTTTAAAAGGATGGTTACCTACCACCACTATCATACATTTGGAACTGTAATTCAAAATGCTCTTCTCTGTAACAAAGGCAAAAGTATTACTTCTCACAGCATAAAAGAAAAATGAATCAAGTATCAGAAAGTGAGTTTAGGATGTGGCTAAATCTAGAAATGTATTTCCTAATAAGCATAAGAGAACAAAAATTTCCATTTCCATTCAGCTTCCTAAAGAAGATGAAAAATACATAGAGGTACTACAAATTCAAAAGACGAGAGTCACTGAACAGGTTAAAAATGGCTTTAAATATTCATAGATAACATCAAGATTACCAAGAAAATAAAGAAAGAAAACTCACCGAGAACACTGACCCATTGTTTGATGCTACTACGGTATGAACTTTATCATGCAATTTTACTGAGAGCTCCCAGTTGGCTATGTCTGGTTTAATAACAGGCATTCTGAAGTAGAATGAAAAGAAAAAGAGTTAATAATTTTATATTATTATTTCTCAATAAACTAATTTCCCTTTGATATAAAATGCACAGGCTAAAACTGCCATTGAATGTATTTGCGAACATTTTAAACACCTACTCTAAGAATCATCATGTATCTATGAATTTGAATTGCCTAATTGTTACAGTCATTCACAAATTCATCTGCCTGAAGCAGTATTAGTTTTTTTCAATATTTGGTTACTATTCAAAATGGTTTTTTTAAAAAAAAATTACAATGAAATAAGTAAGTATGCCATGCCTTAAACTTCAGAGACATAAAATGAATTACTGAGTTAGCATGATGTGGCCTAGAGAATCATTTTGTTCTTTACTGGTGATGAGACTAAAAATGTATTAAACAATGAACCTCTCTACATTATTCTACTTATAGAATGTTTCTTCATGATGTCAATTAGAAGAGAAATATCTTAGTACATTAGCTAGGATATAATTTTTTTTAATTATTATTATTATTTTTGAGACGGAATCTTGCACTGTCGCCCGGGCTGGAGTGCAATGGTGCGATTTCGGCTCACTGCAACCTCTGCCTCCTGGGTTCAAGTGATTCTTCTGCCTCAGCCTCCCGAGAGGCTGGGATTACAGGCGCCCACCACCACACGCGGCTAATTTTTAGTATTTTTAGTAGAGATGGGGTTTCACTATTTTGGTCAGGCTGGTCTTGAACTCCTGACCTCATGATCCACCCGCCTCGGCTTCCCAAAGTGCTGGGATTACAGGCATGAGCCACCGCGCCTGGCCGATATAATTATTTTTTGCAAAAAAAAAAAAACAAAAAAAAAACTATACTTATTTTATAATGTTATTACTAAAAATTCACGAAATTTAAAAAACGAATTTAAACATTACTCAGATACCCACTTATTATGTTATTATATAATAGGACAACATCTAAATTTTGCTAAAATAAAGCACATTCACACACACACACACACACAAAACCCTAAATGACTTATGAGTTCAACAAACACTAAGCACTTGGCTCTAAATTGTGGGGCACCACAGAGAAATAAAACACAGTCCTCATCTTGGAAACTTACACATTATTTCTTTTCTAGCCCTGGTTTTCCCCATCACCTAAAACCCCCCAGAAAGGACTCCATATCTATGAACAATGTTAGTCTTATCATACGGGTCTTTTCTTGCATATTATCAGTATTACATGGTTCAGAAAATCCGTATCAAGCAGCCAAAGACAAAAGTGTTTTTAGAATATAAATGTTTCCCACGACTTTTTAAAGTAACAAAATTTAATGATTTCAGAATTAACCTAATTTAGGTATTGCATATTTATACTTGTGAAGTAATATTTACCAAGTACTAAACATCAGCATTTTGTAGTATCTGGGCTCCAGCTTAAACCACAGTTCTGAAAAAATGTTCCAAGTTATGTTTTCATTTAAACCCACCAAATTTTCAAAAGAAGTCTCTGTGTATTCAGCATTAAAAAAATCAGAGTCACAAAAACTATGCTTCTAATCCAATCACCTCTAGATTCAATATCTGATTAATATTATTAATTTAAATACATATTTGTATTTGACCTACCACTTCTTGATCTGCATTATTCTGAAGATAAGGATATGTTTTAAATACCATGGAAGTAAAAATAAAAGTAAAAAAAAAATGCATCAACAATAATGCACACTGTACACACAGGCCTTGACGATTCTTTCTGGCAGTGTGAAAAGAACTGTTTCAGGGGATAGAGCCTCACACAGAAGAGTATGAATGAATGGGGGTGCAGGGGAGTTGAGGGAGACAACACACAGTGGGGAGGGGAGGAGGAGAGGGAAAGAAAAGGAGGTCTGAGCAGAAAGGAAGAAGGGAAGAAAGGGCTTCTGTGCCAGTATTCCTCTTTTTTTTCTTAGCACCTTTATTCTACAGGGCATTTATTTGTTTATATGTTTGTCTCCCAGTGTCCTGTGGGCTCCTAAAAGACCAAAATCATTCCTTATTTTTGTATCTCCAGCTCCTGGCACAGGATGGAGACAAAGAGATGAGGGATAAGTAGAAAAGACTGTGAGGAGTGTCTACTATGCACCAAGCACGTGTAGAAGGGGAGGCTGACTTGCCCAGGAGAGCAAGAGCACAGGTGTGACAGGACTGTGTGCCCCAAGCTCCTGGATACTCCCTGGGTGTCCCTGGACTACGCCTATCATCTCACTAAGACTTCATTTTGCTCACTTCGAATGGGGTCAATACTCCAATTTCACAGGGGTATTGTGATTGCAGAAACAGCCTCACATCTAGATGACCGTGCAACTTGGCTTTCTTGAATCTGTGCTTTCCTCAAGAATTATGTCACTATCTTGCTCATGATCATTTGATCGTTTTCTACCCCACACCAAGTTACATCTTTATTAACCTAACTACCATTCAATGCCTTAAAAGTAAGAACCCACCTTTTGCATTCAATTTTATTTCTGCTTATTCTCTGATTTGTCTATTTGGTTAGGACAGACTCTTAAACCAAGCTACCATGAGGCAGAGAGCAAGACAGTGGTTTTGAACTCAGGCCTTGATGAGTCACAGAAGCTGACACAAAACCCGGAGCAAACTGTCTGTCTCAGTTTCCTTATGTATGTATAAAAGATTGTAACAATATCTGCATTGATAGGGAGGTGTTGATTAAATTAGGTGTATACATGCTATAGCTTTTATTATGAGTAGTTGTCCCGGCTCTCGGCCTATATTCTTACTTTCCCCTATAACTGAAACCTCTTTCTTTATAGAAACTTTGGATTCTCATCTCATCTCTCTGCTTCTCACACTAACAGATCCTTCAAGGAAAATATTGCCTCCCTCACAAATTGTTCCTTAATTATAGCATAAACTCAAGAGATCTTTCTTCCATTTAATCTATGTCATATGCTGTAATATTTTTCAAACTGTAGCAGCCTGATGGAGTAGGGATTGAGAATTTCTTCTATCACGTAACAAGTCTCTGCTTCCAGAGGCATTGGAACATTGCTGATCCTGACATCCTGTTCCAACCCAGAACCCATTTTCCCACAGAAAGGGACCTTATAGATGGTGATGAGATACAGTTGCCACTCTCCAAAACCTAAGTACTATTTATTTTTCCATTGTTTTATTTTGATTCACATCTGTTTCATATATATTATAATTTGTCCCAGGAGGGGCCTTATGGAAAGAGTACAGGGTTTCGAGTTAAAACATCCAGGTCTAAATCTCAGCCTGTTCTACTAGCAATGTACCTGAGAACTTATTCAATCTGTTTGAACCAATATTTCTACACCTGTAAAAGTGTATCAGAGTTAGGCAAGTGATAGGAAGCTACTGCTTCTTCTACAAACTTAACTCCTGCAGTGGCACTTTTCTAACAATTTTTTCCTTTTCTTTTAAGAAACATGATCTCACTGTGTCACAATGGCTGGAGTGCAGTGGCCCAATCATAGCTCACTGCAGTCTGGAACTCCTGGGCTCAAATGATCCTTCTGCATCAGCCTCCTGAGTGGCTGGGATTACAGGTGTGCGCCACCACCAGGTCTGGCTTTTTTTTTAAGAGATGGGGTGGATCTCGCTATGACGCCCAGACTGGTCTTGAATTCCTGGCCTCAAGGGATCCTCCTGCTTTGTCCTCCCAAAGTATGGGATTACAGGTGTGAGTCACAGTACCCAGCCTTTTTCTAACAATTTCTTTCAGGGTGATATGTTAACAGGATATAGGAAAAAGGCTTCACTGTGCAAGACCTCTAAATACCAAAACAGAGTCGAAACTGTGAAATCTATTTGTAAGTTCACTCTTCTACAAACAAAATTTGCAAAGATTCCTTCTGGCTTGACATAAGTTTGAAACTAGTTTTGTTTGGGTTTTTAAATAAAATGGATGGGTTGGGCATATATGCCAGTTAACTGGCAGATATAAATATGCTCTGCAATAGAAATAAGCTATAAATTTTAAAAAATACAAACCTGAAAGAATGCATGCTCTATTTCTGCAAAATCACTGAAAATACATTTATAATACTTACTTTGAAACATTCTTATTAATTTAACCAGCACAGACAGATTTATGATAGTAACAATTACCTACAATTATGTGCTAAATGTTTAGAAAAGAATTACACAGATCCATTAAATTCAAAATAGTCTCAAAGAAGATTTTTATGAACAACTCTCTGACAATAAGGAAAAGGTCTTAGAACTTCAACTCACCATAGTAATGATACAGTTTCCTTTAACGAAGTACATTTCTAGTGAAAGATGCTGTCATCTGACCAAAAATTTAATCTGTGCAACTTATTAGTCACCTGCAAAGCTGATACCAATTAAGTTATTTCTTCAACAAACAAACAAAAACCAAAAACCCCAGTAAAAAAGAACTCACATAAACAGTGACTCACAAAGCAAATAAAATAATAGCTCTAACCCAGGTCTGTCCACTTTATCATCAGCCAGCCAGGATGAATATGCTCGACATAACTAAATTTTTTATATTTGATGGTGAAGAACTGTCAGCTGATAGTCACTATTAATACTAATACATTTAACTTACTGGAATATTTTACTCAAAAGGGTGCTTTTGAGTAAATACTTTGCTATTACAAGTCATTTGCTAAAAGAAGACTGTATAAACATAAAAACTCTCAGCATCTTCAGTTAGAAAGGATTATAAGCATTTTAAACCATAATTATCAGACACTCAAAAAAGCTGGTTTTTGTTGTGCCATCACCTCTTTAGAAGTAAAATACTGAGTTAAAACAATGCTAATGGTCAAGGAATCATTAAGAAATGCTTCATCATAACTTTCACAGTGGGTGGGCTGTAAAATGATCGAGAATAATATGCTGCATTCCATGGCCACTGAGGTCAGTTTCTGCATACAAATCTTTGCAGGAAGAAAAAGGCCTTCAGAAAGTGGGCCATTCATCTGAACCAAGTTCAGAGAATTTCCAGCACGGTGAAAAGATATGTTATGCAAGCACATAGATGTATTCAGTGGGGGTAGACAGAACCAGCTACATGGAGACTACAAAGGAGCCCTCCCATGGCTCATGAATAAGTCGAGGAAATGATCAGAAAAAAAAAAGGAGAGAGAGATGTTTAGACAGATGGCCCACTTAAAATGCCTGAGACAGGGCATAAGCAATTTTAATGAAACTTTAGATCTAGTATATGAATTGTTTCTTATTTCCCCAGGGTTGGGGAAGGGGAGGAACAACTCCCAGGGAAGATAAAAATTCAGCAATTCACTGGAAAACTCACTTTTAGAACGTTGAGATGGAGGAATAGTTAAGTACAAGTTTTAGTAGTTTTTTAACTAGTGCAATAAATTCAAAAAAAATTCTTTACAGAGCCATCAGTTATTAAAATGAATATAAAAAGCATAGAATGAACAGATTAAAGGAATTTTAAACAGAAGTCTACTGCCAAACCAAACAAAAATCTGAGCCTTATTATGTGAGAACTTACAACACTCCAACATTAAAGTTCATCACTGCAGAAGAAAGATAAAAGCAGCATTTTCAGAGAACCTCTTCAAAGCTAGGAATTGGCATAGAGGAGGATTAGAATTCTGCCTACATGCAATTGAAAATGTGTATGTTCAAATACATGAGACTGTGTGGAAGAGTCTGTATCACATAATCATGCTGAGAAACAGGGAACACCCCCAAGTTTGGTGTTATTAGCATTACAAATAATTACACAAATGACATCTGAATCTAGGATAGAATACGTAATGTTACTCATAATCTCATATATTTAAATATTATGCATACTCCCTTTCCTTCTTCCACCGATAAGGGCTTAAGGTTCTCAATTTAGACACTGGGCATGATTAGCCAGGAAAGGCACTGTGGCACAGCTGTCACCCCAGCAGACCCCATGTCTCACTGACCAAGTGCAGACCTACAAAAGCTGTGTGACCTCCATCCACAACTTACTTAGCCTCCTTGTGCCTCAGTTTCCTCATCAGCAAGACAAAGATAATAAGAATGCCTAACCCATATGCTGCTTACATGAGATAAAAGGTGTAAAATGCTTAGAGTAGTGTTTGGCACATAAATGCTAAATTAGTTATTATTGTTACCATAATTGGGTGCAGAAATATCTGAAATCCCTCTCTTTTGTTTCAGCAACTGTTATTTTTTTTTAAATTTTACTCGCATACAACTAACATACAGTCAAATTCCAAGATCTTAAGTTCTGTCATTCACCCTTCCAGTCGCTTGGCTCTGCCTGCCACTAACAGTCAACCAGAGATTATGCTTGCCTGTTCTGAGCTTCACAAGAACAGACTCCAAAAAAAACTGTGGCTTTTTTGACCAATATAATGTTTTTGAGGTGCATCCATCCATGTTGTTGAATAGTTCATCCTTTTTTTCTTGCTGAGAAGTATTTTACTGTACCAACACACCAAAATAAGTTCATCCTTCTGTGGATGGACATTTTTGGTGGTTTCCAGTTTGGGGCTGTTATAAACAAAGCCACTGTAGATATTCTTTGTACTTGATTGCTTTTTCCCCCCTTAAAGAGGTATGTCTTCATTTCTTGGGGGGTAAAAAATCTAGGGAGTAGAGGTCGTAGGCTAAATGTAGGTTTAATTTTATATGAGTTGCTAAATTGTTTTCCAAAAGATTACAACATTTCCATGTTTCCACTGCAATGAGTTACTCTACATCCTTGCCACCATTTGGCATTGTCAGTCTTTCTAATTCTAGCCAGGCTAGAGGCTGGGAAACCGCATCTTATCATAGTTTCATGTATATTTCCCCCATGACTAGTAATGCTGAGGACCTTATGGTGCTCAGTGGCCATTTATATTCAAGTTTTTGCCCATTTTTATTAGGTCATTGGCCTTATTTTTATTGATTTGTGAAAGTTCTTTATTTTGGATACAAGGCCTTTGTCAGATTTATGTATTGCAAGTATTCTCTTCTGTGGTTTGCTTATGAATTTTCTTAACAATGTCTTTCCTTCAGCAGATTTAAAAAAAAAAAAAAAGACATTATTTTTTAAAGCAGTTTTAGGTTGACAAAAACTCAACAGAATTTCAATTTCCCATACATCCTCCCCCACATGAATTCCTCTATTATGAACATCTTGCATTTGTATGGTGTATTTGTTACAATTGATAAGCCAATATCAATGTTACTGTTAACTGAAGTCCATACATTAAGGTTCACTGTGTTATACATTCTGTGGGTTTTGACAAATATCTAATGAAATGTGTCCAGAATTACAGTATGATACAGAGTAGCTTCACTGCCTACAAGTCCCCTGTTCCACCTATTTATTTCCCCTCCCTCCCCCGAATGCTTGGCAATCACTGATCTCTACCATCTCCATAGGTTTGCCTTTTTCAGAATGTCACTTAGCGCTGGAATCATACAGAATGCTGCCTTTTCAGATTAGCTTTTTCCCCATACCAATATGTATTTGTTTCCACTGTCTTTTCATGCCTTAGTAGCTCATTTCTTTTTATTGCTAAATAATATTCCATTGTACGGACATACCAGTTTATCCACTCGCCTACTGAAGGACATTGCTTCTCAGTTTTGGCAATTATGAATAAAACTGCTGTAAGCATTCACGTGCAGGTTTTAGTGTGTGCCTATGTTTCCAGCTCATTTTGGTAAATACCAAGGAGCACAACTCCTTGATTATATGGTAAGGTTATGCTGTGTAAGAAACTGCCAAACTGTCTTCTAAAGTGGCTTACCATTTTGCACTCCCACCAGCAATGCATGAGAGCTCCTGTCGCTCCACATCCTCAGCAGCACGTGGTGTTCGGTGTTCTGGATTTTAGACATTCTAATAGGTATGTAGTGGTATCTTTTTACAGTTTTAATGGAAGTTTTTAATATTAACAAAATCTAACTCACTAATTTTTCCTTTTATGTTTAGTGCTTTGTGTCCTTGCTAAGAAGTTTTTTGCCTACATACAAAGTTTCAGAAGATATACTCACATGTTTTAGATGTTTTACATGTAGATCTGTCTATGATGCATCTCTAACTTTCCTGTGTGGTAGGAGACAGGGGTGAGCCCATTTCAGGAAAATTTGTAGACCAAGTACTGCAACTTTGTTCCTATTAGCTATTCTAGGTCTGATATGGTTTGGCTGTGTCCCCACCTAAATCTCATCTTGAATTCCCACGTGTTATGGGAGGGATGCAGTAAGAGGTGACTGAATATGGGGGCAGGTCTTTCCTATGCTGTTCTCATGATAGTGAAGGAGTCTCACGAGATCTGATGGTTAAAGAAAAAAAAAAGGGGGGGGTTTCCCTGCACAAAACTCTTTTTGCCTGCTGCCATCCACTTAAGATGTGACTTGCCCCTCCTCGTCCATGATTCTGAGGCCTCCTCAGCCATGTGGAACTGTAAGTTCAATTAAACCTCTTTCTTTTGTAAACTGTCCAGTCTCAGGTATGTCTTTATCAGCAGGGTGAAAATGGACTAATACAAGTCCCTTTGCATTTCCATAGAAATTTCAAAATCAATGTGCCAATTTCTTCCACATCCTCCCTGAGATACAATCCCAATAGAATTACTATCGGGCCTGCATTGAATCTGTATTACTGTAGAGAGAAGTGACATCTTAATATTTTCTCTTCCAGTCCATGAGCAGGATATAACTCTTACTTCTTCTGATTTTTAATTTATTTCATAAAGTGTGGTAGTCATGAATCTCTTTTGTTAACTTTATGCCTATTTTTGCCTTAGTTTTATTCATTGTATGGCAGACTCCTTAGAGTTTTCTTAGGTAACCAATTAAGGTGTGGAAAGCTTCCTTTGCAATCATTAGGCTCCGTTATTTCTTGCATGCCTTCATACTCTAACTAGTGACGGTGTCTGCTTTGCCTATTTTTATGCTATGTTAAGTGGAACTTTAATTTTCACTTTCCCATTGTTGCTAGTTTATTCAAATACAACTTGCATTTGATTGCCTTTTTATCCTGTAATCTTGCTAAATTTGTTAGTTCCAGCAATTGTTTTATAGATTCTTATAAGGCTTTCTATGCAAACAATTATGACCTCTGTAAATAGAAATGACTTTACTTCTTCCTTTCTGATTTCTATGCCTTTTATTCTTTTCTTTCCAACTGCACTGGCTAGGATCTCCAGGATAATACTGTATAAACACGATAAAAACAGACAACTTTGTCTTGTTCCCAATCTTAAGAAGACAACATTAAATATTTTTTCTGAAGTTTCTTCACTCTCTTGCCTTTCTTTTTGTCCTTCCTAATACATGCTTCCTGATAACTTATAGTGCCCACAAGTCACCGAGGCTGTCTTCCATTTTTTTTTAAACAGCTTTTTTCTTTTCTTTTTCTTTTTTTTTTTTTTTGAGGAGTCTTGCTCTGTTGCCCAGGCTGGAGTGCAGTGGCACGATCTCAGCTCACTGCAAGCTCCTCCAGCTCCCAGGTTCAAGTGATTCTCCTGCCTCAGCCTCCCTAGTAGCTGGGATTACAGGCGTGCACCACCACACCTGGCTAATTTTTTGTATTTTTAGTAGAGACAGGGTTTCACCATGTTGGCCAGGCTGGTCTCAAACTCCTGACCTCAGGTGATCTGCCCACCTCGGCTAAACACCTTTAGTGAGGTGTATTTGACATTTTAAAAAACAGCATGTTTAATGCACACAAGTTGATTAGTTTGGACATATGCATACGGTCATTACATTATCACCACAATCAAGGTAATAAACATGTTTTACCTCCAAAAGTTTCCTTTGTCCTTTTGTGTCTCTTCAATTTTTTAAACACATTTTTCTTTCTCTTTTTTCAGATTGCATAATCTCTATTCTTCTATCTTCAAGGTTACCTATTCCTTCTTCTGCCATCACCAGTATGCTTTTCAGCCTATCCAGCAAATTATCCATTGCAGATATAGGACATTTTAGATATGGAATTTCCACTTAGTAGTGTGTTTTAATTTCCATTTCTATGCTGATAGTTCCCATTTTTCCCTCATTTTCATCTTTAATACTTGAAAATGATTTTAATAGCTACTTTAAAGCTCTTGCCCATGAAACAAACATTTTAGTAATCTCACGGTTGATTTCTGTTGACTGCTTTTCCTCTGGATTATAGTTGTCTTTATTCTTAGATTGCATGCCAAGTAAACTGTATTGTGGAGATGTTGTCAGACTTCACTCATCATGTTATCTCCCTCTGAAAAGTACTGATTTTTATTACAGCAGGCAGTTACATTGCTAGTTACCAGTCCTGAAGTTGTGGAGGCTCACTTTTATGTTGTACTAGGAACTATTTGGTTTTGCTCTCAATAAATAAAAAGTCCAAACCATTTATTCCAGAAACAGTCTTTTCTCCCAAGGCATGGTCCTTCCAGGGTTTTAATGGAAAGCTCAAGGTGTTTACAAGTACCTCAAATTGATGAGATTCAGATTCCAACATTATCATAACCATGGTAGGCAACTGAAATTTTAGCTCAGTTCATTCAGCATTCCAGCAGTTCTGGGATCTTCTGGGATCCCTGGGGTCTTTGTTACGCACATTTCCAGGGTCAACCAACAATTTGAGAGAACCTGAATTCACATATGGAACTCTTCACTCTGTTGCTCCCTTTCTGCCATGATATCCCTGCTTAATTTCCAGCAGTTCTGACAACACTGAACATCATTCTCTGAGACCTAAAACCAATAACTGAGTTACAGCCATGCCTTAATGCATGCAATAGTGACTGCTTTCAGAGGAAAAGCCACATAAATGTGCATCTCACTGGTGTAGTTTTCTTCTTTTAGGGGTCGTATTTGGTTGTACATCGACAGCCTTCAAATAGTTGTGCTTTATATTTTGTCCAGAGTTTATAATTATTTATCTGGAAAGGAATTCATTGAAAATACACTACACTGCCATTGTAGGAACTGAAACTTTTCCGTGTTGTTTTAATTTTATGTCACTTGCATTTCAAGGCAGAAGAGGAAAGAAAAGATGGAAGAACGCGGGTTCACATACATCTACTACTTCCACCTTCCAGGTGGTAGCCCAGGAACACTTGATATTGCTACCCCCAAGAGCTACTCTTGCACTAAATTGAGAGCAGACATAGAAACATATTTTACAATTTGAAAAGAAATATTCTCAAAGACTCCATCAAACTAGAAGGAAGAAATGCCTCATTTAATTCCTAAAATTTGAACATCTATTATACCATTAGGAAAACAAATTCTTAAATATAAAATGTGTAACAGACTATATACATTTAAACAGTTTGAGATGAAATTCACATATCATACATTTAACCCATCTGAAGTGTACAAGTTAATGGTTTTTAGTATAGTCACAGAGTTATGCAACCATCCCCACAAGCAACTTTAAAACGTTTTCATTGCCTCATAAGGGAAACATTAGATACGAGAGCAGTTACTCTACATTCCCCTCCTCAGCCCTAAGCAACTGTTATGTACTTTCGATTTCTATAGCTTTGCTTATTCTGGGAAAATTTGTGATCTACTTTGACTGAATTATTTCATCTAGCATTTTTGCAAAATTCATCCATGTTGCAGAAAATATCAATAGCTCATTTATTTTTATTGCTGAAAAATAATCCATTCTATGAACGTATCACATTTTATTTACTATTATATACTCATTCATCATTTGAAGGACATTAGGGTTGTTTCCACTGGCTATTATGAAAAATGCCACTATAAACATTTGTATACAACATTTCTGTGCACACATGGTTTCATTTCCCTTGGGTATATACCAGGAAGTGGAATAGCTAGGTCATGTGGTAATCGTCTAATATTTTAAGAATCTGTCAAATTATTCCCAAGTTCATATCACTGTAGTCATAAATTCCCACCAGGAACATGTAATGGTTCCCATGTTTCCACATCTTCACCACTTCATGGGTGTGAAGTGGTATCTCATTGTGGTTATGACTTACATTTTCCTATCAACTAATGATACAGAGCATCTTTTATGGGCTTATTGGCCATTTCTATATCTTTTTTGAAAAATTTTTATTCATGTCCTTTGCCTATCTTTTAACTGGATCATTTGTCCTATTATTAAGTTGTAAGAATTCCCTATACTAGACAAAAGACTATTAAATATATATGATTTGCAAATATTGTCTCCCATTTTGAGGGATGTCTTTTCACTTTCTTCATCATGTCCTTTAAAGCACAAGTTTTAAATTCTGAAGTCCAATTTATCTAATTTTTCTTTTGCTGCGTGTACTTTTGACATCTTATGTAAGAAATTATTACCTAACCAAACGTAACAAAGATTAACTCCTATGTTTTTCTCTAAGAATTTTGTTGTATGCACTGTTACATTTAGGTCTATGATTCTTAAAGTTCATTTTTATGTATGGTGTGAGGAAGGAGACCAACTTCATTCTTTTACATGTGCATATCCAATTGCCCAAGCAGAATTTACTGAAAAGATTAATCTTAACTCATTCAATTTTCTTCCTATCCTTACTGAACTCAATTGACTGTAAATATAACAATTTATTTCTGGAGTCTCGATTCTATTCCATTGATCAACATGTCTATGCTTACGCCAGTACCACTTTGTCTTGATTATTGTAGCTTTGTAGTGTTTTGAAATCGGGAAGTAGGAGCCTCTGAACTTCATTCCTCTTTTACAATGCAAAAGCATTTTCATATGAATTTTGGAATCAGATGTCTATTTTTCCAAAAATAATGCAGCTGGGATTCTAGTAAGGATTGTGCTGAATCTGTAGATCAGTTTGGTGATCAATATTAGGTCTTCTGATTCAAAACATAGGGTGTTTTTCATTTAGGTCATCTTTATTTCAACAACATTTTATAGTTTTCAGTGTTCAAGTATTGCATTTCTTGTTTAAAATTTACATTTAAGTATTGTATATTTTTTGGTGCTATATAGAGTTGTTTTGTTAATTTCATTTTTGGCTTGTACAATGCCACTGTATAAAAACAAAAATTGATATTTGCATATCATTCTTGTATCCTGTATCCTTCCAGGACTCATTAGTTCTAACAGATTTGTTTGTCAATTCCTCAAGATTTTCTACATCTAAAATCATGTCATCTGCAAAAAGAGGTAAGTTGACTTCTCTCCAATCTAGATGCCCTTATTTTCAGGTGTGGGTTTATTACACATGCTCCTCATCAGTCTGAGGAAGTTGCCTTCTATTCCGAGTAGGCTGAGTGTTTTTCATAATGAAAAGCTGTTGGATTTTGTCAGATTTTTTTTTTGCATTTGAGATAATCCTGTGGTTTTTTTCTCTTATTCTATTAATATGATGTATCACATCGATTGACTTTTGTATGTTAAACCAACTTTGTATCTCTAGGAGAAACCTCATTTGGTTATGATGTATATCACTGTATATATTCTTGGATTCAGTTTGCCACTATTTGGTTGGGAATTTTTGCATTAATACTTAAGAAGGATATCAGCCTTTAGTTTTTGTCTTGCAATGACTTTATCTGGTTTTGGAATCATGATGATATTGGTCTTGTAAATTGGGATTTTGGAAGAGTTTGTGAGGATTAGTATTAAGTAATTTTCCTTTAACTTTTTTAACCAATGAAGTCATCTGGTCCTGAGTTCTTTCTAAGAAGTTTTGCAACGATTAGTTCCATCTCTTTACTTATGATAAGTCTATTCGGATTTCCTACTTTCTCTTGAGAAAGTGTTGGCAGTCTGTATCTTTCTATGAATTTCTCCATTTTATCTAAGTTATCTTGTTTATTGGTAAACAATTGTTCACAATATTCCCTTATGACCATTTTAATTTCTGTAAGGTCAGTAGGCATACCCCCTATTATTCATGATTTTACAATTTCAGTTTTTTTTCTTTTGGTCAGCCTATCTACAGGTTTGTCATTTCTGTGATCTTTCCAACAAACACATTTTGCTTTTATTGATTTCCTCTATTGCTTTCTAGTATCTATTTCATTTATTTGTACTCTAGTTTTCAGTATTTTATTCCCTCTGCTTTTGTTTGCTCTATTTTTCCATGTTTCCTGAAGTGGAAGATAAGGTAATTGATCCTTCCTTTCCTTCTCTCCCTCCCTCCCTCCCTTCCCTGCCTGCCTGACTGCCTTCCTTCCCTCCCTCCCTCCCTCCCTCCTCCCACCGCCCCCTCTCTTTCTTTCTTTCTCCCTTTCTTTCTCTCTCTCTCTCTCTCCTTCTTTCTTTCAACAGGGTCTCACTCTGTCAGCCAGGCTGGAGTGCAGTGGCATGATCTTGGCTCACTGCTACAGCCCTGACTTCCTGGGCTCAACCGATCCTCCCACCTCAGCCTTCTTAGTAGCTGGGATTACAAGTGTGTGCCACCACACCCAGCGAATTATTTTATTATTATTATTATTATTATTATTATTATTATTATTATTATTATTTGTAGAGATGGGGTCTCAAACTTCTAGGCTGAAGTGATCCTCCAGTCTCAATCTCCCAAAGAATTGGGATTACAGGCGTTAGCCACCAAACCCACACCCAGCTTTATTTCTTCTTTTATTTTGAGATAGGGTCTCACTTTGCCACCCAGGCAGGAGTACAGTAGTACGATCTTGGCTCACTGCAACTTCCGCCTCCCGGGCTCAAACAATTCCCCAACCTCAGCCTCCCAAGTAGCAAGGACTATAGGCACGTGCCACCATGCGCAGCATATTCTTGTATTTTTTATAGAGATAGGGTTTCACCATGTTGCCCAGGCTGGTCTCGAACTAGTGGGCTCAAACAATCTGCTCGTCTCAGCCTCCCAAAGTGCTAGGATTACAAATGTAAGCCACTTTGCCTGGCCTCTTCTTTTTTTAATACATGTGCTTACAGCTCTCATTTCCCTCTAAGCACTGCTTATGTGCAGCCCACACGTTTTTAGATGTTGTGATGTTTATATTAACCACAAAATATTTTCTAGTTTCCTCTGTAATTTTGTAAATCTATTGGTTATTTGGTAGTACATTGCTTAATTCCACATATGTATGAACTTCCCAAATTTTCCTTGTTGCTTTCTAATTTCATTTAATTTGTCAGAAACATACTTTGGATGATTTCAATTCTAGTAAATTTACTGAGGCTTGTTTTATGGCCTAGTATATGGTATGGTAAATATGGTCTAGCCTGGAGAATGTTATACGTGCACTTGAGACAGGTATATTCTGCTGTTGTTGGAGAGATTATTCTAGAGATGTCTGTTAGATCTATTTGGTCTATAGGGCTGTCCGACACTTTTACTTCCTTGCTGATATTCTCTCTAGTTGTTCTATCCATTTTTCAAAGTGATGTATTGTGGAATTGCCTATTTCTCTCTTTGTCTCAGTTTTGCTTCACATATTTGGGAATTGTGTTATTAGGTACATATATGTTTATACTTGTTATAGCTTTCTGATGGATTGACCCTTTTATCATTATAAAATACCCCTCTGTCTCTAGCAATAATTTTGTCTTGAACAATATTTTGTCTTGGCAGCTCATGCCTGTAATCCCAGCTACTTGGAAGGCTGAGGCGTAAGGATTACTTGAGTCCAGGCATTTGAGGTCAGGAGTTCAAGACCAGCCTGGGCAATATAGGAAAAACCTACCTCTAAAGAGATTTTTAAAAATTAGCTGGGCATGGTGGAGTACATCTGTAGTCCTAGTTCCTTGGGAGGCTAAGGCAGAAGGATCACATGAGCTCAGGAATTAGAGGCAGCAATGAGCTATAATCACACCACTGTATTCTAGCCTGGGTGACAGAGCAAGACCCTGTCTCTGGAAGAAAAAAAAAATACAAAAAAAGGCTGGGTGTGTTGACTCATGCCTATAATCCCAGCACTTCAGGAGGCTGAGGTGGGAGGATCACTTGAGCCCAGGAGTTCGAGACTTGCCTGGGTAACATAGCAAGACCTCATCTCTATTTAAAAATATATATATAGCCAAATGTTAGGGCATGCACTCTAGTACCAGCTACTCAGGAGGCTGAGGCAGGAGAATCACCTGAGCCCAGGAGTTCAAACTTGCAGTGACCTGTGATGCCACTGCACTCCAGACTGGGTGATAGAGCAAGACCCTATCTCAAAAAAAAAAAAAAAAGGCTATTTTGTTTGACATCAGCATTATTAGTAATAAAATACTGATAATAATATTACGAATACAATGTCTGTCTGATACTTTTTTCCATCCTTTTACAATTGACCTATTTATGCCTTTAACTCTAAAGTGTGTCTCTTGTAAAGCATATGGTTTGATCATATTTTTAAATCTATTCTGTCAGTATCTGCTCTTGATAGGCTTAAGCCATCTGCATTTAATATAATTAATTACCCATCAGGTAGGATTTACATCTACCATTTTGCTTTTTACTTTCTATATGTCATATCTTTTTTCTCCCTCTATTCCTTTATTATTGTCTTGTTTTAAATCAACGTTTTCTATTGTCTTATTTTAATTCCCTTGACTTTTCTTTTACTAATACTATTTTTTAAAGTTATTTTCTTAGTGGTTACCCCGGGCATTACAATTTGAACCATGCTTCCAAGCAACATGGTTTGCTAGTCTCTGCTCTACCTTGTCTTACACATTTCTTAGTATTTTCCAAATATCACAGGATTTATTCACAGAACAAATTTCATTGAACATATTATTGGGGATAAGGCTGAAAAGATGACTAGGTAGTTCTGTAAAGGGAAACTGAGGTCTATCCAATTCAAGTCAAATAATCAATATCTAAACATATGCATTTTTATCTTCACTAATCTATTATTATTAAATTACTTATTTTAAGGAAAAGGTAGTTCTAAAGTAAACTGATGAAGAGATATTAAAGCACACAATGCCCACACTGGTCTCCTAGAAAAGATGTCTAATCTCATTCTAGTACATCTCGTTACTTCACCCATCTCCACATGCATAAATCATTATGGTCTTCATATATACAAATATAGAAAAAAGCATTATACTGAAAAATCAAGTAATCACATCTTCATATATACAAACAGAGAAAAAAGCATTATACTGAAAAATCAAGTAATCAAATCTTCATATATACGAACAGAGAAAAAAGCATTATACTGAAAAATCAAATAATGGGTTCAAAAGATATATTTTCCCATTTGCACCAAATCTATTCCTTTTTTAAGTTTTTTACTTATCTCACTGACAATCTCTAAACCACTTTTAAATCTTTTTTTGGAACAAGGCTGAACACAAATATAATATATACAAATATTCCTCCATTACCTACAGAAAATTGCCTTACACAGATCAGCTAACTTGCGTTTTTAATAATAATCTTTGTATTATGGAAATTAATCTTTTGACATTTTATTATAAATGCACTGATGGTGTTGATTTAGTTTCAATTCAAAAATCAAGGATTTCATTACCCTATAAAACATATCCAGAGTTCAAACTATTTAAGGGGGTTAAACAAAATGCAAACATTTAATGCAACATTAAGCATGTGAAATAAAAACTTGATTGCCTAAAGAAAGCATGCTATGCTGTTACCCTGGTGACAGGTTAAAAAAGGGATTGTAAGCTGAATAGCTGTATGATATGAAATTAAAATGTTTCACATTGAACAATCCAAAATGAATTGGGAAAGGTTAGAGTAGAGGAGAGAGAAATCAATTCTCCAATGGCAATGGTGAATGGGAAAGAAGTATGAATAGGATTTGCCAGTGGGGTGCAACAGCTGCCAAATATCCTGCAGCCAAAGAATTACAATAATACTGATGAAGTGTGCAAGAGCTTCTGGAATCATGGTAGGGAACAGAGAAATTCTCCAGCAATAATCAGGCTATTCTGCCTTTCCCTCAGCTCTTATAGTAGGATCAAAATAAAAATATTTTACAATGTAATAGTAAGCAAAAATATGTAAATGTGCTTTCTTATCCACTTAGTATCTTGTACTTAATCTCACATAGATTTCTAAACCATCTTCAACACAGTCATATTAAGTAACTGAAAATATCATAACAGAGACAGTAAAAAGTAAGGCAAGCTTAAGTGATAATGATTGAGTTAATGTTTTCTCCCATCTTGTTGCTTTTAGGGGATTTATTTGCTCAAATGAACGTAGCTATTTCCAAACACAAAGAGTGTATACATACGTTTGTAAATATATACTTAAAGTGCTATTTTTTTTTATTGTATAGTTAGGTATCACGTCACCTTCATTGTCACAGTGAAGTGGCTTATCTGAGAGTATGAAACGAGTTATGATAAGTTGTTTTATTTTCATTGACGTATAAATGTGTTATAATTTCACATGCTCTTTTAATTCAGAAGACATCTTAGTAAAAGAGCCAGTATGTACCCGTTCAACAATACCGGCTTTTCCTTGGGAATTATTTTCACACGGTTACTTTTTTCTATGTTTCTCACCCCACTCATCTTTCAGTGGTTAAGATCATATTTCAAAAACCTTAAACTTTTATCATCTAATTGAAAATTTAATAACAGGTGAATAAATTCTATATCTGAAACCAGGAAAGGCAAAGAAAAATAAACAGATAATTGTCTCTGCTAGGCAGAAATCACTAAAAAATCGATTCTCCATTTTATCAGGAAGCCAGATGAGGAAAGATAATACAATACAAATGCAGACACAATGACTGCACATACAAAGAACCCAAGAGGAAGTAATTTCCCGTTATGCTACTGTGGCTGAAAGAGTTAAACTGACACCAGGCTGTGTAGCCAGCCGTGATACTTGATATGTTCTCCTAAGCCTGAGCACAAAGTACACTGATTCCATGCAGCCAAAGTCATCCTCCACCAAAGGGAGTGCTTTATTTTAACCTTTCAGGCTGAAGTATTTCCATTAATATTATAGGCCATAGTGAAGTTGTTTCTTTTTCTGAGTCTTTAACCCCTGCTCAAATACCAAGAGGGAAATTATGAGGATAAAGTAGAAACCAGAAAGTGGCCGGGCGTGGTGGCTCATGCCTGTAATCCCAGCACTTTGGGAGGCCAAAGCAGGTGGATGACCTGAGGTTGGGATTTTGAGACCAGCCTGGCCAGCAGGGCAAAACCCAGTCTCTACGAAAAATACAAAAATTAGGCCAGGCACGGTGGCTCACGCCTGTAATCCCAGCACTTTGGGAGGCCGAGGTGGGTGGATTATCTGAGGTCAGGAGTTCGAGACCAGCCTGACCAACATGGAGAAACCCAGTCTCTGCTAAAACTACAAAAAAAATTAGCCAGGCATGGTGGTGCACGCCTGTAATCCCAGCTACTTGGGAGGCTGAGGCAGGAGAACTGCTTGAACCTGGGAGGTGGAGGTTGCGGTGAGCTGAGATTGCGCCATCGCACTCCAGCCTGGGCAACAAGAGCAAAACTCCGTCTCAAAACAAACAAACAAACAAAAAATACAAAAATTAGCCGGGCCTGGCGGTGCATGCCTGTAATCCCAGCTACTTGGGAGGCTGAGGCAGGAGAACTGCTTGAGCCCAGCGGGCAGAGGCTGTAGTGAGCCAAGATCACACCACTGTACTCCAGCCCGGATGAGAGAGCAAGACTGAGGAAAGAAAGAAAGAAAAGAAAGAAAAGAAAGAAAAGAAAAGAAAAGAAAAGAAAGGAAGGAAGGAAGGAAGGAAAGAAAGAAAAGAAAGAAAGGAAAGGGAGGAAGGGAGGAAGAGAGAAAGAGAAAAAGAGAGAGAAAAGAAAGAAAGGAAGGAAGGAAGGAAGGAAGGAAGGAAGAAAGAAAGAAAGAAAGAAAGAAAGAAAGAAAGAAAGAAAGAAAGAAAGAAAGAAAGAAAGGAAAAAAAACGGAAAGTAAAAGCTGATTCTCAAGAAAGCTGAATCCAGATCCAAGAAAAAACAGACATTTTGAGCAAAAATAAAGATTACTAAAAATGATTAAAATGTTACCTTTACTATTTTTTCTTCCAATCATTACCAGTTAGTGAAACAAATTATTATATCAAACTACAATGTCAACAAAATCATTTTAGCTTTTAAAAAAAGTGGTTGTTTAATATAACTAGCTTTTAATGATTCATTTCTGTCAATATAAGTGTTTAAGAATAATTATTAAAAAGAAGCCTTCATGGTAAGTCAGAAAAAGATTGAGCTCATCAAATTCATTTTATAGTCATCCCCCAAAAAATGGCTATTGTTTCTGACATTAACTTTTCTTTTTTTCTAAAATGAACCACTATTGTTTTACTATCCAAATACTAGGGGTATGTATTATTAATGTGTTTTTCCAAGTCATAAATGATGAAAGAGTGAAGCCCATAGAGAAATTGGGAAAATAAGATCAGCAGCCAAAACAAGCAACACAAAGGAAGGGCTGTGGGCTACTGGTTTGGAAGGAAAAACATTTCACGGACACACCCATGACAAAGCAATACAGAGCCACACCTGGAGGGTGACTCTTAGAATCCATTCCCAAGCCGATTGTGAAAACATGACTCTAAAGCCAAAATGTGAAGGTTCAAACACCGTACATCAGCTTTCATGATGTAGGTGTCAAGGACCTCCTCAGTAAGCAAGCCAGAAACATAGCTTCACTTAGCTACACAAGATTATGCTTCCTGAAGAAGAACACTATATTTACTAAATGTTACAGCTCTACACTGTTATAGGGTGTAGCAATTTTACAATAAACTGATAATACTAAATAAGTGATAGTACCTTTTTTTCAACAGAAAATAAACTCACCAAAAATGAACAATTGCTTGTTGTATAGAAAATAAATGTGCAATTATCTGGATAAGTGAACTTGCAGTCTACATATTTCATAAATACATATTTTGTTTCTAACTTCTAAAAGATAATGAGTTAAAAAATAAGATACTTAAATTTTTTAATGTAGCAATTATCACATTTACAATTTTAGCTAGAAATTAGCAAAGACTATAAAGATTGCTTCTTAACCTCCACTTTATAAAGCAATTGCCCTAAATATTTCAACAATCTCTAAGGAATGTTGTGTTTAAACTATCTAAAACACTACAAATCACAATATAACATACTCTGTGTTTCCCAAAAGCATTCATTGGAATATTAATTTTTCAAAGAGCTTTTAGGAAAAAGGTTTTCACAAGAAAAAAAGAGTGTAGGTAAGAGTCCAACTATATCCTGCTCTTAAGAGTTTCAGAATGCATTTTAGTATATAGGAATACCTTGGAGATACTGTGAGATCAGTTCCAGACCACTGCAATGAAGCAAGTATTTCAATAAAGCAAGTCACATGAATTTGTTACTTTTCCAATGTGTATAAAAGTTACGTTTACACTGTGTTGTAGTCTATTAAGTGTGCGATAGCTCTTAAAAACAATGTACAAACCTTAATTAAAAAGTAGTTTAGGCTGGCGTGGTGGCTAACACCTGTAAACCCAGCACTTTGGATGGCCGAGGCAGGCGGATCACAAGGTCAGGAGATCGTGACCATCCTGGCTAACACGGTGAAACCCCGTCTCTACTAAAAAATACAAAAAAATTAGTGGGGTGTGGTGGCATGTGCCTGTAGTCCCAGCTACTTGGGAGGCTGAGGCAGGAGAACTGCTTGAACACAGGAGGCGGAGGTTGCAGTGAACCAAGATCACACCACTGCCCTCCAGCCTGGGCGACAGAGCGAGACTCCATCTCCAAAAAAAAAAACTTTATTACTAAAAAAATGCTAACCCTCATCTGAGCCTTTAGTGAGTCATAATCTTTTTGCTGATAGAGGGTAGCTGCTGACTGATCAGGCTGATGGATGCTGAAGGCTGGGGAGGCTGCGGCAGTTTCTTAAAATAAGACAACAATAAAGTTTGCTAAACCAATTGATTCTTCCTCTCATGAAAGGTTTCCCTGTAGCATGTGATGCTGTTTGATACCATTTTTCCCACAGTAGAACTTCTTTCAAAATTAGAGTCAATCCTCTCAAAACTTGCCGCTGCTTTATCAACTAAGTTAATGTAATATTCTAAAATCCTTTTCAACAATGTTCACAGCATCTTCACCAGAAGCAGAGTCCATCTTAAAAACTTTGCTTTTTAAGCAAAATTTCTTTGCTCATCCATAAGAAGCAACTCTCATCCATTCAAGTTCTATCACGAGATTGCAGCAACTGAGTCACATCTTCAGGTTCCACTTCTAGTTTTCTTGCTATTTCCACCCCAACTGTAGCTATTTCCTTCAATGACATCTTGAACACCTCAAAGCCAGTTCTTCCAAACTCCTGTTAATGTTGATCTTTTATTTTGCCCATTGAAGCACAAATGTTCTTAAGGGGATCTAGAATGGTGAATCCTTCCCAGAAAGTTTTCAATTTGCTTTGTCCAGATCCATCATAGGAATCACTATTTATGGCAGCTATCGCCTTGTGAAATGTATTTCTTAAATAATAAGACTTGAAAATCAAAATGACTCCCTGATCCATGAGCTACAGAATGAACGTTGTGTTAGCAGGCGTGAAAACAACATTAATCTCCTTGTGCTTCTCCATCAGAGCTCTTGGGTGACCAGGTGCACTGTCAATGAGCAGCAATCATTTGAAAAAAAAATTTTTTTTTTTTTGAGAAGTAGGTCTCAACAGTGGAGTCAAAATAATCAGTAAATGATGCTGTAAATGTACATTTTGTCATCCAGGCTTTGTTGTTCCATTTCTAGAGCACAGGGAGAATAGATTTAGTATAATTCTTAAAGACCCTAGGGTTTATGAAATGGTAAATGAGCACTGGCTTCTACTTCAAGTCATCAGTTGCATTAGCCCCTACCAAGAGAGTCAGCTGGTTCTTTGAAGCTCTGAAGCCAGGTATTGACTTTTCCCCTCTAGCTATGAAAGTATGAGATGGCATCTTCTTTCAATAGAAGGCTGTCTTATCTACATTGAAAATCTGCTGTTCAGTGTAGCCACCTTCATCGATGATGCTAGTGAGATCTTCTGGATAACTTGCTGCAAGCTTCTACATCAGCACTTGCAGCTTCCCCTCCACTTTTATGTTATGGAGACAGCTTCTTTCCTTAAATCTCATGAACTAAGCTCTGATAGCTTTAAGCTTTTCTTCCGCAGCTTCCTCACCTCTCTCACCCTTCACAGAATTGAAGAGAGTTAGGGCCTTGCTCTAGATTAGGCTTTCACTTAAGTGAATGTTGTGGCTGGTTTGATCTTCTATCCAGACCTATAAAACTTTCTCCATATCAGCAATAAGGCTGTTTCACTTTCTTATCATTTGTGTGTTCACTGGAATAGCACTTTTAATTTCCTTCAAGAACTTTTCCTTTGCATTCACAACTTGGCTAACCATTTGGCACAAGAGGCCTAGCCTGCCTCGGCTTTGAATATACCTTCTCCACTAAGCTTAATCATTTCTACCCTTTGATTTACAGTGAAAGATGTGCTACTTATTCCTTTCACTTGAACACTTAGAGGCCACTGCTTTGTTATTAATTAGTCTAACTTCAATATTACTTTATCTCAGGGAATAGGGAGACCCAAGGAGAGTGAGAGACACTGGGAATGGCCAGGTCAGTGAATCAGAACACACACATTTGTCAATTAAGTTCACCACCTTACACGTGCATGGTTTGTGGCACCCCAAAACAATTACAATGGGAACATCAAAGGTCACTAATCCCAGATCACCAAAACAGATATGATAATAATGATGAAGTCTGAAATGTAATGAGAATTACCAAAATGTGACACAGAGACAGTGAACACATGCTGTTGGAAAAACAGCACAAAAAGACTTGCTCAATGCAGGGTTGCCATAAACCTTCAATCCGTAAAAAATGCAATATCTGAGAAGTGCAATAAAGCAAAGGACAATGAAATGAGGTGTGCCTGTATGACAGTCTCTAAGAGGTTTCTAACTTAACAAGGGATTTTCCACGTTTATTTAAACACAGAAACATTTTCTTAAGTAATGCATTTTAATACTCCCCCAAACTAGCGCTCTATGGAGCACACATTAAGGAACACCGTTGAAGTCTAAAACTGTGTGCATTTGATTATTACAAAAAAATCATGGAACTAATGAGTACAAAAGCATGCCCCAAGTATTTCCTAATGGGCTCAAAGGGGCATATATATTATTATTAAAGAAGAAACAGTCAAAGGGATAGGAATATATCATATTGCTAAGTCTTTAGGAGCTACAATTATGCCTGTCAAGGATCTCAAACTCAACTGCCTAAATGGAACTTCTCATATTTTCTTTTCAAAGCTGCTCTTGCACTTTTGTTATTACCACCATCCACCAGGTCTTCCAAGTCAGTAACCTGACTCCTTAATATCTGCTTCTACTCAAGTTTCGAATACAATTTATTTTTACATGTATCTTCCATCATCTTAACACTTCTCATAATACTTCCCACCTCTTTCAAGCCCTTTGTTGGTACCACATTTACAGTTTTTTAAGTTGCATTAAGATATAATTTACTTGTATAACATCTATACATTTTACTTTTTATTACTTTGAGACAGGGTCTCGCTCTGTTACCCGGGCTGGAGTGCAGTGGCGTGATCTCGGCTCACTGCAACCTATGCCTCCCAGGCTCAAGCAATTCTCGTGCCTCAGCCTCCTGAGTAGATGGGACTACAGGCATGCGCCACCAAGCCTGGCTAATTTTTGTATTTTTAGTACAGACAGGGTTTCGCCATGTTGGCCAGGTTGGTCGCGAACTCCTGGCCTCATGTGATCAGTCCGCCTTGGCCTCCCAAAGTGTGGGACTACAGGCATGAGCCACTGCACCTGGCCAATAACATCTATACATCTTAATTGTATAGTCTGATGAGATTGTAATACATTTATATCACTTCTCGGCCTTTTGGCTAAGATCAAGTGAGATTGTAATACATTCATACAGTTGTACACCCATCACCCCAATCCAGTTTTAGAACAATAAAACTCATGTGCAGTCAATCTTGCTCCCATACCCAGACCCAGACAACCACTGATCTTTCTTTTGTTCTTTATACTTTTTGCCTTCCCTAGAAATTTCAAATAAATGAAGTCATACATTACATAGTCTTCTTTATCTGGTTTCTGTCTCTTCACATGTTATTTCTGAGATTTACACACATTAGTGAATGTAGCTGTTTATTCTTTGTTACTGCTGAATAAGCTCATAGTATGGATATGCCACTTTTTATTTACCCACTCATTACTTGATGCATATTATTCTAGTGGGTGTGTAGTGGTATAGATTTGTGATTTTGTTTCTCCACTGACCGATGATGCTGAGCATCTTATCATGAACTTATGTGCCATTCATTTATCTTCTCTGATAAAAAGTCTAAGTCAAACCTACTGCCCGTTTTTTATTAGATTGTTTAGCTTATTTGTTTGTTTGTTTGAGACGGAGTCACACTCTTTCACCCAGGCTGGAGTGCAGTGGCGCATTCTTGGCTCACTGCAACCTCCGCCTCCTGGGTTGAAGCAATTCTCCTGCCTCAGCCTCCCTAGTAGCTGGGATTACAGGCACCCGCCACCACGCCCCCGCTAATTTTTGTACTTAGCAGACACAAGGTTTCGCCCAGCTCAGGTCTATAATTCCAGCACTTTGGGAGGCCAAGGCTGGTGGACTGGATCACTTGAGCCCAGGAGTTCGAGACTAGCCTGGACAACATGGTGAAACCCCATCTTTACAAACAATACAGAAATTAGCCAGGCGTGGTGGTATGTTCCTGTAATCCTGGCTACCAGGGACACTGAGGCAGGAGGGTCGCTGTAGCCCAGGAATTCAAGGCTGCAGGGAGTTATGACTGTGCCACTACACTTCAGCCTGGGCGACAAAAGCAAGACTTCATCTCTCTAAAAAGAAAAGAAAAAAAAAAAGTTTACCAAAAAAGCAATCTGAAGAAATCACACCGCAGGTAGCACCACAAGCAAAAGGAGGCAGGGAGTGCACTGGAAGAGACGATGTAAAGATAGAGTCGTCTGAGTTACACACAAGCATCCCTTTGTTAAAACTGTACAGGTAAGGCTGGGCGCGGTGGCTCATGCCTATAATCCCAGCACTTTGGGAGGCCCAGGTGGGTGGATCACCTGAGGTCAGGAGTTCAAGACCAGCCTGGCCAACATGGTGAAACCCCATCTCTACTGAAAATACAAAAAAAAATTAGCCAGATGTGGTAGTGTATGCCTGTAGTCCCAACTACTCAGGAGGCTGAGGCAGGAGAATCGCTTGAACCCGGGAGATGAAGGCTGCAGTGAGCCGAGATCGCACCACTGCACTCCAGCCTGGGCGACAGAGCAAGACTCTGTCTCAAAAAACAAAAACAAAAACTGTACAGGTAAGAAGTGTATATGTGTGTTTGTATATTTTACCTTAAAAAATTAACAAATGGGGAAAGTGTGGAGTGGGTAGAGGTAAAAATGAAACAAGGAAGATAGATTTTTTACAGTCATTGAAGCTAGATAATGTGTGCATGGGTGTTCAATATACTGCTGTTTATCTTGCACAAGTAATTCAAACCATATTCCCAGGTTTATGACTCTAATTATGCAAAGTATAAATGCTACATGTATGTATATAAAAATACATATATATACACACACATAAATACATATATATATATATATATATATATACTTTGAAGGGTTCTACCAAAACATTAAAAGTAATTATTGAATAATTATGGGATTACAGGTAATTTTTATTCTCCATCTTTTTAAGCCCTTTTCAGATTCTTCCACACAGTAAGGCAGCACTCTCTGAAAATAACTTGCATACATTTCTTAAAAATCAAACCAGTCATATTTAGCTACACTCAGAACTTCTGAAATAATCAAGGTCCAAATAACATCTGAAGGTAAAGGAATTAGGATCTGAATACTGCATTTATCAAAAGAATAAAAAATATGAAATTCAGGTTTTAAAACAAAAGCAACATTCTCTCCTACACACATATCCCTCCAGACAAATGCTGTCCAACAGAACTTGATGGAAACACACCTGCTGTGGTGGAAAGCCTCTTAGAGTTGCCCAGTGCAGGAGCTGCTAACCACGCGTGGCTATGGAACAGTTGAAATGTAGCCACGTTTCCGGTAACTTTGAAAAGGATTCTTCCATTCACTTTAATCTTAATTGCCATACATGGCTAGTGCCTCCCATACTAGACCGCACAACTATGTGGGGGGGAAACAACCAAACAACAAGCACTGAGGTGTACAGACATCGGGGGAGCAAAGACCATTCAAATAAGACAACAAAATCCTGCTCACAGGAAGTTTATATTGGGAAAGAAGTTTAATTTGGGAAAGAAGATATTAAACAGATGCACAAGCAGATTCACGGTTCTATTGACCATTTTCCTCCTCCGTCCAGTCATTCAGTCATTTACTGATATTCTATATCTTCTCATCTCTCCCTGGTAGCTACCAAATCATAACTTTTAAAAAGATACACTGTAAGCTTCCTATTCTTTCTAGGTAAAGAGAACAAGTGAAGAGTACCAACTACACTGAGATTTCCTGAATAAAACCACATTAGCCACTAAGATACAGCCTAAATCCAATTTAGTTTCTCCTCTACCTAATTCTTCAGAAGTAATTTCAGTTTCTGATTTGTGCTTTTCAAAGCTAGTTCATCACCTTCCATCTTTTTTTTTCTTTTTTTTAAACTTTGTTCTTCCTCTTGTGAAAAAGTAAAAAGGAAAAGAAACTGAAGTAACAATTTATCAACAGCATGATTCCTTTAAAGGGATTGCTCCAGCAAGTAAACACACATTCATAATAAACAATCCTCTCTCTAGAAGCACCAATGGCATTGAGGTTTTGTTTCTACTTACCCTGATATAAAGCATGTTCTCCTTTTACCTGGGTCACTAGGAAGCTAAAAGGCACACTTGTGTCTCACAAATGACTAACTCAACCTGGTGTTAATTCCTTCTTGTGTGTTCACTAGTTTCTGATATATATTTTTTTAACTGCCCAGATTCATTCCTACATTTAAATATACTTCTCCAAACGTTTTTCAAGATAAGTAAATAAAACAGAAATCATAAACACAAACTACTCGAATGGATTTCCCATCGGATTTCAGACTATCTTCTTATGTCCAAATTAAAAGGGCCAAGATCCTTTTATCCTTTCTGAACTTAAAAAAACTTGTTTAAACAAAATGTAAGCAATATCATATTTATACAGTGTGACTTTATTATACTTCTCCAAAGACCCATAAGATCTCTAGAACTGAGATCAGCCACATCTTTTATTAGTATTTCCTATGTAGACTGGATTATCAATATTGTTCTGCTCATTTATTCTGTTTTAAATGATCTACCATACCTTGAATTTTCTTGAAAATGTTGTGCTCTTAACTGGAATGCCACAAACAATGATGATGCTATTGCCAATAACTGGTTCTTCTCACTCTTGGTTAGCATGTGTCCTGAGGGAAATCAATCAACCAATCAATCAATCAATCATTTATTTTAACATCTGTGCTTCTCTCCTATAGAATTACTAGTCATTCAAACAAGTATTTTATAGGGCATCTATTATGCAGCTAGGATTGTACTAGGCACTGGGGTGTGCGGACATTGAGGAAGCAAGACCATTCAAATAAGACAACAAAATCCTGCTCACGGGAAGTTTATATTGGGAAAGAAGTTTAATTTGGGAAAGAAGATATTCAACAGATGCACAGAACAAAGACAATTAAAAAGAAAAAACCATCCACACAGAGATCTCCAGGAAAAGCATAAGCTCCTCACATCTGCTTCTCTCTGTCCTTTCCCAGCCCAGCTTCCCTGCTGAGGGAAGTGAGGATAGCGTGCAAGAAGCCCCTGTCCCTGGAGAAAAGGAGAGCGGCTGGTCAAGGACACAGATGAGGCCATGCTTTCTGGTGCGAAGATCCAAAGAATATCACGCCGTGATTCTTCTGCTTCTCTGCATGAATCCCAATCAACCAACCAATCTCTCTCCTCCTCTCACTCACAGTATCTTCCTACCATTACACAGCTGGACCTGGGATAGTCGGCTGGCCGCAAAGGCCTGGGGTGAGTGACTGATTGAAGAATTTGCGTAATTCTTCAAGAAGGTTGTGAGTCAAGGTAGGATTCAAATACTCCAGGGTCTATAGGTTAACACATCCTTTGACAGCTCTGTAACTTCACCACAAATCTAAAACTATTTATTTACCAGAGTACTACATATAGATAGTAGAGTATTAAATGGGACAGTATGAGCAACTTGAATGCTGGCTCGTCAGCCATAAGGTGCTACTTTTACAGTCGACCCTCCATGGATTCAAACAACTGCAGGTTGAAAATATTTGAGAAAAAAAATGTATTGTTGTCTGTACTGAACATGTACAGGCTTTTTTTTCTTGTCATTTTCCTCAAAGCAATGCAGTATAACAATGATTTACACAGCATTTACATTGTACTACGCATTATAAGTAACCTAGAGATGATTTAAAGTGCAGGGAGGATATGTCTAAGTTATATGTAAATACGACACTGGGGAATTGAGCTTCTGTGGATTTTTGTACCTGAAAGGGTCCTAGAACCAATCACCCACAGATACCAAGAAACAAATGTACAATTCAAAAAAAGAAAAAAACTAGTTGC
Organism: Homo sapiens; assembly: GCF_000001405.40. Taxonomy (NCBI): domain Eukaryota; kingdom Metazoa; phylum Chordata; class Mammalia; order Primates; family Hominidae; genus Homo; species Homo sapiens. Next base: position 100,338,973 of record NC_000013.11, on the reverse strand, counting down.
CTAAACTTATTTGGAAGAAATGAAGTAATTTAAACATTATGTCTAAAAAATCACTCAAAATACAAATAAGACTAAAAATATTCAAAATTAAGATACAAATACTTCCAATATCTACAGCACAATTTTCCACAGGGAAGTAATCTATCTGCTCCCTGAAGGGCAGGGAGAGCACAGGTAATCCACCCTCTTTTGAGACAAACCTAGACATTACATAAAACATAATACAAATATGGGATCTACCAACTGGTTCTGGGAATTCCATACTAGATCCTCACAACAGCCTAATAAACCATACTCTTATGGGCATTGGAAAGTTCCTCATTTTCCCCTGACACCTAAGCAGTGATGAAAACATCCCATATGATTACATAATTACTCTATATAAGAAGTATTACAAAAATTTGCTCTCAGTCTTGTCAAAACATACAGTTGAGAAGAACAGTTCTCATAGCATGACCTGCCAACAACTGGGAGTCCCCAGGAGTCCTTGCAAGGTCAAATGATTTTCATAGTACTACTAAAATATATTTGCTTTTTTAACTCTCATTTTCTCAAGAGTATACTGCAGAGGTTCCCAGATCCAAGGGACACATATTGTGTGATGACATCACTGCTCTCATGCATGTCAACACGTAATGGATTTATTACCATTACTTTCAGAATGAATGAATAAATATTTTCAAGTTCCTCAGTTTTAATTTATAATGTGGTAAATATCAATATATATAATCACAAAAGCTCTCTGGAGTGTAAAAAGAACCAGTGCTTCTCAAACTTCACCAAACATCAGAATCACCTGGATTAAAGATGCTGTGTGCACTTCACCAGCAGACTGACTGGTAGAAGGTATGAGGGCAAGGGGTAATAATCTGCATTTCTAACAAGCTCCAGGGTGATGCCGATGCTGCCAGTCAGCAGATCTCACTTTGAATACAACTGTTCTGGACTGATATTTATCAAACTGTGTAAAGAAACTGTTTAGTAGTTCATGAAGCCAGTTTAATGTGTCATGTGCAGGAAGACAAATTATCATAGCACTTTAAACACAGTATTTTACATGAAAATGTTGTGTGTGTTTATATGTGCATACTATGTCAGGATGTAAAATGTATTTCTCATGGTGGTTCACAATCAAAGTCCTTTACAAGTCAGTTCTTTAGACACATATGCACCGTATATACCATCAGCAAGGGAGGAGGCAATGCATTAGGGGAACCCATTCACTGCAAGATGCTCAATCAGTATTTCATCTGGTCTAACCAACTATTAGTGCATGGACTCAGGCAATATTGAGAGAGGTCTCCCAAATAAAATGGACCATCATTCATCACATCTCCCAGGCAAACTGATATGATGCACATCAACTTCAAGCATTTTACTGATATTCCACTTCAAAAGGGGGGTACTCAGTTCCAACAGGCTCTGTATAAGAAGTCTGATCATAACTGACCTATTCTTACAACGATTTTAGCATAATGCTACTCCTGATCACAGGCCAGAGTGGACTTGACTTCTGCAAGTTCCCCTGCGGCCTGATACTAAGTAAGGCATGTCTTCCCTGGCTCTGACCTTGAGCTCCCTTTGAACGGTCTCCACTGTTTGCCCTCTGGGGGTGGTAGACCAGCTTGGTGTTGAGTCAGACACACTGACACTGCATTCTGGGCTAGTAAGCTAAGGTGAATGTACCTCATTCCCTTTTCTGAGCAGCTTCTAATGTGTAAACCCTGCCTGGCTGCCATGAGGGGAGCTGGGAATGCATGCTGCCTGCTAACCTGCTGGAATGTAAGTCCCATGAGGGCAGCTCCTTTTTCTGTTTACTGATGAATCCTACACACCTAAAACTTGGGGGCGCGGTAAGTATTTTAAAAGCTCTCCAATTCTTCCTACCCCTTTTAGCGAGTGTGAACGTAAACCAAGAGTGCTGTAATCTGACACTTGGTTTACCCTCTCCCCCAACCCCGACAGAGAAGACTGAGAGGTGCTGCTGGGTGCATGTGGAATACAGGTGGTGAGGAGGCAGAAGGACTGAGAGCTCCAGCCTCACATGCAGGACACATGCAGCCTCAAGCACTCTTCAGAGGAGCAAGTCACTTGTACTTGTTACAGGTCTAGATGGAGTTCTAAGGCTTTCTTAAACCCAGCCTTGGAACGTTCACAACATTCAAGCTTAGAGCCTCTACTGCGAAGTCAACGAGGCTGGGCACAGTGGGCTCTTCAGTGAAGACATGGCTGGAAAAAGCTGCAACTCTTGGTTCTAAAAGCCTTAGGCTTTTTGACAGTTTTACCTCTGTATTCCCAGAGCCTAGAGCACAATCTTTTACCCAACAGGCTCTATAAGTATTTGTGACTGAAAGAAGAAAAACCTTCCTCCTCACAACTAACTCTTACCTTCTTAAACTTTTGGGGGGATAATTTCATGCAAAAGTCCCAACCCCTAAACAATGTTTATTATCTCCTCTCCTTGTTCATTAAGCCACTAATTACTGGAGTTCAAAACCATGTAACAGCACCTACAAGCTTTGTGACATGCCACTATGACCCTCATGCTACTGGCCACCCTCATTGGCATGATGCAGTTTTCAAGAAGCCTGACCTGTGTATTTCCCGAGTGGTTTTAGGTCTACCATTTATTTTTAACAGCTACGCGCTGGTTCCCATTACATGTAGTGTTTTCTGTTTTTTGGGTGTGTGTTTGTTTGTTTTTGTTTCTTGAGACAGAGTTTTGCTCTTGCTGCCCAGGCTGGAGGGCAGTGGCACCATCTCGGCTCACCACAACCTTTACCTCCTGGGTTCAAGTGATTCTCCTGCCTCAGCCTCCTGAATAGCTGGGATTACATGCACATGCCACCATGCCCGGCTAATTTTGTATTTTTAGTAGAGACGGGGTTTCTCCACATTAGTCAGGCTGGTCTCAAACTCCTGACTTCAGGCGATCCGCCCCACTCGGCCTCCCAGAGTGCTGGGATTACAGGCATGAGCCACCGTGCCCGGCCACAGTGTTGTATTAAATAATGCAGATAGAGGTCCTGATTCTAATCCAGGCCCGTTCTCTCTTCGTGGGCTATGGCTTTGTTGACCACTGGCAGCTTTGTCTGTAGGGTAATCTGGCTGGACTGTTTTGTTGGGGAATCTTTAGGTCATCTCACCAGGGGGTTAGATTTTTCAAGGATCGTCTACTTTCATGTCTGTGAGTACCAGTCTGCCTGCCAGTCCCCTGGGAACCAACTGAGGAACAAAGCTGGGGCAGAGAGTGTCACCACATTTATTATGTCCATGTTCCCTCGATCCTTTGTCCAACTGTGCCTGGTGTCCCCTGGTTTTTATCCTCTGCAGAGAAGAATCTGAAAGCTTACACCAGGATGAGGGAAAGAGAGTCGCCTTACTCTGAAGAGTGAGGGAAGTGATATGGAGAAAATTTTACAGATATTTTAGGTCAGTAGTGCTACCTTTAGGAATTTCCCAGGGTATCTGGAGCTAATAATTATTGAGACTTCTGAAGGGTTCTGCAGTGGTAATGAGCTACTTCTCAGTTTCTCTCATTGTCAGCTTAGGATTCAACTTTCTTAGGTTACTAAGTCAGTTAAGAATCATCTTTCAGCTGTTCATTTTACCAAATGCTATTTCCTTTCTTCTTCCTAGTGGGCTTGTGTCTTTAAAAAACTCAAGTTAGTGGATTTGGGGGTAGGGGGAAAAATATGTATATTTTTAAGCTATCATCTTACCTAAAAACTGGTTAAAGTACTTTCTTTAGCAATTTCCTCAAAAGGAGTATATATGGTAAAATAGTTCTGAATCCTTATTTAACTGAAAACAAATTTGTTTATATTGATGACGATATCTTAGCTGGGTATAGTACTCTTGAGTCAAATTCTTTCCTATGTAGCAGACACTATTCTAAGATTTCTAACTTCCAGTTTATAGAGTATGAACATAATCTCACTGTACATTCCTTGCATCTTCTTTCTTTTCTTTTAGAAGATTTAAAAAAGTATTTGTTTTTTATATGCCTAGTGGAGTTACTTTTTAAATTAATCCAGTCTGAATCTCAGTGAGTCTTTCCAAGAATACCTAAGGCTTTCTTAAGAACAGTGAGAAAAAAATCTCTATTATTTCTTTCAAAGTTATCCTTCATTTCCATTTTTCTTTTCATGAAACTCCTAGTATGCACTTATGTGTAAAATCTTTTGGATCTTCCCTCCATATCTCTCATCATTTTCCACATGATTTCATTCTCTTTACCTTTTTGCTGCATATTTTGAGATACTTCCATTTATTCCTTTGAGTCACTAATTTGGATCTTAGTAGTGACCATCCTACCTTCCACATTGACTGCTGAATTGTTTTATTTAGAAAAATCACAGTTTTTTAGTTCATTAAGTCTTTCTCCTCTAATTCAGTATTTTTAAGTGTTCTTCCCATTTTTCAGTAAGCACAGTCATCTGCCTCCTACAACAGCAGCTCTAAAACTGAGCACCACCTGTCCTTAGTGAGTCTTCTAGGTCTTCCTCCCTAGATGAGTAATTCTTTTCCTTTTTACATCAGGGACTCTGCTCAATATGCAGGCCAAAGAGTTAGGCAGTGGTTTGCTGGTAAATGCTTAACAAACAACTGGGGTGTGGGGGAAGGAGAAAAGCCGCAGGGTACAACCAATTTCTTTACAGTAAATACTTTCTTCATGGCTGATTACAAACTACCAACTTCAAAGAGGATGGCTTATAAAGATGTGCACACATGGCTCTCACAAGTGCAGCCCAGCTCCCATGGAGAGAGTCCCCGGAGAGGTATTCCAATAGTCTAAATGCTACCTCATCCTTAAAGCCTTTCTTTATTCCCTCAAATGGAACTGGGTTTCCGGTGTTTTGTTGTTGTTGTTGTTTTGTTTTGTTTCTCTTCTGTCAAGATACTTTGCTTACATCTTTACCAGGCACTTACTTTATCCTGTCCTGTAGTATAGTGGGTACTTTACATTATTATTTCTCTCATGATGTCAGCTCACTAAGAGCAGGTAAAATATACCCATCTTTGATTTTCTTCTAGAGCCTATATCAATTATTTGTTGAATGACTTTAATGATTGAATTCAGTCCAAATATCATAGTAGTATTTTTTAAAGTGTAGATATACTTGACTAAATTCAGTGGAAAAAAGAGAAGTATAATTAATTATATACTTTTTGTGTTGAGTGAAATTTTTACCAGAAGATCTGTAACTTCTTAAAAGAATGAGATAATTCTGACAATTTCTTTCGATGGGGCTTGGGGTTGAAGTATAGGAAGGTATCAGAGAAATAAGCCCAAAATGTTCATTATAGGCCAAATGAAATTATAGTTCTTAAAATATCTTCTTCCTCATGTTCCATTTATTTTTCAGAATCAAGGGAAACCGCTTTTCAACATCCACATCTAAAGAGATGACAAGAATAATTTCTCATGTATCCTATTTTTTAATTTTAGAAGCAATCATTTCAAAGTTTAACTCTAAGAATCTCTAGTAAAACTGGCTTAGTCTACATACAAATAAATGTGGGATAATAAACATATACAATAGAAAATTTTAATGCAGTCATAAAAATAGGTGCTTGCCTGTGAATAGTGCCTAGGATAGCTGAACAGATGGGAAGCAGATGGGAAACCCCAAAGGGGCAAAATGACCTGGCCCCAAACATATGGAGAGGATCCTGGATTAACTGTAGTTACCACTTCCTTCAGTCTCTTGGGCACATATATCAAACAGTCAAAAGACGATACAGTTTAAAATATCTAAGACCTGATTTAGGGGGAAAATACAGCAATCTGAAGAAGAATGACAGACAGTAACCACTCAAAGAAGAATGAACTGATATGAAAATAAGAAAATAAAACAAGAGGGAGACATTAAGAATGGCAAATATAGGAGTGTGTTTCTAAAGTATTTAGAGGCAATATAACAACATGTAGCATACCCTGATTGAAAACATTTGTGATTTATGAATTTGAACCCCAGCATAACTCAAAGACTACTCAAATAGGAGTTGAATAAGCCTAGGTTCAATTCCTGGCATTATTATCTTACTGGTCATTTAGCTTTACTGATATCTCTGAGCTCTAGTTTCCTCACATGTAAAATGAAGGCTGCAACTAAATAATTGCTAAAAGCAATGTATGCCAATTTTAAAAATTGGTCTAAGCATAAAAAACAAAATTGTGGTGTCCAAGCTGTTAATTCCTTACAAAAAAAGAAATGTAATATATTATATGCATCACAGAAAACTGCAATATCTAGGTTTAAGTACATTTCTGAGTTTGAAGGGGATCCCTTCTCTACAGAATTTGGGATATTCTCTATTGTTGCTAAACGTCCAGCACATACTAATCAACTCTGATTAGAAAATTTAAATGCCCCATTTTCTTCTTCTCTGGGATACTTCACCATACATACATATAGACAAACTTATATATAAATGTGTATTTGTGTGTGTGTATATATATATAAATACCCATACATGCATATAATGTTTGTTCTAAAGGTTCTCTGTAGTTTTTCCCTGTTTTCTCCTTCTGCCCACTGTTTCCTATCTTATCACCATCACTGAATTGCCAGGCAGACATAAAAACATGGAAGTCCTAAGTCCACTTCAAAACGTACTACAACTTTTAATTAAAATTTTAGGAAGGACAAGAAACTAAATGTTAGGATCAAAATAGAATGAACTGGTTATCTGGATACATGTATAAATGATTAAAAATATCCAAAGTAGCGGCCAGGTACGGTAGCTCACGCCTGTAATCCCAGCGCTTTGGGAGGCCGAGGCGGGCAGATCACGAGGTCAAGAGTTCGAGTTCAAGCCTGGCCAACATGGTGAAACCCCGTTTCTACTAAAAATATAAAAATTAGCTGGGGGTAGTGGCACATGCCTGTAATCCCAACTACTTGGGACGCTGCGGCAGGAGAATCGCTTGAAACCGGAAGGCAGAGTTGCAGTAAGCCAAGACTGTGCCACTACACTCCAGCCTGGGCAAAAGAGCAAAACTCTGTCTCAAAAAAAAAAAAAAAAAAAAAAATCCAAAGTAATCCTTTCTCATCAATATTATGGCTAAGATTTTTTTTTTTTCATTAATTCAACAAATACTTAGTACCTACTATGTTTTGTGCTAGGGATAAAATGAAAAGCAATGACGTAAGGGGTTCTTAGCCTCATTAAACCAACAAATATTAAAAGAATAGTCACAAAAGTATAAAACTACTATCCTAGTTGTATTTTATTTTGTATTTTTAAAAATTCAAAAGTTTATGAAAAACAACCTAATAAATCATTAGTTTTTGTTTTAAGATCCCAACTTAGAGCCATTCTTCATTTGCCTTAATACTAATGATAAAACTCTATAACACTAAAGTTTTAAAACAATATTCAAATCAGTTATCTCTGTTGAGTCTTATGAAAACTCTGTATTGTAAATTCTGAACTGAAAACTGCTTTATAAATGCACCCAACAACTCAACGACATCAACTTGACCTGAATCTATATATAGCTCCTAATATGAATGTGAGTCATTTTACATTAAAACACTTTAATGGATACAAAGAACACTTGAAATATGGGACAGACTATCTAACCTTCATACCTCACTAGCTCATTAAAAATGTAGGTAGAGGCTTTCACCTGAGTAACATTTCTATTAAGTCTCAGTCTAAATCTTGTTTATCTCTCAATATCTTATGTTAACTATGTTTTGAATGCTCACTAAAGGGTTTTCTCTATCTCCCATTTGATGAGCAATTTTTCTACTACCTGGAAATGCTTGCTGATAACTTTGCTGTGTTAAATTTCACATTCCACTCATTACTTTATTGAAAACTTCATTTTTCAGAATAAAATCATCATCTTCCTAGATTTTCATTAATAGGACCAGAATCTGGTTTTCTGAAATTTTCAGTGCTATTTTCATTAATATATCTCTTAAAAATCACTTTAGAAGAGTTCCTTATATACTCACCTCAGTAGAAAATACAAATCTGATTTGATTTTCAGAAACCAGGAAGTCAGGTAGGCTAATGATCTATCTACATGTTTTGCTCCAAAACACTGGACTCATAGAACAATTCACATGGTTGAATTCTGCACTCCACAAGACTGCAGATTATCACACTCATGAGTCATCCATAAATACTCAAAATCATGAATGTAAACAGTCTTGCATGTTCTAAAAATGAAGTATAATATAAGCCAAAAGGCCTTAATTTCAAAATAGAGTGAAATTATGTATTACAATAAAGTATAAAAATAACAACTTTAAAACACTAAAATATTTTAATGCATACAAACCTTTGAAGCCATCAGGATACACATCGGAGAGAAATTTAGTGCTGATGTCTCCTTTTACAAAGCGTGAGTTGATTATCACCTCTCGAAGTAATGCAATATTATGTGTAACACCTAAAAGTAAAATGATATCAAATTGAAGAACAATGAATCAGTGAAAAATTGAATTCTGATAATCTGGAGAAATTTATCATCACTGTTCTATGACCTAGCAGAAACCATTCAAGATTACTTATTTCCTTGAATTCTATTAACAACAAAAAATATCTGAACTTGTGGTATCAATAAAACACTAAATATAAATTTAAGAAGCTTGGTATTGCCAAGTCAAGTCAACGGGCTGTATTAGGGTGGTGCAAAAGTAATTGTGGTTTTGGGCCGTGAATTTTAAATCATTAAAACTAGGCTCAAACACATCTTTATTAATCAAAATAGGGACCATTACATCAGCTCCTTTTTCTCAATGAGAAATAAGTTTGTTTATTCCTGTAGCATAAAAATCCATGCTTCGGGATTTGACGAACTCTTGGAGAGCATTTTTTGCATCCTGCTGGTTGTGGAAGTGTTTTCCCCGCAAAAAGTTGTTGAGATGCTTGAAGTGGTGGTTGGTTGGCGAGAGGTCAGGTGAATATGCCGGATGAGGCAAAACTTCATAGCCCAACTCATTCAAATTTTAAGCATTGGTTATGTGACGTGCAGTTGGGTGTTGTTATGGAGAAAAATTGGACATTTCTCGTTGACCAACGCCAGCTGCAAGCATTGCAGTTTTTGGTGTATCCCATCGATTTGCTGAGCATACTTCTCAGATGTAATGGTTTCACCAGGATTCAGAAACCTGTAGTGGATCAGACCAGCAACAGACCACTAAACAGTGACCATGACCTTTTTTTGGTGCAAGTTTGGCTTTGGGAAGTGCTTTGGAGCTTCTTCTTGGTCCAGCCATTGAGCTGATCATCGCTGGTTGTCATATAAAATCCACTTTTCATCACACATCACAATCCAAGAAATGGTTCATTGTCTTGTAGAACAGGAAAAGACAACACTTCAAAATGATAATATTTTTTATTTTCAGTCAGCTCATGAGGCACCCACTCATGGAGCTTTTTCATCCTTCCAATTTGCTTCAAATGCCAAACGACTGTAGAATGGTTGACGCTGAGTTCTTCAGCAACTTCTCATGTAGCTTTAAAAGGATCAGCTTCGATGACTGCTCTCAATTGGTTGTTATCAACTTCTGAAGGCCGGCCACTAAGCTCCTCATCCTCAAGGTTCTCATCTCCTTTGCAAAACTTCTTGAACCATCACTGCACGGTACGTTCATTAGCAGTTCCTGGGCCAAACGCGCTGCTGATGTTGCAAGTTGTCTCTGCTGCTTTACATCCCATTTTAAACTCAAATAAGAAAATTGCTCAGATTTGCTTTTTGTCTAACATCATTTCCATACTCTAAATATAAATTAAACAGCCAGTAGTAAGTCATTAGCAAAAAAACAAAGCGAGAAATGTACATTAAAATGATGTATAACATAACCATATTTATTTAAGAATGTATTCCAATATCAAACAGCAAATTTCAGCAATGCAAAAACCGCAATTATGTTTACACCAACCTAATAAATGTCGTTTCAATAAATGGTACTAGAACAAACAGCTAACCATTTGGACCAAAAAAAAAAAAAAAAAAGTCCAGGCGCGGTGGCTCACACTTGTAATTCCAGCACTTTGGGAGGCCGAGGCAGGCAGATCATGAGGTAAGGAGTTCGAGACCAGCCTGGCCAACACAGTGAAACCCCATCTCTACTAAAAATACAAAAATTAGCTGGGCGTGGTGGCAGGCACCTGTAATCCCCGCTACTTGGGAGGCTGAGGCAGGAGAATCGCTTGAACCTGGGAGGTGGAGGTTGCAGTGAGCCAAGATCACACCACTGCACTCCCACCTCAGCGACGGAGCTAGACAACATCTCAAAAAAAAAAAAAAAAAAAAAATTAACCTCAACGCTAACACCTAACAACATAGACAAAAAATTAACTCCAAATGAATCACAAACCTATTTTCATAACTACAGTAGAAAATATGGAGGAAAAAATCTGTTACCTTAAGGTAGGCAACGGATTCTTAGTACATAGAAACCATGAACTATAAAAATATTGACAAACTGTACTTCATCAAAATTTAAGTCTGCTCCTCAAAAGAGGCAACTAAGAAAATAAAATAACAAACTACAGCCTGAGAGAAGATATTCACATAAAATATATTATTATTATCATCATTATTATTATTATTATTATTATTATTATTATTATATATTTTTTGAGACAGGGTCTCACTCTATCGCCCAGGTCAGAGTGCAGTGGTGCAACCTCGGCTCACTGCAACCTCTGTCTCCTAGGTTCAAGCGATTCTCCTGCCTCAGTCTCCTAAGTAGCTGGGATTACAGGAACACGCCACCACACCCAGCTAATTTTTGTATTTTTACTAGAGACGGGGTTTCATCATGTTGGCCAGGTTGGTCTCGATCTCCTGACCTCGTGATCTGCCCGCCTCGGCCTCCCGAAGTGCTAGGATTACAGGCGTGAGCCACTGCACCCGGCCACCCAGCTAATTTTTATATTTTTTGTAGAGACACGTTTTTGCTGTTGCCCAGGCTGGTCTCGAACTCCTGGGCTCAAGTGATCCACCCACCTTGGCCTCCCAAAGTACTAGGATTATAGGCATAAGCCACCGTGTCTGGCCCACAATACATATATTGAACAAGGGAGTTGTATCTACCAACATATAAAGAACACTTACAACACAATTATAAGACAAAAAACACACCAAGTAAAAAAACACAGTCAAAATGTCCACTAAGCATAGGAAAAATTGTTCAACATCATTATTGTTAAAGAAACACAATGAGATGCCGTCAATATACCGATTTACATGGCCAAAGTGAAAAGACAGATAATAGCAAGTGCTAGTCAGGATATGGAACAAGAATTGTCACACTGTGGTGGCAATATAAAATGATACACACACTTTGGAACAGTTTGGCAGTTTCTGGAAAAGTTAAACATATATTCACTGATTCAGACAACTCACTCCTACGTATTAAGTCAAGTTAAATAAAAACATATGTCTATACAAAGACTTACATACAAAGGTTAATAGCAGCTTTATTTACTATAATCAAAACCTGGAAACAATTTAAATCTCCATTAAGAGGCAAATGAATTAACAAAACTGGGCTTGTCCATACAATGGAATTCTATTCCACATACACACACAGAGTCAATAACACATTAAATAACAAGGATAAACCTAAAAATAATTATGCTGAGTTAAAAAAGCAAGACCAAAAATAATGCATAATAATGTATAATTCCATTAATATAAAATTTTAGGACATGCAAACGAGCCTACAGTGACAGAAAGCAGATCATGTGGTTACACTGGGAAAGGGGTAGAGGGAGGGTAAATGTCAAAGACCATAAGGAAACTTCCAGAGGTGAAAGAAGTGTTCAACACCATGGCTGTGGTAATGGTTTCACAGGTGTATACGTATGTCAAAACTCATGAAATTGAATACTTTAAATATCAGAAATTTATTATGTCAAGTATACCTCAATAAGTCATTTTTTTAAAGATGCATGTAATCTAGTAGAAAAAAATTGAGCCTAGTACACAATGACAATTTCAAAGCACAGGTGATGACTGAATAACATGAGGATTAGGGGTGCCTCCTGCACAGACAGAAATCCATATATAACTTTTGATGCTACAAAAAAGTAAATACTAATAACATACTGTTGACTGAAACCCTTGCTGAAAACATAGTCAATTACAAGTTTTATATATTATATATATTAAATACTGCAGTCTTGCAATAAAGCTAAAGAAAATGTTATGAAGCAAATCATAAGAGAAAATACATTTACTATTCATCAAGTGGAAGTGGATCATCATAACAGTCTTCCTCCTCCTCTTCAGGTTGAGTAGACTGAGGAGAAGGAGGAAGAGGAGGGGCTGGTCTTGCTGTCTCAGGGGTTGCAGAGGCAGGAGAGGTGGAGGAGGTGGAAGGGGAGGCAGGAGAGGCGGCACACTCTGTATAACTTTATGAATATACTTTGTAATTTTTGTCTGCCTTTTTTGCTTTTTCATTTCTCTAAAAATGTTTCTATATGATTTCAATCCTTCTTCCACTGTTTTAGTTTTACTGCCAGTATCACAGAAGGGTCCATGTCGTAAAATAAGTCAATAGCAGTCTTGAATAATCAGAATCCTTCTGCCGCATTGTCTGATGTGATCCTGTTTTCTGGCACTGCTTCTTCTATGTCTTCTTCTTCATCCTCTGGCACCAATTCAGAAGCATTTATCTACATCAAGTCATCCTCTGTTAATTCCTCGGGTGTGGTGTCTATCCGCTCTTGGATTCCTCTAAGATCCGTACCTTAAAACCCTTCAACCCCCACTCCACCTTTTATGTCAAATCCACAATCTCTTTCATGATTTCCTTGGTTGCCTCTTTCATAAATCCTGTGAAGTCATGCACAACATCCAGACAAAGTTTTCTCCAGCACAAATTTTGGGCTTGATGGCTTTCACAGCTTTTTATATGACAACAATGCATCTTCAGTGGTGTAATCTTTCCAGACTTTTTCTCTTCCACAGTGTCAACGATCGTTTCCATACAGCTCTGTGTATAATGAGCCTGAAAGGACCTTACAGTACTCTGAGCTAGAGACTGAATTAGACTTGTTGGGTTTGGGGAGAAGCAGGCCACTTCGACACCTTCGATGTTAAACACATGTGTTCTGGGTGGCTGGGGCTCTGTCCATATCAAAAGAACTTTAGAAGACAGCCCCTTACTGGCAAAGTACTTCCAGACTTTAGGGACAAAGCATCAATGGAGTCAATCCAGAAAAAGGGTTCTCATTGTCCAAGCCTTCTTGTTGTACAACCAGAAGACTGGCAGCCGGTGCTTATCATTTTCCTTCAAGGCTAGGAGATGAGCAGCTTCACAGATAAGTGCAGATCATAAACCTGATTGCATTTGCACAGAACAACAGACAGAGTTAGCCTATTCCTCCCTGTCTTAACTCCTCATGCTTGCTTCTTTTCCCTACTAAGAAATGTTCCTTGTGGCTTTTTTTTCCCCCTCAGAATAAGGCACTTGCGTCTGCATTAAAAACCTGTTCAGCAGATATCCTTTCTCTTCAATGATTTTCTTAATGGTGTCTTAATGCTGCCTCTTAGTTGGCAGAAACAGCTTCCCCTTCACATTTTGTCTTCACATTTTAAAGCCAAATCTCTTTCTAAAATTATCAAACCATCCTTGGTTGGCAATACATTCTCCAGCTTTATATCCTTCCACCTTCCTTTTGCTTTAAGTTGTCATATAACAACTTCACTTTTCCCATAGACAGTCATATTCGAGTCTATGGGAATGCCTTTCTTATAGTAATCCTGTACCCACATAAAAGCTGCATCTTCAATATGAAATGAAAGGTGTTTCACAAAAAAGTGCAAGATTTTCACACCTGCTGGTGTAGCTGCAGCAAATGCTTCATAAATTTCATTTTATTTTTTTTTACAATGGTCCTTACATGGGATTCATTTATCTTGAAATGACAGGAAACTACATCTGCAGACCTCAATCTACCATATATTATCAAGTAATTCAACTTTTTCTCGTAATGTCATGACTTTTCTCTGCTTCTTGGGAGGACCTCCAGCATTACTAGTAGCACTTTGTATGGATTCTGTCCTGTTATTCAAAGTTTATGGTTTGCACTAAACATGATGAAAAATATTCCAGAACCATAAGCAATGACTTTTTACTGCCATATGCAATTTACTGGAGAGAGAACTGATCACACAGCGGTGATCAGCATCACATGGTGTTTTAAGCAGATACTCGCAACACTTGAACTCACTGCAATAGCAACAGTAGGTGGCTATGAAACTATACAGTAGTACAGTATGTACTACAGTGAATCTTAATGTGGTTATGATTTCATGCTGCGTCTTTACTGTTTGTGTACATTTCTCTCTGCTTTGAATGGCACCAGGTATGGTCTCTGTTTGTGTAAGTTTTGATAAATGTTAACTTTTATAATAGATTTGTGTAAATTTTATAATAGCAAATGATGAAACAGACTAGTATCTCTATATATTTTATGTATTCATGACATACCTTTTTCTTTCTTTGGTACTTCGAGGCTATAGAGTTTGTCTGAAAGCTTTTTCAAATTGTCACAAATCTTCAAATAATTTTAGGATATATTTATTGAAAAAAAATCCAAGATAAATGGACCTGCACAGTTCAAACCAGTGTTGTTCAAAGGTCAACTGTAATATCAAAATAGGTAACTGCCACAAGAGGATACTAATAGTATTGGGAGAGTTCTAGGATGCAGGAAGGTTTTGTGAAGAATGAAGTATCTAATCTTGGTCATCCAGATTACAAAGATGTTACACAGGAATGAAAGCAAGTGGGAGGAAGCATGTTACATCCAGGGAAGGCAGAAATTACATCAGGCTTCCACAAGAAGAGCAGGTGACTGCAGCATGACAGCTGAAGTCAAAGTAAACAGAGGTTTGTTCATTCCTTCCTATTACTTTAGTCCACTCTTGTATGGTTCTAATCTGTACCATCATGCTGCATAAGAAACCTACGAAGTATGATTCTGATTTTACTATTCAAGTCTCACAGAATCCCCACTTTTGCAACAATAACCATAAAGTAAGCAAAGAATCAGATAGTCAAGTTCAAATACCAGGTCTATCCCTTACCTTAGGTAAGTTAGTTAACCTCTCAAAGCTTTAGTTTCCTCATTTGTAAATTAACAATAATAGAACCTATTATGCATGATTGTTATCAGGTATAAATGATATAATGCTTAATGCAATGCTGGGCTCTCAAAAAAGAACATTACTATCCTGTTATATGGGAATATACAAAGAGCATGAGACAAAATGTAATTAATAAAACATCAGACAGAAGTTTTCCTGCATCCTAAGCTTCAGCACTGACCTACCTAACTTCTAGTTCTGTTTTCTGTTAAGAATGGAGCTCCTGGCCAGGCACAGTGGCTCACACCTGTAATCCCAGCACTTTGGGAGGCCGAGGCAGGAGGATCACAAGGTCAGCAATTCGAGACCAGCCTGGCCAACATGGTGAAACCCCGTCTCTACTAAAAATACAATAATTAGCCAGGCGTGGTGGCAGGCGCCTGTAATCCCAGCTACTCTTGAGGCTGAGGCCTCCCGCTTGAAGCCGGGAGGTGAAGGTTGTAGTGAGCCGAGACCGCACCATTGTACTCCAGCCTGGGTGACAGAGTGAGACTCTGTCTCAAAAAAACAACAAAAAAAAAAAGAATGGAGCTCCTGAAATCTGAGTTTACACCTGTATCTATTTGGAAAGTGTAACTTTCCTACAAGACAATGGTTGGCAAAATATGGCCTGAAGGCCAAATCTAGCCTCCTACCTATTTTTGTAAAAAAAGTTTTATTAGAACACAGCCAGCCTGGTTTGCTTACATATGACTGTTTTCATGTTGTAACAGCAGAGTCAAGCAGTTGTAACAGAAACCTTGTGTCCCACAAAGTCTAAAACATTTACTATCTAGCCCTTTAATCTGAGCAAACCTATCTATATGCATCAACATGTATTCTACACTATTACTCATGCAGCCATTAGATATCATGGGAAGGAAAATGAGAGCACACAATATGGTACCTGCTCTTGGGAAACTGCGCAACTAGTTATAGAATAAGTAAACTACAGAGAAAAATGGGACCTTACAAATGAGAAAATTGTGCTGGGTGCAGTGGCTCACACCTTTAATTCCAGCACTTTGGGAAGTCAAGGTGGGAGATGACTTGAGACCAGGAGTTCAAGATCAGCCTGGGCAATGTAGCAAGACCCTGTCTCTACAAAAAATAAAAACAGAAAATTAGCTGGGAATGGTGGCATGTGCCTATAGTCCCAGGTACTTGGGAGGCTGAGGCAGGAAGATCACTTGAGCCCAGGAGTTCGAAGTTGTAGTGAGCTACGGCTGCATCACTGTACCCAAATCTGGGTGACAGAGAGAGACCCTATCTCTAAAAGAAAAAAAAAAAATTAAAAAAAAGAAAATTGCAATCCAGAGAGACTGAATAGTTTACCTAATGATTAGCACATTATATATCACAATAGTTACATATATATAATTATATATAAACAATTTTTAAGACACAGTTTATTGTGACAGACTGCTAGTTTCTCCTAAAACCTGCTTTTCATTTTTCCATAGTAATAGAATTTTAGCTGAGCAAAAGACACCCAGACACAGACTCCACTTTCCCATCTAGCTTGTAGGTAGGCATGACAAACTAATTCCTAGACAAAGGAAGGTAAGCTAAAGTGATGTACGCAACTTCCGACTCTCTCATTGCTTGCTTGAGCTTCCTTTCTTCTCGTCTTACTGTGGGTTTCCTGACATGGCAGAAACTCAGCTTTGGCAATTCAAACGGAGTGGCACATCAGGATGGGTGTGTGTATCTTTGAATGACCTCATGAGGCTGACTTGCCTCCTAGCAGCATGGACCAGACAGTTACATGAGAGGTAAATAAACGTCTCTCTTATTTATCCCACTGTATTTAGAAATCTTTGTTACAGCAGGTTACCCTGTACCCTAGTGCATGTGTTTGAGCGAGCAGGGCACACCTTTTCAATATGACTTTCCATCTCTAAGCTAGCCAATGATAACAGCTTAACATGTATACCCTCCCAGGCATTTTCCTATGCATCCTTTTATACTAGACCATATCCACAACCATATGGAAAATCCTGAGCATTTCTGTTCCTGACTCAAGAGATGCTATGTATCTAAATTTTATAAAGGCCAATTCTCAATTTATCAAAACTGCCTCAAGACGTTTAGAAAACATTCACAAATTCAAATTAATGCTATTCCTTTAGCTACACAAAAATTCCATGGAAAAAGTTATATATATCAGAATCGATCATATTCTTCACTATATACATATATATATATTATAGATTGCTTTATGTACACACACACACACACACACACACACACACACACACACACACACAGATCTTCTATAGCGCATGCCCATGAGATCTACACAGCTATTTCATGCTTGTTCTGTGGGTAATGATTTACTTGGCCCATACATAATAACTATGTTTCAGAGGGCTTTAATAAGTTTTTTTAATGAGAAACATAGTAGAAGGCAGATGAAATTTCTAATGACATCAATATACCTAAGAAATCATTGAAAAAATGTGGCGTTGCTTTTGTTTAGATGAAAGTGAAAAGCAACTGAAGGCAATATGCTAGGATGCTTAGAAAGATCAATTAGGTAGGCAAAAATGTAAAAAGCTCCTTGAAAGAGATCAGGCTAAATAAAACATGGGAAATTAATCCCTTGATCATGTTTCACAAAGAGACAAACTAGAGTGCTTTTGAAAAAGAAAAGAGGTATCACTTGCCAGAAAGGTTCACCTGCATAGGAAATGACAGCTTTGGTGTTCCGGGAAGAGGAAAGTATTTGAGACTTACACAGATTTTCCTGGCTGGGAAGGAAAACAGAAAGATGAGAAGGACCCAAAGATAAGTAGCTAAGGCTATGGTAACATTAGGGAGGAATTTAGCTCACACCTGTAATCCCAGCCCTTTGGGAGGCTGAGGGAGGAGGACTGCTTGAGGCCAGGAGTTTGTGACCAGCCTGGACAACAAAGACCCTATCTCTACAAAAAATTTAAAAATTAGCCGCGTAGGGTGGCACATCTGTAGTCCCAGCTACTCAGGAGTCAGAGGCAGGGAGATCACTTGAATCCAGGAATTCAAGGCTGCAGTGAGCTATAATTGTGCCACTGCACTCCAGCCTAGGCAATACAGAGAGGCCCTAAAATATTCCTCATGAACATCGATGCAAAAATCCTCAATAAAATACTGGCAAACCAAATCCAGCAGCACATCAAAAAGCTTATCCACCATGATCAAGTGGGCTTCATCCCTGGGATGCAAGGCTGGTTCAACATATGCAAATCAATAAATGTAATCCAGCATATAAACAGAACCAAAGACAAAAACCACATGATTATCTCAATAGATGCAGAAAAGGCCTTTGACAAAATTCAACAGCCCTTCAGGCTAAAAACTCTCAATAAATTTGGTATTGATGGGACGTATCTCAAAATAATAAGAGCTATTTATGACAAACCCACAGCCAATATCATACTGAATGGGCAAAAACTGGAAGCATTCCCTTTGAAAACTGGCACAAGACAGGGATGGCCTCTCTCACCACTCCTATTCAACATAGTGTTGGAAGTTCTGGCCAGGGCAATCAGGCAGGAGAAAGAAATAAAGGGTATTCAATTAGGAAAAGAGGAAGTCAAATTGTCCCTGTTTGCAGATGACATGATTGTATATCTAGAAAACCCTATCATCTCAGCCCAAAATCTCCTTAAGCTGATAAGCAATTTCAGCAGTCTCAGGATACAAAATCAATGTGCAAAAATCACAAGCATTCTTATACACCAATAACAGACAAACAGAGAGCCAAATCATGAGTCAACTCCCATTCACAATTGCTTCAAAGAGAATAAAATACCTAGGAATCCAACTTACAAGGGATGTGAAGGATCTCTTCAAACAGAACTACAAAACACTGCTCAACAAAATAAAAGACACAAACAAATGGAAGAACATTCCATGCTCATGGATAGGAAGAACTAATATCGTGAAAATGGCCATACTGCCCAAGGTAATTTATAGATTCAATGCCATCCCCATCAAGCTACCAATGACTTTCTTCACAGAATTGGATCTTTAAAGTTCATATGGAACCAAAAAAGAGCCCACATTGCCAAGACAATCCTAAGCCAAAAGAACAAACCTGGAGGCATCATGCTACCTGACTTCAAACTATACTACAAGGCTACAGTAACCAAAGCAGCATGGTACTGGTACCAAAACAGACATATGGACCAATGGAACAGAACAGAGCCCTCAGAAATAACACCACACATCTACAACTATCTGATCTTTGACAAACCTGACAAAAACAAGAAATGGGGAAAGGATTCCCTATTTAATAAATGGTGCTGGGAAAACTGGCTAGCCATATGCAGAAAGCTGAAACTGGATCCCTTCCTTACACCTTATACAAAAATTCATTCAAGATGGATTAAAGACTTATATGTTAGGCCTAAAACCATAAAAACCCTAGAAGAAAACCTAGGCAATACCATTCAGGACATAGACATGGGCAAGGACTTCATGTCTAAAACACCAAAAGCAATGGCAACAAAAGCCAAAATTGACAAATGGGATCTAATTAAACTAAAGAGCTTCTGCACAGCAAAAGAAACTACCATCAGAGTGAACAGGCAACCTACAGAATGGGAGAAAATTTTTGCAATCTACTCACCTGACAAAGGGCTAATATCCAGAATCTACAAAGAACTCAAACAAATTTACAAGAAAAAAACAAACAACCCCATCAAAAAGTGGGCGAAGGACATGAACAGACACTTCTCAAAAGAAGACATTTATGCAGCCAACAGACAAATGAAAAAATGCTCATCATCACTGGCCATCAGAGAAATGCAAACCAAAACCACAATGAGATACCATCTCACACCAGTTAGAATGGCAATCATTAAAAAGTCAGGAAACAACAGGTGCTGGAGAGGATGTGGAGAAATAGGAACACTTTTACACTGTTGGTGGGACTGTAAACTAGTTCAACCATTGTGGAAGTCAGTGTGGCAATTCTTCAAGGATCTAGAACTAGAAATACCATTTGACTCAGCCATCTCATTACTGGGTATATATACCCAAAGGATTATAAATCATGCTGCTATAAAGACACATGCACACGTTATGTTTATTGCAGCACTATTCACAATAGCAAAGACTTGGAACCAACCCAAATGTCCATCAATGATAGACTGGATTAAGAAAATGTGGCACATATACACCATGGAATACTATGCAGCCGTAAAAAATGATGAGTTCATGTCCTTTGTAGGGACATGGATGAAGCTGGAAACCATCATTCTCAGTAAACTATCCCAAGGACAAAAAACCAAACACCGCATGTTCTCACTCATAGGTGGGAACTGAACAATGAGAACACTTGGACACAGGAAGGGGAACATCACACACCAGGGCCTGTCATGGGGTGGGGGGAGGGGGGAGGGATAGCATTAGGAGATATACCTAATGTAAATGACGAGTTAATGGGTGCAGCACACCAACATGGCACATGAATACCTACGTAACAAACCTGCACGTTGTTAGAACTTAAAGTATAATTAAAAGAGAGAGAGAGACAGAGACAGAGAGAGATTTCACTGTTGCAAAAAGCAAATGATTACCACCAGGTATTCCTATGGAGAGGAATGAAAGGAAAACACCATGGTCTGAGTATGAGCAAAGGAGAGAACGGTGCTGGGTGCAGTGAAAAGGCCAATAGGCATTCAGCGTGTGATAGGCCATGCACAGATTCCACATTCCCATGAGAGCAACTAGAATGGGAAGCAGGGCAGGTATGACTAGATTTATGCAATCCAGAATCACTTAGGCTGCTATACGGAAAAGGGACTGAGGAAGGGCAAGAGGGAAGATGGAAAAATTCCTTAGGGGACAATTGCGGAGATATGCTGAAAAATGGCAAGGCTGGGGTCCACAGCTAGGACACTGACAATACAGATGGGAGAAGCAGCTGGACTTGACGGATATTCAGGAGGCAGGCAGGGACTGATGGCAAGAATGGGGAGATGAGGGCCAGGTGCAGTGGCTCATGCCTGTTATTGCAACATTTTGGGAAACCGAGGTGGGTGGGTCACTTGAGGTCAGGAGTTCAAGACCAGTCTAGGCAACATGGCAAAATCCCATCTCTACAATAAATACAAAAAATTAGCTGGGTGTGCTGGCTTGTGCCTGTAGTCCCAGCTACCAGGGAGGTTGAGGTGGGAGGATCAGCTGAACCCTGGAGGTTAAGACTGCAATGAGCCCTGGGCCCATCACTGCACTCCAGCCTAAGTGACAGAGTGAGACCCTGTCTCAAAACAACAACCACAATTACAAAGAATGGGGAGATGAGCACAACACCCAAAGTTCTGGCTCTGCAACATGAGAGAAGTTGCCATTTGCAGAGAAGAAACAGGTTGAGAGGAAAATAGCAGATTCATGGACAAGTTAAATTTGAGATGCCTGTGAGATGATGTCTGAATGATTAAGGTTCAGAAAAGCAGGCAGATTCGATGGTATACATCAGAAAACAGACGTTCCTACTTATGGGGGAACATCTCCCATATGTGAAGGAATCCAAAACAGGGTGAGACAGAGAAACGTGAAATAAAACCAGCAATATGCAAATCGCTCATATATTACAATAAATAAATAAAGTTCTGGAAAAAATAAGACTCTAAGGGAGGGACTGGAAGGGATGAAAGGTATTAGACCAAGGTACATCAACAATTTATTTTACCAAAAATATTGATCTTATGTACAAATAAATAATTCAGAATATTTCAATTTACAAGTGTTTTTGCAAAACAGTAAGTAAGTTAGCAGGCAGTCTCAGGATTTTTGAACTTCCCTGCCCTGGTTAAACAGAAATAGTATTGTTCATTTTGGGAGGCCGAGGCAGGCGGGTCACCTGAGGTCAGGAGTTGAGACCAGCCTGACCAACATGGTGAAACCCCGTCTCTACTAAAAATACAAAAATTAGCTAGGTGTGGTGGCGCACCCCTGTAGTCCCAGCTACTCAGGAGGCTGAGGCAGGAGAATTGCTTGAACCTGGGAGGCAGAGGCTGCAATGAGCCGAGATCATGCCACTACACTCCAGCCTGGGTGACAGAGTGAGACTCCATCTCCAAAAAAAAAAAGAATACTATTAACATATATATTTAATATTTCATATTTAACTTTACTGGCTTTCATGTTTATAGCCTACTGCTGGTATAAATTTTTTAGCTCCCTGTGTGGCCAATGTTAAAATAGGTGGAACCAAACTCTGTCATCAGTAAAATACAATATAGTTTTCAGAAATAGTTAATGACAATTTGAACAAAAAAAGAGATTATTTTCTGATGCCCAAAATTTGTGACTGATAATATTCAGAAAGTTAACATGCTTGCAGTTTCACAGGATAAATCATATGTTGTATTTGTCCTCTATATCCAAAGCTGAAAAATAGGTGTTAATTTTAGAAAAATCTAACTCAAAGGAATTGAAAGCAAATATTAATTTACATTTTGGATATCAAAGAACAGAGCCATCAAGCACGTAAATGAAGCATGGAATTTTAAAAATCTTTCTACTTGAATAGTAAATACAGCATAAAAACACAGACTTTTATCTCACTAAATGATATTTTAAAAACAAAATTAAAACACAAAACCATTTTCTCTTTAATGTTTTCTAAATAAAATATTATATATGACTATGCAAAACTAAATCGTTATCTCTTTTTCTTTCCTAAGGCCAATATGGTGAGATAATGGCTCATGGCAGACAACAAACATCTATGCCTCGACTAACTGTTCCCGAAACTACTGTCCATTAATTAATCCTAAAGCCAAAAGAGGGTAATAATCAGAAAAGTATTTTATACCTAAGAGCTCAAAAGATCAGCTAGATGGGAAGAATCACTGAAGCACTAAACAGTATCATACAGATTTGAAAGTTACCATTTTGCATTTAGTTTCTTTCTTTTCACATCCCAGGAAAGACAACACTATTTGAACAGATCCTTGTTTAAATGGTATGGGGACAGTAGAGGTATTCTTTGAGAGTTAGTTTACAACTTCAAGGATATTATTAATCACATACTCATAAAAATTATGACTGGGAGGTGTGGACTGGGAGTCAAGGATGACCTCTGGCAGAGTTCACCAGGTCCCATCTGTATGGGAAATCACCACCAGGCCACAGAGAAGAGGCCCCTAGGAGTGGCCTTCCCCTGACTGCCTGCTGGTTCCAAAACACTGCCCAGACATCAGCTAGACATGCTGCCAGGATCAAACAGAGGCCAAAAGCACTCTTATTTCATGAGGATTTTGAAATTCATTTTAACCGAATTACATTTTTGCTTCAAAGTTTCTCTATCTTAACAAAAGTTCACAATCAGCACAGGAAAAAAATATTCATATTTGAATAATTAAGCAGTTACCAAACAAGACAGTAGATTGTCTTCCCTTTTCTGCCTTTCATAAAGCAAGTTTTTAAACCTGCCTATCCTTCAGAATTAGCCAGATGAGTAATATGTAAGTTCAAAATCCCAAATGCATCTCTGCTTTTATTCTTTAAATATTAGTGGAGAGTGGGGGTTCTTGCTCTTCCCTATTTTTTTAACTTTTTATTTTGAAATTAAATTTTAAATTTTTTAAATTTTGAAATTATTTCAAAATAAAAAAATTCAAAATTATTTTGAAATAATTTCAAAATTCAAAATTTAAAAAAATTTCAAAAAAATAGTAAGCAGAATTACTATATATGGAGGTTCTACAAATGATAACATCTTATCACATTTATTTGCTTTGTCACTAATTTTTTCTATTTATACACAGATACATAATTTTCCTTCTTAAACATATGAAGGTAAGTTGCAGACAAGATGTCATTTTACTTCTAAATATGTCAGTGTACATCTCCTAAAAGCAAGGTATATCTCTTCTATAATCACAGTACAAGGATCAAAATCAGACAAGCCTAACACTGCTAACATTGCTATCACCTCATCTCCAGACCTTATTCAAATCTCACCAATTGTCCCACTTATGACCCTTACTACAAAAGAAAAACATTTTTCTTCTGGTCCAGGATCTAAACCAGGATCACACATTGCATTTAGTTGTCATGTGTCTTTAGTTTCCTTTGATCTACATAAGTTGCTCAACTCTTCTTTGTGTTTCCTGACCTTGACATGTTTGAAGAGAAGAAGCCATTTATTTTGTAGACTGTCTTTCAATTTGGTTTGTCTGATGTTTCCTCATGATTATACTCAGGTTGTACATTTTTGGCAAGAATATCATAGAAATGACTGTTGAGAGAGGAATGTCTTCTGTTATTCATAACAAGCTCCTTTCAATCATACCTGAGTTTATGCTAATGAGATGACTCTTAGAGGATGGGAGCAGGTGGCCAGAGGATCCAACCATGTGATTAAGGGGTTGGAACTTTCAGCCCCACCCCCACCCTCCAAAGGGGAGAGGGACTGAAGAATGACTTAATCACTAATGGCAGATTGATAGGATCAATCATGCCTACCTAGTCAGGCCTTCATAAAAACCCAAGGACAAGGATCAGAGGACTTGTGGGTTGCTGAACACACGGAAGTGATGGAGGGTGGTGCACCTGGAGAGGGCATGGATGCTCTGCACCCCTTCCTAACACCTTGCCCTGTGCATCTCCTCCACTGGGTTACTCTCAAGCTGTACCCTTTATAATAAACTGATAATAGTAAGCAAAGAGTTTCTGCGAGTTCTGTGAGTGATAGTGCAAATTATCACCTACAACCCTCATTCTTGGAATCACTTCACAAGTGCCTTTAGTGAACCAACGTTAACACTTTCTATCTAGAATGTGCCACATTCTACAAATCAACTACCGTGGACTCTCCTGAAAATTAATGAAATGAAATATGAAAGACGGCAAGATAATAAAGAGACATAATCAAAGACACTGTGTAACTTTGGGCCACAGATGGGATTAAAAAACAATAAAAAAAGACTCCGAGGGACAAGCTTAAATATGGACAATACATGAGATGAAACTGTTAGGTTGCTGTCAATTTTCCTTGGGTGTAATGATGGTATTGTGCTTTTTTGCAGGAATGAAATGGCCACTGCAAAAATTATGACACTGAGAAAAATCCGACCTAACCAACTTTATCTTGCTTTTAACCTCCAAGCTGCCCCTGTTCATTCCTGGGTGTAGGCCATGCTAACTATAAGAGGAATTTAATTTATACTTTAACTGTAAAACAATGAAAACAGCCCCTTCCCAAAACAAACCCCCTCCTTGTCTGGGGAACAGACTGCATTTGTAAAACTAACATTAGAAATTAAGGCTCAGGAGTCATGCAGCCAGACCAGCAAACTGGCTCAACTAGTTCTGTGATCTTACCCAGTAACTGAAGGTAGCAAGAAGACCCTGCCTCAAGCACCTATAATTTCATCCCCAAACCAACCAGTCAGCATTCCTCACTCCCTGGCCCCCTGCCCACCAAATTATTCTTTAAAAACCCTAGCCTCCAAATTTTGGGAGAAATTTATTTGAGTAATAAAACTTCAGTCTCCCATTTAGCCAGCCCTGTGTTTATTAAACTCTTTCTCTATTGCAATAACGCTGTCTCAATAAATAGACTCTATCTGTGCAGCAGGCAAGAAAAATCCAGTTACAGGAACATGGTCTTCCCCTTAAGAAGCCTGGTAAAGTATTCAGGAGTGATGCGCCATGATGTTTGCAACCTTCTTTCAAATGGATCAGGAGAAAAACAGAGAAGAGAATGGAGGGAGGAAAGGAAAGAGGAAGGGTGAGAAAGGAAGAGGAAAAGGCAAAGAAAGGGAGAAATAGAGAAAGCAAATATCAAAAAAAAGTTTATTAAATAATAATCTAGGTGAAGAGTACACAGGCATGCACAGTACTATTCATTCATCTTTTCTATAGATTTGAAAATACCTAAAATTAAAAAGTCTAAGAGAAATGTGTCAAGAAAAACCCCTCTCTCATAAATCCTTTGAGCTTAAAAAAATTATTGTGATATGTAGATGTCCACACCTTTCTCTGTGCTCATCCAACACAATTTAAAATATTTTAGGATGAGAAGATGGTTCAAGTGATATGAGAATGTACTACACATGACTACAAATTGCTTTTCTACTTTAACGATTCATACAAACAGGTCTTTAAGTCACAGCTGCATAGTATTTTATAGTAATAATGCATTGTAATTTATTCAGTCATTCATCCATTTAGCGGACACTGTGGTTGGTCAGCATTTTGGCTACTACAAACAATGTTGTTGTAAATGTCATGGTGAACATGCTCATAATTCAGTTTTTTAACTCTATAGGAAAGATTCACAAAAGATGAATAGCTGGGTCAGAGGGTATGCACTTTTATTTTAACATCTAACACCAGATTATTTTCCCAAAATACTATAACAAGTGATACTGCAAAGACGCTTGAGCGTGCCCATCCCCTTTATTTCACCTACACAGGACATTACCAGTCTTTTTAAAAATCCTGCCACTCTGAGGATCATTTGAAAGCAGAACAAAGTGAGGTACTCTCGACAGAGACACAGAGACACTATGAGTCCTAAAGCAGTACTAGTTACTTTCAAAGGACCAAGAGAGGCGAGAAAAGAAAGATATGCTAGCCTCTTCCTTAAACTCCCACTACCCTTTTTCAATCCCCTATTGGGGCACCTACAAAGCTATATTAATATTATACTTATCTTTTCATATGTTTTCACACCAAGTATATTAGTAACTCCTTGAAATCAGGGATAGTATCACTTGCTCACTCATTCATTCATCCAACAAACATTTATTAATCATCTAGCATGTGTCAGACACTGCTAAGCACCAGCAATATGCATACAAACAAGATAAAGATCATCAGTGTCCTCATGTGCCTAATAATCTTATAGGATAACCCAACATTTCACAGTTAATTACACAATTAATACTTTAATTTTACAGTGACGGTAAATTCTCTGGAGAAGTATTTGAACAGGGTGCAATGAAAGCATATAACCTCCGCACACAGTATTAGAAATTACATAAAACGGTCTTTCAATATTGTTTATCTATGATTTAGTAAATTTCATATGACTAATGGATTGATAATGTGATTTATAACACATGGCTTTTATTTTTATTTTTTTGGAGACAGAGTCTTACACTGTCACCCAGGCTGGAGTGTGATGGCGCGATCTCATCTCACTGCAACCTCCACCTCCTGGGTTCAAGCGATTCTCCTGCCTCAGCCTCCTGAGTAGCTGGGACTATGGGCACCCACCACCACGCCTGGCTAATTTTTGTATTTTTACTAGAGACGGGGTTCTGCCAAGTTGGCCAGGCTGGTCTTGAGCTCCTGACCTCAAGTGATCTGCCCTCCTCAGCCTCCCAAAGTGCTGGGATTACAGGCGTGAGCCACCACGCCTGGCCTTGATTCTTAAATATATGGTTTTATTAAGTGTGAGGAAAGAGGAAGAAAGGATGACAACTAAAGTTATTGAACAACATAAGCCAGTGTGGTGCCAAGCCCTTTATATACTTAACCTCAGTTAATCCTCACCAGTAATTTATAAGGCAGAGACTATCACTCCATTTTTCAAATGTGGAGTATGAGATTCAGAGAGACAAAGTCATTTGACAAAAATCACGTAATTATTTATTTAAAAAAAAATTTTTTTTTTCATTGAGACGGACTCTCACTCTGTCACCTAGGCTGGCATGCAGTGGCGTGATCTCGGCTCACTGCAAACTAAGCCTCCCGGGTTCAAGCAATTTTCTGCCTCAGCCTCCCAAGTAGCGGGGATTACAGACGCCCACCACCACGCCTGACTAATTTTTGTATTTTTAGTAGAGACTGGGTTTCACCATCTTTGCCCAGCTGGTCTTGAACTCCTGACCTCACAATCCACCCGCCTCAGCCTCCCAAAGTGCTAGGATTACGGGTGTGAGCCACCGTGCTTGGCCAAAAATCACATAATTATTAAATGGCGTCAGGACAGGGGCTATGAACCTAGCTTTGTCTGGTTTCTGTCTACTACATCACAGTAATTCAAAGGCAAAATTTCAGACTAAGCCTGGAAAAATCTACCTATACAACAAAATTTATTTTTTATATGTGACACATATAAAGTTAGGAGAATAATGGCAAGCCTACTTTGTATTTTAGTCACTTAAAAACTGTAGTAACTGGTGAACCTATATATACATATATAGAGTAAGCAAATTAGTGGGAAAATGTTCATTTAAGTATAAAACATGAAATGGTATTCATGTAAATACAAAAGAGTACTCCTTTCAGAAGCCAGATGGAGTAGATAAATAACTTCTAGTTGGGACCAAAACTAATCTAATATTTTGACAAACTGCCCAGATGCCATGCCCCTATGTCGTATTATATCACAGTTTAACAGAAATGAGTTTTGACAAAATATTCTTATTCAGACTCTCAAATTCATGGATTTACTGCTCAAGCACATTAGAGTAAAAATTAAATTAACCAAAATCTAGTATTTCAATTACCACAATAAAAATGCAGAGATAAAAAGGGAGAAAATCCCCATAGAATGTGCTTACAAATACTTTAATGTCTTCCAGGAATAATCTTCCCAAGTAACTTATTTATGTCTATCTAAACTCGCATATATAGATAAACATAGATAAACTCACATAAACTGAACGTGTGTCCCAAATACGCACTAAAGACCTCTCCACAGCAATATTACTTCTGTAAGAAAAAAGACGCCCTCCTGAAGGCCTGTGTAACCAATGTGTACTGGTTATATAGAGTAATATATATGTTAGGCATATAGAGAAAATATGCATTTGCTTAAAACAGTGGAAACGGCTATACTTGGTATGGTGGTTTGATGGATTTGAGTTTTTCTTATTTCTCTTTAAGCACATAGTGAGCAAATGTGCTGTGCCATATTCTCATTGGTAAACCCCCAGGCTGTTCTCTGGAACTGGACACCATATACAATAACCAACGAGTGCAAATCTTTGTTTTTACCTCGAATAACATAGTTATCCAGTGCATCTGCCATTCTCTTCAGTGCCTCAGTTCTATCAGAGCCATATGTGATTAGCTAAAAACAAGCAAACAAAAAACCCAATATATATATATATTTAGAACTATGTTAAATGATTCATTTTAGTAAAAATTAAAATATTTCATAACAGATTTCTAAATATATCTCGAAATTTTATGATAGTTCAGTTTTCAATACATGTCAATTATGATTTTTTAAGTATATAAATATTAGAATCAAGCTATTTCAGACTCTTCTCCTACATTTCATTATCATAGTAAAGAGTGATTTTACAAAAACAAAAACGTAACAAAAGTAAGTACAGAAAAAATTTAAAAGGAGATACAGCTAAACGTGAATATATGAGATAGGATTTGAACACCAAGGGTAGTGGTGAGGATTAGATAAGACATTTTTTCCCTATTTTTCTGTGGTTTCCAAGTTTGATACCCTGAATAGCTAACACTTTCCTTTCTTTTTATTTTTTATTTTTGAGATGGAGTCTCGCTCTATTGCCCAGGCTGGAGGGCAGTGGCGCAATCTCAGCTCACTGCAACCTCCGCCTCACAGGTTCAAGCGATCCTCTCGCCTCAGCCTCTCGAGAAGCTGGGATTTCAGGCGTGTGTCACCACGCCCAGCTAATTTTTTTGTATTTTTAGTAGAGACAGGGTTTTGCCATGTTGGCCTGGCTGGTCTCACACTCCTGACCTTAGGTGATCCACCTACCTCAGCCTCCCAAAGTGCTGGGATTACAGATATGAGCCACTGCGTCCAGCCCTTAACACTTTCATAACTAACAAAAAAAGTAAAGTTTCAAAAATAAAAGTATAAAGAAAGAAGACGACTATCTTAGAAATCATTTGCAGTTTTACATATAATATACACAGAAGCAAATGGTACTTTTTCAGAAATCAAAAAAACAGAAAAGTCTTACTATTCTACATGATTTAGTGCCTACTTATATGTATCTCTATAATTTGGCAATGAAATAAGACCTTAACTATTCATTAAAGATTTTTCTGGCAGTTATATTAGCCAATCTATAGATTGTGATTATTTTAGTAGGTTTTACTAGCTCTTCAATATCAAGCAAATTTGAAAATTAATTTGTAGGCCATTTTTCTGAAGAGAAAAACATTCATCTAAAAATGGAATATTTAAAAATCAACGTATAATATTTTTACATAGTTTTATTTTTAAATTAAATGGTGGTTCTCTAATAAACAAAAGACCTAAATTTTATTTTAATACTACTAATAACTTAGGCCAACCACGGTGGCTCACGTTTGTAATCCCAGCACTTTGAGAGGCCGAGGCGGGTGGATTGCTTGAGCTCAGGTATTCGAGATCAGCCTGGGTAACATGAGGAAGCCCCATTTCTACAAAAGATATAAAAAAATAGCCCTGCATGGTAGTACACACCTGTAGTCCCAGCTACTTGGGTGGCTAAGGCAGGTGGATCGCTTGAGCCTGGGAGGTCAAGGCTGCACTGAGCCAAGATCATGATACTGCACTCCAGCCTGGGTGAAAAAGGGAGACCCTATCCCAAAAAAAAGCACTAAAACCCTAACTGAAGAAAGACAGATAAAAAAGTGTTTGTTTACTGCAACTATAACATTAAAAAGGACACTTGGGGAAAAGCCATCTTGAGAAACAAGGCTTGAAAAACAAATCATTCCTCAATACAGATGTATCATTTCAGAGAACACAGAATTTTCAAAATAAAATCCACAATCTGGCCGGCCATTGTGGCTCACGCCTGTAATCCCAGAACTTTGGGAGGCCGAGGCGGGCGGATCACGAGGTCAGGAGATGGAGACCATCCTGGCTAACAAGGTGAAACCCCATCTCTACTAAAAACAAAAAAAATTAGCTGGGCTTGGTGGCACGAGCCACCCAGCTACTCAGGAGGCTGAGGCAGGAGAATCGCTTGAACCTGGGAGGCGGAGGTTGCAGTGAGCCAAGATCGTGCCACTGCACTCCAGGCTGGCGGACAGAGCGAGACTCCATCTCAAAAAAATAATAATAAAATAAAAATAAAATCCACAATCTTAATTATTACAGCATTTTACACTTTATACGGTTTTAAGGGTTTAAAGATCCAAAAATTCAATTCATTTATTCTGGAAAGTCAAACTTCAAAAAGACAGGTGGGCAAAACAAATCTTATACTCTTACATCACATCTACTTAAATAATTGGTAATTTGTAAAAACTGAAGAGAAAAGATCAAAAAGTACTCTAACAAACACTGCCTATCAGCCCAACTCTTGCCATTCATTCATACTTCCATCTCAGGTAATTTCTGCCAATGGCCAAAAAAAACCTTAATTCCTTCTCATGGCAATGAGTTAGGCTGGCACCACTGGTTAGATGTTTATTATTATTATTGTTCATGCATGTGTGTGATGGTGTGGCATGATTTAGTTGGGGAGGAGGAGTACTACAAACTAACATAACGCTGAATTTTCTCTCAAGAGAAAAAACCTGCTCTGCTTTCACATTTACATCAGTGCATAATTAGTTGTTTAATTATAGCTTATGATTCAGATAAAGGCCCAGTTTCAGACTCTTTAAATATCATTGATTTTTCGAAGAAATCAAATAATCCATTGAGAAATTAAACTAACTTTTGAAATCATAGGATCATAATAAATGCTAATATCACTTCCTGGTTGGATGCCACTGTCCACTCGGACCTGGGAGAAAAAAAGAAAAAAAGAAAAGTAATTCATATTGTGTAGATATTTTTTTGTAACCACCAATTTCATTTCCATGGAGAAAATGGATAGAGAATTTCAATCTCAAATAACATTTCAACTTCTGGAAAATAGGAAAACAATCTAAAATCTTGATCCGTTAATATGTAATGCAACACATTTTTTGTTCTGCCACTGAATGACGAAACTAAAAAACAGCAAAAATAAAAAATAAAAAATGAAGACTTCCTACATCACTATGCCAGGATGCTGTGGCTCTCTGATGGTGTCTTCCAGCTGAAGCATGGCATGGACGATGCCCTTGCTAACTGCACTCCCTGCCAGACCCTTCTGAGCCCACCAGTGAGGCCCCTCGTCAAGCCTGGTCCTCAGCTCCATAGGAATGTGGGCCTGGGCCTTTCATGTCTGTAACACTTTCCTTTTCTGCCTCACCCTCTCAACTGTAAAACACTATTTTTCTGTTACTGTTGCTCCCCTGAGGCTTTCATGTTTACACAGCTTTTCCTATGGCTTTGCTTTGTAAAGCCCCAATTAGAGTTCTGATTTTGTGATTTTCTTGGGGTGGGGGGTAGGGGGATAGCACAAGTTCAAAATATTCTTTTGAAGAGGCTGATTGCTGTTAACCAGCCAACGAGTGAGTTAGTACATCACTGATTCTTGTTTTCATTTCCCAGTTTGATACCAGCAGCAAGGCACGGAGGTTAGCCATGCAAAACTTTAAAAATGAGCAGTTACTGAGGACAGAACATTTATTAAATTATTAGAAAGAAGTTTTGGAATCTGAAGTATTTAAAAGCTAATCAAAATACTTCAGACTGTCAGGCACATCCTAGGGGTCTTGAGGATGGAGGAACTGAATCAAAGCTGCTGGAACAGCAGGACTTTGATGCCCAACATTGTAAAGGGGTGGGAAGAGAAGAGCGGAAGCTCACGTAGCCTTCCACCTGTGGGAAGAAGCCTTCCTAATAAACAGCAGCTCATCTGTCTGCAGCAAGGCAGAAAAAGGTCAACACAGCGGCTGTTAGGCCTTTAATATTTTAATTTAGGCAATTATCAAGGGACCACATGTAGAACCTCTTGTCTAGGATATCCACATGAGGGTATAATGATGGCTTTATTATACGGTGACATCAGAAGACAAGCGATAGTTTCATTTTCTTAAAATTCACACTACTATTATTCTCTTTGTAAGGTTGTAAAAGGAACACTATAACATACCTGAAGGGCTTTTATTTCTGTATTTGCAAGCACAAACAAAAATATAGATATCTGTATTCGTATTCACATTCATATACAAAAATCTTAATTATAAACAAAAATCATTCAGCACACTTACGAAATATACTTGGCTTTCTATTTTCTGAAAACATATTTCAGGACATAAACTGATGTTCTATGAAATTCACAGTGTTGACAAAAACTAGAAAAAAATTAATGGAGCAGCTTTAAAAGCAATAAAATCACAATCTACCTTTTCCCCACATTAAAGAGCCCCAAAATGGCAACTAGTAAACGGGTTACATAACAGAAAATATATCTGTGAGTTTTCATTTTCTTAATTTTAGTACTAAAAAGTGAAAGAGCTAATTTGACCACTATGTCATCTTTAAAACCACAGCATGCTTGCTAATGCTGTGTTTACAAACGAGACTGATACAAGTTCTAAAACTTCTGACTTTAACTACATCCTATCATTTGCTACATAAACTGCTACAAAGCTAGGAAGAACTTAGATGTTCAACCCACAAATAAAATAACATAGACAATAAAGAATATTTATTATGTTCTTCTACAGTTCCTTACTTAAAACTTCAGTTGCCTTGAATAATATCATCCTATAAGGTGTTACCTACAGATCTTAATTAAATATAACTGTCTTTGTTATTTACTAATATTATGATCACAGAAGTTATGTCATCTTAACTTTAAAATACATACGATAAAATCAAGATATATATAAACACGTATCTTTGTATAAGCAAATCAGTATTCCCAATTAAAAACTGTACCACAGTATGAAAACTCTGCTTTATAATTTACTATTTATGCTGCTTTTTCCAAGTAATAATCAGCTATATTTTTATTTCTTAACAACCAATCTGAAGTCAGATCAAGTCTCCATTCCTTCAATGAAAGGCTATACAAATTTGCACTAAAAACTTTAAGAAAAAATTCAAATGAAATCAGAACCAAATTTCTGAGCAGAACAAAACTGTGGTCTGAAAATAACAAATTTACAAAACATGATGATCAAAAATAAAAAAGGAAATCTTCACCTCTGCCATATTAATAAATCTCAGGCTTAATGAAGCATGTGAAAAGTACAAACCATAAGTTAACTCTTAAGTATGCATTCTTGTGACCAAAAAAGGTAAGAGCCAAAAATTGTTTTCTAAGGTAAACTGACTGCTCTAGTTTTAATAAGACAAGGAAGAAAAACAAACAATAACAACCACAACAAAACACCCAAGCACCTCTGTACGAGATTCTCAAACCACTGCTCAGAAACCTCTAGCATAATTAAAATTTCTGTCTTCAGTACCACAGTGGACTCTGTGAAACTATCAGACATCTCCCACCCTTCATTCTCAATTCACCTCTCCCCCTAAGCACAACTCCCAGCCCGCCATGTCTACCTGACAAGTGACAGCCCAATCTGATTAAATGCTTCCAAGGGAGGGGACTCATGGGCCTCCATGACAGGCCAAAAGTGATCACCATGGAGATACATAATTACAGCTGTCAACGCATCTACTGTCCTGCTGACATCAATTTGATTGCTCCCAGCAATAATGATAGACAAAGCTTAGTGTGCACTCTCCTGCACCCAATCACTTTATCTACTCCTTGGTCCATTTAGCTGACATGCAACATTCACACAAGCAAATAACAGCAGTAAGCAGAACATTTAAGGCATTTTAATTGTTTTTTCTTTCTATGGATGGCTCACAACTGCAAATGTTATTACATAAAACTCCTGCTGCAGCATTAATTGAAGAAAGATTTGGTGGGATGAAGACTGTAGGGGGTATAGTTTGTCCATTATCACTTGTACTTTCAACAGGTCTCACGTTTGAAAATTGCAAATTGCAAAAACTTGCGAGGGCAAAATGTTTGACATCCTGTTAGCTATTACAACATGGTGAAAACTTCTAACAACTAGAGTAATCATTATGAATTCTTATTTAATACTTCTTTTGTTTGATTAAAAAAGTGTTTAGATATGTCCCTATGATACTTGTTTTCTCATGTGCTATTTAACGTCACATAATGCCTGTTAAATCTTCACAATTTTTTTTCTGCCTTCTGGCTTTGAACACAGCATGGAGTCTCCAAGCACAGAAAGGGTCAAGTCCCTTTAGAAAGCACATGGGCAAAAACAATTTAAAAAGTGAAATAAATCATATATCCAATAATATCTTCAGATTTAGAATTCTTCCTGTAATCTTTCACCATCTTCATGCCAGTAATCAAAATGAATAATTTGAATATTCACAGATGGTACAGCCTTGTCATCTACTAGCTAACATAATGTCATATATATATATATATATGCACTTATTACCTTGATTAAGAAAAAGGGTATGTCCTTGCTCTTTTTCTGCAACAAAAACTATTTTCAAAATAGCTATTAAATACAGAAGAGCTATGGAATAAAATGGACAGTGGTCACTTTTATTTAACTGATATAAATATTATTACTCTTTAAAGTCCATGAGGTTTAATAGACTGAGGCACACTTTGTTTGCCTTAATTCAATCTCCTTAAATTTCAATTAAGGAGCTGATTTTGTGCTTGAATTTCTTGACAAGTGACTATATAGCAGGGTTGGACTCGATTTATTGAAAAGATTAAATTGTAACACAAAACATCATTTCTCATTCTTAGGATTCACAGCCTTTTTTATTATAATTTTCGAAAGAATTGGGAACACTGTAAGCTATCATTTATATCATCAGATGTCCCCAGGCTTCCCCTGTCCAGTGAATCCTGACTTTCTTGAACACCACAAAATACTGAAAAAAATTTGTTTTCAACACAAAAACCATGATTCCCATGAATTTCACTTGTCCTTCAATTTACACCCTTTGGTGTTGACATGCTTTAACATAAAAGTATGACATAAATCACGATTTTAACCCTTCAGCTGGTATTACAGCTTAATGACTTACACCAGGTAGATGTAACGGTTCTTGGTACTGAGACAATCTCCCAATAGATGGTAAACCAAAAGACTTGTAGGGGTCCTGAAAGTTCAAAGGAAAGGAAGCACAGTCTTTGAAATATAAATCAGCACAAGTAAGGTTAAATATTTACACAATGAAGAACCATTTATAGGTCTATTTTCAACATATGGTATTTACCAAATCACAGATTTCAGAATATTATTGTCTTTTACGCTAGACAACTTAGAATGTACTTAAAAATCAAACAGAACTGTAAGCAGAATTTAGCCTGACCTTGTTCATACTTTATTGAAATTGGTAAAATTCCAACATTTTATAAAACTTCTTAGAATGCCTTGGGCAAAAAATAAAATAACCTAGGCCCTACATCAAAACATACTCAAGTTTAGAACAACAAATGTGGTATACTAAAGATATTTGTTTTTCTTACTTCTCAAAACAGTTCACATATGGTAAAACTTGAGAATTTGGGTTCTTCAAATAAAGACCTGAAAAAAAAAACTTTGCACGCTACTAGATATGCACTTCATTTGTAAATATCTTAGATCATCAGAATAAACAGGTTCAGTGTCATAAGAATGAAAGTAATACTACTTAAAATATGAAAAAAGCAAGAGCAATACAGTCACGCCAAAACATATTTTTGAACTCCTTGAAAAATATTTCAAACCAGCTCTCAGTATTCTTAAACACAGACACTGATTTATTTTTAATCTTGACAGACATTTTTGATGTCGAAAAGTAAAAATAGTACAAATGTTACCTTGCATTCTTGTTTTAGTCATTTGAAAAAAAGCATTTAGAAGTACTGAACTGAGAGTTTATGAGTAAAACCCAAAATTAAAATTATAAATTAAGAGTACATGTTTTACTAAAAGCTTTACAATTTAAATTTTGATTGTTATTTTTATGTAATAATAAAGGAGAAAATTATACAAAAAAAAGGTTGGGAAAAATTTTAAGTAAATATCTGATCAACAACTAATGTGTACCCAAGGTGGGCATTTTTTTAAAAAACCCATGGAAATAAATGCTACTTCTTGTTAGTGTTGTTTGAAAATAAACAAAGAAAATGCAAACAAAACAAAAACCATGGTCCATTCAAGCTCAAGAGTATTTAACCAATGCTCTGTTGCCTCTTAAAGGATTGGTAGCTATTTCCCCATCTACAAATACATGACAATTAACTAAGCCCAATTCTTTAAAACTATCTGGAATTAGGTCAAAATTATCTAATTTTTTTCTGATTTAATTATGGATTACGTAATCCAATAGTTGGCAACATTATAAAACCCTAACTTTACCTCATTGTTTGGCTATACCAGGTCTCATGACTCTGGACATAACCACCATCCTTCCTCCCAACACCATTCATTTTACCTCAGCATAAACCCGACATTCAACTGCCCAGCCGTTGATGCGAATATCAGCTTGTTTGTGCCTGAGAGGGTAGCCCTTAGCAACACGGATCATTTCCTGGACTAGGTCCAGGCCAGTAATGCATTCTGTGACAGGATGCTCAACCTGCAAGGCCAAGGTCTGCCAGTCAGTAGGTGTAGAAAAGGGTAAATAAATAGAAACAAACAAGAAAAATCACAAAAGTTTTTGGGTAAAATGAAGTTAATCGAATGTAACATTTGAACATATTTGACTAAAAAACTCTTGAGCTAGGGGAATAAAATGAAAGAATAAACACAATACACAAATCATAAGAAAAACTAAGGCCTAAAAGTATTTGTAAACTATCTGTATTATTTTTCTCAATTTTGATTTATCTGTGGTCCAACAATATTTAAGAATTTTAATTTTGAAACTAATTCTTAACCAAAAAGCTATATATTTATTTCACGGCAATCTTCAATGTGGCCGATAATCAACCTATTCTGCTGCACTTAACGTGGCATCTACAGGGGCAGCTTATGATTTTCCAAAGCACTAGTCCACCCTAAGTCTCACCCACTTGCATGCTTTCACTAACCTGTCCTGACAAGCAGCCAGATTAGTGTAATCTTGCATCGAGGCAGTGTAGCAGAAGGGAGCAGATGGATCCTTCAGGTTGCTTTCCCTCCACACTGACTTGGGTAATGCTTAGCATGCACAATTGCAAAACAGAGCCAGTGCGATCGCTCTGCTCTCTCAGCAGATTGCTGATAACTACTTGGGCTGATGCTGTCATGCATGTACCTGGCCTTCTGCACTAACACATGAGATATGTATGTACAAAAACATGTGCTGACATATAGGTACACAAACAGGGATACATGTCAACATAAACTTGGTCGATCACTTAGAAATTCTTAACCTTGAGTTAAAATGAAGCCACTTAAGTCACTGGAAAAGTCTACCGTTCATCTAAAACCTTGAATAAGTTCTAAGAATTTAAACAAAACTTTGGCCACATCTGCTGCTTTGATGTCATTTTTTTCTCATAAAAATTAAGTATCTTCTAAATGCACTTCACAATAGTTTCTTTATCATGACATGTCATATTTCATACACTCTGACACAGGAAAAGGTCAGTGAACAAACGAATTATCTTCCCATCTTCAACTACACTAATTGAAGGACAGGACTTAGTCATTATAATAATCTTGAAGCTTATCATAAGCAGACAATGCCATAGTCTTAAAAAAAAAGCTTTGTAAAAATAAACAGATGGCACCCATAATTAGCTTTGTGCGTGTTGAGTTTGCTTACAGTTTCAACAACATTTTAAGACATTTTGACATAATTTTAATGACAAATCATCACTAAAATAAGCATCAACCCTTCGTAAATGTGACACTAAATAAAGATCTTATTAGGTAGTTTAAAATATGTATTTTTGAAAGCAAATTATGATTTTGTAAGAACCAAGACTCTATAAGATAAATACAATAAGAAAGTAACTAGCAAAAAAACCCTCTATTATTACTAGAAACCAATCTCATGTGAGAAAGCATCTCAGCACTCTACTCAAGAGGTGAACCTGGATGGGTGTGGCGCTTCACGCCTGTAATCCCAGCACTCTGGGAGGCCAAGACGGGCAAATCACTTCAGGTCAGGAGTTTGAGACCAGCCTGGTCAACATGATGAAACCCTGTCTCTACTAAAAATAAAAACAATTAGCCGGGTGTGGTGGCACATGCCTGTAGTCCCAGCTACTCAGGAGGCTGAGGCATGAGAATTGCTGGAACCCAGGAGAAGGCTGTAGTGAGCCGAGATTGCACCACTGTACTCCAGTCTGGGCAACAGAGCGATATTCCATCTCAGGAAAAAAAAAAGAGGTGAACCTACCACGTGCCAAGTGCTTTACATCAATACTATTCACACATCCCTGATAGGTGAAAAGACAATTTCAAAAGTTAAGTGAACCATTCAGTTTCCTCTTTCTATGACCAGTGCCCATATAAGTACATACTATATACAAGGCAAATAAATACATATTGAATGAATGAACAGCAAATACAGAGTCACATCTATGGTAAGTGGTCACGATGGAGTTGGAATTTATCTCACTAAAGAGATGACATTATCTTCCTGATCTTCCTGACAGTAATGTATATGAAAGAAATGTATGTATAAAAGTATATGCAATGGCTATACAATTATGTATACATGTCTTTTAAAAAGCATATTACTATGAAGGTTTCAAGATCCAAATTTATTGTGTCTCTGCTTCACCTTTGAAGAGGGATCTTTAACTGTGTAGGAAAATAAGTACATCAGATCCACTTTGAATGGGATCCAAAAGTGGACCCACTGTGTTCTAAACTTAAGTCATATAACAGAGCCATAACATTTTACAATCTAAATTAGGGAGCTACAAGTAATTCAAATTAGAAGCAACTAAGCAGATAACTAAAATAACAAGCTGCTAAAGGTAAAATCCTTACTAACAGAAATTTTAAAAAACATTTACCTTTTGACAAGTACTGCATAAGTCCACAAAATAGTCTAACTTGCTTCAATTTTCCAGGTAAAAGAAATTAACTTCTTTAAAGTAAAACTTATAATTTTAAACATTTTTGAAAGAAATCCTTCTAAATACATAGGATTCCAAAGCTACTCCACAGGATATGAAGCATTTCCTTTAGACTGTGTTATTACCAGAAATCTTATAAGCACAACATTGCTTAAATAATCACAAATATCCCCCTATTCCCAAGTGCTTAGCAATGGTTTCTCTCTGCAAGTTAAGCTCAATACTTAAGTGATAGAACAGGGTTATATAAAGGAACAAAAGGACGGAAGGAAGGACGGAAGGAAGGAAGGAAGGAAGGAAGGAAGGAAGGAAGGAAGGAAGGAAGGAAGGAAGGAAGGAAGGAAGGAGGGAGGGAGGGAGGGAGGGAGGGAGGGAGGGAGGGAGGGAGGGGAGGGAGGGAGGGAGGGAGGGGAGGGAGGGAGGGAGGGAAAAGATGGTTAACTTGATCAAAAGGTTATAAAAATAAAAAAACAAAAAAGTCAAAAATTGGTGTCTGGTAAACCAACAAGTTCATCTTGTCCCACTTAGAAGAAAAATGTAACTACAGAAGTCTGATGCTAATATGCATCTGTTTTGAGGGCTATTATGTGGGGGGAAAAGGTTTCTGTGTCACTTCTATTTGGGAAACACCGGGTTAATCTCAGTTCAACAGATTGTTTAGGAAAGACTCTTGTCATTAGGATGCCCATATGTCCTGTGACTCTCCTAGAGAAGGGCCTTGCGCAGCACTTCCTCCTCCTTTTGCAAAGTACCTTTATGAGTTGCCAAGTCCATGGAACACACTTTTGGAAACAATGCCTCAAAAACATTCAAAATACAAAATGGAATTCCCTTATTGTTACTCCATCCTTACCACACAAATATTTGAGAACCTGGCTTCATATGTTTTTCCTACCCAACAGCAATGTGCTCTTTCTAAAAAGCACACAAATCAGGGATCCACCAGACAGCACTGTTTTGCATTGTTAACGTATTAGCATGTGAATATATAAATCTTGGGATTTAGTGAGCAAGAGTAAGCCCGAACCCAAAAAAAAAAAAAAAAATTCACACTCACAAAAAAGGAGTAAGCCCTACCAAGTTATAATACCTGAATCCTCAAAGACAAATTTCTCAAGGGAGTGCCACACTGCAGAGTCTAACAGTTGTTGATAAATTTATTTGTATTGGTTATATCCCTAGCTCACCATGAATCTTTTGTTCAAACAGGTACAAAAAATTATCAAATGCCATATTATAGGACATAATCGTGCCTTATAACATCTCATGCCATAATCACCCTCATGGACTAGAATAAATATGTTTAGCTCCATACACCTACGCTAGATGGTAACAATCGGCTAGCTTTTTATAGATCTACTTGCTATTTTTAGTTTTGTATTCTTAATCACCACCAAGCTGTCACTATTAGCATCGTGTCTAATACCTCTTACCACTCCCTCTTACTCATCTGTTGCTTCAAATTTATTTCCCAAAATATAACCAAGCTTGTCAAATGCAACTGTGAGGTAAATTAGGTTGTGCTTCATCTCTGAGTGCTTAATGTATCTCATTTCGGTAGCAGAATAAGCTTAGGGAAAACTAAATCTCCTTGGCACTGTGTTGTTACCTACCTCATGATTCTAAAAATTATAATAATAAACTCTGACACTGCCATTGTCATCTTCAGCCTATTCCTCACTAAATACAAACTAGGAAGTATGCTAAAGCTAGTGAGTGAAAGTATGCTGGCTATTTATAGAGTCTCAAAGTATCTCCCTATAAGATACTTTATTAAGGACAAAAGGAAAATAGAAAGTCTACAGTGTAGAAACGCCAGAGATACCTCCTTAACAAAGCCAACACCACCAATAATGGGATAAAGAGGCACTTCGTGCTACCAACATGGTGCTCATAGATGGACAGTGTCATTTCTATTCCTGCCCAGAATGCAAAGACTGAATCTAGTACATGAGAAAAGAGGCAAACCTAAAATGAGTGACATTTTATAAAATAAATGGTTTATGCTCTTAAAAAATGTTAAGATCACAACTGACCAAAAAACTAAGGATTATTCCAGATTGAGAGAGAATAAAGAGATACAACAACTAAATGCAATGCAGGATGCTGAACCAGATTTTTTTTTCTTTTACCACAAAAGGCATTAATGAGGCAACTGGGGAAATTTGAATATAGTCCCTAAATTGGAAGACAGTAATATGTTAATGTCCAAATCCTGATTTTGATTATGGTGCTATAGTTACATAAGAAAATTTACTTGTTTTTAGGAAGTACAGACATATTTAGGAGTAAAGGGCCACTAGGCCTGCAACTTACTCTGAAATGCTTCCAGTAAATACAGATATAGATAGAAAGATAAAGTAAATGTGGTAAATATGAGTGAAGTGTATTCAGAAATTACCTGTAATATTTTTACAACTTTTCTGTGAGTCTGAAATCATTTCAAAATTTAAAGTTAAGAAAAATACGTCAGGGTACGGTGGCTCACCCCTATAATCCCAGAACTCTGGGAGAAAAACCCAGGTGGATATCTTGAGCCCAGGAGTTTGAGAGCAGACTGGACAACATGGCAAAACTTTGTCTCTATTTAAAAAAAAAAAAAATACAAAAAAATCAGCCAGGCATGGTGACGCATGCCTGTAGTCCCGCTAATTGGGAGGCTGAGGTGGGAGAATCACCTGAACCCAGGAAGTCGAGGCTGCAGTGAGGCAAGATGGAGCCACTGCACTCCAGTCTGGGAAATGGGAGTGAGACCCTGCCTCAAAAAAATAAAAAATAAAAAAGTTAATAAAAATAAAAATAGTGTCCCTAGAAAGACTTGTTTTTCATATTATAAAACATTATTAAAAATAAAGACATCTGACTTGACCAACATTCTTGTCAGAATCCTCCCACTATGTTAAATAAAAATAGTTATACAATAGCAGATAGTTTGTGCGATATGTTTCCTCTGACCTAAACTTTTAAATATTTTACTGTGATATTTACCTAATAATTTCTAAAACTTTCAGGATCAGTAACTGAATAACAGGCAAGTCATCCTGAAGGTGAGCAAGATTCA
Source organism: Homo sapiens (assembly GCF_000001405.40). NCBI lineage: Eukaryota > Metazoa > Chordata > Mammalia > Primates > Hominidae > Homo > Homo sapiens. Next base: position 100,295,958 of record NC_000013.11, on the reverse strand, counting down.
AGGAAATTTTAATTATATACCTGAGTTGACTTGAAATGAAAATTAAAACTGAGGAAAATCAGTTTTAAGGGAAAAGGGGAAAAGTCACAACATGTAAAAAGAAGTCAGAAAGACGCAGTGTGTGTTAACTTGGCCATTATGAGGAGGAGGCTGATGAGAAGTATTAAAATTCCTTCAACAGTGCTATATCTGCAGCTCTAATTATTTGGCAGCTGGTAAGTAGTGGCCCAGTTGCTTAGTCAAAGCAGAAACTGCCCCTAAAAGTGTAAGGCCCACCATACCTAAGTATAACCAACATCAGTGTGGCACTTTGAAATTTACAAAATCCTTCCACACATGCACAAACTTCTTCAATACATCACTGTCATTTAATAGAGAAGGCATAGGAGATTGCTCTCAAGATATGGTGTGGTGAGAGAATGCTGAAATTTTTTGTTATCAAAATAATGTTCTTTTAAATTAACAAAATTTTAAGTGACATTTTTATTCAATATATCCTGTCTAAACTGACAGGTATTACAAAGACTTGTTTTTTCGAAAGCTATCTTTTGTAAGCAGAACTTGTTGGATTCAACTTAGCAAAGTAGTTTAGTATGATTACCCACTGAAATATGAGGAAACTGTCCCATTACATAAAATTCAGTTTCATAAGTGTTTGGCATAATAGGCCTCTGTCTTTGTAGTTTGTTGCTATTCCAGCCTGAAAGGATGGTCAATGCCATTATTTTTGGTTCTGCTCTGTCTGTTCAGAAAGATTCTGCTCTTTCTGTTCACGGAACAGAATCTAGCATGTACCTACTAAAATTCTGAAGCTCTACCTCCTGAGAATACAGGATTTCAAAATAAAGATCTAAGGTTATTAGATTTTGATCCACAGCACTCAAGGATGAAAAGCATGTTGGGAAATAAGCCCCAACACATCACTCCTATAAACTCACCTTGGAAACAATGGTTATATTCAAGAGTGACAGCCTGGGTGACAGAGTGAGACTCTACCTCAGAAAAAAACAAAAAAAAGAGTTGGACTGCAGGGCTTAGAAACCAATTTTTCTCCCCTTTTCTCTGATACATTCTTCGTGCTTAGAATAGATGGATGAAGGTGCGTATACCTGTGTAGGATTATATACAGATGTGCTCTTCAGAGACATGACATTGTCAGTTGCCTGTTTTGTGCTTTTGATTTGTTTATTTTTGCCAATAACATCAGAACTATACATCAAAGTGAGTACTGGCTATTCCTAAATAGTCCAACAGCACTAAAAACTAAAAATTTAGTTTTCCAGCTCATCTTGGAAAACTAAATATGCATTTAATATCACCACTGCCAATTCATTTCTGGAACTTGTCCTTAAAAATTCACTTTGGAGCTGAAATCAGAATGTTTAGAATAGACTAACCGGTGTCAAGTCTTCATTTTGGGGGGATGGGAGATAGGATTTTTAGAACCAGTCATATTCTAGTAAGTTGTTTAAAATTTTTATATGCTATGTATACATGGAAAAAAAAAAGAGTGACCACGAAAACGGAACAGATTCTATTATAGGGTTCCCCTGGTGACCCCAAGAATAATAATCACATGAAGAAATGATAAGGAAACCATTATGGGCTGAATTGTGTACCCCCCAAAATTCGTATGTTGAAGTCCTAGCCCCACCACCTCAGAATGTGACTGTATTTGGAGACATGGTCTTTAAAGAAGTGCTCAGGTTAAAATGAGATCATCAGAGTGGGCCCTAATCCAGCATGACTGGTATCCTCATAAGAGAAGATCAGGACCCAGACAACACAAGGCACAGAGGAGAGGCCACAGGAAGACACAGGGAGTGGATGGCCACCCACAAGCAACGAGAAAGGCCTCCAAAAGAAACTGACCCTGTTGGCCCCTGGATTTTGGACTTCCAGCCTCCAGAACTTTGAGAAAACACATTTTTGTTGTTTCAGCCACCCCAGTGTATGATACTTTGTTATGGCAGCCCTAGCAAACTAATACAAAGACCAGTTTTAAAAAGTTAAACATAGATAAAAAGAGTCCAGAACTCAGACAGCAATATCATTTACAATATGCTTTAAAACAAAACCCCAAATCTAAGTGCCTGAAAAGCTTATCTATACATATCTGTATACCAAAAACTTCTTTCCTTCATTTTCTACTAAGGTTCAGTAAATAATAAGGGAGGGTATAACACATCCTACCTTCTATCCTCAGTTTCCCAGAACAAAACATGCCAAAACATCCCAATTCTGGCTCACTCTAAACAGCCTGAGAGCCCTGGCCTCTATCATTTTAAATACAATCAAAAAGGTCAACATTTGCTCACATCCAAAATGCCCCTTCTGACAAGAATGAAATTTTACAATTAGTTAGAAATCCTTTTCCCAATAATTTCTCCTCATTCTTTCTATCAAACACTCCAATTCCATAAAAGACCAAAATATTTTCATCTGGCAGGTCTAGAAATTTTTTTTTAATCCAAAACTAGTCTGAAATTAGAATATGGTATTTGTTCAATTATAGTTAATTGTTATAAACCAGAATTTAGGTTGCAATAATTCTTAATTTTTAAACAAATGGCAAAGGGCAAAATCAAGTTACAAAAAAATTTCTAAAATCTTTCTGGAATATAAAGGTTCCCTGTGATGCAGAATTCCCCCTGATGAGATTAGAGTGTATAGCCTTCACAGAATTTCAACAATTGTACTGTACCTTTCCTTCCATGGTAAAAGTAGATTCCTCCTGCACTGTACCAATCAACATAAGCAACTGACTAAGTCTAACAAAAGTGGGACAGTTTACCTGTCTGTTCTCAAAGATATGGACAGCTGACTGACCATGTTTGGGGTTTTAATTACTTACTTATTAAGATTTTATTCCTCTCTATTTGGGAATTTTCTAACTCCTATAGACTTTGTAGACTATACAGAGGATGCTTTTCCAAAACACTTAAATCTAAAAAAAAACCTAGCATCTGGAAATTATTAATTACACACACACAAACAGACACACACACACACACACACACACACGAATTTGGAAAGGTGTATTCAGGGTCCTAATATTAATCTTAACACAAAGGCCTAAGCCATGTAGTAAATACTTTTCTCTATCAGCTTCATTTTTGGAAGATTTCAGTTTCCATTTTTCCTCCCAGACTCTTCTTACACAAACACCCTTATAACAGAAAGGAGATCTCTTTAAAAGTGGTTAATATTTCAAATATGTTTGTTCACATGTAACAATAATTTTGCAGTTAACTGACAAAAGAATGAGAGAAAGTTATTATTTAATATGTGGCTTGCCATCTTTTCAGATGTCAGACAGGCTTTATATTAATGACAATAGTAATAGCAATAATGTTAATAATAATGACAACAGTAAGAGTAAAAATGTCAACCAATATATAATAAACAGCATGCAAATGTTATGGATAAGATACTCACAGTTAGCAGAAAGAATGTGTGCTCAGTATAAACCAGGTACTATTTTGAATTTGTAAACTATATAAACTCATTTAATGCTGACAATCCTATACAGCAAATGCTATAATTAATGTCATTTTACTAATGAGGAAATCAAAACATACAGAAGTTAAGGAACTTGCTTATGGTCACACAGCTAAGAAGGAAGAGAACTAGAATTTACTTGCTCTGAGTGAAAACAGTAGATGTTTGCAATTAACAAAAACAATGATTAAATGAGTCCTCCATTAGTCAGCTGCAGTTGTTCTGAAACATTTTACAATTTTGAATCTCACTGAATTTCTCACTAAAAAACTATATATCTGACTTCAGAGGGTTCACAGACTTCCCTAAAGCTCATGAGAGATCCAGATAACCCAGGTTAGCTATTCCTGCTCTGAGAAGCTGTCAAAAACAGCCTGGAACCAGCCTGGCTCCCACCTCTCCACTCCAAACTCCATGCTGTCTATCTCCCCCAGAGTTACTAAGCAGCTGAGGACATGGGAAGCACCAAGATCTAGGGAGAAGATGAGAGCCAAAAACTGGGAACAGGCTCTTCTCCCTCTGTGGCTGAACGAAAACTGGAGACTAGCTTCAGAGAACTCTAGGGAAGAATGTGAAAGGAACACATCATGGAGACAGACTGGCTTGCAAAGAGCCATGGACCTCAGGGGAAAAGTCAATAAAGGCTCCAGATGGGTCCGTGGTCTCTTTGCCCAGGAATCCAAGTAGTCAATAAAAATTAGCTCAATTCTGTCCTTGAGATGAGAATGCTAGGAGACATATGCTCTTCCAGGCCTCTGGAGTAGATATGGTCATGTCTTCAACCATCTGAAGGGCTGCTGTCACTTAGAATATTTCAAGAAGCAGAACTTAGTACTGATAACCCCCAAAAAACCACAGCAGGGGGATTACTAGCACAAGAAAGAAAAAACATTCAGAATAATGATTACACAGACCAAGTGAAACAGAGCTGCTGAAGGACAGGAGAAAAATACAACTTTGCCCAAAAAGCAGTAAAGGCACTTAAAAACTTAAGAAGTAGCAATGCACATATGTGCATGTGCACACACATCCCCTGAGTCCTCCTTCCATCTCCCCAGGGGATTGGTCCCAGGACCCCTGTGAATACTAAACTCTACAGATGCTCAGGTCCCCGATATAAAGTAACATGGTATTTGCATGTAACCTATGCATATCATCCCGTACACTTTTCTTTTTTTTAAGAAATGGGTCTTGCTCTGTCATCCCAGCTTCAGTGCAGTGGCATGATCATGGTTCATCACAGCACTGATCTCCTGGGCTCAAACAGTCCTCCTGCCTCAGCCTCCAAAAGTGCTGGGATTACAGGCATGAGCCACAACACCCAGCCCTTTCCGTATACTTTAAATCATCTCTAGATTACTTATAGTAATACAATGTAAATGCTATGTAAACTGTTGTTATACTATATTGTGCTTTTATTGGTATTTTTTAATTGTTGAATTGATATTTTCATTTTATTTTTAAATTTTTAAGCCACAGTTAATTGAATCCACAGATGCAGAACTAGTAGGTAAGGAGGGCTAACTGTAACGCACAATTAGAATTTCTGAGCTAAAATAATGTGATTTCCCAATTGCACAATTTAGTCAGTTACTTATAGGAGAGGATAACCACTGTTGCAACCTGAATTAGTAACCTGGAAGATCAATAAAGAAATAATGTCAAGAGACACAGCATAAATATAAAATGACAGTTATCATAAGAGAAACATATCCAGTAGACCTAAATTGCAAAAACTAGAAGTTCCACAAGGAGGAGAAAATTGCTGATGGAAGGAAATAGTTAAATAACAGAAGAAACTTCCTCTGAAATGAAGCAATACTTAAACCTGAACACTGAAAAAGGGCATGGACTAAAAGGCAGGGTTAATGTATACAAACACAAACCAAGGCATATCCTGGTTGGAAAAAAAAGTCCCTGAATTCCAATGATCAAAAGAAAATTAGAGCCAGACACAACGGCTCATGCCTGTAATCCCAGCACTTTGGGAGGCCAAGCTGGAGGATCACTTAAGACCTGGAGTTTGAGACCAGGCTGGGCAACAAAGTGAGATCTCGTCTCTACAAAAAAATTTAAAAATTAGCCAGGCGTGGCAGCATGCACCTATGGTCCCAGCTACTCAGGAGGCCGAGGCAGGAGGACTGCTTGAGCACAGGAGGTCAAGGCTGCAGTGAACCAGGTTCATGCCACTGCACTCCAGCCTGGGTGACAGGATGAGGCCCTGTCTCAAGAAAAAAAAAGAGAGAGAGAGAAATAAAAAAAATTGGGCAAACTTTCAGACAGCAAGACTACATTATCTACAATGGGAAAGAAATCAGAATGACACCAGACATAATACTAGAAGCTAGAACACAGCTGAAATTCATATGCTCCTGAAAGACAAGAACCGAAACCCAATCCTAATCAAGAATCCTGTATTCAATCAAAACAGTATCCCCCGTTCAGGGCTAAAGAAACATAGTTGAGGATGTGACATTTCAGAGCATATATTCCACACATTCTACTGAAGAAATTTCATGAAAAAATGTGCTACACAAATAAGTGAACTAGGGCAGAAATCTCAAAAAAGAAAGCTGAAGATATAGCAAATAATGAAAGATGTGTCTGGGCTGTATACATGGGAGCTAAAAAAAAGCTAAAAAAGAAGAGATAAACTAAAAATAGCTTAGAAGTATTAAATTATCTTAGCAAATCTTCAGTGTTGGAAAGTCAAGGAAACTAGTTACATCATCTTTACAAATGACAGAGAAAACGTCTGTCTGAATAGAAAAATAAACATAAATAAAATTTTAAAGGACAATAGGATTTCCAAATTATCAATGGGAAACAAAAGGGATAATTAACCATTATTTCAAGCAACAAACAGAAAAGGAAAAACAAAATGGAAAACAAGAAAAAAAATTTTTAAATATAAGATAAAATAAATAAAATCAAGTATTTAAAATGGGAAGAATTAAATTTTCACACTAAAAGAAAATGTTGGATTAGGTTCTTAGAAAATTTTTTCAGGCTAGGCGCCAGCAGCTTACTCCTATAATCCCAGCACTTTCAGAGGCCAAGAGAGGAGGATCCCTTGAGCCCAAGAGTTCTAGACAAGCCTGGGCAATATGTTGAGACCCCATCTATACAAATACACATACACACATAATTTTTTCTAAACTAAAAAAACAAAACAACTAATAAAGAAGGCTTTAAAATAAAGGACCAGACAAAACAGGAGGAGATACAGTATGACATGAGTCAAAGTAGGATTTCAGATTAAACATTTAAACAAGATAAACATTCAGGCAAGAAAATAGCCACATAACTCATGTACAAGAGTCATAAACCCACATACATCAAATTATACTGTATATAAATATTTAAAAATATGCATTATTAGGAATGTAGGGAAAACTTAAAGACATATACTTCAGTATGATGTGAATTTATATAATGTCTGATACTCCAGCCAAGAGAGGAACAACTGAGGAAAAGAAGGCATACGTGAAACAACACTGGGAAGTAAATAAGAAGCTGGTTGCAGATTCCTAGGGCTCTACTCTACTACTGTTGCTATTCTGAAGTACTTCTGTATGTGTGAAAATTACAATGAGGAAAAGAAAGTGAGACAGACACACAGAGGGAAAAAGGAAAAGAAGGAAGGAGGAAGGGAAAGAAAAGAAGGGAAAAAGGAAAGGAAAGAAGAGAGACAGAAAGAACCAAACAAGGAAAGAAGGAAAGAAATGCAAAGGTGTCTTGGATACAAAGATTTCTGAGGCAATGAACCTATTCTTATGATACCATAATGGTAGATACACTTGTCCAAACTCATAGAATGTGTAACACAAAGAGCAACCCTAGTGTAAACTACAGACTTTAGTTAAAAACAATGTATCGCCGGGTGCCCTGGCACGGGGCTATAATCCCAGCACTTTAGGAGACAGAGGCCCCAAGAGTTAGAGACTAGCCTGGGCAACATGGTGAAACCTCGTCTCTACAAAAAATACAAAAATTAGCCAGGCGTGGTGATGCATGCCTGTAGTCCCAGCTACCTGGGCGGCTGGGGTGGCAGGATTGCCTGAGCCCAGGAGTTCAAGGCTGCAATGAGCTAGGATCTCACCACTGCACTCCAGCCTGGGTGGTGGAGTAAGACCCCTCTCTCTAAAAATAAACAAACAAACAAAAAACCCACAATGCATCGATAACGGCTCATCAGTTGTAACAAATGCACCAAACTAATATGAGATGTTAAGTAGAGAAATGGTGTGGCATGAGGGAGGGGCATATGGGAATTCTGTGTACTTAGATTTTCTATAAACCCAAAACTGCTCTAACAAATAAAGTTCGTTTTTAAAATTATGATAAAAACTCCGTCTATCTCTTTCTTAATCAAACAGATTCAATTTTTAAAGGGAAAAAGAAAAGATATATAGAGGAATTGAATAAAACAATCGATAATCTTAAATTTTGATACTCCCTCATAAAATTCTGAAGGTCTACCACAGAAAGATGTTTAAAGTCCTACAATTGTGAAGGTATCAAACGGTTTGCATCTGAGTTAAAATTTCAAATATAAGGGTAACCTTATTTAATCCATCTAAGAATTCAAATACACTACCCACAGGTATCTCTAAAAAATAAATTCTTGATTAAAAAAACCCCCTAACTTTATATAAAACAAATCAAAATAAAGAACTCACTAATCATGAAGCTATGGTAAGATGCTGACAGTGACCATAAAGTGATAAAATACACAAGTAAGATGAAACCTCCAGGAGAGCCATGCCTACAGAAAAGAAAGGAAATGCTACAATCACATAGAACTAATAATAAAACTAGCAAACATGAAGAGTTAGGAAGTAAAGACAGCGGGATTAAATATAAGTATGCCAATTTCCATTACTTTTGTAAAAGAGAAACAATATACTCTTTCAGATTGAAATATGAAGGAAAATGATGACAAAAATATAAATGTTTTTCATAACCATTTTTCTTATTAAGAACATATTTTAGTTCCATGTCACTGGAAGGGAAAAAAAGAACATATTTTAGGAATTAATATATCTGTGGAAAGTTATAAACATTTATCTAATAGTCCAGAGATTCTGTCATTTTAATTTCTTTTTCTTCTGTTAAATATAAATACAATAAGCTAATCTATAGGCTAATTTTTCATATGAAAAATAAAAGTAATGAGAAAGGAATAGTTCTACTAGATACTGTACTATAATATATAGCTATAATACCTAAACCAGTGTGGTGCTAGGAGATGAATAAGCAGAAAAATTAAAAAAAGAAGAGTGAAGTAATAGGTCTGCATACATCTGCAATTTCAGTATGTAATGTAGATAGCACTTCGAATTATTACAGAAAAGACTGATTATTCAATAATTGTTGGAACAATCAGGTAGCCATTGGAAAATAAAATAAAATGAATTCCAAATGAAGTGAAGATTTCACCATTAAAGATGAAATATTTGATGAAAACATGAAAGAAAACAGTTTGATTGCTCATAGAGCACAGAAAGCCTAAGTATGTCACTCCTGAAATCACAAAGAGAAGATTTAAAAATTAAACTGCATACAAATAAAAACTTTCTATACAAGAAGAAAAAACACATACAAAGTTAAAAAGGCAATAGATAAGGAAAAATACCTACAAATCATATCTGTTATGTTTTCATACGAGTATTTGTTAATCCTGCCAAGACATTAAAAAAAAAAAAAAGGTTTCTCCTCCCTTAACTATCCTCCACCTTATCCAGAGAAGCTTCTTCTTTTGGAAAATCAAGCAAAACAACTAAGCCAAGACACATTAAAAAAAAGTTTGAAAAGAAAGCTGTAAGGAAATACAAGGGGAGGGGTTGTTAGATATGAGTTCTAAATTTCGTTTCAAAGAATTAATATGTCAATATGTTCAATTCGTTGCCTTCTACTTTTAAACTTAAGTTCCTCGTAAAGCAACCTTTTTCAGTTACCTACTCCACCCTAACTCATTCCGATCACCTGCTACCTGCTCTGCCCTGACTCCCGCCAAAGCACTCACCCCGTCATTCTCTTTAAATTAGCCAATTGGATTTAGTTTAGCCTCTGCGGTCTAACCCTAGCCAACAGGGGAACAACACAGCAGCAGGGGCCACGTGCGTGAGGGATAAGAACCCCTTCCCCTCCCTTGTCCGAGTGTGTGCTCACCATTGCTCCATCTGTAAGGGCACACCCTTCTATAGAAATAACTTGCCTTGCTGACAATTAAAAAGAAAATTTTATTAAAAATAAAAAGGTTTCTGAATCATAGATCAGTGCAATTGTTTACTCACAGAACATCTTAGTCCCGTTCCTCATACCCCACTTCCCCATGAGGCAGCGTAGTTAATGGCCTGCTTCCCCCCCACACACATGCAGAGGGGTATGCACATCTGGAAAGGAAAGCTCAGACTATTAAAATTAGAGCTTGTAGAAGAGTTGCTGGCATATCTGCCCCTTCTCAACTTTTGGTGGTGGGGAGAGGGAGGGTGAGAGGGTGATGCACTAGTTCCACTAACTGGGCACTGGTCTCTGGGGTAAGAGGCTTGCTTTCAAGTATGGTTACATCACTAACTATGGCGTAACCTGCCCTTCGTATCCCATTCTCCACAAATGAACTTCCATCAGTATATAGGTTAAGGTCAGGATTAGTTAAGGGGACTTCTACGAGATCATCTCGGGCAGCATAAGTCTGGACTATAATTTGTTGGCAGTCATGGTCAATTGGTTCCCCATCCTCTGGGAGAAAAGTGGCAGGGTTGAGGGCCACACACGTGCGTATTTGAAACATGGGTCCTTCAAGGAGGAGCACCTGGTATCTAAGTAGGTGGCTGTCTGATAGCCATAAACTTCCTTTGGCACCTAGTATGCCATTTACATCATGAGTAGTCCAGACAGTGAGATCCTTTCCTTGTATTATTTTGATAGTCTCTGACACTAAGACGGCCACTGCTGCAACTACACTTAAACAGTGAGGCCAGCCTTTTGCTACTACATCAATTTCCTTACTTAGGTATGCCACTGGTGGTGGGGTTGTCCCACGAGTCTGAGTAAGGACTCCAAGAGCTATCCCGGCTCTCTCTGTGACGTATAAAGAGAAGCTTTGTACTGTGGGAAGGCTTAAAGCTGGAGCTTGTACTAGGGCCTGCTTTAAGGTTTTGAAGGCTGTTTCTGCCTCTGATTCCCACCAGAGTATTTGCCCTCTGGGTGTCCTTGATTAGCGTACAGAGTGGCCTGGCTATCTCGCTGTATCCGGGGATCCATAGTCGGCCAAAGCCAGTAATTCCAAGGAACCCCCACAACTGTTTTAATGTCTGAGGGCAAGGATAAGCCAGTATAGGCTGTATTCGTTCCTTGATGAGGGCCCTGGTCCCTTTGGCTAAGATTAGGCCTAGATATTTAACCTGCTGTAGGCAAAGCTGGGGCCTTCGACCTAGACACCTTGTACCCTTGATCAGCTAGAAAGTTCAAGAGATCTAGAGTAGCCTGCTGGCACGAGGCTTCTGAACTGGTAGCCAAAAGTAAATCATCCACATATTGAAGGACCAGAGTGCCTGGACTTGAGAAGTGGCCTAGATCTTGGGCTAGGGCCTGACCAAACCGATGAGGGCTATCCCTAAACCCTTGGGCAAGACCGTCCACCTAAGTTGGGATGTGTGGTCTGTGGGATCCTCAAAGGCAAAGAGGAACTGGGAATCAGAGTGCAGGGAAATATAGAAGAAGACATCCTTGAGGTCCAGAACCGTGAACCATTCTGCTTCCTCTGGTACTTGAGAGAGCAGGGTATAGGGGTTGGGTACAACTGGATATAGTGGAATTACTGCCTCATTGATGAGTCTAAGATCTTCCACTAGTCTCCACTGACCGTTCAGTTTTTGTACTCCTAGAATTGGGGTGTTGCAGGGACTGCTGCATTTCCTCACTAAGCCTTGAGCTTTCAAATGTTTAACAATATTCTGTAATCCTTTATGAGCTTCAGGCCTTAAGGGATATTGCCTTTGATAAGGAAAAGTGGTGGGATCTTTTAACCTGATTTGGACTGGGCAGGCATTTTTTGCCCTTCCAAATTGTCCTTCCAATGCCCAGACTTCAGGGTTGATTCCCTCCTCAAGTAGGGGACAACAAATGGGTAACTTGTTTCTCATATTCATGTAGATAATAGCTCCAGCCTTGGCTAATATATCCCTCCCTAATAAAGGTGTGGGACTTTCAGGCACAACAAGAAAGGCATGTGAAAAGAGCAAAGTCTTCCAATTACAACTGAGGAGGTGGGAGAAATACCTGGTTACAGGCTGTCCCAGGATTCCTCGGATGGTAAGGGACCTTGAGGACAGTCATCCAGGACAGGAGATTAACACTGAGAAGGCCGTGCCAGTGTCCAGGAGGAAGTCAATTTCCTGGCCCTCAATAGTTAAACATACCGGGGGCTCAGTGAGGGTGATGACATGAGCTGGCGCTTGCCCCGGGCACCCTCAGTCCTGTTGTTGGATCATCTGGTTGGGGGCTTCTGACCCAGGGAATCTTCGTCCTCTGGGGCAGTGCACCTTCCAGTGATTGCCTCGGCATAGTGGACATGGACGAGGCGGCAGCCTGTTTCTCATTGGACAATCTTTTTAAAAGTGTCCTAGTAAACCACACTGATAACAAGCCCTACCAGGTGATTGGCCTGCTCCATTTTCTGTCCTCTCTGAACCACCAAGGTTTGTTTGTCTGAGGGCCATGACTAAGGCTGCGGCCTTTCTCTGATCTCGCTTTTCCTTTTGGGCCTGTTCCTCTTGGTCCCTATTATAGAACACCGAGGTTGCCAGGTTTAATAATGCCTCTAGATTTTGTTCAGGGCCCTGGATTGCTTTTCGAGCTTTCTCCTGATATCTGTGGCTGACTGGGTAATAAACTTATCTTTTAGAATCAATTGACCCTCAAGTGATTCGGGTGACAGGGGAGTATATTTTCTTAAGGCCTCCCGTAGCCGCTCGAGGAAGGCAGAAGGATTTTCTTCCTTTCCCTGAGTTATGGCGGACATCATTGAATAATTCATGGGTTTTTTTCTAATTCTCCTTAGTCCTTCTAGAATACAGGTCAACAGATGTTTATGACTCCAGTCCCCATGATCTGAGTCAAGGTCCCAGTGGGGATCCATACTGGGGATGGGTTGCTGACCGGTAGGGAATTTGTCCCTTTCTTCGGCTGTCATTCTATCATTTACTTGACTAAGATACCAGGTATCTCCAAACTCTTGGGCTGCAGCTAAAGCCGCATTCTTTACATTAAAGGCCAAGGTTTGATCTCACAGTAGCATGACGTCTCTCCAAGCGAGGTCGAAGGTTTGCCCTAGACCTTGTAGGACATCTATGTACCTATCAGGATCATCTGAAAACTTCCCCAGGTCTGCCTTGATCTGCTTTAAATCAGAGAGGGAGAAGGGGACATGTACCCGGGTTGGGCCAAATTCCCCTCCCCCTACAGCTTGAAGGGGACATAACCAATAGCCAGGAGGGTTTTGTGGTCCTTTGGAGATTTCTTTGCTTATTTCCTTCTGGGCGGGGGGAGATTAGAGGAGGATTATCATTCATAGGAAGGGGAGCTATAGGGAGGCTAGGATATGGGGGTGAGCTGAGAGGTCCTCCTGTGGGATGTAAATTGCAAGCTTTGCATAGCTGTGTATTCTCCCTCAATGAAAAGAAAGCTTGGACATAAGGTATTCCACTCCATTTGCCTTCCCTCTTACAGAAAAGGTCAAGCTGCAGGATAGTATTGTAATTTGTACTTCCCTCAGGTGGCCATTTTTCCCCATCAGAGAGAAAATATTGGGGCCAAGCCATAGTGCAGCACGGTGGGCTGGCACTGCTGGGGGACCCAGTACAACCTCCACAGCCGCTGGCCCGGGTGCTAAGCCCCTCATTGCCCGGCTGCTCTGAGTGTGGGGCCCGCCAAGCCCACGCCCACCTGGAACTCCAGCTGGCCCGCAAGTGCCGAGCGCAGCCCCAGTTCCAGCTTGCGCCTCTCCCTCCACACCTCCCTGCAAGCTGAGAGAGCCGGCTCTGGCCTTGGCCAGCCCAGAAAGGGGCTCCCACAGTGCAGCGGTGGGCTGAAGGCTCCTCAAGTGCCGCCAAAGTTGGAGCCCAGGCAGAGGAGGCGCCGAGAGCGAGCGAGGGCTCTGAGGACTGCCAGCACGCTGTCACCTCTCACAACTGCCAGGGTCTTTGCTCAGAAAGCACCTGCCCTGTAGCCCTATGAAAATATTCACAAAGCCCCTCCTTTCTGACAATATCACAAAGGGCTAATTTCCCCCAACAATAAGCAAATACCTACACATCAATAAGAAAACCCAAAGGGCAAAGGATCTAATAGTCAATTCACAGAAATATAAATGAATCTATAAAGAAAAATTCATGATAAACAATGAAAACAATATACCATTTTTCACTATCACACAAAGATCAAAAGGCAAAAAACACTTTTGGCCAGGGAGAGAAGAAACAAGCTCTCATTTAAGAGGTAAACTGATAATACTTAACTAATTTATAAAAGCACATATATTCCCAGCAATTCTACTTCTGCACGTGCAAAGTGGATATAAAGGGTCACTCATAATTGCATTATTTGGGATAGCAAAATACTGGAAAAATTATCGATAGAGATCTGGTGAAATTATATGACTGTTACATCCCTATGACAGGTTATTAGAAGTCATTAAAATGAAAAAGATAATGCTTTAAATTAGGCATGGAATACTCCCAAATTAGTATGTTAAAAAAAACAAAGGTTGCTTCAACAGAGGAAAAATAAATGGCTGTGATAAAAGTGTGGTATGGAGAGTAACTTTTCCATTGTAGACTCTTATGAACCACTAGATTTTTTTAAACAAAGTATTATAAATTCTGAGTATTACCATTCAACAAAATAAGAAACTAAAATTATCCCAGCAAATTGCATATATAGTAGTCCCCCCTTATCCTTGGGGGACATGTTCCTAGGTCCCCAGCAAATGCCTGAAACTGTGGATAGTATAGAACATGATTGCTGTCAATTAGAACACTTTTCTATTCATGTCTTATACACACACATTTAATGTCTTTTCCATCTTAAGCACTTATCATGCACTGTGGCCATAACTTTTGAAGTTTGACTTTTGACAGCAAAAGTAGCACAAATTTCTTTTCCTTCTTCACAATGCCACCGACGGAAGATTCATCCTTACCGCAGAGCTTAGCAACCTCAGCACATGACTCTTTTCTTTCCTTATTAAGTCTAGAACTTTCACCTTTTCACTTAAAGGAAGCACTTTATGGCTTCTCTCTGGCATATGTGAATTGCCAGCAACACTACTCTTGTATGCTGGGGCCATTATGAAATAAAGTAGAGGTGACTTGAACATAAGCACTGAGGTATCATACAGTCGATGTGATCACCGAGGCGGATTTTTTTTTCCTTCTGTTTTTTCTTGTTGTTGTTGTTTGTTTGTTTGTTTTTCAGAGACAGGGTCTCGCTCTGTCCAGGCTGGAGTGCAGTGGCACCATCATGTCTCATTGCAGTGAGGTAGCTTCTAAGTGACTCATGGAGAGGGAGTGTCTACAGCATGGAGATGCCAGACAAAGAGAGGATCCACGTACCAGGCAGGATGGAGCAGGATGGTGTGAGATTTCATCACACTACTCAGGATAGTGCACAATCTAACACTTATGAATTGTTTATTTCTAAAGTTTTCCATTTAATATATTTGAAATGAAGTAGACCCTGTGTGTAGCTGAAACTTTGGAAAGGAAAACTATGGATAAGGGGGACTACTAGAATACACTTCAATAAAATAGCATTTTAACAAAATCCTAGTGTCCGTAGAGTAGTTCTCCATCTAGCTGTCCATCTTTCAAATGTGGAGAGAGGTGAGATGAGGGAGAAGTATGGTCAGAGAGGGGAGACAGGTGTGTGTGGTGTGGGTGTGCAGGTAGATACATAGCTCAGTGTTCACTGTGAGAGGTGAACAGAGAACATTCCAAGCAATGGGAGTGGCATGATACAAGGCACAAAGAAGTCAAACTGAAAGGCACCTTCAGGAAAAAGAAAGGAGTCTCTTGCAATTCATACACAGAGATCGGCACTGGCAAGAAACAGGACTCTGGGGGAAAAATCAGGGCTACAAAAAAAAAAGCTTGTGTTGTGATGCAAAAGCATTTAAATTTTATCTTTAAGCAACAGAAAACCAGTGACTTAAAAAAAATAAAGCAAAAATATGTGAAGATAGCAAAGGTAATTCAGTTACATAAACTGTGACCAGATTGAGAACAAAACCAGTCAACGGAACCAACTATTAATGCACCAAACGCGGTGACTTTCTTAGTGTTGCATCTCTTTATGGAGAAACTGTATTGTTATTTCAAATTTCACTCTTAAGAAAATGTAGAAAGTGAAGATGCATTTCTGTTACCAAAAAAAAAAAAAACAAAAACAAAAACAAAACACAGTTCTGAAGCTGGAAAAAGTGAAAGTTCAATCAGGAAATTTCAAAGAAAATAAAAAAAGAACAAAGAAAATTATAGCCCTCTAGTTCAAACTGAAACACTAATTAGAGATAACATATATCTTGGGAGATAAAGAATTTGGTGAATGTGCCTTAAGTATTATAATTTAAGGTTAGTAAAGAAATTTGAAAGAGAATGTCTACTATTAAAAGAACACTTGGGCCAGGCGCGGTGGCTCATGCCTGTAATCCCAGCACTTTGGGAGGTCGATGCAGGTGGATCATGAGGTCAAGAGATCGAGACCATCCTGGCCAACATGGTAAAACCCCATCTCTACTAAAAAAACAAAAATTAGCTAGGCGTGGTGGTATGCGCCTGTAGTCCCAGCTACTCCGGAGGCTGAGGCAGGAGAATTGTTTGAATCTGGGAGGTGGAGGCTGCAGTGAGCCAAGATCGTGCCACTACACTCCAGCCTGGTGACAGAGCAAGACTCCGTCTCAAAAAAAAACAAATTGGATTGTTTAAACAATATCAGAAAGAAATCTTTGGAATATGTAAGAATAGTTTTCTGAACACATATGAAGTCCAAAATTCTTTGTTCATGCTCCCATTTAATTATATCCTCCACATCAAATACCCCCTATCACACAGATACATTCTAAAAAATTAAAATTAACTTATTCTGGTAACTGACAGGATCACAGTCACTGGAAGTAAACCACAAGAGAGAAAAATATGATTAAACACTACATGGGAGACAAATGTCTCAAAGTATGATGTTAAATATCATAGAATGCTATTAAAATAGCACGCTTAACAGCATTAGGTACTATCAGAGCTCTGTTCGTGAACAAGAGCTCTAATCAGTCAGAGACCTTGGGACGTTTGCTAAGCGCAGGTATTAGTGAAATATTTTCTCACAGTGTGGGGCCCAGACCACCGGTGAGAAGTGGGGCAATTTCAGGCCGAACATGGACATGACATTCTATAGCACTGATTCATATCATTATGAGTTAATGATTCACAATTTTTGTCATATTAGATCTGGTAATATGACAAAATCTTTGTGAATTTGATTTTTTTTCTTGAAATATTTTTATAATTTTTTGAGGGTATAGAACATAATTTCCTAGCAAGCTATCCAATACACAAAACATAGGTACTTAGATAGTCTTGACCAACTGCATAGAATTATTCGATAAAAATATCAACTACAGGATGGGCACGGAGGCTCACGCCTGTAATACCAGCACTTTGGTAGGCCCAGGCAGGTGGATCACAAGGTCAAGAAACTGAGACCATCCTGGTCAACGTGGTGAAACCCTGTCTCTACTAAAAATACAAAAATTAGCTGGGCGTAGTGGCACGCACCTATAGTCCCAACTACTCTGGAGGCTAAGGCAGGAGAATTGCCTGAACCCGGGAGGCGGAGGTTTGCAGGCCGAGATCACGCCACTGCACCCCAGCCTGGTGACAGAGTGAGACTCTGTTTAAAAAAAAAAAAAAAATCAACTATCGGGTTTTATACCAGAAACAACCATGGTACAAACTTGAACAAACTTATAACCTGAGATAAATGAGCCAGAAACAAATGGAAAAAAAGATAACACAAGAACAGAATAACAAACTGCCCATTTGTCAATTCCATAAATACTGATAAGTACCTCAATTAAAAAATCTCAGATCTCTTTGGTCTAGAATAGAATACAAATATTTTGCAGTCGTCTCAAATTGTCTTCAGAATCAAATTACAAGCTATTTTTCTCATTATGACAAAATAAAGTCTTCACTTTAACCAAAAACATGATTTCCCAGCTAATAATCTAATTAGACATACTTAGTTATAAAGATACATTTTAATCAAAATCAAATTAACCTTCAAAAGGCAAAATTCTGTCACTTCTAAAGATAGTCACAAAATAAAATATAGGCTACAAAGGTGATTTCAAAGGAAGTATGAGTTTTAAGCAACAACTACTGAGCTACTACCTATAAAATGCTACAAGTATTTACAATACTAGTCTCAAAATGCATCTAGATAGATCACTTTTGCCATACTTAAGGAAAATCAGCCACATTATTTGACAGTTATACTTTACAATGAAAATACAGCAATGTTTTTAACTTTTTACATATAACTTACAGATTAAAATTTTGGTGATTATATTCATGTGAAAATGGTGGGCTGGCACTGAACTTTCCCTCCAAACTCCTTCTAGGGTATACTCTTACACTGCAGAATACAGATGGTTAAAAAGCCTATTCCCAGACTCCCTTACAGCTGAGGTTTCCATGTGACTGCATGAGGTTCTGGATGTGCAAATGCATGAGATTTGGAAAGGAAAAGTGAGATAGCAGTGAGGCACAGACTGTCATTCCACTGCCCGCTCACTGCTTTTGGGGGGTGTTGAGAGTCAGGACACAAACTTATTTAATCTATAGGCATAATGTACCTCTAAAGCCACTCAGCTTGGAACTTGGGCTTATTGGGGACTAGAAAACAACTGGTGGGGAATGGGAGATGGGGGAGGTCTTCTTAAAAACATCACAGGGTAAGAATATAGGAAGGGATCAGCCAAAACCAAGATGAAAACACAGATTTGCAAACCCAACACTCAACACCATTTTTGCCCTAACGTCATTTGCCATTCCAGGAAAAAAGGACTATGAATATAAGCTATACTTTTGGTGGCATCAACAAATCAAAAGCATAACCACGAAGATAAGAGGCCACCAAAGTATCAGTTTATCAAAGAACCTTGATAAACTACCCCCACTTTTAGTGGGCACCATAAAGGAATGCAACCTCAAGATAAGACTGAACTGGAATAAAACCAACCATTCTCTAGAACTGCAACCGGGCTGTGTATCCCCTCAGGAGTTCAAGGAGCCTTACACTTTGAGCTTAGATTGCCGTAGTCACAAATACTACTGTCCATAGGCATGTGGCAGAAAAAAATTTGAAAAATCTCTATAAGAAAGAATCCATCATCTTAGGTTTTGATTAATAACAATTTTTAAAATAACTGTATATGACAGTATAATAACAAGGCCCAACAGGAACTCAACAGCAGAACCAAGAAACAGCATAAAAAGCAGTTAATACAAGTAGTCATAAGACTTCACATGTCAACATTATCAGACATGTACTACAAAACAAATAAGTTAATTATGTTCAAAAAATAAAAGTCAAAATTGAAAATTCAAATAGGAGACAAGAAAAGATAAAAACCAATGAATCATACTTTTAAAAGAACCAAATAGAAATTTCAGAACTGAAATATAAACAATTGAAATCAGGAACTCAATGGGTGATTAATTAATTAAATACAGCATAAGGGAAGGTAAGAAAGACAGAAGAAATTATCCAAAAAAGATGAAAAATATCAAAGAGAGCATAAGAAACATAAGAGATATATTAAGGAGGTCTAAAATGAAAGTTATAGGTTTATTCATCTGTGTATGTGAGATTGTTCCAGAAGTAATAATGGTGGAGAATTTCCAAAAAAAATTAAAAGACATTAATCTACAGACAAAATATTCAATGAATTCCATGTATACATGTACACGAATCAGCAAAAAGTTAAAGGAAATCTAACAAAAACAGAAATTAATAAATGCTACCAAAAGGAAAAATCAATTATGTCCAAATAAGCAGAATGCAGAATGAGTGGGGAAGTCTCACCAGAAACAGTGAAATAATATTTTCAATAAATTGAAAAAAATACTGGCCAAACTAAGATTTCTAATTTTTTTTTTTTTTTTTTTTTTTTTTTTTTTGGTACAGACAAGTTCTCACTATGTTACCCAGACTGATCTTGAACTCCTGGGCTCAAGGGATCCTCCCACCTCAGCCTCCCAAAGCACTGGGATTACAGGGGTGAGCCACGGCCCACAGCCAAGACGTCTAAGAAGAGTAAAAACGCATTTCATGAACAAGGCAACATAAAGTCATTGGCTGTCAACAAAAAGAGATTGTCCCAAGTAAACCTCTAAAAGAAACTACCAGAAACAAAGACAAAGAAAGGTAAATATGTGGGAGGAATGGAATGAATGATGACTAAAATAATAAGAGAAATGGCCTCGGGGGATAATTGTACCCAAGTCAGGAGACAGTAAACGGACTTTAAATGTTCTAAGCTCCCTTGTCAGTCTGGCAGCTCAGGTGAAAAGACACTGTTATCAGTTTTTGATAAATTAAGGATGTGTGTTGTAATGTAGAGGTTCTACCAAAAGATCAGCAGTATTTATAACCCCCAAACTTGTACAGGAAAAAATTAAATGATAAATACTGCAAAAGAAAGAAAAAAAAAGGAAAAAGGCCAGAGATTGGACAAGAAGAAAACATTTTTAAAAATTAGAAATTTAAACTCAAAAATACCAGCATTTCTGTCAACTTTCTAAGGAGCAAATGGTCAAGATACAAGACAAACATATCAAACTGGGCTGAAAAATTATACACTGCTTACAGAGGCACACGTGAACTGTCTTCAAACAGGTAGGTCGAGAGTAAAAGCATGAAGAAAGCCATAGCACGCAAAAGATAACCATCAGGAAAGAGGCAGAAATCCACCTGGAGCCCAGAACATCAGCTTCCCCACGGCTGGGGAGCAGCAGGGCCACTACTGAACTCACCTCAAAGTTCAAGGACACAAGGACGGTCTACCGCCACGGCACAGCGAACAGAAAACAGCCCTCCTGCACCCATGGTAGGGCTAACCAGGGCCCACAGGAGTCTCCCTCTGGGAAAGAGGCACAGGCATGAAGACACGGCTCCCATGAAGCACAGGGTCAGAGGCAAGCCCTCAAGCTCAGGATGAAGCAGGCATGCAGAAATCCCACAAGCGGCCCCTTGGTGCACGTGAGAAAACCACTGCAGGAAGGCTTAAGCTCGACCCAGCTCATGCCTGCAGTGACTCAACACCCCCTCCCCCCCCACCCCCTCCCCCAAGGGCCTAACGGAAGAAGAGTTGACACTGTTTTCAGGCATAAGTATGCCTTCCTCAGTCTCTCCTGTCCTATTCCACCCCTTAGCCATCAGCCCATAATCCCCCCACTCACCCACCCCAGTCCTAGGCAAGTACTAATCTATTTATCTCTGTAGGCCATATGTGTTTTTTGAATGGTGAATTGGACTGAAGAGTGTCGTGTCAAAATTCACATCCACTCACAACCTGTGACTGTGACCTTACTTGAAAACAGGATCTTGGCAGAGGAAATCACGTATGATGAGGCCGTACTAAATGGGAAGGGTCCTGAATCCAATGTGACTAGTGTCCCTACAGAAAACGGGAACCCTGGGCACAGAGATGCACAGAGAGAAGGCAATATGACAACTGAGGCAGGGATTAGAGTTATGCTGCCAAAGCCAAGGAACACCAAGGACTGTCGGCAACACCAGAACCAGGAGAGAGGCATGGAGTGGATTCTCCCTCCAACCCCCCAGGAAGGAACCCACTCGGCTGGAACCTGCATGATAGACTCTGGCCTCCTGAAGTGTACGAGAACAAATTTCTGTTGTGTTAAGCTATAGTTAATGATCATTTGTTATGGTAGTCCTAGCAAACTAACACAAATTCCATAAAACTGGAAATAAACTATCTACAGAAATCTAACAGATAAAGAAATAGTGGCATTTTCTTAGAAAATGTATCATACAGGAGTTCCATGAAATAGCACAAATCTCACAAATGCCATGCTGAAAAAAGAAGCCAGGCACAAAAGAACGAATACTATACGATCCCATTAATATAGTTTTAAAAAACAAACAAAAGTAATAATGCTGCTTAGGTATGCGTAATTCAAAGGAAGAATGATATGAAAACTGAAGGTTCTGAGAAGTCAGTCAGATAGGAGACAGCTCTAGGGAAGATGGAGGGGGAATCAGAATCATTGAGAAGGAGAAGAAAATGAGGCTAGTGTAAAAAGAGCTGGCTGTTTTGTAAATACTTCTAGGCCCAGTTGATGTTTACATTGATTTTTGCTTTATAATAATACATTCAATTATTCACCTGTGTTCTATGTATGTTTCTGTATAGTTCACAATTTAAATGAAAGAAAAAAGGGAAGAAGGAAGGAAATAAAGCCACCGGTTACAACGCCAGTCGCTTCCTGAGATTTGGTTAGAACTAAGGAAGTTATGTCCCCCAAAGCCAACAGTTCCAAGGGCAGCCACTTGATTCTCAACGTCCTCACTGTGGCAGAGGTGCCGGTTCCTCTGGGAGCCTGGCTGAGTGGTACAGCAGTGGGAGTCACCACCGAAGTTCACTCTGGGTACCCTTCCTTCCTCCATCCTTCCAAAGATTTTGCAATCACTGTATCACTTCCTATTTGTAATATCTAGAGTAATTTTTCTTAACAGCACATACACACTGACAAATACAGTTCATCTAGAAAGGTTCAAGAAAAAAACAAAGTGGTATTTCCAACATAAAGTATTAACAGTGACAAAGCAGAGGTCTAGACATTGAACTTTAGAGGGATACTATCCGTCATTCCTAACAGATGTCTTAGCACAAGCATAAAAACTAAATCTTTATTTAACACTTTATGGAGTTAATTTTTTAACATTTATAAAACAAAAAAGGGTGGAGAAGGAAGGGTAAAGTACAGAGGCATGGAGAGGAATAAATAACAGTTGTTGTTACCTGGAGTCTTGTATTCATTTCCAAGAAATAAAAATTCTTCTTAGAGTCCACAAGGAACTCCACGGTCCCAGCAGAGGAATATTTTACTGCTCTGGCAAGAGCTACAGCTTGTTCTCCCATCGCTCTTCGAGTCTCCGCATCCAAAAAAATGCTACATATACAAAAAAATGTTTGTCTACATTTCGGACAAAAATCAAGTTATCTTTTGTGTGCATTACATAAACATTTTCTTAAAGTTTACTCAGATATAGATCATCTATACCAATTTAAGAATTCAAAATATTGTGCTTTATATATGTTTTATAATATATGTTGACTATATTATTAAGCATAACATGCTCAAATAAGTCAACTTTAGATTTGTATAAAACATTTGAACTTTTCACATTACTCTGCAACTTCAATCCATTCACAAAATATATAACTACTCTTCAACTTCTAATATTTAACATATATATTCAGAATTGCTTCGAGCCAAAAACTGGGAGAAAAATAACTTATTAGTATCTAACATACACAATCAATCCTCATTGCTCATGTAGTCCATATTTACAAATCTGCCTACTTGCTGAAATTTATTTGTAACCCCAAAATCAATACTTAAGGCGCTTTCATGGTCCTTTGTGAACAAGTGCAGAGAGGTGAAAAATTTGAGACTCCAGTATGCTAAGGCTGAACAAGGTGATGCTCTCCCTTCTCGTTTCAATGCTCATACTATAACAAGCATCCTTTTCAAGGTCTGTTTAGTGTCACTTTTTTTGCATTTGTGTGTGTGTGTGTGTCATTTCATGGTGTGAAATGGCCCATCAAGCATTGTCCTTAGGTGCTGTCTGGGGTTCCCATGTGCAAGAAGGCCATGAAGTACTGTCTGGAGAAAATGTGTGTGGGATAAGCTTTACTCAGGCACGTGTTATAGTCTTGTTGGCCAGGATTGTGAGTTCACTGTTAATGAATCAACCACAGATATTAAATGAGAAATACACAAAAAACAAAATTATGTATTAATCCACTGAGGAAAATGTTATAAGCAAAGGCTCGCAGGAACCTAACCCTGTATTTCCCCTAGGGGAAATTATTCAGTGTTCACTAATTCAGTAATCAAGGTGACTTTAGAGAACATAACTGCCACAAATAACAAGAATCAGCAATACATCCACTAAATCCTGCACGTTTGGCTTCAAGATACCAAACCCACCTTCAAGCAGGCAAGTTAAGCTAAAATGACTTCAACAAACCCTGAAAAAAATATCATCAAACCACTTTGCATTTTCACAGATTTTGCTTCTATGAAAGAAAGGCTCTGAGAAACAAAACATTAACTACTTTTCTACTTGTGGATTAAAATTATTCTCAAATGAGCAGGATTGAGATGACATGCTATAAAAGCTTTATTATGGAATAGTATAAAAAACTTGCATGAAGCTGCCTCCAATATATAGCAATTATTAATACATAGCCACTCTGGCTTTATCTATGCTACTTGCCCACTTCTCTACCAGGCCCACCCTTTATTGTTTTTAAAGTAAATCCCAAATTAGGTATCATTTCACTTTTAAAAACATACATGTCTGTTTCTATGAGATAAAGTACCCTTTTGTAACACAACTACACAAAAAACAAGAACTCCTTAAAAGCATTTAATATCCACTTGGTATTCAAATTTCTCTATCTCATAAATATCTTTATACAGCTGATTTCTTTGAATCAGGATCCAAATAAGGTCCAAAACTGCATTTGATTGGCTTTTGTATCTTAAGACTCTTTTAATCTGTAATGCCCCTTCCCCATTTTCTGGCCAAGGATCTGGTCATTTTACTGTCTTATTTCTCACATTCTTGGTTCAACTGCATGCAACCCCACGGTGTCTTTTAACATTCATATTACATTTCTATTTCATATAGATTGCTAGTTAGACTCAGAGCCTTGAATATATTCAAGTTGGATTGGGGTGGGGGAGGGGGAAGAGTTCACAGGTGGGAAGTGTACTTCCTACTGTCTCCCTTTTGGTGAAGTTACAATAAATCAATGGGTTCAAGTGTTATGAATTATCTATAATATAGTTTGCATTAACCTAATGTATAGACATAGATGACATTTCAACAATAACTGGCTGACAAAATTAATGCAACTAAAAAAAACCCCAACTAACAATTAATAGCATAACATCTGGAGAATCTCAGTGCAGCTCTGTGAAACTATCTTTCTCCTATTTGATCTTGCCCTTGCCCTTTTCAAAAGCCCTGCTAGATATCCAGAGATATGAGTGACCCTAGCTAGCATTGCCCTCAAAGCACATTAGTAGATTCTTTTTTTTATTTTTATTTTTCGGGGGGTGGGGGAGAACAGGGTCTTGCTCTGTCACCCAGGCTGGAATCTGGTGGCATGATGTCGGCTCACTGCAACCTCGACCTCTGGGGTTAAGCAATCCTCCCACTTCAGCCTCCCAAGTAGCTGGAACTATAGGCATATGCCACCACAGTCAGCTGATTTTTTACTTTTTTGTGAAGATGAGGTCCCACTACGTTGTCCAGGCTGGTCTCAAACTCTTAGGCTCAAGCAATCCTCCCACCTCAGCCTCCCAAAGTGCTAAGATTACAGGTGTGAGCCACCATGCCCAGCCGATTCTTACTCCAGGAACTGAAAACTACACATTCCATTTATTTTAACATTTCACAGTGTACAAATACATATCAGGTCAGTATTAATGATGAGTTCTAGCTTTTTCATTTTGATTCCTACTGCTGTATATTTTCCTTTTTTTCTCTAAATAAGTAGATAAGGTATTCATTATGAAAAGTTTGTATTTCTAGACAAAGAGAAAAAACAAACACATTTTATGATTCAAGGTTCCCAGTCTGGGAAAGATTTCTATCCCAGGTAACACTTGAGTAGGTTTTTACTAAAAACAGAGTGTTAATTGAATTGGAATTGATAATCAGTCAAGGAAACAGAAAATTGCAAGACATGTGTGTTGAAGACTCTTACTGTTCCACAGGTATCCTTTTTCCCCTTCCTCCATACTACAGTACTACAGTACTAGTTCTAGCTCAGCACATGGTTTCTTAAGAAAAAGATACTAACAAGTCTCCCTAGCTAAGTGTCTAACTTCAGATCAACACCAAGTAATTAGCTTCAGCACCTTCCAGGATCTTCCTAAAGACACAGGAAGAGGATTCCCTTTGGCTTTTCTTCTTCCTCCCTTCTTACATCCTGTTCCTGGGCCTTGAGAACTAGATGGCCACATCTTATGTAAGCTACACAGTTCTTCACAGCATACTGGCTGGTGTGTAAGCACAAGCATCCCATGAGAACAGGAAGCGGAAGCTGGCAGTTTCCCAAGGCCTGGGCTGGAAACTGGCACAGCATCACTTCTAAGTAGTCTACGGGTCAAGCCTTCACAGAGCACAGAATCAAGAAAAGGGAACAATGATCCTTCCCCTCACTGCTCAAAGAGAAAAATGGCAAAGGATTTGGGGTCCATGTTTTAAAACTAATAACACCATGCCATATTTTTAAAAACCAATGTAACTAAAATAGAGTTGAATTTTTACCATTACTCCGGGATTAAAAATATACTCACATTCTCACTTACTATTTTCAGAAACTATATAGGCATTATATCAAGATATGCTAGCTCTGCTGATTAAAGCTACAATAAGCTATACTTCTTACCGTCTGGTAATTAAAAATTACTAGGAACACTCACCTGAGGATTTTTAAGAACAAAGAGAATACCAGAGTATATACAAATAGCAACCTAGCATCAAATGAGAAATGAGGCCCCATACACCAAACTCATGAAAGATGCCCTGGAGAAGTACCCAAAGTGGCTCTGATAATTCAAGGAATTTCCAAGAACCACACTCCAGAAGCCTTTCATGGTAGGATAAATTCAGGACCAACTTTATGAACCCTTCACCAACATGAAAGTCTAGAAGGCATATATCTCAGAAATCCCGTGAAGTACCATCAGGTTCCATACTTCCTAGAAGCCTGCAGAAGTCACAGTTGGCTGTCTACCCAACTTTCTCCTCTAATAAAAACCCACTTCTTTTTCAAGTATTCTCTCCCTTTTACACATTAAAGCACTGAGGAAATCAAGTAACAAATTCTTAATTATAAAAATATGCAGTAACAGAGTCTACATGAACATTAGTGCAATTGTAGCTGATAAAGCAAACAAATAAAAAAAGAAATGTGGCTGGGAGCAGTGGCCCACACCTATAATCCCAGCACTTCGGGAGGCTGAGGTGGGCTAATCTTTTGATGCCAGGAGTTCAAGGCCAGCCTGAGCAACATGACAAAACCCCATCTCTACAAAACACAAAAATTAGCTGGGCATGGTGGCACACACCTGTAGTCCCGGCTACGTGGGAGGCTGAGTTGGGAGGATCACTTGAGCCTGGGAGGTGGAGGCTGCAGTGAGCCGTGATTGCACCACTGCCTGGGCAACAGAGTGAGACCCTGTCTCTGAATGCATGCGTCAGTGAATGATGAATGAATGAATGAATGAATGAAATGCATAAAAGCAGCCGCTTTATAAATGTTTCTTAGGAGACTTACCTTGGTGCTTCCTCCACCACCTTCTGATTTCTTCTCTGAATTGAGCACTCTCTTTCATTAAGCCATAAAGCATTCCCATGTTTATCACCTAGAACCTGAAAGAGCAATACCATTTGAAAAACCATATAACCACACCCACAAAGTAGATGATGGTTAATATTTTCCGCATGCAACATCTCTTGGTTTTTAATATTCAAACTTCATAGTATATACATACCTCTCAAAACATTATTTTGATTCATGTTAACAAAGGAAAACTATATTTATTACTCCAAAGCTCAATAAAACATTTTTATCAAAAAGATTTGAGGAAAAAGTGTTCATATCACCTTTCAAATACAACGAGTAAAACATCAGAATCAGTTGTACAAATTTTGTGAAGGACACTGAGTGTTAGTGAAGGGGATAAACACTGGATGTCAATGTTGCTGAGGAGTGCCACCGCAGCTTTATTACAAACATCTGCTTGATGTTAACATTATTAAATGTCTGTTGATTGGGAAATGACATTGTATGCATTTCCACCCAATATGTAATCTGTTATCTATCTATGGATGTCTGTACTGTGGTTTATTTTTGTTCTAGGAAACTGCTAAAGGTCTGGAGTTAATATACAAACATAATAGTTTTTCCCATTGAACATCTCTAACCAGAAAATCTGAAATCCAAAATGCTCCAAAAGCTGAAATTTTTTGACATCACGCTCAAAGGAAACAGTCACTGGAGCATTTCGAATTTTCAGATTAGGGATACCCAACCAGCAGGTATAAATGCAAATATTCCAAAACCCAAAAAAATCTGAAATCTGAAACACTTCTGGTCCCAAGCATTTCAGTTAAGAGATACATTCAACCTGTAATGGAAAATAAGCTGAGATTGCCAGATAAAATACAAGATATCCAGCTACATTTAAATTTCAGATAAACAATGAATAATTTTTTTCTAGCTATGTCCCAAGTACTACATGGAACAGTGATTTTAAAAAATCATTGTTAATCTGAAATTCAAATTTAACATGTATCTTTTTCAGCTAAATCTGGAAACTCAAAAGCAGCTCTTCATTAAAGTTTTTGCCTAGAACATCTGATTTTCAGAAACGGACCAATCTATTTTCAGATTTAAGGTGTTGATTTATATTTCTGAATACATATATTAGGTTTACAGAGGTAAGATCTGTTTTAGAAGCCCAAAGACCAGGCACTAATTTTAGTTCCAAACAGCTATGCAACTTCTCTGAACAAGTCATTCTGTTTCTTTGTGCATTATAAATAGCAGATAATATCAATCTTAATATTTGATATGGCTTCTGAAAAAAATCAAATAAAGATCATGGCTATAATTGGTAAAATGTAAAATAAATAGTTAATATATGACTGTAAAGTTAATTTTTAGGAACAAACCCTTTCTGAAACTCAAGAATGATTCCAAGCAATGAAGGAAAACATAACAGCAATAAAATGCCAATAAGCTGGAATTTTCTAAGACTCAAAGGTGGCTGCATGAAGTAAATCTAAAAATATTTGAAATCATTAAAATAACTCTCAACCTCTTTTTAAATTCTAGTTGACAAGAAAGTAAAAGTAGACAGTCTCCAAGAAATAAAGCCAAAATAACCAAGAATTCTCAGAAATATTTCCAACTATAAAATATCAGATTCATATACAGAATCAAGAGTTTGTTCTTCTCTAAATTCTGTATAGTCTCCCAGTTCATTTTTTAAAAATTCTGTGCACTTACTAGGCATTCAACAAAAATGATTTGCTGATTATTTATTCCATTAAATAAATGAGGAAGCCATGTAATCAGAAAACATTATAAATAAATACTGCTTTTAAGGGAAGTTAATCCTTAAATGCATCATGAGTTTTTTAAAAATTTTATAGGTTTACACGTACTGAATGTAGAAAAATCTCTAAGCTATACTGCTTCCTGAAAAAGCTTTATTATAATAGACAATGTCACATAATGCAAGCCTGTTGGTATCCCTAGACCCAACCCAGGAAATGCCAGTAGTGCCCTGGTTGAGAAATACTGGTTTATGCCACAAAGAGAGGTGCCATTCACACTACCAGTGCAGTTTCATTGTGGAAAGGACATAGTATATAATGGCTCATGTGAAAAATAATAGGTGACATACACACATATACTTCTTAGACTATGTATGGAGGAATAGCCAAGAAACAGTAACGGTGCCTGCATTTAGGGACAGAAACTAGAGGACTTAGAATAGAGTAAAAGGGATGCTTACTTTTTATTAATTACCCTTTATCATGTGCATAAATTACTTAATATAAATAAGTGAAAACTAAAGAAAAGTAAATTAAAAACCCTTCTAAGTATAGATGAGATATGAGAACATCTGTGTGGCCTATTAACTGGGAGGCATTTTCACTTATGTTTAAAAATATCACCCAGGCTGTATGCCATGGCTAAATAAAATAAACTAAAAAGCTGATCTAGGTATGTAATTATTTAACACAAAATAACAAACATTTATTGAGTATTAGTAATGTCAAAGACAATGGTCTGGTTGCTGGGGACAGCAAATGAGTAAGACCTACTCTCTACCCTTAAGGACCTCATGGCCTGTTACGAAATTCAACTAGTTAAAGATAAAACAGCCTACCTAAGTGGTCTTCCAGTAGTGTGAACAAGTGCTAGATGGGGAATACAGTGAAGGACAAAATTAATTCTGCCCCTACGATCTTACAAGAAGGACAATCTAAATATCTCCCTTAAATTACAGATTTAAATAGCCAACTGTCTACTCAACATCTACACTTAGATATCTAATGGGCATTTCAACCTTGATTTATCCAACTTTATAACCTGATTTCCTCCCTCAAAAACAAGCACATCTCACAGTCTTTCCTATCTCAGTAAAAGCCCACTCCATTCTTCTCATTTCTTAGGCCAAAACCCTAAAATCACCTTATTTTTTTTTCTTGTACATAACATCCATCTATTAGAAAATCTGGTCTACCTTCACAAAATATCCAGAATTCTAGCCTGGGAGAGAGAGTAAAATTCTGTCAGAAAGAAGGAGGGAGGGAGCGAAGGAGGGAGGGAGAGAGGGAAGAAAGAAAATTCAACATTGTTAAGATGTCAATTCTCCCCAGAATAATCTCTAGATTCAATACGACCCAAATACAAATCTCCCATCAGATGGGGTGTGTGGGAGTGGAGGTAGAGGTGGGAGTGGGTGGGTGTAGGCGTAGGTGTCCGTAGGGGGAACAGGTTGACAGGTGAAGTCTAAACTTTTCACGGAAATTCAAAGAACCTAAAGAGAATGAAAACTATCTGCAGAAAAACAATACATTTAGATCACTTACAGAATCAGGTTTCTAGATTTATTATAAAAGCAAAATAGTTAAGACAATGACGAAGTCTCACTTAATATGCAACAAAAGGTCACTGCAATAAATGATGCTGGAAAAAGTGGATATCAGAATTTTAAAAATTACTCTGACCCTGCCTCACATCAAACAAACAAAATAATAATAAGTAAAGGAGAGTAACAGACTTAAATATCATACCTAAAACAAAAAAACTCCTAACTAGGGTACACAAAGTAGACTTAAACTTGACTTCACTATAATTCAGAACTTCTGTTCTTTGAAAGACATTATTATCAAAGTGAACAGGCAAGCCGCATGAAGGGAGAAGGATACACTATACATACATCTGACAAAGGACTCATAAACAAAATTGATACAGAACTCGGACACTCCAGTAATTTTTAAAAATCTAATTTGAAAAAGGAAGGCAAGGATGAAAGTTTGAGAAGTCACTTCACAAAATAAGCCATTCAAATGGTCAATAAACTTATAAACAGATGCTTAACATCATTACTCATCCAGGAAATGCAAATTAAACAGACATACCATCGTAAGTCCACTAATATGGTTAAATGTTTTCAAAAATTGAAAATATCACACGTTGGCAGGGGTGGCATCAATGGAAACTCTCATGTATTTCTGGTGGGAGTATACATTAGCACAACCAGAGTACCCACTAAAACTAAAAATAACCTTACTATGTAATCCAACAATACCTCTCCTCAGTCTATCCTAGAGATGTATATATGTTCATAAAAAGACACAGCAATTTATTTCTAATATAAAGAAACTAAAAACCCAAAGATCCATCAACAACAATATGGATAAACTGCAGGTGAGTCAAATAATGGGAGATCACAGAGCAATTCTTAGAAGCAAAGGACAACAGAGCCTCAGGGAAGAATCTCAAAGATATGATGATGTGTGAAAAAGAAGACGTGACAGACTATATCACTGGATTTCATTTATGCAATTTAAGAACTAATCTCTGACATCAGATAGGAACAGCAGTTACTTTTGGCGGCCACAGGTAGGGACTGACTAGGAAGTGGTGTGATGGGACATTCTCTATCTAGACCTGGATGGTTGTTACACAATTAGATGTGTGTGTATAGAAATTGTCTTCAATTGCACACTTAAGATTTATGGATTTCACTGTATATATATATACATATATATGAGATACAGATATCACATATATATGATATACAGATATCACATATATATGAGATACAGATATCACATATATGATATACAGATATCACATATATACGATATACAGATACCATATATATACGATATACAGATACCATATATATACGATATACAGATACCGTATATATACGATATACAGATACCGTATATATACGATATACAGATACCGTATATATACGATATACAGATACCGTATATATACGATATACAGATACCGTATATATACGATATACAGATACCGTATATATGACATACAGATACCGTATATATGACATACAGATACCGTATATATGACATACAGATACCGTATCTATGACATACAGATACTGTATCTATGACATACAGATACCATATATATACGATATACAGATACCATATATATATATACGATATACAGATACCATATATATGATATACAGATACTGTATATATGATATACAGATACCGTATATATGATATACAGATATTATATGTGATATATCAATTTAGAAAATCTTTTTAAAAAGGCAAAAAACAAAGCCTGCTAGCCTCAGAAAGAAA
Organism: Homo sapiens; assembly: GCF_000001405.40. Taxonomy (NCBI): domain Eukaryota; kingdom Metazoa; phylum Chordata; class Mammalia; order Primates; family Hominidae; genus Homo; species Homo sapiens. The sequence goes on along the minus strand of NC_000013.11, from coordinate 100,263,690 downwards.
CTGTGTTCAATGTTGTAAAACATCCAACTGATTATATAAGTTTGGATATTTTTTCTCACTTTAGAAAATTTGAGGATTGAAATGATGATTTTCCACCCATAAATAATATCTATGAAAGTGACCATTAAACTTAAGGAATAAACTGACAGAATCTAGGACTTTTTGTATCATGCCCCTGTCAGAAAATATAAGGTCAGCAAATAACCTTTTATTTATCTGGTTCCCTCTCCACACCAAATTAAGATTTAAAAAAATACTTAAAATTCATTATTTCTAATTTGACATTTGTTTTTATCAATTTTAGCTATTACATATCAATTCATAGTCATAATGTATAAAATTAGCATGAAGGCATTTTCAACAGGCAAATGAAAACTTCAACAGACTTGTCTTCTTCCCCGTTTTATTTTAGAAAACCCATTTTGTTTTGCCAAAATCTATGCCCCTACGTAACCACTTTAAGGATGAATATCTTAAACTGAATAGAAGAAATGATTTACAGATCTCTATACAACAAGCTCCTAGCAGAACACCTGTCACAGCAAGCTACACGGACATTTGGTAAACTGAAGTAGCACAGGAGTCCAGGTCAGGCACTTTTCTTTTTTAAAAAATGCCCTATAATGGTCCAGTCTTGGAAGGAGATTAGCCTGGTCGGCTATCTTAGGAATGCATTTTTTGGAGGTAGATTTTTGTATCATTCCCAATCCCAACCAACATCCTAGCACTTTAACGGAAAGTACAACAGATTCTAAAGGCACAACTCACAATCATTCTAAATGGAAGAAAAGATAATTCCAATAGGATTAAATGATATTATTTTAAAATAATAATGAAAAAGCATCTTAAATGTACCAACCTGGATTTCTATATGACGAGGATTATCAATAAATTTTTCTATTAGTAGTCTATCATCGCCAAAACTAGAAGCAGCTTCTTGAGATGACAATCTAAAACCATCCCTGTGAAAAAAAGAAGGAAGAAGGAGGAGGGGGGGAGAGGGAGGGGAAGGGGAAGGGGAAGAAGGAGAAGAAGAGTCAGACTAACAAAACAAATAGAGCTATCATTATAAAAGAAAACACAATCGATTAAATATTTATTTTGGCTTATTCTGAAAAAAGCAAAAACCTTTACTCAATATACAAATAACTAAGTTAATTTTGGTTGACCTGTGACTTTTCCACTCACTAACTCTGTGACCATGGATGAGTTATTTAACTTCTCAGATCCTAGATTTTCCATTGAAACAGGAATGCCGATACTTTACCAACTGCTAAGTATCACTTTTTTTTTTTTTGAGACAGAGTCTCACTCTGTCGCCCAGGCTGGAGTGCAGTGGCAGGATCTCAGCTCACTGCAACCTCTGCCTGCCGGGTTTCAAGTGAATCTTCCACCTCAGCCTCCCGAGTAGCTGGGAATACAGGTGTGTGCCACCACGCCCGGCTAATTTTTATATTTTTGGTAGAGACAGGGTTTCAACACGTTGGCCAGGATGGTCTTGAACTCCTGACCTAAGGTGATCCACCTGCCTCAGCCTCCCAAAGTGCTGGGATTACAGGTGTGAGCCACAGTGCCCAGCCTAAATATGATATTTTAATAAACCATACAGAGCAAGTAAAATTAATTCCATTTCTTCAACCATAATATACCTTAATTCCACTAGCAAAAATATAAAAAAACATCTGTTTGATTCAGAAGTCAGAAGATGCAAAGAAAAATGTAAAGGGTCTAGTCACCTGCATGACTGGAGTGGAACTACAGCAAATACACTCATTGAGATTGAACATCCAACAGGAAGATTCTTAAGAACACTGCTTAATATTTTAAATCCACATCTTGAAATGCAGTTGCCTCCCACATACACCCACACAGATCATTACAATTTTATCTTCTATAAAATTGATCAAAAATAGTAATTATAAAAGTATAGTTTTTTAAAATAAAAATATGGACCTAATTATTGCTTTATATATTTTGTTTACAAACTAATTTAAATCATTACTATTAAAATATGCCTATTATTCAAATATTTAGGGCTCATTTGACCAATCTTTTCAAAACGCAAACTTGGGTGGGCACAGTGGCTTCCCTGAGGTCAGAAGTTCGAGACCAGCCTGGCCAACATGATGAAATCCCATCAGTACTAAAAATACAAAAATTAGCTGGTTGTGGTGGCCCATGCCTGTAGTCCCAGCTACTCAGGAGACTGAAGCAGGAGAACCGCTTGAACCTGGGAAGCAGAGGCTACGGTGGGCAGAAATTATGTCACTGCACTACAGCCTGGGTGACAGTGAGACTCCATCTCAAAAAAAAAAGAAAAGAAAAAACAATTAAAAAAAAAACCCAAACTTGCTTGCCTAAAAGTAATTGAGCATATATTGCCTTCTATCCATTGATATAATCAGCATATAAAATTTAATTCCTTTACATTTAATAAAGTTTCTTAATCTGAAGATTAAATACCTGTATTTAATGTACAACATTAAAGCCAATTCTTCCGATCCTTTAAGAGGCAAATGGTCCATCTACTAATATTAGAAATAACTATCCAATTTGCTTATTTTTGTGCTTTAATTCCTTTTATATTTAATAAAGTTTCTTAATCTGAAGACTAAATGTCTGTATTTAATGTACAATACTGAAACCAAATTCTTCCAGTCCTTTAAGTTGCAAATGGTCCATCTAGTAATATAAAAAACAACTATCTGATTTGCTTGTTTTGTGTTTTCTTTAATGATGTCAGCCCTATTGCTCTATTTGTTTTGTTAGTCTGACCGTTCTTCCTTTTTTTTTTTTTTAAAGGATGGTTTTTCATCTCAAAAGCTGCTTCTAGTTTTGGCGATGACAGACTACTAATAGAAAAATTTAATGATAATCCTTGTCATATAGTAATCCAGGTTGGTACACTTAAGATGCGTTTTAATTATTACAACTTTAAAATAATATCATTTAATCCTACAGTCCACCTAGTAATATTGGAAACAACTAATTTGTGGCCAAGTGCAGTGGCTCACACCTGTAATCCAAGCACTTTGGGAGGCTGAGGCGGGTGGATTGCCTGAGCTCAGGAGTTAGAGACCAGCCTGGGCAACACGGTGAAACCCTGTCTCTACTAAAATACAAAAAATTAGCCAGGCGTGGCAGTGTGCGCCTGTAGTCCCAGCTACTTGGGAGGCTGAGGCAGGAGAATCGCTTGAACCCAAAAGGCAGAGGTTGCAGTGAGCCGAGATCGCACCACTGCACTCCAGCCTGGACAACAGAGCGAGACTCCATCTCAAAAAAAAAAAAAAAAACACACACACACACACACAACTAATTTGCTTGTTTTTGTACAACACTGCAGGTAAAACTGACTAGAAGACAAATTTCAAAACATTGCAAAAAACTCATTTCTCAGAGGTCTCAGAGAAAAGGTATTAGGTTTTCTCAGTCCTCCATCACATTGTTGATTTAGGGGAATAAAGTCCTCCATTACATTGTTGATTTAGGGGAATCTTAGGAGGCTGCAAACTTCAAAGAAACTGGAAGCAAAATGAATTAGTTTTCGATACCATATAATCAACTTTTTATTAGATTGGATATAATAACAGAAAGAAAAAATATAGCACTTTACAGTTTGCCTCCACTATAATGATTGAGATCTTTCATTTTGCATTTAAACCCAGAACACCACAAGTAAAAAGTCAAAGTCACCAAAATAAAATAAGCAGCAAGTTTGAAAGCATCGCCAACAACCTATTTTAGAACTCATGGGAAACTCTATTATGAATATCACTGGTGACATTCAATTATACATTCATTCAATAAGTATTTACTGAACTTTGTGCCTGGATATATTTTAGATGCTAGGAATACAAAAATAAAACAGAAATTGCACTCACAATGCCAAAAGTCTTAGTGGGGATATTCAAAAATATAGACACAATCAGTTTCCCAATCATGCCATACGCTTCATTTAAACTTGAATAGGGAAAAGAAAGCCAGAGATTACTATGAAAATATCTAAGTGAACCTTCAACAATCTTCATAATTCTCACCCAAATTTACTATATAATAAAGGTTGGGCGCAGTGGTGCACGCCTGTAATCCCAGCACTTTGGGAGGCCGAGGCAGGCAGATCATGATGTCAAGAGATCGAGACCATCCTGGCCAACATGGTGAAACCCCGTCTCTACTAAAAATACAAAAATTAGCTGGGTGTGGTGGCGTGCAGCTGTAGTCCCAGCTACTCGGGAGGCTGAGGCAGGAGAATCACTTGAACCCAGGAGGCGGATATTGCAGTGAGCCAAGATCGTGCTACTTCACTCCAGCCTGGGCGACAGAGAGAGACTCTGTCTCAAAAAAAAAAAAAAAAAAAAAAACCATTACATTTTTAAAAAAAATCTTTCAGATGTCCTACAGATTCCAAGACAAGTCATAGATGCTACTTCCCCCCAAAAAACATAGGAAAGATGTTACAAGAAAAAGACACCCCTTAGGATAAAGGAATAAAGTAATTAAGCTACCAAATTTTCCTTTGTACCTGAAAAATGAAATCTTTGTGGATTATGTAAAAACCAATTACTTCCTCGAGAGGGAGAGAGGAAAAGAAGGGGTGGATAAGTTGTGGTATGGTGTTCACGGTTAGTGGCTCCAAAAGACAAGCATAGGCATGTTTGCAGTACTGTTCTTTCCCTTTTTAGGTAGTTTTGACTTTCCCAAATAAATAAGGGACATAGAGCAACTTCTTAAAATGAGGAGCTTGTATTATTAAATCTAATAGGCACGCCTGTGTTGATCTCAACAAGTTTTCTGAGATGGTTTATTTATCAAGCTGAAGAGAGTAATATTTTAAGTAGAAAATTATTCATGTATTTTTATTAATTTTATAAACATATTTTGAATCAATGTGCTATTTACTTGGCAAGAAAGGGCTAAATTATTTACAAAATGATGCCTAATATATGAATGGATATAGTGATTTCTCAAAATATTAAGCTGTAAATTAAAATTTATAAATCAACAGCAGCACAGCAAACCTCACTTCCAAGAAACTATAAAGAGTAATCCGCACCATAAAAGAGTAAGTTACTAACAGTAGCCCTGGAGAAATGACTGATAAGAAACCTGAGATCCTAAGATGAATAATGAAAAATAAGCGCTAAGCGTTCAGTGAAATTGCTATGTAAGTACTGTGCAAAACAGAAAAACAATGAGAAAAAAATTGAAGTCCACAAAATACACATCTCTTGCAAAACCATTAAGTTGTATTCGACTTCTTTATGATACCATTCTTTCCCACAAAACGGGCTGTGGCAGATTGTCTTTTCCAAAGATGGCCACAACAGTATCTCCCATTCCACGTGCTCTTCTAAGAATCTTGCCCACGCTCTCATGAAGAAGTGAAGACTCAGTCCCCTCCCCTTGAATTTGAGCAGAAGCTGTGTTCACTGGAGGGAAACCTGTGTAACTTCTGAGATTGGGCCATAAAAAGTATTCTAAATTATAATAAGAGCGCATTCCATATAAAGGACACAGTAATTTCAAACTCAAGGAAAAAGAATATATTTCACACTCTAAAATTATCAAAGTAATTCACTACTTTTATGCACTAGCAAAGGAAAGCAACTACATATTGAGGTAATACATTAAGTCTCAATGAAATTATAACTGCTTTTAAATATAGTTGATTTAAATCTTTAGATGACATTTAGAATTATATAGCCAAATGTTAGTAATTTATGCCCAGAAAATAGAATCCTGACTGTAATTTTTAAAAATATACGGTAAAAACAAAAAGAAAATCCTTTGTTAATGTTTAAAACAGTAAAACCCTTTCTATAATAAGATAATCATCATCAAAATATAAATAAGGAAGGTTTCCACATAATTTCAATCTTTTTCCCATTCAAAAGTGTAAAAATTAGATGGTTACTGTAATTACTCCATTATGCTTTTGGTATCTGTTTACCTGTCAGTTTAATAAAACTCTGGTAACTGCAATTTTCATCAAAAGTATATTTTGGACAGCCTCTCACCTGGTCTCTTCATCATCCCAAGCAATGCGCATGCCTTTCCCACCACCACCTGCTGAGGCCTTGATCATGACAGGGTAGCCTAACAGCAGGGAAGAATTAGACAGAAGTTCAGACTTTGATCATTGGGATGTATGAACATGACAATTGACCACATGTTCAATAACGCAGAAAACAATAATTAATTTATTTAAAAGTTCCTTTCTTTAGAGTCAGGAAAATAACACCAGGAAAGTAACACCAGTGTAATGATGTATTTAAAAAATGAGAGTGTGACCATTTTAAAAGAAAAAAGGGTACTTGTACCAATAAACATAACACTTTCCCCAGTAATAAAAGCTAAGAAAACACACATAAATTAACAGTGGATTCCAAAAACAGAAGTACAGTATTAAGTAATCAAAGATATAAGAAACAACTTATAATAGCACCAGGAAACATCTCCAAAACTGAGGTTTGCATGCATAACAAATTCCCTTTTTTCAAAAATGGTGATTTTCAGGTACTTAAGGTATTTTCATCTGAAGAGTCACAGACAACCCCTACAGCTTTTATTAGCAAGAAGTGACATGATGGTATTGGGGAAAATCCAAACCTGGCTACGATGCTATGGGCTGGAGCAGAAGCTCCAGGGCTCACTGGTATCAATGGAGAAGCTATTCCACTGTTCCGTACATTAACAGGGTGTTATGAAAATACAAAGTAAGGTCAAAACAAAGCACACTTCCAGCTAAAGTTTTAAACTCATAAAATTGTCATCAGTTACATGATTAAGTATTTAGTTATTATACAGTAAAACTTCTGACAGCAAGAGTCATTTACAACGATTTATCAAGAAAAGTGTACAAGTCTCCTTCTTTAGATGTTTTCTAAAAACAAGGTAGAGATACTCCTATGTTTGGGACCATTTGTTTATGATCTTTTCTGAAGAAAAAAGAGCTCAGTGAGCCCTTACAGGATCCTTCCTGGCCTGTAATGCTCTACTGGCACTCAACTCAAGCTATAGGATCCTTAGAGGAAAAGGGAAGAGAAGGCCAAATGTCATAGACCTTTTGAACCCCAAACCACAAAACATCACTCTTTAACTTCAACTTAGTTAAAATGGCACCTGCTTCCTAAGCGTTTTATAATTAATTCAATTAAAATTTTTTTCTGTTCATGATGTTTATATGGGCTGGTATTTTTGAAACAATGCTCAGTGCACTGAGAAGACAGATAAAGAACATGCTCTTACACTGGGAGCCTTCAAATCCAAGAAGAGAAAAGCAAAGGACCCAAATAGTTCTATCACTGGCAATTCAAAACAGAAAGGATCACAGGGAGGTAGAGAGAAAAATAATTAAGAAAAGTGTATTATCAGAAGGGCCATTTAGGCTGGGCACAGTGGCTCATGTCTGTAATCCCAGCACTTTGGGAGGCTGAGGTGGGCGAATTACGAGGTCAGGAGATTAAGACCATCCTGGCCAACATGGTGAAACTCCGTCTCTACTAAAAATACAAAACTTAGCTGGGTGTGGTGGTGTGCGTCTGTAGTCCCAGCTACTCAGAGGCTGAGGCAAGAGAATCGCTTGAACCTGGGAGGCGGAGATTGCAGTGAGCCAAGATTACGCCACTGCACTCCAGCGCAAGACTCCGTTTCCAAAGAAGAAAAAAAAGAAAGGGCTATTTAAATGATGCTATGAAGAATGAGCAGGACTTGAACATTTCAGGCAGGAATAGTGGGGAAAACAGAGGTGGAGATTATAGGACAAGTTTAAGGAATGACTGAAACAATTCAGTTGAAGTACAGAGTTATCTGCAGGATGGTAGGGGAAAACACAATAGAAAACATAGATGGGGACAAAGCATAGAAGATTGTGCATGCTTTGATTCTTGATTCTGCAAGAGATTATGCACGAGTTTTAATCCTGCATGAGAATGGCAAGAATGGTATTTGTCTCATTCACAATAACAAGCATAAAATAATCAGAATGAAATCAGTAGAGAAGAATTAGCCTGTTTTACGGGAGTGAAAAAGCGCAATCTAAAAATTTGAAACTGGTATACCTGCAAAACCCTGTTTACAACAACTTAATAGATCCTTACCCCCATCCTCTCAAAAAAATATTTTATCAATGCATCATCACAAACCATTTATCCATGTAACAGGAAGCCACAAGAGCTGAGAGACAGCCCACATCTCCACTACATTCAGTTCCCTCTGACGATTAGGAAATTTGCAGTTTTTCTGGTTCCAGTACTAATCGCATTTTAGTCATTTACTAAGGACCCTGGACTATACAGTGATTTGTGAATTTCAAAATATGACATGGAAATCATTCTTGCTCACAAGGAACAAGCTGGGGAAACAAGATACATAAAACAATTTATCAACAAAAAATTATCAGATGCTCAGAAAAGGTGGGAAGTCATTAGAGAATAGGACAATATATAATAAGGCATTGTGGTCTCCCAGTGCTGCTGGCATCACAGCATTAGACCTGTGAATACATGTAACCCAGGAAGGCAAGATTCCCTGACCAAAATCTCACAAGCCAAACAGAAAAATGTTGGGAGGAAGGAAGAAACTGATGCAAGTTAGACTAGCTTTTTTGTTTTTGGTCTCGCTCTGTCACCCAGGCTAGAGTGCAGAGTGTGATCTTGGCTCACTGCAGCCTTGACCTCTTAGACTCAAGCAACCCTCCCACCTCAGCCTCCTCAGTAACTGGGACAACAGGTGCACCCCAACACACCCAGCTAATTTTCTTTTTTTTTTTTTTAAAGATGGGGGTCTCATTATATTGCCCACATTGGTCTGGAACTCCTGGCCTTAAGCAATCCTCCCGCTTTGGCCTCCCAAAGTGCTGGGATTACAGGCATAAGCCACTGAACCTGGCTGATACTAACTCTTAATTTAACCATTGAGCTATATTCTGAAATAATGTAACAGTAAGGTTTTCTACTCAACTTCTTATGCCAAATCGATTTCAGGCAGTACATATGCTGTCACCACACCATGGAGAAACAATACTTAGAAATCTGAAGAGGAGGGAAAAGAATAATCCACACAGATAATGTTAAATAATATCCAACAGTTCAGTCCCTCATCCCTACTTTCTTGTGTCCCTGCCACTCTAATTAAGATAAGTAAATGGGAAGTGGAAGGAAAAAAATATTTAGTCAAAAGTTGGCATTCCTGGAAAAATCAGAAATGATCAAGTTGATGGTACTTGTTACCCCTCACCTCATCTGGACATGAAATTTCCACTAATGTTCTCTCACATTTTCTCATCCACTGGAGCACTTACTTCTGTGCTTGACTCTTGTCTATACTGTATTTGTTTAATTTTGTATTCTTCAGCTGACATATGTTTGAAACAGAATGATAAGCGTTGGCTCTGTGTCCCCACCCAAATCTCATCTTGAAATGTAATAATCCCCATGTGCTGTGGGAGGGACCTGGCGGGAGGTGACTGAATCATGAGGGCGGTTTTCCCCACACTGTCCTCGTGATAGTGAGTGAGTTCTCATGAGATCTGATGGTTTCGTAAGTGTCTGGTATTTCCCCTGCTGGCACTCATTCTCTTCTTGCCTGGTGCCATGTTAAGACATGACTTTGCTCTTAATTCACCGTCCACCATGATCGTGAGGCCTCCCCAGCCATGTGTAACTGTGAGCCCATTAAACCTCTTTTTCTTTATACACTACCCAGTCTCAGGTATGTATTTATTAGCAGTGTGAGAATGGACTAATACACAGAGCATAACAAAATACAAATTCTACTCGTAAAAGGAGGTGAAAGTCCTAGTAGAAGAGACTGCTTTAAAAAAAAAAAAAAAAAAATCAGGCTCTAGTGCCCTTCCCAAGTTTTTCCTCACCTTCCAGGTCCTCTCATGGGATGCTTACTGCTACTACCTTACCTCACCCCAGACACAGAAGTGACTCCCCTACTGACACTGAACCTCCAACACAGAGACAGTCTCCACTCCTTATTCTCTTCTGCACAATAAAAGAGGCACTAATGCTTCCGAAAAGAAATCTACTAATACTATATGACAAAATATACGAAGAAAATACAGAAACTTAGGTTAGCAAAGTACTACAAAGTTTCCATTGCTACTTTTCTGGACTCAGTTTTCAAGGGCAGGTTTAAGTGCAGGACAGGACATCTTCTCTGGGTCCCTCACCTCCCAGCTACCAGTGCGTCTTACTTTCTACCACAAAGCAAGCAGCCTTCTTTCTAACTCTACTATCAAATTTGTATTCATCAGTTTAAAAAATGTTTACTGAATATACACTATAAGCCTTATCTGGCTCTCTGCAGGCTACAAAGGCCAACGATTCAGAAAACTCCCTGCTATCTAGCAGACAATGATATACAAACATACATGCATCTAAATATATGTCTGAGTCGGGTGGAGTGGCTCACACCTCTAATCCCGGCTACTTGGGAGGCTGAGCTGGGGGGACAGCTTGGGCCCAGGAGGTCAAGGCTGCAGTATTTCTTTATGTATATACACATATTAATATAAATAAATAAGTGCATGTATGTCTTATACACAATGTAAGATAGTGATGACTGCTATAACACGGAGGGAATAAATGTAACTGAGAGTGACAGGGTTACTGCTCCTTGAAAATGCTTCTCTGAGAAAACTAGTATTTAAACTGAGAACCTAATGACAAGATAGAGCGAGCACTCTGAAAATCAGTGAGGGGGGATGAGTCCAGACAGAAGGAACAAGTTGGAAGGTGTGATACAGGAAAGGGAAGTACCTAATACAGCATTTTAAAAGATCACTTTGGCTGCTGTGCAATGAATGAATGGTGAAAGGGCAAAGGTAGAAACAAGGAGCTGATGAGGAAGCCTTTGCAGCAGTCCAGCTAGCAACAGAGATAGAGAGAAAGACAAAGACTAGAGTTAGCGACAGTTTGGATGTGGAAGATAAGGGGATGAATGAAGGAAGATTCTAGGAGCTTAGGAGATTTTCCATTTAGTTATGGATTCCAAGTTAAAAAGAATTATCTTTTTTGACCAACTGATAATGTCACATTTACCTACTCAAGACACAATAAATAACCTTACTTTTCAAGCAAAACCCAAGCCACACATGGTAGCACAACCTGGTAACTTAAAAGCTGATAAAATGACACCCTATTGATGCAACAGTGGTACGCTGTATAATAAAGAATCTTATGTGGTTTTCTCACCTACAATTTCTTGAATTAAAATTTCATAGAATATACTAATGGGAAAGGAAAAATAAAAAGAAGGGAAAAGAAAAGTATTTCTTAGAAAATGTCTTATTCCTAATCCAGCGGTACTAATCAGAAATCTCTCATGAATCAAGGAGATGTGATGGGGAATGGGGATCTTCTTTAAATAACCAATTGCAAAACACCTATAATTAACTACAAGGCCTTTGTTTCCTCAAGGAAAGGTCCAAGGTAAAAAGAAAACAAAAGATATTTCAGGAAGTTGAACAGTCCTCTAGATGGATAGAATAGGCCCTGATATGGGTAATAGGACCTCAGAAGAGAAAAGACACCCCACTCCGAGAAAGAACTAGGACAGAAAGGAAGGAAATCCCCAGATGAAAGTTGCTCATGAGAATTACATAGATAGTACGCATTGCTTTGTTTCGTTTCTTTGTGCTCCTCTAATGTAAAGTAGTTCACTTGCCTTTTGAACCCCCTCAGCCTCCCCAGAAGGGAAAGTGTGGGTTTGTGTTTGTTGTTTTGTGCTGATGGCGGGGGGAGTTCTTCATGACCATGATATTTCTGAAGAACCCAGGGTGGTTGTTTGATAGAATATTCCACAATTTGAATATACCTGATTATTCACTCATTAAATTCAAGATGTTTAACAAATCTTAAATACAACATAGTTGATATTGTATCCTCGAGTTCTTCCATCGCATCAAAAGTAAAATAAAAAGTCAATTTATCCCAAACTGATAAAGCTTGATTACTTAAGATGGCATCCATTAAATTTCCTCACAGAAAGTATGCCATTTTTTCTTAGCAAATAATCTGTAGATTGATACTTTGAAACTGTGATGATCCTATATCCAAACAATTTTCACCCATTATTAAAAATGAACTTTAATGATTCTTGCTTTAGTCAATATCTACATTGTTCACTGCACAATGATTAAAAAAACATAAAGACAAAGATCTTTGCCTGTCTTCTTTGTTGTTTCTGCAGTGGCTGAAACTGCCTAAAGAATAACATGCAAAGTAAGAGTTACTAAGTAAATCTATTAGTTAATCTGAGCAGCTGTAAGTCATTATTTTTACTGCTGTAATCTATGTCACCTACAAACATACTGCAGCATTATCCATTCCACTGTGAATGAACATTCAGACTGTAACCTGTTCTATTTATATAACAATGGTCCTTTGAATATTTTTGTACTTGTTGTCTGGAACTTTGTATATGAGCTTCCTGGATCTATGTGTAAGAGCACAACTGCTGGATAGTATGAAACTCTTATAAATTCTTTATTTAAAAAGATCAAATCTATTCACTTTTCTTTATCTCAGTTATCATAATACTTAATCATAATACTTACACAAACTACCAGCAGTCCAGGACTCTTGTACTGGCCTACTAGCAGAACTCCCCACTACTACAGTTGCCCCCATCCAAGCCACATAGTGGTCAGTGAAATTTTCTTAAGGTATATATACTATTATATCTCTCTCCTGCCTACATCTTTCATGGGTTTACATTATACTACGAAAAAACCATAGACGTATAATGAAATAGAAATTATGAACCAAAGGACAGGAAGTGTGACGGGTAGAGAGACAGCATAATACAAGCTTGTTTAATCAGAACACGAGAAAGGACTATGCTAGACTTGCCCTAAGAAAACTTTTTTAAAGCCTAAAAGGCCTTAACCTAAACAAAATTAATGTACCTGCCAGACTAAACATCTATACCTTTTAAATAAAGGTAACAAAATCCAAACACACAATGTAACATTTACAATGTCTAGAATCCAATCAACAATTAAGAGATAGGTAAAGATGCAAAATGTGATTCATATCAGAAGGAAAATAGCTGACAGAAAGAAACCCAGAAATGAAGACTCTTAAAACAGTTGTTACAAATACTATTATAAGTTACAGCTATTACAAACAGGTAAAATGATTTGGAGAAAAAAATAAACATGATGAGATAAATAAGAAAAAAGCAAACATTTTAAAATTAAGTTTTTAGATATTAAAATGACTAAAAAATCCAATAATATATAAAAAGAATTATATACCATGACCAAATGGGATTTAATCCTGGTATGCAAAGCTGATTCAACATCCAAAAATCAATTAATGTAATCCATCACATTAACAGGCTAAAGAAGAAAAATCCTATGATCATATAAATAGATGCAGAAAAAGCATTTAACAAAAATCAACAATCACTGAGTTTAGCAAACTAGGAATAAAGAGAAATTTCTTGTACTTGATAAAGAATATACACAAAAAGCCTACAGTTAACATTACACTTAATGACAAGAAACTGGATGCCTTCTCCCAAAAATCAGGAAAAATACAAGAATGTCCCCTCTTACAACTCTTATTCAACATCTGACTGCAGATTCCAGCTTATGAAGTATGTTAAGAAAAGGAAATAAAGAGTAAACAGACTGGAAAGGAATAAATAGAACTGTCTTCACTAGTGGATAAGATGACTGTCTATGAAGGAATTCCAAAAAAATCAGCAATAACAACAAAATTCTTGGAACTGATAAGCAATTATAGTAAGGTTACAGAATACAAATTAATATACAAAAGATTATCACATTCCTATATACCAGCAGTGAACAACTGGAATTTGAAATTAAAATAGTGACATTTACATTAGCACTAAAGAAATAAAATAGGCATGAATCTTAAAATACATACAGTGTATCTATGAGGAAAACTACAAAACTCTGACGAAAGAAATGGATGAAAATCTAAATGTAGAGATAATCAATGTACATGGATAGGAAGATTCAATATTGTTAAGATATCAATCCTCCTCAACGTGATCTATAGGTTGAACACAATTAAAATCAAAGTCCTAGCAATTTATTTTGTAGATATCCACAAACTGATTCTAAAGTTTATATGGAAAGGAAAAGACCCAGAATAGGCATCACAATATTGAAGAAAAAGAACAAATTCAAAAGACTAACAATACCCAACTTCAAGACTTACTATAAAGCTACAGACATCAAGACAGTATGGTATTGTCTAAGACAGACAAATTACTCAAGAGCCCAGAAGTAGACCCACACAAATACAGTCAACTGAACTATGACAAAGAAGCAATGGCAATTAAATGCAGATAGTCTTTCCAAACAAAGGGTACTGGAATAACTGGATATTCATTATGCAAGAAAATTAATCTTGCCACAATCCTTATACCTTTCACAAAAATTAACTCAAAATGGATCTCAGACCTAAATATACATTGCAGAACTATAAAATTTCTAGAGAAAAAATAGAAGAACATCTAGGTGACTTTGGTTTAGCAATGAGTTTTTACATATAACACCAAAAGCACAAACCATTAAAAATTGGCACATTTAACTTCATTAAAATAAAAATTTCTGCAGCCCAAATAACATTCTTAAAAGAATAAAGACACAGCCGGGCATGGTGGCTGATGCCTGTAATCCCAGCACTTTGGGAGGCCGAGGTGGGCAGATCACCTGAGGTCAGGGGTTCGAGACCAGCCTGGCCAACATGGCAAAACCCCATCTCTACTACAAGTACAAAAAAAAAAAATTAGCCAGGCGTGGTGGCGGGTGCCCATAATCCCAGCTACTCAGGAGGCTGAGGCAGGAGGATCACTTGAACCCGGGAGGCGGAGGTTGCAGTGAGCCAAGCTCGCGCCACTGCACTCCAGCCTGGGCAACAAGAGTGAGACTCCATCTCAAAAAAAAAGAATAAAGACATAAGTTCTAGACTGGGAGAAAATATTTACAAAACCCATACCTAAGAAAGAACTTGTATCCAAAATACACAGAGCTCTTAAAACTCAACCAGGAAACAAACCACCCAATTGAAAAATTAACAAAAGATTTGAAGAGACATCTCAATAAAAAAGAAACACAGATAGCAAATAATAGCATGAAAAGATGCTCAATATTATATGTCATGAGGGAACTGCAAACTGAAACTATGAGATACTACTATGTGCCTATTAGAATGGCTAAAATCCAAAACACTGACAACACTAAATGTTGCCAAAGATGAAGGACACCTGAAGGAATGTCTCCAAGTTGAAATTTCTATAGCAAGCACTGAAACAATAGAAATAGAGTATAAAATTTCCAACATAGTGGAGGGAGGAATGGGAAGGGGACATAAAATAAGAACAAGAGACATTTTTTTTAAAGTCGTCATCAAAAAGAAGCCAAGAAAGAAAACAGAATCCAAAGAATGGAACAAACAAAACCCCCAAAAAGTAGATTATATAAATAAATCAAAATATAATTTTAAATACAATAAATATAAATGGACTAAACTCTCCAGCTAAAAGACAAGCTCCAGCAGGCTGAATAGAAAAACAATAAAATAAAAATCCAGTCCAAATTTAGATGTGCACTTACAAGAGACACACCTAAAACAACAGTTCACTGGCAGATGAAAAAGATAAAGAATGATACAAGGATAAAACAAAAATAAGCTTGTTTAGGAATATTAATATCATAATTAGACTTGAAAACAAAAATTGGTCATTATGTTTTGATAGCCAAGGAAACACGATACACTGTAATACACCTATTATCTAAACAGGGACAAAACCTAACGAGCAAGGAAAAATTGGAAAATCACTTTTTCAAATATAGGTCCATCAGATATCCAAAAACATCACAAAAAGGCTGGATGTGGTGACTCATGCCTATAATCCCAGCACTTTGGGAGGCCGAGGTGGGCGGATTACTTAAGGTTAGGAGTCCGAGACCAGCCTGGCCAACATGGTGAAACCTCATCTCTACTAAAAATACAAAAAAATTAGCCAGGTGTGGTGGCAGGCACCTGTAGTCACAGCTACTCGGGAGGCTGAGGCAGGAGAATTGCTTGAACCCGGGAGGCAGAGGTTGCAGTGAGCCCAGATTGTGCCAATGCACTCCAGCCTAGGTGACAGAGCGAGACTTTGTCTCAAAAAAAAAAAAAAAAGGCCGGGCACGGTGGCTCACACCTGTAATCCCAGCACTTTGGGAGGCAGAGGCGGGCAGATCATGAGCTCAGGAGATCAAGACCATCCTGGCTAATATGGTGAAACCTCGTCTCTACTGAAAATACAAAAAATTAGCCGGGCGTGGAGGCAGGCACCTGTAGTCCCAACTACTTGGGAGGCTGAGGCAAGAGAACGGTGTGAACCTGGGAGGGGAGCTTGCAGTGAGCCGAGATCATGCCACTGTACTCCCGTCTGGGCGACAGAGTGAGACTCTGTCTCAAAAAAAAAAAAAAAAAAAACCCACACAGGCTGGGCGCAGTGGCTTATGCCTGTAATCTCAGCACTTTGGGAGGCCAAGGTGGGCGGATGACCCGAGGTCAGGAGTTCGAGACCAGCCTGGCCAACATGGTGAAACCCCATCTCTACTAAACTATAAAACTTGGTCGGGCATGG
Organism: Homo sapiens; assembly: GCF_000001405.40. Lineage (NCBI taxonomy): Eukaryota > Metazoa > Chordata > Mammalia > Primates > Hominidae > Homo > Homo sapiens. The sequence goes on along the minus strand of NC_000013.11, from coordinate 100,247,061 downwards.
TGGTGGGTGCCTGTAATCCCAGCTACTCAGGAGGCTGAGACAGGAGAATCACTTGAACCCGGGAGGCGGAGGTTGCATTGAGCCAAGATCGCACCATTGCACTCTAGCCTGGGTGACAGAGTGAGACTCCATTGTCTTAATTAAAAAAAAAAAAAAAAACTCACTAGAAGTTTTGAATATCCCAATAGGTAGGTTTGACCTCTTGAGTTTTCTATAAGACATTGCATATAATAATTTGAGAATATACACTCTTTTCAGGAACATACAGAATATGTATCAGAGTGACTTATTCCTTAGCCATAAAGCAATTTTCATCAAATCTGAAAGATTTTTAAATGAAAAACATGATACTCTCTGACCACAAAGCAATTAAGTTAGAAATCAATAATAATAAAAAACTATTTTTTTTTCAGTTATTTAGAAATATATCACTAGGCTTGGCATGGTGGCTCACACTTGTAATTCTAGCACTTTGGGAGGCCAAAGCAGGAGGATCAGTAGAGCCCAGGAATTTGAGACCAGCCTGGGCAACATGGCAAAACCCTGTCTCTACAAAAAATACAAAAACAACAACAACAACAAAAATTAGCCAAAAGTGGTGGCATGTGCCTGTAGTCCCAGCTACTCCAGTGGCTGAGGTGGGAGGATCGCTTGAGCCTAGGAGGTTGAGGCTACAGTGAGCCGTGATCACACCACTGCACTCCAGCCTCAATGACAGAGCAAGACTCTATCTCAAAAAATTAAAGAATTAAAATACATCACCAAATAACATATGAGTCAAAATCATAGCAGAAATCTGAAATTACTTAGAAATGAACAATCATGAAAAATATATCTCAAAGTTATTAAGTACAGTTTTCTGCCCAGATCCCTAGTTCAGGACATTGCCCCAACTGTTGTAAGTATTGTCAACCAAAAGCTGACTTGTCCTCGGCTTTCTGCCTAAGGTCATGCCCCTTCCTAGGGGCAGCCCACACCCCCTAGATAGTTGATACAGGTGTATAAAGGCTGAATCCTCTTGCCCGAACTTGGAACAACTAAAAAAGACCAACAAATATTCACAGCTCTCTAAATTATTAGCTGATGGCTTTGTTGAGAGAGAATCAATTCAACTTTTCCCTTGGCTCAGTTTCCTTCATTCCCCCTCAGGTATTGGTCCCAAAATTATTTCCCCCAATAAGCTTCCAGAGTCTACCTCCAAGGGATTACAAGCTATGATAAGAGGAGTACATTTCAAAAGCTGTTACAGTGATGTAGGCAAGGGATGACACTACCTTAAACAAAGAGAATAGCAACAGAAATGCAGAGAAGTAGATAAATTCAAGAAATATTTAGGAGATGGTGGTGACAATCTGCAAATTTCAAAGCCACACAATGAGATATAATAGTAAACACCTTGTCATGAAGAATGTCTTATTGATGATTACCAAAACTGAGGCTTTTCTGTGTCCTGCCTCTGTAATCTATGACATTGCAGATGGTGGAAACTCCATCAGCCTTAGCCACTGAATAAGGATAGCATAGAACAAAATGCCTCCTTCTCACCCTACAACCTGACGAATGAGAATTGAACACACAGAATGAAGAAAAACTAAATCTGTGTTGTTTAAAGTGACAGGAGAGGGGCTGTAAAAATGTGGTATAGTCGAGGTCTGGTGAACTAATGACAACTCCACAAACTCCAATTAAATTTAGCATATTACTAGAGTTTTCCAAGGAATCTAGTTCAGAATCTACTGGGAAATTTGGCTGCCATGCACCATGTGACTAACACTGAAAAATTCCTGCTGTAGATACAAACAAGGAAACAGTTTAAATTCAAACAAATTGGGGAAATACACTCTACTATCAATGCATTACTCATTTTTTATTTGATCATAATTTTCCACTGATTTTATTGCTCTCTTTAAATCACAAAATAGTTATATTTAGTTTCATCATTATCAGTTTAGTTTTGGAGTATCATTCGAGTTGGCAGACCTCAGACTGAGGTGATGCACATTTGCATCAATACTATTTGGGGTCTGTAATTATCCAGTAACTAGTAAACATATATATGTTGGAGTCTATGATTTATCCACATCTCTACTACTGCGCACACACACACACACACACACACACACACACACACAGCCTTTCCTCAGTCTGTCATACACATATATACAAATAACTATATAAACATATTTAAATAAGAATCAATATTCAGTACCTACAAAAATATAATCCAGATGTATTATACACTAAACAAACCAATACATGACACTATTTTATGACACTATTTCTTTGGCAGAGAAAGGAAAAACTGATTTTGCCTGCCTATTTCTCTCTACTTAGGCAAATAAAAATACTAGATCCCTAACTCTGCTCCAGGGATCGGAAATCAGTGCATTTCAGTGCCCAGATTAGAGCAAAACGCTTCACACACAGGAAGTTTCCAAACAAAAAAAGCAATGTTTTTTTCACATTACAATGTGTTTCCACATTCCTGCCTGAATGTTATGCACAGCCTTTTCCAACAGAGTAATAGAAAAAGGAAAAAAATGGTATTCACGAATGACTAACAATAAAACAAGAGAAAGAAGATGAAGGACTGAGAGAAATAAAGGGAGACAGAAACAGCAAATTTAACAGTAAAAGACAGAAAAAGAACTTGTGAAATTATGCTTAAACCCAAATGTGCATGTTGGAATAATAAAAGAAAATATAAGCACCCATTGGAAAAGAAAGAAGAAAAAAAGCCACAGAACACAAGTTCCTGTCTCCCAGGGAATATCATTCTAATCTCAAATGACCACATCACTTCAATAATAGGAAAACAGCAAAATATACATCTCATTATTTAATGGATTTCACATAGATTATTTTAATGCCATTTTCTTTAACATAACTTTTCCTTAGGCGTTATTCAATCTCCTTAAATATTAAATGTCTTCTCCTGAAGACGAAATTGGCAAATAAATTAACAAGATGTAAGATTGTGAAGAAGGTATAAATTGTAATGTTTTTGCAAAGGTTTCTTCCATATAACCTTAACCCCAGAGTCATATATAACATGTGAAAATTTTTCTAAGCTGCATGAAATAGACAAAATAAAAAGATTCCTGACTTAGCCACATATTTTTATCCCTCTTAAGTATGAATTATTGGTTGTATATAAGCAACAAAAGTAACTTTTTAAAAAAATGTTGTATTATGCCAAAAGGAAGATGAGAAGAATAGGCAAAGGCAAACAGCCAGGGCAGAAAAGAAAGGACTACCATATAGCCCCCACACACTACGCAGAGACAGGGCAGACACACTACATCAGAAGACTAATAGTAAAATAAGTCAAATGGGAGAGCCAGACTTTCAAAGAACATAAGATGTCATGGGAACAGGCTGGTGTAAAGGCAATAAGGTTCAGTAAAAGACTTTCATACATTTGAATCTTAGATTCCTATAAATTTCTATTAGTCCAGCCTAATGAACACAAGGACAGCCTACAAGAATTGATGACTAGTAGTCACTAACAAGTATATACTGAATTTATTTGAATAATCCTAGATCATTTTGTTTCAATTATCTATTTGCTGAAAGTTTATCATGTTTTGCTTAATATTCCTTTTTTTCCCCAGGTATCTCTATTATAAAATTGAAGATTAAGGGGGAAAAGGGAGAAAATTATAGTCAAATTCTGGTCTATAAATATTACAAAAGAACTTTAAATATGTGATTGCTTAATTCATTTCTATACATATATATACATATTTCATTTTGATTTATTCACCAAATAACCACTTGCTGAATATATACTCTGTAACAAGCATTAAGTATTAGAAATACAAAGAAAACTAACTCATGGTCAATTTTACTACAAAATAGTAACCAGCCAGATGTGGTGGCTTACACTTGTAATCCCAGCACTTTGGGAGGCCAAGGCAGGGGGAGCACTTGAGGTCAGGAGTTTCAGACTAGTCTGGCCAACATGGTGAAACCTTGTATCTATTAAAAATACAAAAATTAGCCAGGCGTGGTGGTGCATGCCTGTAGTCCCAGCTAAGTGGGGGCTAAGGCAGATGAATCGCTTGAACCCAGGAGGCAGAGGTTGCAGTGAGCTGAGATCACACCACTGCCCTCCAGCCTGGGCAACAGAATGAGACTCTGTCTCAAAAAACAACCACCACCACAACAAAAATTTTACTATAAAATAGTAATCAAATTAATATAAAGCAATCATTTGCAAAGAAAAATAAAATTTATATATTGCAGAGAATCCTATACTATTTTAAGAAAAGAGCAATCCATCAATATAAATCAGTACATGCGGGGAAAAATATTTCTATATCAAACTAAGTCTTGGGAACATTGCGAGTCATGGGCAACACTTTATGAGATATTGCTCCTGTTTGTTATTATATTTTCTTTTTCTTTAACAATTATTTTAACTCAATCATCACTCCTTTCCTCTTTTAATAGTTACTTGAGAAAAATGTGCCTTATATTGTTATTGGGTAGAATGGTCATTATATATCCATAAGGTCTAATTAGTATATAGTGCTGTTCAAGTCCTCTATTCCCTCCCTTACTGATCTCTCTAGATGTTGCATCCATTACTTATAGTGTGCTATTAAAGTCTCCAACTACTATTGTAGAATTAGTCTGTTTCTCCCTTCAATTCCGTCAATGTTTATCTCAAATATTTTAGGGCCATGTTTCCTGGTGCATATACATTTGTAATTGTTAATCAATATAAAATGCCCTTCTTTGTCTCTTAGAATAGTTTTGGACTTAAAGTTTATCTTGTCTGACATTAGTATGCCACCCCAGCTCTCTTTTGGTTACTATTTACATGGGATATCTTTTTCCTTCCTTTCACTTTCAACCTATTTGTGTCTCTGCATCTAAAGTGAGTTTCTTATAGACAGCATATAGTTGAGTCACTTTTTTTAATCTATTCTTCCCTCTGCTACAATAAGATATTATTCTACACACACACTAGGATGGCAATAGTTTTCCTTATAAAAGAAAGAAAATAACAAGGGTTGGCAAGGATATGAAGAGATTGAAACCCTTATATATTCTTGGTAGAAATGTAAAATGGGACAGCCACCATGGAAAATAATTTGCTAGTATCTCCAAAAGTTACACATAGAATTACCATATAACCCAGCAATTTCACTTCGAAGAATATACCCAAAATAATTGAAAACAGGTATACAAACAAATACATGGACATAAATGTTCATAGCAGTACCATTTACAATAGCCAAGAGGTAAAAACAACCCAAATGTCCATCAATAGATGAATAAATAGATAAGGCCAGGTGCAGTGGCTCATGTCTATAATCCCAGCACTCTGGGAGGCCAATGTGGGTGGATCACTTGAGCCCAGGAATTCAAGATCAACTGAGGCAACATGGTGAAAACCCACTACAAAAAAATACAAAAATTAGGCATAGTGGCACACACCTGTAGTCCTAGCTACTCAGGAGGGTAAGGCAGGAGGATTAGTAGAGCCCAGGAGATTAAAGCTGCAGTGAGCTGGGATCACACCACTGCACTCTATCCTGGGTAAAAGAGCGAGACCCTATCTCAAAAAAATAAAAAACAGACAAAATGTGGCATGTACATACAATAGAAAATTATCCAACCGTAAAAAGGGATAAACGGTAGAACATGGATGAACCTTAAAAACACTATTCTGTGTGAAAGAAACCAGACACAAAAGTTCATATGTTGTGATTCCATTTATTTATATGAAATATCCCCAGAATAAGTAAATCCACAAGACACAAAGTAAATTAATGGTTGTCAGGGACTAGATGGAAAGAAAATAAGAAGTACATACTAATGAGTACAGAGTTTCTTTGGGGAGTAATGAAGATCTTCTGAAATTAGATAGTGATTACAGTTACACAACCTTGTAAATACACAAAAAATCACCGAATTGTGCACTTTGAAAGGCTGAATTGTATAGTATTAAAAATTTATCTTAATTTTTAAAAATCTAATCTTTAGTATAAAAATCTGAACAAGTTACCTGCAGGCCAGGGGGTAGGCGAGAACTGACTTGGAAGGATCATGAGGGAAATCTCCAGGGAAATAGTATGTTCAGCACCTTGGTGGGATTCTAAGTTATATATATATATGCATATGTCAAAATCCACAAATACACACTTAAGATTTGTTCACATTATATTGTGTGCAAATTTGGCATCAAAATAACAAAACTGTATACAAATACTGAATTCAATTAATAACACATGTTGAAGTATTTAATGGGACATATACTGGTTGTGCAATTTACTCTGAAATGCAACAAAAATAAAATGGATTAGTATATGAACAGATAAGTGGTAAAGCAAATCTAGAAAAAGGTTAATAGTGGGATCTTAGTGTTGGGTATACGAGTATAAACCGTAACAATTATTTCAAAATGCCGTATGATTGAAATTTTTCAAAATAAAATACTTGGAGAAAAGTTTATGAATAAAAAAAATCTGCAAATCATGAATACTATGCAGAAATTTAGAAAATAGTTATAAGACAGAGAATGACTGGGTGGCAGTATTAGAGAATCTTCTCTTGAAGACATGATACTTAGGCTAAGATATGAAAGACTGCAAGGAGCTATTTTTGTGAAGATATCAGCAAGAGTCTGCTAGGTCCTGCCATCCCCCTTCACCCCGCAAAAGATTAAAAAAAAAAAAAAACTTATCCTAAGGCCCTGAAATTTGCTGTGTTCAAGTAAGCTAATGTGACTGAAGTATGGGAGGCAGAGAAGGGAGTAGTATACAATAAGACTGGAGAGAAAAGCAGGTGTCAAATTACATAGGGATAGTAGTCAGAGTAAAGAATTGTGATTTTTATCTAAGTTCAATGGAGTCATTACAGAATTTAAAGCAGAAATGGGCTGGGATGAGATGAAATATATCCTTGTTCTTTAAAGATTTTAAATATCTCACTGTCAGCTATGTGAAATGTTTAAGAAATGAAGTAAAGAAACTATTGCCACAGTCCCTGCAAAAGACAAAAGTAGTTTGGAGGAGAGTGGTAGTAATGAAGACAGTGTATATAAGATGAACTGACAATGCCTATTGATGTATTTACAACAGGATGATGAGGAAAAGAGGCATCCAGGAGAGACTCAGTTTTGGCCTGACTGAAAGGGGTGACATTTATTGAGATTTGGAAATTCTGGGAGAAGTAGGTTTGTAGTATGGTAGACCTGAGGATCAAAAAAAAAAGTTTTTATTTAAATTGGGCATGATTTGTGATTGTGAGAAAGACAAGCAAAGGAAAAGAATCTGAATAATCTGGAAGTTGTTAAAGGACAGGTTTTAGATTCACAATTTATTTTCCTTTCAAGAATCAATTTTGACTTGATTGTATTAAGGACCTTTGGCCCAGTAAAAAGATCAAACTTCAATGGAAATCAAGCTCACTGATTACTGTTGTCTATCATTGAGGTTAAAGACAAACTGAGGATCAATAGCTCTGTATCTCTCAACTTAGATAGGTCAAAGTAAAAAATCAGGAACAAGAATGAGAGAAACTAGGTAGTCCAAAAAACAAATACATACAAGTAACATATTAAGTCTTAACTGTCTCTCACCTCATCAAGGATAGGAGACTGTCTGCTTCTTTAATTCCATGTATAACACATTTGAGTACCTTACAGTATTTTACACAAAGTAGTCGCTCAAATTTTAGCTGCCATCCTCTAATCCCATTGGTTTAGACACAGTATAATAAAAAGTCTGTGGTCTTTGGAGTCAAATAAACCTAAATTTAAACCAGGGTCCACCACTCGATAGTTCTGTGACCTTGAGCAAATTACTTACCATTTCTAATCATTAGTTTCCTTAAATGTAAACAAAAATGATTAAACCCAAGAATTAGCATTAGAAACAACATTTCCAAAGTGCCTGGCCTTAGGAAGAAATGCTCCATAAACTGGAGTTACCATTATGTAAAAGGCACTTAATTCATCAATGCTCAATACAGTGAGTTTCCTACTTTGGCAGCATAGATTAATGTTTCCAGAAGAAAAGCAAAGACATGAGAGAGGAGGAAATCACATAAAACAGGATAAACTTCATTTTCATCACATAACACAGAAAGAATTAAGAGAGAACTCTATGAATAGGTATAACACATGGACAATCAACAACTTACAAATGGATAGGTTCAAAGGTTTGATTATAAATCAGTTGTTTAGAACTAGGAACACATTTTCACATGGAATCATAATCATAGTTAAAATGTGATATATCTCAATAAAATCAGTAGTAAAAAACTTACGAAATATCAAACAACACAGAAAGCCAACAGACTTTAATAAAACATAATTTAATTTACTTTAGAAAGTAGCACTTCAAGGAAAAGATTTTATGCGAGGCTTCTGAGGTGATTCAGAAGAGATTTTCAGAGAAATTCTAAAAGCTTTGTAAGAGCTGATGACCCTAGTTCTTTATGGTTTATTTTACCTCAAATTTTATGGTTTCCCTTTCTTTCAGTATAAGCAAAACACCAGTACTCTTATACTTAATAGCCATGATTGCTATCATTTATTTCACAAGCAAGAGAGAGTAATTGGGGAAGAATTAGAAGAAGGACAGGAAAGAGAAAGGAGTCATAAAGGATGTGCCCAAGTACAAAGAAAAAAGACTTAGATTAGATTAGGTAACTTCAGTAGGAAAAAATAAAAAATGAAAAGGAGGTAAAGCACAGCATTAAAATATTGAGGGAGGAAAGCAAAGTGATGAGAACTAGTTAGACAGAGGCCCATCATGATGAGCTGGTTATCTTAAAGGTGACAGGTTATAACGAAAGTGGAAAATGGCCAGGTGCACTGGCTTATGCCTGTAATCCCGGCACTTTGGGAGGCTGAGGTGGGCAGATCACCTAAGGTCAGGAGTTCGAGACCAGCCTGGCCAGTATGGTGAAACCCCGTCTCTACTAAAAATACAAAAAAATTAGCTGGCATTGTGGTGTGTGCCTGCAATCCCAGCTACTCAGGAGGTGAAGGCAGGAGAATCACCTGAACCCGGGAGGCAGAAGTTGCAGTGAGCAGAGATCGCACCACTGCACTCCAACCTGGGCAACAAGAGTGAAAAGTCTGTCTCAAAAAAAAAAAAAAAGAAAGAAAGAAAGAAAGAAAGTGGAAGAAAAGGCATAAAGGAAGCAAAGCAATCCACGGCCTGCTATTTACACAAAGGGAATGCTCGCAAGTCCAAAATTCACCATTCAAAATGTGGCACTGCAGTGTAACTGTAAATTTTCTTCTAATCCCTTTATTTCCCTAAATTTCTCTAAATATTGTCCTTTATGTAGATACTGTAATAATAATAATAACAGTATTATTATATCCAATGAGGTTGATAATAATATCTAACCTAGAACTAGAAAAAGAGCTTTTTAAATGTAAAGATGTCTGACAGGATGGAATTAAACTATTTTAGAAAACTATCCTCAAAAGCCAGTAGGTATATTATATGCCTCTTAGGCAATGAGGAATACCAGTGATTTCAAACCATGAACAGAAACTTTTGATTTTTCTCCATAAAGAAACCACAGAATCAGTTCTATATAGTCCAGTTTATTTAGCAGTCGAGCAAATGTTCCTATGAAGTACTGATAGGCTTTTTGAAATGTTAATGATTCTGAAAAAAAAAATGAAGAGATGAGGTAGTCAGATAAAATAAGATTTTCTATGGTCTGGTCTTAAATCCAGGACCTATATCAATAAGATAGATTTTTGCAAAGCAAACAACAAAACACACTTAATGATGGGCAAAGCCCAAATAATTTAGACAGTACCAACTACAAACAAGGGTGCAATAAGCCAAACTGCTTTTCAGGTCACTAAAGACCTGCTAAGTTAGACTGTCCCATTTGCAAAGAACACGCTTACTAGTACAAGTGATCACTTCCAGACCAATAAGATATTTCTACATATCACAACTATATGAGCTTTGCCAAATCAAATGCTCTCTAGAGGCAGAAAATAGATCTAAATAATCTTAGTGAGAAAACAGGCCTACAGAAATGTTCGTGTGGCACGATGAGATGCTTGGACTGAGGCGTACAGGAATGCTGAGAAGACGCTGGGATCCCTACAAGCATTGCCTAATTTCTCTCATCTGTACAAATTTCTGTCAAATGTATACAATTACTGATTTGATTATTAAACCTGCAAAGTTATTTAACAATATTGTTAATCCATATAATAGCATGCCCTTACACATTTTCTCAATTAGCAGATACCAAAAATAGTTCTCATGACCGCCAAGAATATTTTTAAAATTAAAAAGTTGCGAGCCAGGGGCGGTGGCTCACGCCTGTAATCCCAGCACTTTGGGAGGCTGAGGCGGGTGGATCACCTGAGGTCAGGAGTTCGAGACCAGCCTGGCCAACATAGTGAAACTCCATCTCTACTAAAAATACAAAAAATTAGCTGGGCGTGATGGCAGGCACCTGTAATCCCAGCTACTAGGGAGGCTGAGGCAGGAGAATCGCTTGAACCTGGAAGGCAGAGGTTGCAGTGAGCGGAGATCGTGCCATTGCACTCCAGCCTGGGCAATGACAGCAAAACTCCATCTTAAAAAAAAAAAAGGAAAGAAAAGAAAAAGAAAAGAAATTAAAAAGTTGGGAAACACTGCCCAAATACAAGTACATGTAAAACAGCCATTAAAAACTCCTCCAGTCTACCTTTTATTCCAATTTAGATCATTCAGTTCTAATTTCCCACATCTATTTTATCTTTCCCATCTAACAAGATTAAGTTGATACCTAACATCTTAGCAAAAGGCAAAAACTTAAAGAACTATGTCACATATGGTATCTTCATTTTAATCCAAATGTTCTTAATTTTAACAAACCACATTCAACTATGTACATATAAATTGACATTAAACTTATATCCAATCTTTAGAATTCTTAAGACAATTCCTTCTTTGAATTAGCCTGTGATCTCATCTTACAAAAGAGTTATGTATAGTTAAGGTCAAATTACTCTTTACAGTCTCCTTTAATAATAGAATTTGGCAATTCAACTGATACATTCTTCCAGAGCAACAAGTAATCAAAATCTAAAACTATTAAAGTATTATTTGCTCTATGGGAATTACTTATTACCTGTTGACTCAACCGTATCTGCTGAAAGACACAGAAATCCTACCAAAGTTAATTTAAGGACTTACCAATTTCCCTTGCAATTCTGACAGCTTCTTCTGCATCCTGTAAAAGCAGGAAATGAGACTCAACATTAATCCCATGAGGCATTGCACAATGTCTTTAGGGCAGTCATATATTGCACTACTGTCTCCTCCGATTCATTTAATGTTCAATTTTACTACCTTCTAACCCTTTTCATTCAGAGAAATGTAAAATTAATACCATAAGTGGAATGTAAATTCTACCTCATCATTATTATATTAAGAAACTCAAAGCAGTTGAAATGAGCTGGCAGGAAGCACTACCAGAATTGCCAATGATTTGGTGCAGTTGCCGGAATTTAATGGCAGAATTTAGATGTTTACAATCAATACTGAATCATAAATCAGGTCATTAAAGCTTGTCCGCAGCCAGCTTGTTTCTGTCCAATATTATGTGTCATGTTTTCCTAGATTCTGTCAGCAGGGGGAGTTGATTCTCTATTGTTTGGGAGTAGTTGATCGATTTTGCAGAAATATGAAAGTTAATTTCCAGTACCTACAGGAATTACGAATTGTTCCAAAAAATCCTTTTGGTAATCTGCATTACCTTTTCTTTTCTATTGTTTCTTTCTTTTTTTTTTTTTTCAGGTACATATTTTATCTCTACAATTGTATCTTGTTACATAAATTAAAAAAAAACTTTAATTTCAACGAACCAACTACTGGAGGAAAAAACTCCAAAAAGCAAAAGAAAGAAAATACCTTCCTAAACAGTAAGGGGTAAAAGTTTATCCATTTAAGGATTAGTTATTGCTAAATATTAACCAATGCCACTTCTACCTCTAAGAAGATGAAAAGACAAAAACTTCCCTTGAATCTAAGTAATTTCACTGATCATTAACCCTCACCTAACACATCCAACACAGGACACTGCTGAATCATTTCCCCAAATAACAATAAAGATAATGTTGAAATCTAAGCCTCCTTCGTGTGTGTGGGTATGTGTGGGGTGTGTGTGTGTGTGTGTGTGTTTGTGTAATTCAGTGACACAAACTAAACTACCACAAAGACTGACAATATTGTTTTGAAACCACAGCTGGTAAGTGTGACTGAATTTTTAGAAAATGACTAAAATGCTGAAGTGAAGCCCAGTGTTTTTTAAGCTTTTAAGCTAATACGTTTAAAATGTAGAGCAACCATGTCAGAATCCTCCGAGAAGGGGGCGGGGGGGGATGTTTATAACTGGTTCACTTATGTCTAATAAAAAAAAATCTTCTTTAAAGTTCTTCAGTACCTAATAACATCCCCTGAATAAGGAGGTTGGCAGGGGAAGTTGTCAGAAAAATTTAATTTCCTTTCATTAGCCAGTCTGCTCCACAAATAGGTGCTTGTTAAGTTCAAAGGGGTCCTGAAAGCGACATCAGTTTTAAGTTGTTTTTTTTTTTTTTTACTCCAAGCAGTCACATCTGCTAATGAGATTTTCCAAATAACAATTGTTTTCAAGTCAGAGATAAATCTATATCTCCCACCCTATGCCTTCCAAAATCAAGGTTTACTGCTTTATTACACGTTGCTGTTTTCGCTGACCCTACATTCTCCAAACTTTAGCTTAAAGGGATGAAAATCCATGAAAAGGGTCATTTAAGAATGTTAGTGGTTTCCACACATTGAGTTGGAAGGTTCTTTGTTCCAGCCAGTGACAGTTATTGGAGAATACTTCCCCTTAATAGCCTCTCTGTCAGGAAGTGTTAAACCTGCCAAATGCGAACAATTAGTGCCTCTTGAACAAAATACAGGAAGAGTGATGGCTGATGAAGACTGGATTATAATAAACCTAGAAGAAAACTTTTAACATTTCTTTCCAACGTGATGAGAGAAAATAAACTGCTATTGTAAAAAGTTCATCACTTGAGAGAACTAACAGGCAAGTTTTAAAAGGTAATTCAAAAATTCATTAGACATATTTTGTCACTTATTTGAATATACATGTTATAGCTGGGTGTGTATGGATACATAAAGCCATATCTATATCTGACACAGCAAATTAAAAATTCCACTGCCACAAATCCAACACTTCTATAGCATGCCACAAAGCAAGCTTATCTTTCAACTTAACAGCATGCTAAGTCTTCTTACTATGAAAATTAGATTCTTCTAAATGAACTTTCAAATAAAATCAAGCTGCCTTAAAAATTAACTTTTCACTTGTCACTCATTCATCCAAAAATACTTTACTGAGGACCTATTATGCACTGGACATTAAAATCTCTATTACTGTTTCAATAATAAACTACTAAATATTATACACTCAGCCCCAATATGGTCTTTGAGAACATGAAGTTTTATTATCAGGCTCTACAAAATTACTTTTGAAGAGATAAAAAGCCCTATATAGCTCCAAATTCAATGGCACTAAGTGACATCACACTGTAAAGGTTGCCTATAACATCATAAGTTTAAAAAACTTTAATCAAACTCTGAATCAACTAAAAAAAGGACCAACAATCATCACAAAAGATTAAATTAAAAGCTCACAGAAAAACAGTTCCAGAAGCACAATATCTGTGCTCAGCCTTGCTCCTAATTACAGAAATACAAATTAAAACAATGAGATCTCACTTTTCCTCTAGCAAATTAAAATCTGATAATGGCCAGGATGACAAAGTTAAATACTTCTCATATTACTGGTGTCATAGAAAATGGGATAATCTTTTTAAAAAGAAATTGTCAGTATCTACCAAAAGTTTGAGGACACGTTATCTTTTGTTCTGAAATTTTACTCCTGGGAAGTCATCCTACAGATATACCCACATGAGTGAACACAGAGAGACATACAAAGAAATTCATTATTTTGAATTCGTTGGTGGTGTTTTAATAAGAAAAAAATTCTGAAAAACAATTTAGTAAGCCTTCAACAAAGGACTGGTACATCCATAAAATGAAATATTAGCCTTTAAAAAGAATGCAGTTGATCTATATGTTCTTATTCAACCACTTATACATTAATTCAATAACTATCTGCCCAGCAACACTACATGAAATACATCTTCTGCCTTCATGGAGCTTATTACAAACTAATGAGAGAAACAGAAAATAAACAAATCAATTGATAACTAAAATAAATGTTACATAGAAACAGAGTACTCAGGCAAGAATACTAGGGAGAACTTGTTTCAGACAGGCTGCTCAGAAAGGGCCCTTCTGGAGTAAAATTTTAAACCTAAGGATAAAGACATCTAGCCAGGCCAAGCACAGTGGCTCACACCTGTAATCCCAGCACTTTGGGAGGCCAAGATGGGAGGATCACTTGAGGGTAGGAGTTTGAGACTAGCCTGGGCAACATGGCAAGATCTCTATCTCTACAAAAAAATACAAAAATTACTGGGTGTGGTGGTGGGACCTGTAGTCCCAGCTACTTGGGAGGCTGAGGCAGGAGGATTGCATGAGCCCAGGAGGTCAGAGCTGCAGTGAGCCATGATGGCGCCACTGCACTCCTGCCTGGGAAATAAAGTGAGACTCCGTCTCTAAAACCACACACACACACACACACACACACACACACACACACACACGCATACACACACACACATAAACATAAACAGCTAGCTACCATGGAAAGATCAGGGAGAAAGAACATTAGACAGAGGGAACCACACATATAAAAATCCTAGATGAGGAAGCAATTTCATAGGGAAAGAATATCAGGCAGCTAAAGCTGAAACACAGTAAGGAAGTGGCAGCAAAGCACAAGATAAGGAGGTATGGACGGCGTGGCCCTGTTCTGGCCAGATCTTATGGGATTTGGTACACAGTCCAAGATGCCTTGGTTCTATACAAGGCAATGACAAATGACAATTAAGCTTTAAGAGAGTAACTCTTACACTGTAAAAATAAGCAAAATAAAGTATATACTGGGGGCGGGGGTAGCAAGTTGGAGTACATAGCGTATGACCTTACCTACATTAAGACAGAAATACACATTTGAACGCACAGGAAAGTTTAAGCATTAGACAGCTACAGAAACCAATTTACTGCTCAAAAGTAGGACAGACAGCCGGGCATGGTAACTCAGGCCTATAATCCCAGCTACTCAGGAGGCCCAGGCAGGAAGACCACTTGAGCCCAGGAGTTCTGTACTGACTTAAGCAACATCGCAAGACCTTGTCTATATTTAAGAATAAATAAATAAATAAATGTAAAAGGTAGGATTAAAAGTTGTAGGAAAAGGGAAATTAAAATTGTATGCTCTTAGGTACACGTTGAACTTTTTTACCATAAGAATCATAATTTCATACTTCATATTTTCATAGTTTAAAAATTAAATCAGCCATGCCTGAAGTTATCAAATTATTAATGATTTTGAGAATATTAAATGTTATCAAAACAAACTAGGAGTCCCCAAAATCACTTAAGCTTTTCATGACATCCCATTGCCTCAAAACCAAGTTTGAACTCCCTAGGCTGGTTTCAATACTTGATCCTGTCCGCCTAAGCATGAGTCTCAGCCCCACCCCTGTTCATCTTGCATCTTACCCTGCAGCCCAAGGCCCAGGCAGGCTCCCCAGCCTTGCACAGCCTTCTCAGTTCAGCCAGCCTCAGCCAGTAACTCTCTCCCCTTTTACCAAACCAGCTTTTATTACAATAGGCCCAATTCTGGGCCCTGAAGACACGGGACGGAACAAGAAAGACATCATCTTGGCCAACAGGTAATTTACAGGCTGGTGGAAAAGACAAACCTTAAATACAGCCACACAGCAGCTAAGGAATGATTATGTGGTGCATGTTATGTACAAGTTTTAAAGAGGGCATGTGACAACAGGGGATCTCTAATCCAAAAATAGATTCCTGAAAACTTTCTCAGGCGTGGTAACTGAAAAGACACCTTAGAAATAGAAGCGTAGTGAAAAACAGTGTCTGGGACCTGAAGAGAGAGGCGAGGGGAAGGCTGGGCCTCACAGCCACATGAGAGAAACTGAACTGTAGCCTCAGAGCAAGGAAATGAAGGGCTAGCTCTGGTTGCAGGCTGGAGAATTCTGGCATAGCATCTGCTTACTTATGATGTGCACTGTCCACCCTCTGCACCTCCCTAGCCCATTAAAATGTAAGCTCCATAAGGACAGAAACCCTTGTCCAGCTGGTTCAAGTTAGGTATTTCAAATCCCGAGCACACGCCTGGCACAGTTGTTATTCAACCAACAGTTGTTGGAAGAATAAATGAATGAATGAACAAACAAATGAACACTTTGAGAGGCAAGAGGGATCTGAAGAGTCAGGCTGGGAGGCAGTAGTCTGGGTGACAGGAAAATGACCATTTCCTCCCAGAGTCCAGGGTGGCATGCTTCCAGTTTCAGCTAATGCCACGTTCTTTCTTTTTTTTTTTTTTTGAGATGGGAGTCTGTCACTCAGGCTGGAGTGCAGTGGCACGACCTCGGCTCACTGCAACCTTTGCCTCCTGGGTTCAAGTAGTTCTCTTGCCTTAGCCTCCTGAGTAGCTGGGACTACAGGCAAACACCACCACACCCGGCTAATTTTTGTATTCTAAGTAGAGACAGGGTTTCACCATTTTTGGCCAGGCTGATCTCTAACTCCTGACCTCAGGTGATCCGCCCACCTCGGCTTCCCAAAGTGCTGGGATTACAGGCATGAGCCACCGCGCCCAGCCTGCCACTTTCTTTAGAGTGCCTTTCCAGTCCTCCCACACCTGGCTAGGTATCATTGCCACATGAACACATACACCACGCCCTGCAATTATGCAGCCCTTTTCACACTTAACCTTCATGAGGGCAACAACTAGCTGTCTTACTCTCTACTAAATCCCCAGAGTTTAGCAAATTAACGCAATCAACACATTATTTCTTCCATGAATAAACAACTATCCGCATCAGCTTCCATAAAAATTAGTCTGTTAGGATAAGACACAATCTCACAAATGCCAACAGAACTATTCATCTCCAGAGCAGCGGTTTTATAAGTGAGTTAACTGACATCCAAAGGCAGGGGTTCAGGGCAGGGACTCAGAACCAGACAGGCTTCTGTTAGAAATGCTTGTTCCCCAGTGCCGTAAAGAAACAGCACTGGAACATAAATTTAATTTCCTCAGCAAGGCCATGTTTACTTTCTGCAGAAAGGGTACATTCGCCAGCAGTTTTGCCACGAGAGTACATTGAACAAAGGAGACAGGGTCATTTATAACCTGAGGCGCCCACCCTACTGCTGTGTCCGGTTTCCATTGGCTGGAACAGGACCTCACATTTTGTATTTGTCCCAATTGGCTAACAACATAGAACTTTTTAAAAGAGGCAACGGCAGAGGAGAACAAAGGAAGGAGGAAGTAACTTGTGGAATACTGAGAAAGGTAAAAACACCTTCAAATAAGGAAGAGGAACAGGCTATGACTTAATGCTTGCTTGGACCAGTATAAGCATGCCAGGGCAAATATTTAGGCTAAATTGTGGGAGCTGAGAACATAAAGTACATTGATTTCTTTATTACAGCTAGCAGATATTTAAGAATGTTAGCACAGGTCTTAGAATAAATTTTGCTTCTAAGAGAAGTTACTATTTATTCCTAATTAGATGGGGAGGAAAGTCTTTGAAGAGGAACCTCTACTTTACTTTTTACACTTCAGTTTTGCTTCAGTTTAAAACAAGGTGCACTCAGTGAAATACTGTTGGCATTGGGCAAAACCAAGCCCAATATTTTTGGGATTCTCAGTCCAGCACTTCTTCCACCACATCATGCAACTTCCAGAGTTTGAATTTTAGGTTTTGTAAAACCTGCTCTTCTAAAAAATATAGTTCTACTCCATAATTTTTAAGTAAAGTGTTGCATTAGGAAAAAAAAAAAATCAAATTCTACATGGCAATAAGTTTTCAAATTGAAAAGCCACAAGTTTAAGTTATAATACAAAACAAAAGAAAGCAGCTCATTTCAATGTATAGATATCAAACTTTATTTCATAAAAATGTAAAAGGTTAAACTTTATTTTACTAAATATACTTTGTGCTTTTTTTTTTTTTTTTTTGAGAAAGAGTCTCACTGTGTTACCCAGGCTGGAGTGCAATGGAGCGATCCCCGCTCATTGCAACCTCCACCTCCCAGGTTCAAACGATTCTCCTGCCTCAGCCTCCCAAGTAGCTGGGATTATAGGCACACACCACCACGTATGACTAATTTTTTTTGTATTTTTAGTAGAGATGGGGTTTCACCATCTTGGCAGGCTGGTTTCGAACTCCTGACCTCAAGTGATCCTCCCACCTCAGCCTCCCAAAGTGCTAGGATTACAGGAGTGAGCCACCGCGCCCAGCCTTTGTTCTTTATTTATATAAAATAAATATATTTTAAACAAAACAACATTATCTCTTCACAAATACAGCTTGGCAATATTTGAAGAAAAAGTGGAGCTGATTATTCTTAACACTCTTTAAAATATTCTTAAGACAGCTCTCACATCTATGATTACATGACACACAATACATGAAAATATGAAAGGGCTTAGAACAATAAACTCTGTTAACATAATGTTCAATAATATCCTATAATTTATTAAAAGAAAATTTCTGACACATTACATAATAATCCTCCCCAAAGTGGAAGAAAAGTCAAATATGCCAGGCATGGTGGCTCACGCCTGTAATCCCAGCACTCTGGGAGGCTGAGGCAGGCGGATCATCTGAGGTCAGGAGTTCGAGACCAGCCTGGCCGACATGGTGAAATCCCATATTTACTAAAAATACAAAAATCAGCTGGGCGTGGTGGCATGCGCCTTTAATCCCAGCTACTCCGGGGGCTGAGGCAGGGGAATTGATTGAACCCGGGAGGCAGAAGTTGCAGTGAGCCGAGATGGCACCACTGCACTCCAGCCTGGGTGAAAGAGCAAGACCCTGTCTGGAAAAAAAAAAGAAAAAGTCAAATATAAAAATTTCAGCAGAATTGTTAAAACAAATTTGATGCTATTCATTTTCCCTTAAAAATTTTTCATTTGAAGTCTTTAGAATAGTTTTATTTTCATATCACAAGTAATACAATTGAGAAAACAAAAAGTACACAAAAAAATTAAAAATGTGTCAGCAACAATGCTCAGATGATGGTATTCCTGATGGTTTCCAATCAGGAGGTAGGGAAAAAAGAGTCCAATGATATCATTTTATTCTATTCTTCTAAGTGATAAACTACCTGGTGGTCCATTCTTTCTGTAATCCCAGCTTGTCCTGAGGGAAGGCACACTCAGGTTCTGAAGCTATTTAACTCTTTTGAGCACCGATGGGGAAAGAGTTACAGGAAAGTACTAAGAATACAATGCCAAAAGAGTAGCTTAAGAAACGGAGAAAAGGGAAAGAAACCAAGCAAACCAGTACCCATTTCTTTTATTCCTCTTATTCCTCTATTACAAAACAACTCACATTAAGTGGGCTCTATCACCCAACCCAAGAATAGTAACAGTAAAAAGTACTATTTAACTGTGAATATGATGGGAGTGGTGGATGATGCTACAAAAACTAACTAAATGGTAGTAAAAACTAACCAGAAAAAACGTGAAAAGAGTTAACAAAAATCTGGTGCCTTTTCTGCAAATGTCATTTATTTGTTAATACCTAGAACATGGCCTGTGGGGTAACCAAGCCTTGCAGTTAAGAGCTCAGGTGTGGGCTGGGCACAACGGCTCCTGCCTGTAATCCCAGCACTTTGGGAGGCAGAGGCAGGCGGATCACCTGAGGTCAGGAATTCAAGACCAGCCTGGCCAATATGGTGAAACCCCGTCTCTACCAAAAAAAAAACAAAAAAATTAGCCGGGCGTGGTGGCGCATGCCTGCAATCCCAGCTACTCAGGAGGCGGAGGTTGCAGTGAGCCAAGATAGTGCCACTGCACTCCAGTATGGGCGACAGAGCAAGACTTCGTCTCAAAGAAAAAAAGAACACAGGCGCTATGCCAGAAGGCTTGGGCTCCAATACTGCTTCTGTGACTGTGACTGAGTTACTAGAGTGCCTCTCTGGTATTCGGTTTCCTCATCTGTAAAATGGACATAATAACAG
Organism: Homo sapiens; assembly: GCF_000001405.40. Lineage (NCBI taxonomy): Eukaryota > Metazoa > Chordata > Mammalia > Primates > Hominidae > Homo > Homo sapiens. Next base: position 100,226,890 of record NC_000013.11, on the reverse strand, counting down.
TATCTATCTCATAGGGTTATTAAGAAGATGAAATTAGTCAAGGCTGAAACACATTAGAACAGCACCTGGCCCACAGTAGGTACTCAATTAAGGTTAGTAATTATGAGAAAATGGGCAGCCCGCCACCCCAAACTACCATGTTGGTACCTTCCCTGCCTGGCCTTACTTGTTATATCCTGTGTCATTACTCATCTTCTGAACCTAGATAACATAGAACTAACCCTGGCGCTACAATACTGGAAAAAACATGTACTTCCTCTCTTATAATGCACTGGATCAGACGATCTACGAACTCGGTATTGCTGGTGAACAGGGCAAAACACAAGGAAGCGCAGAAAACACTACAACAAAGACAGGCACATTCGAATCATTCTTCCCAGATGCTAAACACCCATACATTTTGATAGTGGTATTAGTGTCAACGCCGACCACCATTCATGATTCAGACATCCTTCTCACTTGCTACTGCCTACTTACCAATCCTTAATTTTCTATTCTGTGGATGAGAATCCTGCTACCCATTCATATGAAAGCCACTTAGGAGTTTACAGCTGGTTCTAGAAGGGAATCAGTGACTGTTTATTAAAAAAAAATAATAATTTGTTTCAAGACACTACAGGTAAGAGTTATATCTGTACCCTAAAAGCTGTCCTCAAACTATTCTGCATTCATATATAAAGTAAAGCAGAAACTTTTAAACAATCCTGGGCTCAGGAATGGCTTTCTAGCTTCCACATAATCCAGTTAACTCAAAGTCAGGCAGAAGATTCTTTCTGTTTTAATATACTTCCAAATCTTTCGGCCGGGCACAGTGGCTCATGCCTGCAATTCCAGCACTTTGGGAGGTCGTGAAGGTGGATCACTTGAGACCAGGAGTTCCAGACAAGCCTGGGCAACATGGCAAAACCCTATCTCTACTAAAAACACAAAAGTTAGCCAGGTGTGGCAGCCCACACCTGTAAACTCAGCTACTTGAGAGGCTGAGGCACAAGAATCACTTGAAACCGGAAGGTGGTGCTTTTCAGTGAGCCAAGATCGCGCCACTGCACTCCAGCCTGGGTGACTGAGCGACACTCTTCGTCTCAAAGAAAAAAAAAAGCTTTCTAAAATTTAGTACACTTTTCTATCATTGTAAAAACAGCATAGTAAAAATAATTGAGTCTTTTTTTCCAAAATATAAAACCTTTGAGGCTTCATCAGGAAAACTGATTATTCTTGGTTTAGCAGGGACAAATACACTAATGTTTAATGTTATACTTTCTAATTGCTGAGACACAGCTTGTCTCCAATTTTTTGGTTTTTGTTTTTAGGGTCTTTTTTAAATGATTTCCTTCACACTAGCTTTCTTAGTTATTTGCCTCCTTCTGCTAAAGCAAGAGTACAGTTTTTAAAGTCTGGCCAATTAGGTGATAAAAACAATTACTACTTTAAATCTACACTGCCTAATTTACAAAACTCATTCAAATACACGGCCATACTCTGTTCTGTGGTGTAAACGGGTATTACTATTTCCTCTTAACGAACAATTAGAACTAAAGGACATTAAATAAATTTCTTCTGAAACTGGTGTGTTAATAGGTATTACAACCAAATGCAGTAAAATAATCATCAATGATCCTTCCCTCCACTTCACACCTGACATTGAACAGATCACATAATCCCATGGATTCCACTTCCACTATCTTTCTCAACACCATCTACTTTGTTGCATACAATACTTTATTTTAGGGGTCTACCGTTTCTATCCTGGATTAGAAGAGGATCCTAATTTGTCTACCAACTTCAAGTTTTGCCATGCTCCAATTTACTTTCCACACAACAAACCAAAATGAGTTTTCTAATGCCACAATTCTGTCATGTTAACTCTTCTGCATGAAATTATTCAGAGGCTCCCCAAACCACAAGAATAGCCTTCAAAATAAGTTACATCACATTCCAGCCCATACATATCTGGATCCTAATTTTCTCTCTAGCTCCCTTTCTAACTGCAGCCCCTCATACTACAAATCTGCAGTTTTCCAGAGTTCTCACTGTCTCTCACCTCCAGGCTTTTGCAATAAGATGTTTTCACTGACATTAGAGCTGTGTCCATCATCAATCTCACTTTTCAGCTAACTCACTACCACTCAGACTTGAGGTTTCACTTAGCTATCATTTCCATTGGAAAATCTGCAATGATACCTAAAACTAGGTTACATGCCCATCCTATATGCATAGGCCCCTGCGCCTTGAGCTTAGCATTATCAAAATGTAGTCAATTGCCTGAATACTTGCAGTCCTCCTGAAGAAGTGAGAGGTGACAGCGTGCTGGCAGTCCTCACAGCCCTCGCTCGCTCTTGGCGCTCCCACTTTGGCAGCACTTGAGGGACCTGATCAGCCCACCCCTGCACTGTGGGAGCCCCTTTCTGGGCTGGCCAAGGCCAGAGCCAGCTCCCTCAGCTTCCACGGAGGTGTGGAGGGAGAGGCGCCAGCGGGAACCAGGGCTGCTAGCTGCGCTTGCGGGCCAGCTGGAGTTCCGGGTGGGCGTGGGCTTGGCAGGCCCCGCACTCGGAGCAGCCGGCTGGCCCTGCCGGCCCCGGGCAATGAGGGACTTAGCACCCTGGCCAGCAGCTGCAGAGGGTGTACTGGGTTACCCAGCAGTGCCAGCCCACCAGCACTGCGCTCGATTTCTCGCCCAGCCTTAGCTGCCTTCCCGCCGGGCAGGGCTCGGGACCTGCAGCCCGCCATGCCTGAGCCTCCCACCCCCTCCCTGGGCTCCTGTGGGGCCAGAGCCTCCCTGATGTGCGCCGCCCCCTGCTCCACGGTGCCCAGTCCCATCGACCACCCAAGGGCTGAGGAGTGCGGGCGCACGGCGCGGGACTGGCAGGCAGCTCCACCTGCAGCCCCGGTGCGGGATCCACTGGGTGAAGCCAGCTGGGCTCCTGAGTCTGGTGAGGACATGGAGAACCTTTATGTCTAGCTCAGGGATTGTAAATACACCAATCAGCACCCTGTGTCTAGCTCAGGGTTTGTGAATGCACCAATCGACACTCTGTATCTAGCTACTCTGGTGGGGACTTGGAGAACCTTTGTGTTGACACTCTGTATCTAGCTAATCTGGTGGGGATGTGGAGAACCTTTGTGTCTAGCTCAGGGATTATAAACGCACCAATCAGTGCCCTGTCAAAACAGACCACCAGGCTCTACCAATCAGCAGGATGTGGGTGGGGCCGGATAAGAGAATAAAAGCAGGCTGCCCGAGCCAGCAGTGGCAACACGCTCGGGTCCCCTTCCACACTGTGGAAGCTTTGTTCTTTAGTTCTTTGCAATAAATCTTGCTGCTGCTCACTCTTTGGGTCCACTCTGCCTTTATGAGCTATAACGCTCACCGCGAAGGTCTGGAGCTTCACTGCTGAAGCCAGCGAGACCACAAGCCCACCGGGAGGAACGAACAACTCCAGACGTGCCACCTTAAGAGCTGTAATGCTCACTGCAAAGGTCTGCAGCTTCACTCCTGAGCCAGCAAGACCACGAACCCACCAGAAGGAAGAAACTCCGAACACATCCCAACATCAGAAGGAACAAACTCCAGACGCGCCACCTTAAGAGCTGTAACACTCACCGCGAGGGTCCGCGGCTTCATTCTTGAAGTCAGTGAGACCAAGAACCCACCAATTCCGGACACAGAAGGCTTTAAGCTCTTTGAAAGCAGGATCTGTGGCATGTTATTCATTGATTTAAAAAAAAAAAAGCTGTGATCCCAATTCCTGTCTCCAATATCTTAATGTGCATGCCTTTCACTCTGCTCTCCAGTTCCTGAGATCAAGGTAATGAAATGTTGAATAAAATTAAATTTGTTAAAGGCAAATACTTGATACCAAACGATTACTTGATAATTACATTTTAAAACATTAGTTTCTCTCTAAGGAAAAGGATGATTCAAGGACAGATTAATAAGCCATTAAAAAGAAGAGTTGCAGAAGACCACTGAAGTACTGCACACAATGCTTTAAAGGGGTATGGGTAAACTGTCTCCATGTAACATCCTACATATTCAAATAAGAAAGGAACAAATGTTTGAAGGAGAAATGTAACAAACTAAAATTGTATCATAACTGGTGGAAACTACTTGGGGAAAAAAAATAGAATATAGTTATCAAGGAAAAGACTTTAGTCTTAAAAACACTGTAGACTAATTTTAAAGAACACTAAACATTTTTTAAAAGACAGAATTACCTGTAATTGGCATATGCACTCTGCCAATGAAAAACTGTTGCTAAAAACCCAAGATATTCCAAAATTCGGTACTATTTATTTCCATCAGCAAACTTCTATCTGCATAGATACTCTCAAAAGTAATCTTATACTCAATATATCTAAACTAGTAAATGTGAATGGTGTAGCTCCAAGTGAATGTGGAGTCACTATACCAGAAACCTAAATTAATAGCCAAATTTAAAAGAAAAATATGTACAGCCTCTTGTATCAGAAATAAAAACAAACTAAAAATAAAACTAGTATTAAAAATTATTTCCAGTCAGGCACGGTGGCTCACACCTCTAATCCCAACACTTTGGGAGGCTGAGGAGGGCGGATCACCCAAGCTCAGGAGTTCAAAACCAGCCTGGCCAACATGGTGAAACCTCATCTCTACTAAAAATACAAAAATTACTAAAAAATTACTAATTACTAAAAATACAAAAATTAGCCAGGCATGGTGGCGCATATCTGTAATCCCAGCTACTCCGGAGGCTGAGGCAGGAGAATCGCTTGAACCCAGGGGGCGGGGATGGAGTGAGTCCAGATTGTGCCACTGTACTCCAGTCTGGGCAACAGAGTGAGACTCTGTCTCAAAAAAAATTATTTCCACCAGGCGCAGTGGCTCACACCTGGACACCTATAATCCTAGCACTTTGGGGAGCCAAGGCAGGTGGATCACTTGAGGTCAGGAGTTTGAGACCAGCCTGGCCAATATGGCGAAACCCTGTCTCTACTAAAAATGCAAAATTAGCTGGACATGGTGGTTCATGTCTGTAATCCCAATTACTCGGGAGGCTGAGGCAGGAGAATTGCTTGAACCCGGGATGCAGAGGTTGCAGTGAGCTGAGATCGCACCACTGCACTCCAGGGTGAGACTCCGTCTCAAAAAAAAAAAAAAAAAAAAATTTCCCAGGGAAACAAAAGGACATTCCTTAAAAATTATTTGTAAATGCTTATCTGGAAACTATAACCTGCAGGTTCAGCTGTGGCGTCACAAATTCAGAAATAGTCGTTAGTGCAGATAATGAGAATCAATCATTTGAGAGTGTAATAGGATGTTACAAATCATCTAATGCATACAAGGAAAAAAACTGAAAAGATGAGATTTCTTTTCTCCTGTCTACCTTTCCATATTTTCCAAATTTACTAGAACAGAGGCTGCAAATTCAGATGCAGCCTCCTAAGAAGATAACCAAAATAACCTGTTGAACAAGCAAAACCAAGTGTATTACCCACAGACACATGTTCGAAGCCCACTAAAAGCCACAGTTCAAGATCTTAGATCTGGCATCTGCATGCTTCTCTGAGGCCCACTGAGCGACCCCCTCAGGGGTCTCCCCAACCACAATGGTGAGATGAGTCACACTGGGTAGAGGTCCAATTTCCTTTTCAACAACTGTAGGAATAAAGACCCACTGAATTTCTTATCACATTTGAAAATGTTTAATATTGGAAGAAACCTCCCATATTACTAATATACTGTCCTCAACATTTTTTATTCTAAGTCCATAAGTCAAAGTTCACCTGAAAGAAGACAGGCATAGGTTTCATAAGCCCATTTTCATGCTGACTCTAGAAGCCAGTGAGTTCAGAAGGTTTCATCAGATCATCATCCAAATAGAACACAATTTACCTGGGAACCTTGAGTATTTTCCTCTGTCTTGACTTGCTTTGTCCATGGAAGTCTGGGCCTAGGAGAGACAGTCTCTCCAAATCTTAAACCAACAAGGCACTGTCAGGTTTGCAGTTAGAGATGGCCAACCATTAGGCTGTGAGCCCAAGACAGGAGGTGCACAAACAACATATTCAATATGCCATTAGGAGACTCCCATGAGTTTGGCTCAGACTAAGTCTGTGGTCTCTCAGAGTCAGACTTCTGTTTCTTTAAATGCATTAAATATGTAATGCAAATTCATGGTCTTCTCTTTATAAATGGCATCATTTCACCAAGGATAGTTACAAAGTGGGGAGCAAGGAGAGGGAAATAGGAAGACCTATTAGAAAGGGGAAACAAATATCCTGAGAGTGACTTCAGACCCCAAATGCACAGAAAGCCAGTGGGGTTTAGAAAAACTGTGAATGACGGGGCGCGGTGGCACATGCCTGTAATCCCAACACTTTGGGAGGCCGAGGCAGGTGGATCACTTGAAGTAAGGAGTTCAAGACCCGGCCAACATGGTGAAACCCAGTCTCTACTAGAAATACCAAAAAAAAAAAAAAAAAAATTAGTCAGGCATGGTGGCTCAGACATGTGGTCCCAGCTACTTGGGAGGCTGAGGCAGGAGAACTGCTTCAACCCGGGAGGTGGAGGTTGCAGTTAGCCAAGATTGCGCCACTGCACTCCAGCCTGGGTGACAGAAAGAGACTCTTGTCTCAAAAAAAACAAAAACAAAAAAAAGAAACTGTAAATATTGGACACGGTCTTTTGAAGGCTATTACCAAAATCTTTCCTGTGAAAACAGGTAACTCTAATTCAGTTGTTCTAGCAGACGAAGGATAAGCCCCTTGCAGACTTCCAGGGTGGGCTCTTACTACCTTCAGTTAGCATTCAGGAGTAAGCCCTCAAGTAGTTGTGACCCCAGCTCCTTCCTCACTTCTTGTGAACAGCCTTAAGCCAGAAAAAGAAAATGTTATAAACAAGCAAAAACTGGCTGGGAAGGCACCACATTGTCAAACAATGTAACTCCATATTACACATTTCAAAAGAGCCTGAAAACAAAGGCAGTATAAGACCCAGAATAAGATGATACCCTTGAAGATAAAACTAGATGCTCCCACTCCAAAAATTAAACACCAGTCTTTTGATAAAGAAACCTGCAGAGATTGTAAGAAGAAATTACAATGGAAAAATAATTGTTCTGTTTTATTCAAGAGAATTGGGAAAAAATGATAGTAGGCAAATGTTCTAACAGCAAATCAAGTACCCATTTCTCCTTTTACTCTTCAACTCACAAGACGAATTTTCACTAATTATTAGCGGAGAAACAAGTAAAAATTTTATTGATATGGGTGGCAGTATATTTACCTTAATTCCTGCCATTGTTCCACAAGCTCTCCCTCGGAATCAACAAACTACTCAGTTGACAGATATGGATAATACCCGTCACATTTCCCATGTCCCAGCACACAACGGTCACCTTTGGACCTTTAGCCAAGAAACATTCCCTTCCTAGGAGACACTACATTCACTAATTTCATAAGGAAAAATCTCCCGTGTAAACAGAATTTCCAGATCAAACACTCTCCTGATGGTCTCTTCCTTGAACCCTTGAGGACTCCACCATTCATCATCAAGCCAGAAATAATTTGGACAGTGACACATCAGTATTCTTGGGAATAAATCAAGTCCAAATTGAAGATATCAAAAAGGCAACATTCCTCATCAAAAAAATATATAATTATACTGGTAGAAATATTCAGGCTGAGTAGATCAAGGTTCATAATGACACATCCAAACCCCTACCCAAATTCACACAAATGTCTAAAACAAAAAGGTAAAGAGGACAAGACCTCATAAGGAAATAATAATAATAATTTCATCATACACTGCTCAGGGGTTTGCAAGGCTGCAATCAGGGAGTGAACCAGGCTGCATTGTCACTGGAGACTCAAATGGGGAGAAATTTGCTGCCAAGCTCTTTCAGGTAGTTGGCAGAATTATGTCCTTGTAGCTGCATGATGAAGGACCCCAGCCTTTTGCTAGCTCTTGGGTAGAGACTGTCCTTACATAGATCCTTAGAATCTGCCCACCATTCACTGCCAAGTAGGCTTCCTTAATATGGCTGCTTACTTTATCAAGCCAGCAAAAAGAATCTTGTTCTCTAGTCTGTTAAGATCAAGTACTATATAATGAAACATAATCACAAGAGTGACACCCAACCACTTTGCCACATAATGTAATTGAATGCAGTGACATCCCATCACTTTTGCCATATAATGCAACCTAATTAAGGGAGTAATATCACATCACCTTTGCCATATTCTATTAGTTAGAGAAGCAATTCACAGGTTCTACCCAAATTGAAGAGGAGTGGATTATACAAGAGGAAGGGAGTACATAAAGGTTTGGATGCCTGACAGTTCCTCAAAAAGCTGAACAAAGAATTACCACATGACCCAGGAATTCCACTCTTGGGTACATACCCCAAATAACTTAAAAAACAGACATATGGCTGGGCGCAGTGGCACGCGCCTGTAATCCCAGCACTTTGGGAGGCCAAGGCGGGTGGATAACCTGAGGTCAGGAGTTCAAGACCAGTCTAACATGGTGAAAACCCGTCTCTGCTAAATACAAAAAAAAAAAAAAACAACCCATAGCCAGACATGGTGGTGGGTGCCTGTAATCCCAGCTACTTGGGAGACTGAGGCAGGAGAATCACTTGAACTCAGCAGAGGTTGCAGTGAGTCAAGATCACGCCACTGCACTCCAGCCTGGGCAACAAGAGTGAAATACCATCTCAAAACAAACAAATATATAAGCAAATACTTGCATACAAATATTTGTAGCAATACTAATTGCAATGGTCAAAATGTAACCCAAATGTCTTTCAACTAATGAATGGATTTTTTTTTTTTTTTAGACAGAGTCTTACTCTGTTGCCCAGGCTGGAGTGCAGTGGTGCCATCTCAGCTCACTGCAACCTCCTCCCCCAGGGTTCTAGTGATTCTCCTGCCTCAGCCTCCCGAGTAGCTGACATTACAGGGCCTGCCACCACGCCCAGCTTATTTTTTTCTATTTTTAGTAGAGTCGGGATTTCACCATGCTGGCCAGGCTGGTCTTGAACTCCTGACCTCAGATGGATTTTTTTAAGTGGTATATTCATACAATTGAATATCACTCAGCCACACACACACAAAAAACCTCCGCCCCCAGGGTTCTAGCGATTCTCCTGCCTCAGCCTCCCAAGTAGCTGACATTACAGGTGCCTGCCACCACGCCCAACTAATTTTTTTGTATTTTTAGTAGAGACAGGGTTTCACCATGTTGGCCAGGCTGGTCTTGAACTCCTGACCTCAGGTGGATTTTTTTAAGAAGCATATTCATACAACTGAATATCACTCAGCCACACACACACACACACAAAAACTGATACATGCTATAACATGGATACTATATTTTGCTTGGTTGAGTCCAATGTTAAGTCTATCTAAAGTCCTTATTTTCATATATTTGCAGTTACAGAATTTCTATTTAATTTTTTTTTTTTTGAGATGGAGTCTCGCTCTGTCACCCAGGCTGGGGTGCAGTGGCATGATCTCGGCTCACTGCAAGCTCCACCTCCTGTGGTCCAGCGATTCTCCTACTCAGCCTCCCGAGTGGCTGGGATTACAGGTGCGCACCACCACGCCCAGCTAATTTTTCTATTTTTAGTAGAGACGGGGTTTCATCATGCTGGCCAGGCTGGTCTCGAACTCCTGACCTCATGATCCACCCACCTCGGCCTCCCAAAGTGCTGGGATTACAGGCGTAAGCCACTGCACCCAGTCTTGTATTTAATTTTTAAAATAGATTCAAATTCTCTTGTGAAATTCTTGTTTTTTTTAGACAGAGTTCCGCTCTTGTTGCCCAGGCTGGAGTGCAATGGCGTGATCTCGGCTCACTGCAACCTCCACCTCCCAGGTTCAAGGGATTCTCAGGCCTCAGCCTCCCGAGTAGCTGGGATTACAGGCACCTGCCACAACACTCAAATATTTTTTGTATTTTCAGTAGAGACGGGGTTTCGCCATGTTGATCAGGCTGATCTTGAACTCCTGACCTCAGGTGATCCGCCCACCTCGGCCTCCCAAAGTGCTGGGATTACAGGCATGAGCCACCATACCCGGATGAAATTCTTTATATACTTATCTATTTTCTCCATATTTTCCTTGGATTTCTTTAGCATATAAATCGTAGTTATCTCAGCCAATTCCAATATCTGAAGCATATGTGGATATGTTTCTATTGTCTTTTAATTTTTTCTCTTGGTTTTTGGTTTCTTTTGGTGCCTCTAATAGATGTGACTAAACAATATGTACTAAATGGCAACGTATATAAAATGAGTATATGTATAAAATTTATCTCCTAGAATATTATTCATTCAACAAATACCTAGTGAGCACTGACTGAGCATTGACTTAAGCACTGACAATATGTCAGGCACCATGTGCATGTGATACAGTAATAAAGAGAGCAGCATCCCTGCCATCAGAAGCTTACGCTCCGTGTAGGAAGGAGACATTTACCTAATACTGAAATGGCCTGTAAGGCCCTAAAAATCTAAGCTCCCTACTACACCATTATCTTTTTTTACCTTATCTCTAAATTGTCTCTCTCGATGATTCCAATCACATGCTTCCTCGGTGTTTATTCAGTAGCAGGTACACTTCAACCTCAACCAACAATCTTGCGCTTGTTATTCTTTCTGCCTAATATGCTTTGCTCTTCTCCAGGATAGCAACATGACTTGTCCTGCCACTTCCTTAGATGGTCTGCTAAACATGCACTTGGCCCTCTATATCCTTGGGTTCTGTATCCATGGATTAAACCCAAAAAAGGGAAGGGGAAGGGAAAGGGGAAGGAGAGGGGAAGGGGAAGGGGAGGGGAAGGGGAAGGGAAAGGGAGGAAAATTAAAATACTGCATATTTTAAAACACAGTGGGACAACTATTTACATAGCATTTACATTGTTTTAGGGTATTATAAGTAATCTAGAGATGATTTAAAGTATACGGCAGGGCTGCGCACAGTGGCTCACACCTGCAATCCCAGCACTTGGGAGGCCAAGGCAGGTGAATCACTTGAGGTCAGGAGTTCAAGACCAGCCTGGCCAACGTGGTGAAACTTCATCTCTACTAAAAATACAAAAAACAGCTGGGCATGGTGGTGCATGCCTGTAATCCCAGCTACTTGAGAGGCTGAGGTGGGAGAATTGCTTGAACCCAGGGTGGACGGAGGTTACAGTGAGCCGAGATCATGACACTGCACTCTAGCCTGGGCAATAAAGTGAGACTCCACCTCAAAAAAATAAATATATAAAAATAAAAAATAAAATAAAGTATACAGAAGGATGAGCGTAGGATATATGCAAACACTACCCCATTTCATATAAGGCACTTGAGCATCAACAAATTTTGGTATCTGAGGGGGTAGGTCTTGGAACCAATCCCTTGTAGATATGAAGACATGCCTGTATATAAAATTGTGAATATAGCCCCACCTTCCAGCAGTCTTTTTCTCTTATGTTTCAACATAGAACATATGTTTTATTATTTATCATCTGTTTCCTTCTATAGTGTAAGCTCCTTGAGGGCATAAAAATATGTTCAGTCTCTTTTGTTCACTACTATATCAACAGCACTTCAAACAGTGTCAGACAAATTGCGTGCACTTGGTAAATATCTACTGAATAGATGAATGAATAAATGATTTAAAATGTGATGAGTTAAGTGTAGGGTCCTAAGGAAAAATACAGCAGAGAGCCTAATCTAATGAAGACAGTTAAGGAATGCCTATGTGAGGAATTTACATTTAAGCCAAGACCTAAACAATGACTAAGAGACAATCAGGAATGAAGACAGAAGCAGATATGACTAAGCACATAAGTTTCAAGAATCTGAACGATGTCAAGTATGGCGGATACATACAATGCAAAGGATAGACTGGCACAGTATCAGTTTGGAGAGCTAAGCAAAATCCAACCATTTAAAACATTTATATGAGTAGTCATTCAAAAGTTATTAAAGATAGGCATACGATCAAATCTGGATTTTTGGTCACTCAAACTGAAGTATCATTAATTAATGGATGGGAATTCCTATATGCCAACAGTGAAGACGATATCAAGAAAATAATCCCATTTACAATAGCTATGAATAAAATAAAATAAAATAAAATACCTAGGAATAAACTTAACCAAAGAAGTGAAAGGTCTCTACAATGAAAACTATAGGCCAGGTTCAGTGGCTCATGCCTGTAATCCCAGCACTTTGGGAGGCAGAGGTGGGTGGATCACAAGGTCAGGAGATCAAGACCATCATGGCCAACATGGTAAAACCCCGTCTCTACTAAAAACAAAGCAAAAATTAGTTGGGCGTGGTGGTGCATGCCTATAGTCCCAGATACCAGGGAGCCGGAGGCAGGAGAATCGCTTGAACCCGGGAGGCAGAGGTTGCAGTGAGCCGAGATTGCACCACTGCACTCCAGCCTGGCAACAGAGCGAGGTTCCATCTAAAAAAAAAAACACACACACACACACACAAAAAAACAACTATAAAACGTTGATGCGAGAAATTGAAAAGGACACAAAAGATGCAAAGAGATTCTACATTCATGGGTTGGAAGAATCAATATTGTTAAAATGTCCATACTACCTAAAGCAATCTACCGATTCAATATAATCCTTATCAAAATACCAATGACAATCTTCACAGAAATAGAAAAAAAAATCCTAAAATTTATATAGAACCACAAAAGACCCAGGATAGGCAAAGCTATCCTGAGGAAAATGAACAAAACTGGAGGAATCACACTACTTGACTTAAAATTATACTACAGAGCTATAGCAATCAAAACAGCATAGTACTGGCATAGACCAATAGAACAGAATAGAGAACCCAGAAATAAATCCATATATCTATAGTGAATTCACTTGACAAAGGTGCCAAGAATATACCTTAGGGAAAGGACGGTCTCTTCAATAAATGGTGCTCGGAGAACCGGATAACCAGATGCAGAAGAACAAAACTAGACCCTTATCTCTTGCCATATACAAAAATCAAATCAAAATGGATTGAAAATTTAAACCTAAAACCTCAAATTATGAAACTACCAAAAGAAAACATTGCAAAAACTCTGTAAGATGCTGGTCTGGGCAAAAATTTCTTGAGTAATTCCCCACAAGCCCAGGCAAGCAAAGCAAAAATAAATAAATGGGGTCACATCAAGTTAAAAAGCTTCCACACAGCCAAGGAAATCAACAGTCAAGAGACAACTCATGGAATGGGAGCAAAATATTTGCAAACTATCCATCTGACAAGAGATTAATAACCAGAATATATAAGGAGCTCAAACAACTCAACAAGAAAAAAAATCTAATAATCCAATTTTTTAAATGGGCAAAAGATCTGAATAGACATTTCTCAAAAGAAGACATACAAATGTTAAACAGGCATATAAAAAGGTGCTCAACATCACTGATCATCAGAGAAATGCAATACAATGAGAGATCATCTCACCCCAGTTAAATTGGCTTTTATCCAAAAGACAGGCAATAACAAATGCTGGCGAGGATATAGAGAAAAGGGAACTCTTGTATAGTGTTGGGGGGAATGCAAATTAGTAAAGCCACTGTGGAGAACAGTATAGAGGTTCCTCAAAACACTAAAAATAGAGCTGCCATATGATCCAGCAATCCCACTGCTAGGTATATACCCAAAAGAAAGGAAAGCAGTCTATCAAAGAGATATCTACACTACCATGTTTACCACAACACTATCCACAATAGCCAACATTTGGAAGCAACCTAAATGTCCATCAACAGACGAATGGATTTTTAAAATGTGGTACATATATACAATGGAGTACTATTCAGCCACCAAAAAGAATGAGGTCCTGTCACTTGCAACAACATAGATGGAACTGGAGGACATTATGTTAAATGAACTAAGTCAGACATAGAAAGACAAATTTGACATGTTCTCACTCATCTGTGGGAGCTAAAAATTAACATAGTTGAACTCACAGTGATAGAGAGTAGAATGATGATTGCCAGAGGCTGGGAAGGGTAGTGGGGAGGAGTGGGGGTGGGTGATGTGGGGATGGTTAATGGGTACAAAAATGGGTCCAGTTAGATAGAATGGGTAAGATCTAGTATTCGACAGCACAACAAAGTGATTACAGTCAACAATAATTTATTGTACATTTTTAAATAACTAAAAGTATATTAGACTGTTTGTAACACAAAGACATTATAAATACTTGAGGTGAAGAATTTTTAAAAAATTAATTGGATGGAAGCAAGAATGACTACAAGGAGACTAATTAGAAGGCAGATGAAGTAATCCAGACTAGATGATAGTAGCTGGAATCTGGGGTTGGTTAGTACGGGCAAAGAAAGAAGTAAATGGATTAGAAAGCTATCTGAGTGAATTCTCCACAGTCGCATTTGTTAAGAATTACTCTATGTTTCTAGCCACCACCTTCCTAGGCGGAAAAGAATGAAGGATAAGAATTTTAGAGCAGGGATAGGCAAACTTTTTCTTAATGGATCAGGAAGTAAATATTTTAGGCTTTGTGAGTCACATAGTCTACTATGTGTCCCATGTAGTTGAGTCTACTCCACATATTGAGTCTACTACTCAGCTCTACCACTGTAGTGGAAAAGCAACCACAGACAATATGTAAAGGGATGAACATGGTTGCCCTCCAATAAACCTTTATTTATAAAAATAGGTGTGCATGGGCTATAGTACCAATCTCTAGTTTCAGGAGAAAGATGAGTTCAGCTTTTAATTGTTAGTTTCAAGGTGCCTCAGAGGCATCAAGTAGTGAGAGCTATATAAGAAGCAACTGGATATGTAATCCTGAAGTTCAGAACAGATACATACATTTGAGATTGGTCAGAAAAGTGGCAATAGGCCAAGTGTAGTGGCTCATGCCTGTAATCCCAGCACTTTGGGAGGCCGAGGGGAAGGACTGCTTGAGCCCAGGAATTTGAGACCAGTCTAGGCAAAATAGTGAGACCCCCGTCTCTACAAAATATAAAAAAGTAGGCAGCTGTGGTGGCACACACCTATAGTCTCACCTATTCAAGAAGCTGACGTGGGAGGAGCACTTGAGCCCACGAGGTTGACGTTGCAGTGAGCCATGACTATGCCACTGCACTCTAGCCTGGGTGATAGAACAAGACCTTGTCTCAAAAAATAATAATAATAGTAAAAGAAAAAAGAAAAGGTGGCAATTGACGCCATGAAAAAAAGTAAGATTGCCCAGGGCAAGTTAGCACAATAAAAAGAGGAAATGTCCTACTCAGGACCCAGAATAAAACCCCCATTTAAGGAACAAAGATAGGAAGAACAATCGGGAAGGAATCTAAGAATGGCATTCAAAAAAGCCAAAAAACACAAAAACTAGAACTGAGTAATGTGCCAAAAGTGAGTATCTCATGAGAGAAGTATGGACTGACCAAGAGACTCAAATGTTGCTCAAAGATTGATATAAGATCAGAATTCAAAATTACATATTGATTTAACAAAGGGAAGAGGTTGCTGGTAGCTTTGCAAGAGAAATTCAGTAGGAATGAGGAAAGAAGCTAGACGGCAAGAAAAGATTAAGTGAAAGATACAGAAATGAAAGTGAGGAAGGACAATTCTAAGAGCTTTGGCACTGAAAGGGGAAGAGAGAAAGAAGGTGGCAACTAGCTGTAGAGTGATAGGGGTGATGGTGCTTTACGAATGGAAGAAATGTTTGTTTCTTTCCCACTAAACTGTGAGAACTATGATACGCAGATCATGTGTATCTCATCACCACATCCTTCCCACATAACTGAGTGACCAACACATTTGTTCACTGAGCATTTTTAATAGCAATGATAACAAAAGGAGCTAAAAGATGAGGAGAATTTTAAGACACAGAAGAGAGAAAAGATAATCAGTAAAACCATAGCCTGTGAAGGCTATAAAGAATACATTTGGAGCGTAGGAGGAGGAACTGGCTTTCCAGAGGATGTGGAACACCTCTTCCTTGTAACAAGTGGGAAGAAACAACATGGATACACATAGATAAAAGTAAATGCAGGTAAATATGGGCAAGAAGCTGAGGATATTTATTAACTAGGGGGCAAGTTTTCTAATCGTCCTCTAATGCATGAAATGATCTTGCACAATGAAGAACAACCCAACACAGAATGCCAAAAGTAACAATACGAAATGCTGAAATGAAGAGTTCCTGCAGGCTAAGTCAAATCGCAAGGTTAAAACTCTACATGAGGACTCTCTTCTAACTAGAAAAAAACAGAATAATTTCTCATGGGAAAAGGAGAAGTTGCATACTTCAATTTCTGCATTTCTCCCTCAGAAGCCTTCAGCTGCAGAAGGCCCTTGCTAAATGTTTGCAATATACAATTACCTATAGCTATACCACTTTCACCAGAAACATGATCCTAACTTACATATTATGCACATGGAGAGAAGCTCAAGATAAAGATATACAGAGAAACTCTTAATGTTTAACACATGAAACACATACCACTATTAAATGCAGTCCAGAGATCTGACAGTACATTTTTTAATCACCAAATTTTTTCCTATGAAAGTCTGAGTCACTGCTGATTCATTAAATACAATGCTCAAACAGTTTCTCACTCTTTTTAACTTATGCTATTTAAAACAATCCAAGTTGGCCAGGCACAATGGTTCACATCTGTAATCCCAACACTTGGGAAGGCCAAGGCGGGAGAATCACTTCAGCCCAGGAGTTTGAGACCAGCCTGGGCAACACGGTGAGACCCTCATCTCTACAAAATAAAAATAATTAGTCAGGTGTGGTGGTGTGTGTCTGCAGTCCTAGCTACTTGGGAGGCTAAAGAAGGAGGGATTCTTGAGTCATGGCGAGAGGATCATTTGAGCCTAAGAGTTCAAGGTTACAGTGAGCTATGACTGCACCACTGCACTCCAGCCTGGGCAACAGAGTGAGACCTCCATCTCTAAAAATAATAAAATAATCCAGTTAAAAACACTGATTTCTGGCCGGATGCAGTGACTCACGCCTGTAATCCCAGCACCTTGGGAGGATGAAGCAGGCAGATCACCTGGGGTCAGGAGTTCGAGACCAGCCTGGCCAACATGGTGAAACCCTGTCTCTACTAAAAATACAAAAATTAGCTGGGCATGGTGGCAGGCACCTGCAATCCCAGCTACTCGGGAGGCTGAGGCAGGAGAATCGCTTGAACCCAGGAGGCAGAGGTTGCAGTGAACCGAGATTGCATCATTGCACTCCAGCCTGGGCGACAAGAGCAAGACTCCATCTCAAATAAATAAATAAATAAATGTAAAAACACTGATTTTTTAAACATATATACATGTATGTATGTGCGTGCATATGTGTGTGTGTGTGTGTATATCCCAAAAAAGCAATAGTTACATTTTATCTTATACTTTTGACAAAATGTTTAACTTGAAGACATATACAATAAAAGTTAAAGTAGCTTCTCACCTTGACTACTCCATCAAAGCCAGGGATTGTATTAACCTCTGCTTTCTTAGCTAATAATTTGCTTTCAATCTTGTCGCCCATGGCTTGAATAGCATGTGTGTCAGGTCCAATGAAAACGACATCTTCTGCTGCCTGTGGAGAAAAACAAGTCAAAATTTATAACAAGAACATTACGGAGCATGATGTGGAGTCACAATTTTATAAAAGAAAAGCCCATATGTGTATTTTCTAATTATTTTTATTGCAGAAACAACAGTTTTTGAGCCAACACATTAAAATACTATATTGCATATAGTACATGTGTGGATAGATGCATGCAACAAAGTCAAATGAAAACAACCAAAAGCACTGAAGAACTCCTTCTGGGTAAACAGTGTGCCTCGGAAAAGTCACTCTATGACACTGTATTTGTATATAACGTCCTACACCACCTAATCTAGCCAGTAAGGTCACCCGTAAACACCTTATAAATCTCTGTGTTCTCAATAGCCTGCAGCATAATGCCTAGTATAACACAAATATCCATATTTCCTGAATACCAATTCTGTGCCAGGCTCTGAGCTAAACACAGGAGATAACATGGATGAAGACAACAGGATATCAACAATTTCCAGGAAACGTGAACAGATCACTGACACCTCAGAGAAATAGACAAAAGAAAGTACATGTTTGCATCCTGTGACTATAAAAGATGAGTCAAAAATCCAGTGGGAATTTAACTGGGTAGAGTTCAGTTTCAATCAAAACCACTCTGCACAAACCACACTGAATACCTTGACAATGGATCTACCTCTCTTGTTTATGCCACTCTAATTTAAAAAAAAAAGCTAGTGACTTAAATAGATCTAGAGACAGAACAAAATATGATGCCATTAGCTCCACCACAGGGCATGGTCTAGAAAAGTAATGGGGGTATTTGCTGAGATAAAGGATGAAGTCATTACATAAAGAACTGAAGGTAAATATAAAATGGGAAAAACCAGACCTATATGCAGGCCTTCCTCGAGGAAGGCGCCTAACTGCTGATTGTCCTACGACCTTGTCAGAGTTGGTATAAACAATAAACTGCATATTTGTATATCACTTTTACATCACCTGTTCATTCCATGTTAGCGTTGCTGCCTGCAAAGAATCTTGACTTGGGAAAAAAGGTTCATTCTCCTGGTGACCAGGGCAGCTGAGTAGCCTGTTGCTTGGACTGCTCTCCTGGCCATCATGACCAAGAGGATTAAACCCACCCCGAGCAGGAAGTAGAAGTAGAACAAGGAATAAACACAAAGAATATACAAGGAGATAAATATTTAAGAGGCGAGATGATGACTCCAACTTTGCACACGCTGAGCTGACAGGCCTCTGCAATAGTCAAGTATTCATGTTCAGGAGGCAGATATAGAGGTATAGGGGTTATTAGACAAGTCCAGGCTGAAACACAGATTTTTTCTTTTTTGAGACAGAGTCTCACTCTGTCACCAGGCTGGAGTGCAATGGCACAATCTTGGCTCACTGCAACCTCCGTCTCCCGGGTTCAAGCGATTCTCCTGCCTCAGCCTCCCGAGTAGCTGGGACTACAGGAGCGCGCCACCACGCCCAGCTAATTTTTGTATTTTTAGTAGAGATGGGGTTTCACCATATTGGCCAGGATGATCTCGACCTCTTAATCTCATGATCCACCAGCCTCCGCCTCCCAAAGTGCTAGGATTACAGGCATGAGCCACCACGCCTGGCCAAAATACAGATTTTTAAAGGCATCAAATACAGGACGGAATTAAAAGCTGTGAATGGCAGTCCGGGTGTGGTGGCTCATACCTGTACTCCCAGCACTTTGGGAGGCCGAGGAGGGCAGATCTTGAGGTCAGGAGATCGAGACCATCCTGACCAACACAGTGAAAGCCCGTCTCTACTAAAACTACCAAAAATTAGCTGGGCGTGGTGGCATGCGCCTGTAATCCCAGCTACTTGGGAGGCTGAGGTGGGAGAACTGCTTGAACCCAGGAGTCAGAGGTTGCAGTGAGCCGAGATGGAGCCACTACACTCCAGCCTGGCGACAGAGCGAGACTCCATCTCAAAAAAATAAATACAAAAATAAAAGTTGTGAATGAAATCATTCAGAGAAAATGAGTAGAAAAGCCAATGTCTTTAAATTCAAGAGGTATGCTTCTCTCCTACCCAAAAGCAAAACAAAAGAAAAGGGAAATTTTAGACCCTGAGTCTAAAGCACCCATTTCTTTGAGTGACAATGTGGATAATATCTGACTTTTAAGTTTGATTAAAGAATTAAATAAAATAATGTACAGGAGGAAAACTATTATTTTCCTTCTACCCTTCTAAGTTTATGGCTAGGGCACCTATTACAAAAGATAGTTTACCAAAAAAACAAGCATACACATTTACTTAATTGTAAGTTGTACGTGACACCGGAGCCTGCATAAGGAAATGAAAATCCAAAGAAACAGTTAAACTTGAGTGTTTTTATACAGGGTTGATGAGGACTGGTGAGTTATGGAGAAATGATAGCACGGAGAGCAAGAGGTAAGTATCATAAACTGGGGGAAACTACTCAGATTACTCTGCGTCCTTTTCTCTATGGGGATGAGGATGCTCCTCTCTTCCAGATACAGGAAGGGCATCTCTCACATGAAGGTCTTAGGATCTGGTTCAGAGAAGGTCAGAAAGTCCCTCCTAGGTCTTAGGACCTGCTTCAGGGAAGAGAGGAAGGGGAAGGTCAGAGACCTTCGTGCTTCTGCTGTTTTCTCCAAATCCTTCAGCTTATATGCCAAGGTGCCAAATTTGGGAGTAGCATGTCCTAAACCCCATCAATAATAATATAAAGCACCAAGTTGAGTGCCACAACTGTTAGTTTTTGTCCACTCTCCAGAAGTCTTGATAAAAAGAAGACATTAGAATGGCCGGGCACAGTGGCTCACACCTGTAATCCCAGCACTTTGGGAGGCCAAGGCAGGCAGATCACCTGAGGTCAGGAGTTTGAGACCAGCCTGACCAACATAGTGGCCTCTACTAAAAATACAAAAATCAGCTAGGCATGGTGGTGCACGCCTGTAATCCCAACTACTCTGGAGGTTGAGGCAGGAGAATTGCTTGAACCTGGGAGGTAGAGTTTGCAGTGAGCCAAGATTGCACCACTGCACTCCAGCCTGGGCAACAGAGTGAGACTCTGTCTCCAGAAAAAAAAGAGGACACTAGAATAATAAGATAGCTAGGTCCACAGGACTCTAAAATAATATTATAGGAACCCAAATGCCTAGAATTTGCTGGTGTTACAAGTGGCAGGATGCTAGACAAGAAACCCTTTCAGCCCTAAGAGGTGCTTATAAAGTATCTCTCTATCAAATGTTTCTGTATTTGGTTTTAGTAGAACCTTATTTTCATGGAAAAAAAAAATCTTATGCAAATCCCCAAAAATGTAAAGCACATACGTAGGAAGTAGCGCTGCTCTGTATGAGGAGATAATAGAGGTAAGCCTACACCTCTATCAACTCTACGTCTCCAGGTGGATACATGAATCATTTCGGACCAGGACAATAATCATATTCATTTCTCTTTATCCAAAACCTGAAACCCACTAAACACTAAGTAAAGACAAGAGGAAACAATCATGCTTCAACCATCAATTGTCTTTCCATATTCTCATTTTACTTGCAAAGATGGAAAATTTTATTATAAATGCTGCTTTAAAAACGACTATGCCAGGCAGATGTAATCAAGCAATCAGAGTACCCACACAAAGAATTGAAGAAATAACATAAATGAGAACATCCAAAATACATTATGATTATACAGTAAAACTTCTGATTAACAGGAGCCCAACGACCTGGAACACTGATTAACCAGATTTTTCTTGTGCATTCTAATTTGAGGAAAATTACTCACCCAAAAATGTAAAATTGTCAAAAAAAAAAAAAAAAAAGCTTATATCAAGTATTTAGTGACTATTTTTTGTCCCACCCAATACAAAAGAAAAATAGCCAGTAGTATGCTGGATAACTACAAATGTTTCAAAGACTTAACTTCCTTTTTATCAATGTGTTTTGGAAGTGCTCCCTAGATTGGCCTTTAAAAGTAATTAAAGCAAAATGAGAAAGCAACATTAGAGGCTCTTGGCTCCCATAAATCTGTAACCAAAAAGGATGAGGTCAGGATAAGAGAGTATGGTAACTGCAGTGTGATGGAGCATGTTTCAAATGTTTTCAGTTCTTGACCAGGCAGCGGTGTGACTTAGAATAAAAGGCCAGATTTTATCCACTAGTAACCTTCGATACTCTTCTGTTAACCCGGTATTTTTTGTTATCCATCTAATTATCAGTTTCCCTTAATCACTGTAAGTTTTTTGTTATGCAATAGCAACTAAATTTGTTTCCAAAAATATGCTTTTTAAGGTCCTTTTAAATTTACCTTGCATGATACATATAATATCTGAATACAAGTAAATGTCTTATGATCACAAAAAGTGGGCATTTTTCATCATTAAAGTGATTCATTTAAAAAAAAAAAATTATGAGCCAAGTGTGCCTGTAGTCCCAGGTACTTGGAAGGCTGAGCCAGGAGTATCTCTTGAGCCCAGATACTGTTCAAAGCTGTTGTGCGCTATGATGGCACCTATGACTAGCCACTACACTTCAGCATGGGCAACACAGCAAGACAAAAGAAGAGAAAGAAATTATGAAAAGCTGAAATCACTGCTCCAAAATTCTACTCATTTCCTAAATTCTGTGACTCTATGGTTCTGGACAAATTTTAATAGAAGAATGGGGGAAAGGGTTGGGTTTGAGCAGTATGTTAAGGAAATGAGATTTAATTTACCATAGGCTTTATGTCAGGAATGAAGGACAGAAAGAATCATTGTAAAAATTAAAATGTATGATACATATTTCATTCTTAGAAATACCACAAGTTAGTAAATTGCTATATTATGAATTCAGATTTTAAAGCGTATAGATTTTAGGCTTACCAAGAGTTGCTACTTGGATAACTACAAAACCAGGGTCAGAAGAAAAAGACAGCCATGGGGCTGGGCACAGTGGGTCACGCCTGTAATCTCAGCACTTTGGGAGGCCGAGGCAGGTGAGCTGCACGAGCTCAGGAGTTTGAAACCAGGCTGAGCAACATGGCAAAAACTTTTCTCTACAAAAAATATAAAAATTAGCCAGGCATGGTGGTGTATACCTGTGGTCCCATGTGGTCCCAGCTACTCAGGAAGCTGAGGTAGGAGGATTGCTTGAGCCCAGCGGGTAGAGGCTGCAGTGAGCCGAGACTGCACCGCTGCACTCCAGCCTGGATGACAGAGCAAGACCCTGTCTCGAAAAAAAAAAAAAAGCCACGGAAAAACAGCTGAACTGTCCAAAAGATCCAGATTGTGGTTTTTAATACTATTCCATGATAAAAGAAAAGAGTGTTTCTGGTAGAAAAGGCCAGTTCCAGGATTGGTTCAGGAAGTTAGCACATGAGATAAACTGAGTCAGAAAGAAAGCTTTCAAAAACTAATGTAGCAGATAGAAAGGAGCACCCACTGAATATAGTGATGTCAATAGGAACATCAAAAAGAATACTGGGGAGATTACAGGGTTAATTCATTCTTTTCAAGACCTCAGAATAAACCACTTCCTGCTATCTCTACTCGTGTTTGAACTTCTTGGACATGAGTCACTGATTTTAAAATACATGGCTCTTTAAAAAGAAATGTAGAGAAAAACCAATTTTACACATTAAACTAAGTGAAATAAAATATCAAGGTAAAATCCAACATAATTTTTTTTGTTTTTTGTCTTGATACGAAGTCTCACTCCGGAGTGCAGCGGTGCAATCCTGGCTCATTGCAATCTCCGCCTCTTGGGTTCAAGCAATTCTCCTGCCTCAGCCTCCAAGTAGCTGGGACTACAGGCACCCCCCACCATGCCGGGCTAATATGGTTTTATATTTTTAGTAGAGACAGGGTTTCACCATGTTGGCCGAGCTGGTCTCGAAATCCTGACCTCAAGTGATCCACCCGCCTCGGCCTCCCAAAGTTCTGGGATTAAAGGCGTGAGCCACCATGCCTGGCCCCAATACAATGTTTTTATAAGGCAAAGAAAAAGGGACCAGAGTAACATCCATGTAGGGCAGGAAAGCACAGGAGAAAAACATACCAATACAATAGATCAAAACTATCATCTCATTTCTTTTTTTTTTTTTTTTTGAGACGGAGTCTCACTCTGTCACCCAGGCTGGAGTGCAGTGGCGCGACCTCAGCTCACTGCAACCTCCACCTCCCAGGTTCAAGCAATTCTCCTGCCTCAGCCTCCCAAGTAGCTGGGACTACAGACGCGCACCACCACGCCCGGCTAATTTTTTTTGTATTTTTAGTAGAGACGGAGTTTCATTATGTTGGCCAAGCTGGTATCGAACTCCTGATCTCGTGATCCGCCTACCTTGGCCTCCCAAAGTGCTGGGATTACAAGCGTGAGCCACCGCACCTGGCCTATCATCTAATATTTCAAAACAAGTTAAAAGACATTTTTAAGTGACACATAACATAAAATAGTATAAATCAGATTTAGAAAAGCTCAGAAATGAGATGACAGAACTCAGGATACAACTAGAAATGAAAAAGAAAATCATTCCAGAAATGAAAACAGCTACAAAGAATGTAAGAGTGAATAAGGAAAACAGACAATGCCTTATGAGAAAGACAAATTGAAAATAAAAATATTTAATTTAAATATAAAAAATGAATAAATAATACAGAAGATGAGAAATATTGAAAATAAAAAAGAACATCCAACATATGAATAATAGGAATCCTTGAAGAGAACCAAAGCAAAAAAAAGAGCAAATATTAAAAATACAACTCAAGAAAATTTACTTGAACTAAAAATACATATTAAAAGACCACACTACAGGAGAAATTCATTCCAGGATGACCAACATACCAAGAAAAATTCTAGCAATATTACTTAAGTAAAAGAAAATGAAAAAAAAAAAAACAGGAATAGGTAACTTATACAAAAGAGAAATTTAAATAATCATCAGACTTTGACAGCAACATTTTATACCAAAAGAAAATGGAATAATAAACTCTTTTGAGTAAGAAATTCAAGGAAAGAAAGTATGAGCTAATAATTTTATGTTCTTTTCGTGGAACAGGGTCTTGCTCTGTTACCCAGCCTGGAGTGCAGGGGTGCCATTATAGTTCACTGCAGCCTCAAACTCCTGGGCTCAAGTGATCCTCCCATCTTGACCTCCCAAGTAGCTAGGCCTACAGATGTGTACTGCTGTGCCCAGTTTTTTTTTTTTTTTTTTTTGGGTAGAGATGGAGTCTTGCTATGTTGCCTATGATGGTCTCAAACTCCTGGCCTCAAGTGATCCTCCTGCCTCAGTCTCCCAAAGTGTTGGGATTGCAGGCATGAGCCACCAGGCTGAGTCAAGCTAAGAATTTTAAATCCATAGAAGTCAGTGCAACTATGAAAGGCAGAGAAAATTTAACAACATGCAAGAACTCATAAACTCTGAGAAGTCCAATACAACAGAGGTTTGCAAACTAGTGTGTAGGCCAAATCTGGCCCATTCACTCCCTGCTTTTGGTTTTTTTTTTTTTTTTTTTTTTTTTTTTTTTGAGACGCAGTTTCAGTCTTGTTGCCCAGGCTGGAGTGCAATGGTGCAATCTCAGCTCACTGCAACCTCCAGCTCCCGGGTTCAAGCGATTCTCCTGCCTCAGCCTCCCAAGTAGCTGGGATTACAGGCATGCACCACCACGCCCAGCTAATTTTGTATTTTTAGTAGGGACGGGGTTTCACCATGTTGGTCAGGCTGGTCTCAAACTCCTACTTCAGATGATCCGCCCACCTCAGCCTCTCAAAATGCAGGGATTACAGGTGACAGCCACCACACCTAGCCTCACTGCCTGTTTTTGTACAGTCCATGATCTAAGAAAAGATTTTACTAATTATTGGGGGTGGGGGTTAGGCAAAAATTTTTTTAAATACTGTATCATTACACATAAAAATTATATGAAACTGAAACGTAGCCACCATGCTCATAGTTTACACTGTCTGTGATTGCTTTCTCACTATAAGAATAAGAATGAGTACTAGCAGAGATCATAGGGCCTACAAAGCCAAAAATATTTCCCCTCTGGCTCCTTACAGAAAAGGTTTGCCCACTCCTGTACTAGAGAATGAGCTTCAGGAAACTAAAATGACAAAAGAGATATCAACAAAAAGAGTCGGGATTTACTTGTAGAGCTAAAACTAAATGAAAGCTAAGGAGATATATATATAAAACCTTATAGATAACAGCCACATTTTCTGACAATATAGATATAGTACAACTTTTTTTTTAATATTACAGGAAGATTATGTACAAATACATTTTTAATGTTTTTAGTAATCATATTGGTAGTGGTATTAACATTGTTATCCTGAGATTGCTCTGTGTATAGCACAGGACAAGACAAATAAGCAATTGTGAGATACTCTAATTCTGTCATTTCCCCTATCCTTGAGAGTCAGAATTCTGAATCCAGAAGAATGAAGATACACAGAGGCAACAAAGAGGTTAAAGTTCTGCAATTTTGAATTGTAATGGAAAATATTGCTATGAACACAGGAGTTGTTTTGTCTCACATAAAATGTAGACTTTATTTAATTATACTTCTATATTGTTATATACATTATATATGAGAAAAATGTTATGTGCATTTTATTAATACAGTATGATTATTATAATATAAATTTGTTTTATATACATACCCTATTTTGGGTTAGGGTTGGCATTATATTTAAACATATTTATATAGTAAATATATTGCCATATGGTATATATTTTATTAATATAATATAGTTAAGATAACATATTGTATTATAAGCAATATACATATATAACATAAAACGTATATGTTAAAAACCTGTTAATATATATGTATATTTTTTTTCCTAGCCTGCAACTAAAAAGGCTTAAAATGACCAATCAGTAGCAATGACCATGCCTAGTACCCCAACTGTGATCTCCAAATACCATTAGAAGAAGCCAAGGCATTTTGAAAAGATGGCTGATTAGAGTTGAACAGAAGGCCAGGCACTGTGGCTCACGCCTGTAATCCCAGCACTTTGGGAGGCCAAGGCGGGTGGATCACGAGGTCAGGAAATCGAGACCATTCTAGCTAACATGGTGAAACCCCATCTATACTAAAAATACAAAAACAAAATTAGCCAGGCATGGTGGCAGGCTCCAGCAGTCCTACTCAGGAGGCTGAGGCAGGAGAACAGTGTGAACCCGGGAGGCAGAGCTTGCAGTGAGCCAAGATTGCGCCACTGCACTCCAGCCTGGGTGACAGAGTGAGACTCTGTCTCAAAAATAAATAAATAAATAAATAAAAATAAAGAGTTGGAACAGAAAATGTAAAACATGAGCCTGGAATGTCCTGTCAGATCAGATAGTAAGGAAGCTAGAGAAGATTATGAGGTCAAGTCAAAAAGACCCGTGAGTCAACTTAAGCCCCACGGACCAAAGAGGAACAACTTGACTTCACAGTAATTTCAACAGTATGACTTCATAGTGATTTCTTCAAAAGAATTGGCTAACTTCGAGGGATGATAAGGAACCAATCATTACTTCAGAAATAGTAAATAAAGGTAAAGAATTAAGCATTTATCTTGCTTCTCATATATGAATTGTACCAGTGGTAATAAAACAGTAAATGAGAAGAAGGGTTTCTTTCTAAATATATTCCAATTAACTAATGAAAAAAATGTTAGCATTAAACTACCAAAATTTTGTAATCCAATAAATTACTAGATATGGGCAGTAAGCATCAAAGTCTGCTTATATCTTAAAAAGAGCTAAAAAGACATTATGTGCCTCCTATAGTCTTCATCAAAGGCATCAAATCCAAGTCTGATCCCATCTCTGAATTCAAGTGCCAATTTGTAGGAAACACCAAGAATGGGGGAAACCACTGAGCTATAGCATCGCCATGCAGTGAGCTAAGTCAAGACTGGGGTAAGACTCTGTAAGTCAAACACCCAAGTTCTTCAACAGATAAGTCATGAAGAAAAGGAAGCAAGAGGAGCCTACAGACTAAGATTTTAAAGACTTATCAAATTTAAAAATAAATGGACAAGACTTAAATATTGTGTCCAAGGTGGCACATTTGGACAATAAAATTATTTTTAAACGCAAAAAAAAATGATTACTATAAAAGCCAAAGGAATGGGTATGTTTAGAGAGAGGCCGGAGGTTAGCACTGAGATGGGTCACACAGCTTTCCAGGATTCAGGGTAAACATCTGCGTCTGGACCTATTTCATGATTTCAAAATAGTTCGCCCTATAATAGTTCATTAAGCCATAGGTTTCTTTTGTATAGTTCTCCTGTAACTGCCTTTTATTTTACAATAAAAATTTTGAAAACTATTTCAGAGTAGCCACCAACTTATAGGAGTGAAATCAACACACGGACTAGGAGCAGCTTCAGCAGCTCTATGCCCAGTGAAGTGTTTCTCAAGCCAGTTTGCCAGCCTCTTCCAGGGACTTTAGGCTTAAAAAAAAAAAAAAAAAAAATTGTAAAGTACATTCTTATGTTTGGCTGGGATGCTTCAGTAAAGATTCTCATTTTGTACAAAGTGAACCATGGTGAAATGTTTACTTAGCACTAAAGGTTAAATGTGGCAACTGCAGACCGGGTGTGGTGGCTCACTCCTGTAATCCCAGCACTTTGGGAGGCCGAGGCGGGCAGATTACCTGAGGTCAGGAGTTTGAGACCAGCCTGGTCAACATGGTGAAACCCCGTCTCTACTAAAAATATAAAAAATAGCCAGGCATGGTGGTGTGCACCTGTTATCCCAGCTACTCGGAAGGCTGAGGCAGGAGAATCACTTGAGCCAGCAGGCAGAGGTTGCAGTGAGCCAAGATCATGCCATTGCATTCCAGCCTGGGCAACAAGAGCGAAACTCGTCTCAAAAATGAATGAATGAATGAATGAATGAATGAATGAATGAATGAATGAACGTGGCAACTGCAAAGTATGAAAACATTTGTTTCACTTGTTTGGACATGGACAGCCAGAACAGGAACTCACCTCTGCAGCATTACCATGTCCAAAACACTCAAGCTTTGCTCTTTAATCAGAGATTCAATCTCACTCCTGGGTTGCAAAGAAGAAGAATGTTCCCATTGCCATGAGTGCTGCTGAAATCACAGACGAGATGAGACTGCATTATCTGAGCAACAGAAACTGGGCATCAGGCCACCTGCACCAGTATTATGGAGACCGGCTCTGTAAAGGTCTGGGTACCACCAAATCAGTGATGAAATGAGAAGCAAATGAATAGAGAACAACTCATCCTCCTCCCTCTTTCTTCCTTACCTTTTTACTACCTCCACTTTATGCTCCTGCGGCAAGCTGTGCAACACTGTGTATTGAGTGCCAGGAGCTGTACACTGTGCTGTAAATGTGGCAGACACACCTGCAAACAGATTTCTTAACGAATGTAAATAGTTTTGGTTTCCAACAAGGCCATTTCTGGTACTCCTACGCAATATTACTCAGACTTTTATTTTTTTTAATTGGAAAACAAGTCAGTTTAGCACCAGGATGAAATCTGGGGCATGTTAGTATCTGGACTCCAAAGAGTTACTGCATAAAAGAAGAATGGCCCCTTCTCCCAGCTTTTAGGTGTTAAAATTTACTTTGGCAGTTGGTTTTTAACCTGAACTCAGTGTACTTTAAACAATAATCATTAAAAATAAAAGATAAGGCTGGGCACAGTGGCTCATGCCTGTAATCTCAGCACTTTGGGAGGCCAAGGTGCCTGGATCACAGCCTGACCAACAGGGTGAAACCATCTCTACTAAAACTACAAAAATTAGCTGGGCATGGTGGCATGCTCCTGTAATCCTAGCAACTCAGGAGCTGAGGCAGGAGAATCTATTGAACCTGGGAGACAGAGGTTGCAGTGAGCCAAGATCACACCACTGTGCTCCAGCCTGGGTGACAAAGCGACACTCTGTCTCAAAAAATAAAATTAAATTAAAATAATAAAAGGTAAAGCCCAGGAGTTCAAGATCAGCCTGGACAACACAGTGGGGCCCTGTTTCTACAAAAAAAAATTTAAAAATTAACCAGGCATGGTCCCAGCTACACAGGAGGCCAGGGCAGGAGGACTGCTTGAGCCCAGGAGGTCAAGGCTGCAGTGAGCCATGTTCACACCACTGCACTCCAGCCTGGGCAACAGAGCAAAATCTTGTCTCAAAAATAAATATATAAAAATAAAAGATAAGGAGAACATTTGAATGCTGAGAGGGGAGAAACATTCCTAGTGTCATTTTTGTGATCCTGGGTAAGTTCCAGTCCCCTGGGTAAGGATGTGCACTGGTACTAGTCAACACTGCACTGGAAGTCCTGAGTCTGTGCAATGGTGACAACACATTAGAGAAGACTGGAATATAAATCCTAATTAATTTTCCCCAACATTGACTGTGGGGCATCAACAAAGGTAGGAAGGAGCAGAATAACCTAGAAGAGGATGCCCTCAGCCTCTCACCTACTACATTTATAGGAGTCATTTTCTTTAACTCTTACCAGCTCATTGTAAATTAAAACCCAATTTAGCTGATTCATTAGGATAAGAACATAAATGGATGTGATTGCTATGGGAGATGGGTAGTGGAAGGGGGTAAAGGTTCTATTATTTTAAAATTCAAAAGTAAAAACTTATAAACCCACACGATTTTTAAATGTTTGGGATGCTAATTGCAAATTCAATTAAAATCTAATGACATACTCACAAACTGTATTTAATTTATAGTACACTGTACACTATGACTTAGTTTAACCAAAGGAACCTGTGTCTTTCTGTTTCAGTATTACTGGGATCTGGATTTCATTTAGTCTAAAGTATATTCTGTATTAAGTGTCTACTGGCACAATGCACTGAAGTAATACTATTACTTCCAGATGATAGCTATGTACGGTATTTAGTTAGGGAAAGAGAACAGTGGTAACTTTCCCCACTGTAACTGTCGGCAGAAGTTAAGTTTCCCACTTAAGTATATTTTAAGGAATATATTATAGTTAAATATAAAACCTTGTTTCTCCTACACTGATGGGGAGTGAGTATTACAGCAATAGAAAACTTTCTGTTTTTAATATCTGGCAATTAAATGATTTCCATTTCTACTTTTTAGCAAACATTAAGTCAAAAAATTGTTCAATTTCTTTTATTAAATGTTTCGGGTTTCTGACCAAGGTACTTAGAACAAACAAGAGTTTTTTGGTATTGATTACTTTAATAAAAACCATTTCAACAAACAAACTATAAATCTCAATATCTTTGTACTTTCCTGGTAAGCTTTTCAAATTTATGGAGGAAACTTTTTATTTTAAAAAATTTGAATTACTATGTTCGTTATTAATTTTGGAAATGTTCTTTCTATTCCTAGAAGACTAAGATTAAAGTATGTTAGTGTTTTCCATTTCTTTTGTGCATATTTGATTTTTTCTTTTTATTTCCCTGTAATCAGCACTGATACCACTTCCAGAGTCTCATTGATTGTAAAGAAGAAAGAGCCTGGGTGGGTAAGCCTCACATTCTTCACTCTTTGTGCACATCAGGATACTAAAAAGAGATGAGTTAACATAAACCTGAGTAGGCTGTTAACCTTTTTCTCTTCGGGAAATGTAGATGCAATAACATTTCCAGTTGAAAGACTTATTCTGAGTTCCTAATGTTTAAGAATGCAAATGAAGTATTTTGTCTTCTCTGTGCCTGGAGGTGTTAGGTAAGAAAATAGAAAGAGGTTTCTAGGATTAGCTCCACAGATTTCCTTTATCATGTAAAACCTTAGACTGGTTGCACTGACAAGAATCAAAGAAAGGCAATATAGAAGATACCCAGAGAAAATTCAGTAACTTGTTCAGCAATAACACTGAGAAAATTTGAGTTAACAAAAACAAGCTTTGGGATGAATTTTAGCCTCCCTCCTTTAAGGAAATGCTAGCTTTAATATTAGAACGCTAATGAAAATACTTTGCCAAATACTGTTAATCAGTTTAAATAACACTAAATTTCCTTAGGTGAAATGCTTAAATGTATCACTCAACTATTTTTCAGAAGTTTCTTTCTGCTTTACATAATAATAACAATAATGCTTTAATTAAACATATCGATACAAATTTTAGTTTTTCTTTTAGATGTATCTTTTAAGAAGATGAGGTAAGAAGAAGGTAAGAAGCTTCACATTTAAATTTGGTATACATTGCTAAGGTCCTCCTCATGGAAGCTGATCACAAGGATTTGTTTTGAAGTTGTAATTTCTTTCCTCTATACCTCATATAAAATGCTTTTATTTTATATCCCTATTTTATATCATTTTAAATTTGAATATTTAAAATGAGCTGTTTTCATTTCTCCCTGATTCAATTCTTTTTATTGTTTCATGAACAGGAATATTAATTGGTACCTTTTTGGTTGCAAAATAATATTTTTCCAGTTAAACTTTGGAATATAACTTACAATAACTATGAATATAATTGGCAATTTTACAGTATAAGCAAAAAAATGAAGATTTGATAACACTTCACTTAGCATGAGGGTCTCTTGCTGTAAATGCCCAATGCCACCCCTTCCTGCTCATGCCTCACAGTCCACTCACACTTAGTGAACTAAGAGTGAAAAAGAACAGAAAGCTGGTAAACTGGTGAAAGGCAAGAGATCTTTTGTTTAGTCCGTCAGATCAGATATTAAATTTAATTTTACGGCCGGGCGCAGTGGCTCACGCCTGTAATCCCAGCACTTTGGGAGGCCAAGGTGGGCAGATCACAAGGTCAGGAGTTCGAGACCAGCCTGGCCAATATGGTGAAACCCCGTCTCTAATAAAAATACAAAAAAAATTAGCTGGGTGTGGTGGCACACGCCTGTAATCCCAGCTACTCGGGAGGCTGAGGCAGGAGAATTGCTTGAACCCGGGAGGCGGAGGTTGCAGTGAGCTGAAGTTGCACCACTGCACTCCAGCCTGGGCGACAGAGGGAGACTCCGTCTCAAAAATAATAATAATAATAATAATTTTACAACTTTTTAATTGGCTTTGTATATTCTCTGAATTGTGTGCTTTTTCTATTTTCTTTGAAAATATTTACAATTTCTTTCAAAATTTACCACAAGTCAAAATCCTCCCACGTCTTGCTTAACCTCGTGTTTTCTGAAATGCATCAAGTTTTTGATCCCATTGCTGGATAGAAATAAGAGTCATATAGTTTAGGTAAAGTATGCTGTACCTACAGTTGGGATATTCTTGTTTTAAGCACTTAATTGCTGTGTTTTACTATAGCCTACATTATAAAGCTTATTTCAAATACTGAGCAAAATATTAAAATAGCAGAGATCATGATTTCTTTTTTTTTTTTTGAGACGGAGGCTTGCTCTGTCACCCAGGCTGGAGTGCAGTGGCACAATCTCGGCTCACTGCATGCTCCGCTTCCCAGGTTTGTGCCGTTTTCCTGCCTCAGCCTCCCGAGTAGCTGGGACTACATGAGCCCGCTACCACGCCAGGATAATTTTTTTGTAGAGACGGGGTTTCACCATATTAGCCAGGATGGTCTCTATCTCCTGACCTCATGATCTGCCTGCCTTGGCCTCCCAAAGTGCTGGGATTACAGGCATGAGCCACCGCACCCGGACTATGATTTATAATTAATTACCTTGAGCACAATTCCTCACAATACTTAGCACTACTCAAACCCTACAACCTGCTAAATTCACCCTTTATTCTGATTAAGAGCAATGATGCAATGAAGTGAAAGTGACAATAAGATGTAGTAGATGGACCCAAGCTGACATTTGTTTATCTGTAGGAAACAATTCTAAGTTTAAAAATGAATTAAAAGAACAAGGAATATAATGATACTAACAAAAACTACAATATTTATTTACTTATTTCATACTATTTAAAAGCACTGTATTAAGTCTCACTTTATTACTAAAAAACCATTTTATAGATTAGCATTTCAGTCATCAGATTCAAATTTGTTTACAAAGTTAGAAAGTCTTCAATTGATTCTAAAACGATATTGTAGTATCTATGACACTTCACAGCTCTCAAGGGCGTTTTTTTATATCTTCTCTTCCTCAAAACACAAAAAGGAGGGGGCCTAAGAAACAGCAGGAAATAAATGGTCATCACTACTTAACATGTCAGTAAAATGAGGGTCTTCAAGATGAAATAAATTACCCACAGTCATTAGACTAGTGAAGTGACAGAGATAAGACTAAGACACAAACCAGCGTTTTGAATCTGCAATTCAATCACCTTCTCAGGCCCATCTCACCTGCTTGTAAACAGGTGCAAGTGGCCTCTGCTTTTTCAATAAGCTAAAGATTACTGGAGAGTAACCAGCCATCAGGTTTGCCTCGCACAGCCTTGAACACATCTATTACTCGGTGTCCTATCTGATTAGCGTCCCTTTTCACTCTCGGAAGCAGGCTGGTTAAGTAGACATGGTTTTCACACTCAAGAGTTTATAGTCTAGTAGAACAAACAACAACACATGTACCAAAAAATAAAAACAATACACGGTAAGAATAGTCAGTGCACTAGAAGAGGTAAAAATCAGACACGGTGAACAGAGTCCAACAAGGGAATCAAGGACGGCTTCACAAAGGAAGGAGCATTTGAGGGGGAAAAGGACAATTAGGATTTGGAAAAGTAGCATGGGCAAGCAAACATTTAAATATTTAGGAAAACACCTCTCTCACTGATCTGTAAACCGTTCTTTTCTTTTTAAGACAGGGTCTGGCTCTATGGAGTGCAGTGGCGTGATCTCAGCTCACTGCAACCTCTGCCTCCCAAGCTCAAGGGATCCTCCCGCCTCAGCCTCCTGAGTAGCTGGGACTACTGGTGCATGCGTAAACAGTTTTTTGATCATCAGAGAATAATAATGATCCTGCAAACAACCAGCACTCATCTATAAGGATCTCCTCTCTTTTTAAGTCTTACAACAACTAGATTTCAATTTTATACGCCTTTGATGTCTGCTTAACACAGTCATGTATTCATTCATCCTACAAATAGCTGCCAACACCAACTCTACGTCAGGCACTGTGGTAAGCCTAGGAATTCAATGATGGACAAGACAGAGGTGCACCAGGACCTCGCTTATTTGACTAACTAGAAGAGAAAATATAACACAATTAAAATCAAAATAAAGCATGAGTACTGTGGTAGAGGAATTAGAAAGTACTCTGGGAAACTAATGGCAATTGAACTAAAGCAAAGATGGATGGGAACTTTGTTAGCCAACTCTACATAAATTTACTACAATGATATTTTCATATGTGAAGTGGCAATATTGCAATTATCAACTGCATAAATAATAAAAGACAAAGGCAATTCTTTCCAAGATACAAATTCCTCCCCCTTTGCTTCAGAGAATTGCTTCCTCCAATTCACATTAAGTACTCTTACAATTTAACACGTTCAGATCACCTGAGATTTGTCTTTCTCAATAATTCCAACCAGAGCCTTCATAGCCTTCTAGATCAAACTTGAAAATGCAGTCTTCTCCTTTCATTAAAGTCAAGCCTTGTAACTGATGAAGGAAAAAGCTGGCATTGTATATAATAGACTAAGCTTCATTTTATGTCAACTACCAGCAAGCGTAAAATCTCAGCAGAATGATATTCTCACAATGTTGTAGCAGCCAGCGTGACTTCCTTGGGTGTATGTTATCACCCCTATTCCCAGCCATTTGAAATATGACTGACACCAACTGTAACCCCTCACTTCCCATGCCACTAGAATCTTACAAAACAAGTGTTGGGCAGGATTTTAAATTATATTCTTGTATAAAAGAAAGTAAGGAATTAGAAGCAGTGGAGTATAAAGGTTAAGAACAGGGACTGTGGAGCCTGCCTTCACTCCAGTTCCACCATATACTACCTGGTTGGCCTTGGACGAGTTCCTTGGCTGCTGTGTGCCTCAGTTTCCCTATCTGTGAGGATATATGATTAATAAATGTAAGACACTTAGGACGGAGGTGACCCGTAGTAAGCTGCGACACAAGTGTGAAGGGACTCCAGAGTCTCAGTCACACCACTATTGGCTGCTGAGGCCTCCCAGCCTTCCTCCCTGGGTGGAGAATTTTCCTGTGTTCCATGGGCCTCATTCCTGAGACAGTAATAGTTCTGCGGTAAAATGCTGTGCACTTGAAACCTTAAGAAGCTTATGAAATCACAACTGTCGTGTGCTGAGATGCACTTCCAACAGCTTGAAATAGTTTACTGACTTTATCATTGCCTTAAACACTTCTAACACAAATAGGGTGCTTGGAAGTACTATGGTTGAGAATGCTTTCTGATTTGAGGAGGGCGTTTTGTTTTGTTTTATTGGAAGCAGGATCTCTCTCTCTGTTGCCCAGGCTAGAGTGCAGTAGTGTGATCACTGCAGCTTTGACACCTAGGGCTCAAGCCATCCTCCCACATCAGCCTCCAAAGTAGCTGGGACTACAGGCGCACACCACCATGCCTGGCTAATTTTTTTGTATTTTTAGTAGAGATGGGGTTTCACCATGGGACCAGGCTGTTCTCGAATTCCTGACCTCATGATCCACCTATCTCAGCTTCCCAAAGTGCTGGGATTACAGGTGTGAACCACCACGACCAGCCCCTTTTTCTTACTTTTTGTAGTGATGGGGTCTCCTTATTTTGTCCAGGCTGGTCCCAAACTCCTAGGCTCAAGCAATCCTCATGCCTTGGCCTCCCAAAGTGCTAGCATAACAGGCATGAGCTTTTTGGTGTTTTGTTTTGGAGACAGGGTCTCGCTCTGTCGCCCAGGCTGGAGTGCAATAGCACAATCTCGGCTCACTGCAGCCTCCACCTCCCAGGTTCAAGCAGTTCTCCCGCCTCAGCCTCCCAAGTAGCTGGGACTACAGGTATATGCCATCACATCTGGCTAATTTTTAGTAGAGACAGGGTTTCACCATGTTGGCCAGGCTGGTCTCGAACTCCTGACCTCAAGTGATCCACCTGCCCAGGCCTCCCAAAATGCTGGGATTACATGCGTGAGCCACCACGCCCAGCCACGCTTTTTGGTTTTAAAGGCTCAGTTTTGACACTGAATTTATCACACTTGACAATGCTTTGACTCTTTATTTTAATAATGCTATTTAATTACAAATCAACTTCAAAAGCCCTTTTGAATTTTTGGCCTTACTATTCACACTAGAAGTTGAACACACAGGAATCACAAGTCAATATAACGCAATAACAGCCATCAAAGATTACGTGCGTGATCTTCAGATAACATTTCATAAGGTCCACCCACCTTATTAATCAGAAAACAGTGCTCTCATTGTATCATATTAATTAGTCATGACACATTTTCAACTATTATAAGAGGAGGCTAGATTCTAGTTAAGACCTGCCAAGAAATGAAGGGCAACACCTCATGAAATGACAACTAATTTGAAATACATTCTCTGTCCTCTTTATATTACCAATAACAAAACCCTAAAGGGATTTGGTACTTTTCCAATATGGCTGTTCAACCTAGCAAAGAATTTTCAAACTAACAACATGTATATTGATTCCAGGGTATTTTTAGTGAGAGGACAGTCTAGAAATGATCTTAAGCTGAAAAAGGTGTGATTTTATGGATTTAAAATAATAATGCAGCCAGGCACAGTGCCTCATGCCTGTAATCCCAGCACTTTGGGAGGCCAAAGCAAGGGGATTGCTTGAGTTCAGGAGTTCAAGAGCAGCCTGGGCAACATATATTTTTTTAAATATAGAGACAAAGTCTTAGGCAAAGAGCTTAAGCAAAGACTTCAAGACCAAGAACCCAAAAGAAAATGCAACAAAAACAAAGATAAAAGATGCGACTTAATTAAACTAAAAAGCTTCTGTACAGCAAAATAAACAATCAGCAAACAGAAAACCCACAGAGTGGGAGAAAACCTTCGCAATCTAAACATCCAACAAACGACTAATATCCAGAATGTACAACGAACTCAAACAAATCAGCAATAAAAAAATGAACAATCCCATCAAAAAGTAGGCTAAGCAGCAATTCCATTACTGGGCATATACTCAAAGGATTATAAATCGTTCTACGATAAACACACATGCACACGTATGTTTACTACGGCACTATTCACAGTAGCAAAGACATGGAACCAACCGAAATGTCCATCAATGATAGAATGGATTAAGAAAATGTGGCACATACATATACCATGGAATACTATGCAACCATAAGAAAGACGAGTTCATGTCCTTTGCAGGGACATGGATGAAGCTGGAAACCATCATTCTCAGCAAACTATCACAAGATCAGAAAACCAAACACCGCATGTTTTCACTCATAAGTGGGAGTTGAACAATGAGAAGACATGGACACAGGGAGGGGAACATCACACACCGGGGCCTGTCAGGGGGTGGGGGGCTAGGAGATGGATAGGATTACGAGAAATACCTAATGTAGCTGACGGGTTGATGGGTGCAGCAAACCACCATGGCACATGTATACCTATATAACAAAACTGCACATTCTGCACATGTACCCCAGAACTTAAAGTATAATTTAAAAAAAAAAAGTGGGCTAAGGACATGTACAGACAATTCTCAAAAGAAGATATACAGATGGCCAACAAACTTCAATATATGCTCACTAAAGATCAGGGAAATGCAATTCAAAACCACAATACAATAGATACCACCTTACTCCTGCAAGAATGGCCATAATCAAAAAATCAAAAAATATTAGATGTTGGCGTGGATGTGGTGAAAAGGGAACACTTTTACACTGCTATTGGGAATGTAAGCTAGTACAACCACTATGGAAAACAGTGTGGAGATTCCTTAAAGAACTAAAAGTAGAACTACCATGTGATCCAGCAATCCCATTATTGGGTGTCTACCCAGAGGAAAATAAATCATTATACAAAAAAGATACTTGCATATGCATGTTTATAGCAGCACAATTTGCAATTGCAAAAATATGGAGCCAGCCCAAATACCCATCAATTGACGAGTAGATAAATACTGGTATATCTACACCATGGAATACGACCACTCAGCCATAAAAAGGAATGAAAAAATGGCATTTGCAGCAATCCAGATGGAATTCATTATTCTTTCTTTCTTTCTTTGTGTTTTTGTTTTGTTTTGTTTTGTTTTGTTTTGTTTTTTTGAGACAGAGTCTTGCTCTGTCGCCAGGCTGGAGTGCAGTGGCACGATCTCGGCTCACTGCAACCTCCACCTCCCGGCTTCAAGCGATTCTCCTGCCTCAGCCTCCCAAGTAGCTGGGATTACAGGCATGTGCCACCACATCCAGCTATTTTTTGTATTTTTAGTAGAGACGGGGTTTCACCATGTTGGCCAGGGTGGTCTCGATCTCTTGACCTCGTGATCCGCCCACCTCGGCCTCCCAAAGTGGAGACCATTATTCTAAGTGAAGTAACTCAGGAATGGAAAACCAAACATCGTATGTTCTCACCCATAAGTAGGAGCTAAGCTACGAGGAGGCAAAGGTATAGGAATGATACAATGGACTTTGGGGACTTGGGGGAAAGGGTGGGAAGGGGGCGGGGGATAAAAGACTACACCTTGGGTACAGTGTACACTGCTTGGGTGGCTGGTGCACCAAAATCTCAGAAATCGCCACTAAAGAACTTATTCATGTAATCAAATACCACCTGTTTCCCAAAAATTTACTGAAATAAAAAGAGTGCCACCCCCATGACACACATTTACCTATGTAACGAACTTGCACATGTACCCCTGAACTTAAAATAAGTTTTTTTCAACAATAAAATAAGAACCTTACAGTACTGAGAAACAATTTTAAAAAATAATTATTGTTGGCATAACTAGTCAAGATATAGCTATAAAAACACTGTTTGACTCTAACTCATGTGTAAATATCCAAATTTAAAAAATACATTCTTTAAAGTAATATAATTCTCTATTATAACTCTGGATGATATCGCAGGTCATCCAGACCTCATATAATGTATTATTCCCCACCTTGTGGTCAGCTTGATGAAAGTGAACAGACTAAAAATAGCATTATTTCCCATATCTGCCCAAAAACCTCTCCAGCCTATCGCAGATCCCAATTGACGTATTACCAAGAATTTCTTCTTCCCATGTTGGTCTGAACATACAAAGTCATAATCTTGATTCGTTCTTACAGTGATTATCCTCTTTCTCCAATTTTTTTAATCATGGAGGATAATACCTAATCCACAAACTCAAAAATTAATAATCAACAGGTATAAATCTATTAAACATCCATGGAATGGAGTATTTTTAAACTTCTTTGTGCTCCAACCCTACATCTATTAGGCTGCCAAATCCTGTATCAGTATAGCTACATTTAGGGTTGCAGGAGTGAGTCCCTGGACTTTTCTACAGCATAATTCAAATATTTTGGGAAAACTAGGAATTTTACAAATCTAATCTAACACTAATGTTTACATAAGCTACTACATGTTACATATGTTTCATCATTGCAATTAATTCTCAATTATCCATTGAAAATTTTGAATTCTGAAAATAATTCCTTCACAGCATCCCTGAACTCACTGCACAATTCTCAATTGGCATATACTTAAGAGAATATAAATCTAGTATTATTAAATATAGTTACTAGGTGATACACATTAAATTGTAGAAAACATTCTCAGATTTCTTCTACACTATCCCTATTTTGTATTTTCTTTTTTTTTTTGTTTTTTTTTTGAGATGGAATCTCACTCTCACCCAGGCTGGAGTGCAGTGATGCGATCTTGGCTCACTGCAACCTCCACCTCCCTGTTCAAGTGATTCTCCTGCCTCAGCCTCCTGAGTAGCTGGGACTACAGGCACGTGCCACCACACCTGAACCATTTTTGTATTTTTAGTAGAGACAGGGTTTCGTCATTTTGCCCAGGGAGGTCTCAAACTCCTGGCCTCAAGTGATCCACCCACCTCAACCTCCCAGAGTGCTGGATTACAGGCATGAGCCACCACGCCCGGCCCCTATTTTGTACTTTCCATATTACTATACATTCCCCATCCATTAGCAGAAATAACTGTACCAAATAATTTTTTTATCCACATGGTCACCCAAAATCTTTCTCGTGGCCATATTCAAATGTGTGCTTATGGACAACACAGACAAGTGTGTATTAAACTAAATATATTTGTACAGATACACAATTGTTTCAAACGCCATATCCAGATCATTGAATAGTCCATTTTTGTCTAACTAAAAAGCCCTACTCTACTTTTGGCCCTTCCCTAATGGATATTTTTACTAAATACTTGTATAACGCCACACAAAGACACTGATTGCCTAATTCAATGATGAACCAATGCTGAAAAAGAATGATAAAATATTGATTCAAAGCTATTTTAACTAGATGGAATGGTAAGACTGAAATCAAAGAGAAAACTGAATAATTTTTAAGACTCAAACTTCTAATAATAAATACAGTGAAAATGCACAATACTTCTAAGCAGGAAACTAATAAATGTTACTGAAAGAAATTTAGCCGGGCACAGTGGCTTACGCCTGTAATCCCAGCACTTTGGGAGGCCAAGGCGGGTGGATCGCCTGAGGTCGGGAGTTCGAGACGAGCCTCACCAACATGGAGAAACCCCATCTCTACTAAAAATACAAAATTAGTCAGGCGGGGTGGCACATGCCTGTAATCCCAGCTACTTGAGCGGCTGAGGCAGGAGAACCACTTGAACCTCGGAGGTGGAGGCTGCGGTGAGCCGAGATCGCACCATTGCACTCCAGCGTGGGCAACAAGAGCAAAACTCCGTCTCACAAAAAAAAAAAAAAAGAAAAAGAAATTTAAGAAAACTTGTAATCCCAACACTTTGGGAGGCGCCAAGGCAGGCATATTACTTGAGCCCAGGAGTTCAAGACCAGCCTGGGCAACATGGTGAGACCTTGTCTCTGCAAAACATAAAATTAGCCAGGCACGGTGGCTTGTGCCTGTGGTCCCAGCTACCCGGGAGGCTGAGGTGGGAGAATCACCTGAGCCCAAGAGGGTGAGGCTGCAGTGAGCCATGATCATACCACTGCACTCCAGCCTGGGAGACAGAGCAAAACTGTCAAAAGAAAGAAAAAAAGAAAATATTAGAAAGAAAGAAAAGATAAAAAGAGAGAAAGAAACAAAGACAGAAAGCAAATTTTTTTAACTATATGATTCTATCTATAGAAAGTTCAAAAAAATAGGCAAAACTAAACTCCAGGGTCATAGGATGCATATTAAGGAGGTGAAAGTATAAAGAGAAGCAAGAAAATGATTCCCATAATAGTTAGGACAGTGTTCCTGGGATGGGAGGAAGGAGCATCATTTGAAGGGAACATGCAAAGGGCTTCTAGGGTGCAGACATTTGTCTTACTTTTTGACCTAGGTAATATTATGTGGGTGCCCACAATAATTTGTAAAGCTGTACATTTACATTATGTGCATTTTTCGGTATATATGTCCTATTTCACTACTGAAAAAATAGGTAAATATTCTAAACAGATAGATTTCAGTTAATACAATGAAGAATTTTCTAACCATTAAAGATGAGGAAGACAGAAAGCTCTATAACAAGTACTGGCCAATTACAGCCTACAGGCCAAATCCAGCCCACCACGTTTGTAGTCTATGAGCTAAGAAAGGTTTTTTATGTTTTTAAATAGTTGAAAAAAATCAAAAGCAGAGTAATACTTCGTGACATGTTAAAATTACATGAAATTCCCATTTAAGTATTCATAATGAAAGTTGTATTGAAACACAGCCATACCCATTCATTTACCTATAGTCTAGGGCTGCTTTCACACTACAACAGAAGAGCTGAGTATTTAGAATGGAGTTGAATGGTTGTGACAGTATGGCCCACAAAGCCTAAAACACTTATTATCTGGCCCTTTACAGAAAAAAAGCCTGCCAAATGCTGGTCTATATGATGAAAGGGCGTACGATTCCAGTCATCATAAGCTCGTGCAACAGTTGAATAGCTATCTTACGGAGACACCTTAGAAGCCATTTCTGTATTTATAAATATCTGCCTACTTAACAGAGAATTTATGGTATTAAACTTTCCATGAATGGCCTAAAGCTAAATAACCCATCTCTTATTCATTTGTTCATTAAACAAATATATATGAGCCAGACACTGTCCTAGGTACTGAGGAAACAGCAACAATCAAGAGACAGGAACTCCTATGGTTGTGTAGGCTGTATTTCAGCAGAGGAGAAAGAGAAACAAACAAATTATCTATCAGGAAGCAATAACTACTATAGTTATAACCTTCCCCCTCTCTCTCTTAGTCCTGCTCTGTTCATGTAAGACGTGCCTGCTTCCTCTTTGCCCTCCACCATGACTGTAAGTTTCCTGAGGCCTCCTCAGAAGCAGATGACACCACGCTTCTTGTACAGCCTGTAGAATCGTGAGCCAATTAAACCTCTTTTCTTATAAATTACCCAGTCTCAGGCATTTCTTTATAGCAAGGCAAGAACAGACTAGCACACGGCCTAACAGCAAAGGTGGGCAAAGATGATACCAAGTTTCTTGCCATTTGCTGAATTGAGGAAAAGGGCAGAAAAAGCCAGCCTCACACAGAATGCTCCCCTGAAGCATTTCAAAGCTCACAGGGGTTTTCTGGAAAGCTTGAATGGTATAAACAAATTCAAGCCCAGTACCCAGGGCCCCTCGCCTTCCGGGCTTACTCTTACACTCTTACACTCAAAGGTCTGTCACAGCTCATGGCTCAATGCAGCACCCCTTTTTCTGCCATCCCGACACTACAGCCCCTTCCTGGAATGTCCCCTCCACCTGTGTGTCCCATTCTTCTCCTCTATCATCTCCCCTGCCTAAACACTACCTATCTTCAAGACCTACTTCAAATGCCACCTTCGTCATGAAGCCTTTCTGGGCACATCTCCTCCATCAAAATGGATGACTTCGTCATCTGACTTCCCCCGATGGCCAGCTATCCTCTCCTGGGAATCAGAGAAACTCCTCCCAGTATTTCTTCCCTGCTGTAGTCCCCCTATAAACTTCTTCAGGGTAGGGAACCTGCTTTGTCTTTATATTTACCAGAATCTGCCACATCAAAAGATGTATGTCAAACAAATTAGATAAGTTTCAAGGTCTTTCCAGCTCAAAAAGTCCATGATTTTATTCTGTCTTCTGTACTTTGTAACGCTAATGATACCACAGTTATGAAACTGTCACAGGGGCACAGAGAGTATTTATGATAGGAATAAATTCTTGGGGAGGAAACCAACACCTACACCAATATAAAATACTCCCCCTCATGAATCCTTCGTACACACGCATGCATGCACCCACACGCACACACACAGACCCTTTATGTGAAGTTTGACAATCTTCTCTTCAGCTGTACCCAACCCCCAACCTACCAGAGTTAACCACTACCTTCCTGTACACAACACTCAACAGCCTTTGATTGCTGCAATTATCATACTGTCCCATAATTATGTGGTTTAAGAGACATTTGGTGGCAGAGTTAGTCTGATTTTCCTGAACTGCCCTTTTCCCAAACTCAGCAAAAGACCTCTTCAGTTGTAGACCTTGTGAATGGCATAATCTTGCTCTCTGAACAGACGGGAGTGGCAAAAGGCAGCTGGCCCAAACTAGACCTATCAGGGTCCCTTTCCTAGGAATGGGGCATGGGGACAGAGAGAAAAAGAGGCTTTCCTCTTTTCAGGATCCCTGGTCTATATCATGTAGGCTTAGGAGCAATGAAGTCAGCATGTTCCAACAGGGCCGCAAGCCAGACAAGCAGAGGTGGAAAGCAGAGAGGCTTGCAGAAACACCTCAAAGAATGGAGCATAAACTCAGAGAGAAGACTGACTGACTGCTGGCTACTCTCTGCTTCCAGTGCTGTCTTCAAGGCTAGCTATCTTCTCATTGTTGGATTCCTCAAAGCACCCACGTATAACGCACAGATAAGCCTGGCTACCCAGCAACATCACTGAAGGCAACTCACAGCCCTGACACTGGTTCCACAGTAAGCAAAGTTTAATGTGCTTTAAGTACTAGGTTTCTAAAATTTAAAACTGAATATTAGTAACTGGCCAGGCACAGTGCTGTAATCCTAGCACTTTGGGAGGCCGAGGCAGGAGGATCACCTGAGGTCAGGAGTTTGAGATCAGCCTGGCCAACATGGTGAAACCCCGTCTCTACTAAAAATACAAAAATGAGCCAGGTGTGGTGGCGCACACCTGTAATTCCAGCTACTCAGGAGGCTGAGGCAGGAGAATCGCTTGAACGGGGAGGTGGAGGTTGCAGTAAGCCAAGATCAAGCCACTGCACTCCAGCCTGGGCAACAGAGCAAGACTCCATCTCAAAAAAAAAAAAAAAAAGAAAAAGAAAAAAACAATATTAGTAACTAAGTGTTCTTT
Organism: Homo sapiens; assembly: GCF_000001405.40. Classification (NCBI taxonomy): domain Eukaryota; kingdom Metazoa; phylum Chordata; class Mammalia; order Primates; family Hominidae; genus Homo; species Homo sapiens. Next base: position 100,182,059 of record NC_000013.11, on the reverse strand, counting down.
CAGTCCCCAAATCTAATACAAGGGGCAGTTATAGAAGGAATCAAGACAAGCAGATCACTTGAGCCCTGGAGTTCAAGACCAGCCTGAGAAACATGGCGAGACCCCATCTCTACAAAAAAATACAAAAATTAGCCAGGTGTGGTGGCGCGTGCCTGTAATCCCAGCTACTCAGGAGGCTGAGGCAGGAGAATCGCTTGAACACAGAGGCAGAGGTTGCAGTAAGCCAAGATCACGCCACTGCACTCCAGCCTGGGCGACAGAGCGAGATTCCATCTCAAAAAAAAAAAAAGAAAAAAAGAAAAAGAAAAACAAAAAAAAGAATATTAGTAACTAAGTGTTCTTTCAGTCCCCAAATCCAATACAAGGGGCAGTTATACAAGGAATCAAGACAAGCGGATCACTTGAGCCCAGGAGTTCGAGACCAGCCTGAGTAACATGGCGAGACCACATCTCTACAAAAAATACAAAAATTAGCCAGGCATGGTGGTGCACGCCTGTAGTCCCAGTTACTCAGGAGGCTACGGTGGGAGGATTGCTTGAGCCCAGGAGGCAGAAGGTGCAGTGAGCCATGAGCACCCTACCACACTCTAGCCTGGCCGGCTAGGCGGCAGAGCAACACCCTGTTTCCAAAGAAGAAAGAAAGAAAGAATCAAAACCCAATACCTGTAAATGAGTTTCCTGGAAAGGCAAGTTCTGTGCCCTACTTTATTTTTTAAATAATTTCCTCAGTGCCTAGCACAATGGGATAGGAAAATTTTTCAATAAATATATGATAAAGAACAAAATGCTGTTAACCCATTAAACATCCCAGCTCTCTTCTTGCCATAACACATACCCCACCAACACTTTTAGACAGAAATTCTTCCAAAAATATATCTCCCAATTCTGGATTTCTCTGCCATTCTCTCAGATCTGCCTTATTCTGTAAGTCAGCTTTACCCTCAGGCTAGCTACCCTCATGGTCACAATATGGCTGCCAGCAGCAACTAAGCTCTCTCATTCACAAGGTGGTGGGTGGGGGAGAATGCAAGAGAACCTGGCTTCCAATGTCTTTCTCTTAAGAATAAGGAGGTTCCTTTTCCAGGAATCCCAGGAAAGCCTTTCATCATGTTTCAGTGGCCCACAATGGCTTAAGCCTTGATTAATCCCTGAATCAATAATTGTCAGGGAAGATAAAATGATCCTGACTGGCTTCCACAAATCACCTGTGGTGGAAAGGATGTTGGCAAAGCAAACTTCACTGGAATTTGAGTATTTGTGTGCAAACATAAGCCCATATACAAGGATGCCAATATACATGCATTCATTTAAGCATTTGTGCAACGTAACCTCACCTACTAGCCAGACAGAAAGTCAAAGAAGCGTATTAGTAATTAATACCAGGGGAAAGAAATCGGAGGAGACAAAATCAGAGGAGAAAGAAATCAGAAGAGAGTGGCCACCTTAAACTGGAATACCACATACATACAACCTCTGTATCCACACCTACCCCCTAACTCTAACTGTTCTTAGGACCTGAATGGTCAATGGTTCCCATGGGTTGTCTTATGGGGCTGTTTTTCAATACTGAATAATCCAGCCTGAGGAAAATAAACCATTGTGGGAAGAGGAATCTTGGATCTTGGTATTAGATTAACCCCAATAGGCAAGAATGGGGTTTACGGAAAAGCAAATGATTTGCAAAGTATAAATTAGAAGATAGCTTTGTTTTCACAGAGAGCTATGATGCTAAGAACAGCAGGACAAATTAAGGAGTGAGGACGTCTACAGGTGGATGCCCAAGAGAATTTAACTTCTTCTAGGGCACTGTTTCTTCTTTAAATTTTTCTGCTCCTATGTAGCAAAGTGTTCTTAATCACATAGTTCTTCAGTCTGATATGCACTGTTGTTACAGTGATACAGAAGTGCATCACATTAGGTCAGAAGTGATACAGAAGTGCACCACATGCTTAAAACTCCTCCAGCAGCTCCCCAATGCACTCAGACCTAAATCCCAGCTTCTTAGAATGACCCTAACTGATCTGCCCTGAGCCACCTACCCTTTCAACCTCATCTTGTACCACGTGTTTTCTCATTCATGATTCTCCTGCCACACCAGTTCCTTTCTCTATATCCAATCTCTATATTCTATGTCTCAAATCTCATTCCAGCCTCAGAACATTTAAACCTGCTATTCCCTCTGCCTGGAGAGCTCTTACTCTAGATCTCCAAGTGCTGGCTGCTTCTCTCATCATCAGTTATTAGTCAAATGTCACAACCTTCTTGGCACCACCACCATTCATGACCACCACACACACACGTACACACACACACAAACACACACACACACAGACAGGAAAATAAACCATTGTGGGAAGAGGATGACCCTTCTGTAGATGTCTGCCTTGGGTCAGGCACTAATCCTTGATCCAATCAATTGTCAATAGATGACAGGATCACATGATAAAGAAAGCATGGTAATTTAAACAATTTAAGGAGCTGCATGCAAAGAGGCAAACAGAAGCAAGACTATAGGTAGCAAGTCAAGTATTCATGACCAAACTGAGCTGAAAACGCAGAAATGATTAACAAGCGGGTCTACCATGACCTCACTTCCCTAAAAGATCACGACAGCATTGAAGGGCAAAAAAGTGGCAGATTATTACCCCAATTCAATACTAGCTGTACATTTTAGTCTTTTTTTTCCAGTAAAATGCAGAAATCATCTGTTTCTCTTATGCCTTAAAACCCAGCAGGCATGAAGGGTGGCATGAAAGTCATTTTGAGCACCTCTAAGGGAGTATACATTTGTGTTAATATTATTCGTCAGTATGTAAGGTATGTTTATTATAAGATCAAAATTATTTATGGAAGCAATACTTAATTGTGTTAGGGTATGTCAAGGTACAAATACTTAACTTTATTATTCTATAAAATTCAAGATTAAAAAAGCCCATCCAAACAAGCACAAATATATATATATATATATTTTTTTTTTTTTTTTGAGAAGGAGTCTCGCTCTGTCACCCAGGCTGGAGTGCAGTGGCACGATCTCGGCTCACTGCAAGCTCCACCTCCCGGGTTCATGCCATTCTCCTGCCTCAGCCTCCCGAGTAGCTGGGATTACAGGCGCCTGCCACCACGCCCAGCTAATATTTTGTATTTTTAGTAGAGATGGGGTTTCACAGTGTTAGCCAAGATGGTCTCGATCTCCTGACCTTGTGATCCGCCCGCCTCAGCCTCCCAAAGTGCTGGGATTACAGGCATGAGCCACCGCGCCCGGCCCACACATTTTAATTAATTAAAAAAATGTGGCTAAATCTTGTGTCTAAATTATTTTTTTTTAATAAACAGGCATTAAAACAGGATCAAAGAAAGAAAAATATTACAGAAAACAGTAATTCTGTATCTCCGTCCCCACCCTCCGCAAATAAAATCTTAGTATTTGCCAGAGGAAATGCTGCCTGAACCTCCTATCCTTCTAAATTTGGTGCATCTTAAGAGATTCTGTGTCAGCAATTGAAGCCAGTGCTGAAGCACAACTACAGCAGACCACTCTCAAAATTCTTAAAAACCCATTTGGGATTTGTCAGTAGGGGGTAAATTAAAGCCTTATGGATTGAGAAGCAAATAATTTGAAAAATGTACAGGGGCAATGAACCCTGAAGTTATCAGGCATCAAAATGACTATAAAAGTGTTTTGTATAGTTTACCTAAAAAGACCTAAATTTTCTATTTTTCAACTATTTTCTAAACATGTGTAAGACTGCTAAACTTGGCCCTGGGGTTTAAGATACAAGTTACCAAATGTATCTAAAACTATTAGATCATTTGCCTAAGCATCTTTTCTACGTTTTAAGTTGAAATAAAATCTACCCAACATCGAAATAACCATACAGGGTAGATTTCCTGAATCAAATTAAATAATCCACTGATTTTCTATAGCAAAAGTACACGACTACATAAAATATTTATCACATATTCATAAGTGGAGAGCAAAAAAGAAACCCTGAATTAAATTGAAGTCTGGGAATACTGAAAAACTCATCCCAGAAATGTTGCTATAAGTCCTAACCACCTTCAATTCAGAATTCTACCTCTACTACTACATAGAACTGTTATAACAGGGAAAAGAGAAACTTCACTTTCATATTAATGATTATCAAAAAAAAAAGATCTCCTTCACAGTTGAATTTTTAAAGACATACTTTATATAGTCTACTTAGTGCCATGTTCTAATTTTTAGTAACTAGAAAATTGAAACATAATCAGTATGATGGGAATATTTTCTTTGGTCTTTTTTAGTTCTGAGAATGTTTGAAGACTTGAGTTATTTTTACATGGACTACTTGAAGGTGATGATTTTTTTCGTCCTTATGTTTTACATCTTAAAATGTTTTATAAATGGTAAAAACAGAAATAATCCATTTTCTTTTTCAACAGGGGGCCCAGGCAAGACTTCCTTTGCCAAGATTCAAACAGATACTCCCTTCTCAACACAGGATGAATGTGTATAACAGAATAAAACTTAAAGCTCACGTTTAGATTTTTTTCAGTTTTTTACTAAAAAGAATCTAATATGTTTACTAAATAATAGACAACAGAAACATGAATTCTACATTGCCATCTATGACCCTTAGTCTAATAGACCAAGTCTTATTAAAACTAGTAAAATTTTCATTATGCAAGACACAATTTGTCAGTAATTGAAAAAGGTCTACAAAATTAACAAATAAATACTACTCTGACACTAGAAAGCTGGCAATGATGATATAAGCTTTAGTCTTCTCATAATCAGAACTCTGGAAGATTAATCAACATTTTAACACTTCCCATCTGTACAACTGCTCAAGGTAGTGCTTACTGTCACTTGACAAGTTGCTTAGCATTGCAAAATTTGATAATTCATGTCTTACTGAATTTTTACTGACTTGGAAGAAAATAAAACACCAATTAAAAGCAGATGTCACCTTTAATTCTAACTGGCTGAGAAACTTAATTTTTTCACCCAATGCAGTGATAGGACGCATGTAGATGACAGCTTGGACAGTTAAACACTCAAAGTCACTGATATCCCTCACAAATTTGCAAGCGATTTACCAGAACTTAATCCCACAGGGCTTTTATCTGGCAAGCATCCAAAAACAACAGTTTCAAGTAGTCATCTAGAAGGTAAATTTACATTTTTTACAAAGGCTACAAACACTAATCAGAACATTACTAAACTAATATTCTCAAGACTTGCATTTTTATCCTCATACACATAAACATTTTCCATGTTGCTCCTCTGTTAAAACTCTACCTAATTAAAAAAACTAATATAAAGACTTAAACTGTGACTAACATGCCTTTATATTTAAATGATCCAAGTGCTAAATCACATCTAACTGGATTTACAGTAAAATAATAAAAATCGGACTTGAGTCCTGACATTTGTCAATGTTTTTCAATAATGTAAGTCATAAATTCACTCACTTTTGATTCTAACCACCAATTCTGAACAAATTCTCTTAAGCTGCAAGTTTTGACTAGCACCACAAAGATAAATAAGTAGACAGATACATGGGTAGATGTATCATACAAACACACAGAAACAGCAATATCAAAACGTACCTTCTTGCAATAAACCCAAATTTTTATACACATGTAAATAATTAAACTTAAAATGTATAAAGAATTATAACATTTTCTTCTAAAAACAGCTAGGCCTGAGTTTTCTAAAGCTACACCATCTATGCATGAAGTAACTTGTAATCAAATCCCAAGTTCCAAAAATGCTTCATTTTAATATATGAAGTTTTTCTACAAAAAGAAAATTTCTGGATTTTCCCAAACACCACAATTTCAGAGTCCTGTCTCTATCCCCAACAACACTGACCACAGCCTCCACAGTTATTCTTTACTGATCTATGCAAGCTTTCAAAAGCCAGAACAAGCTGGTACCTACCAATCAGGCAAAGATGGAAAAAATGAGTCCCAGAAGGAATCATCACAAAGATTCCAATCACAATCATCTGATCCCTAAGAACCGAGGCCTATCAAGCCCTTTGCTTCTGAAAACTCATTGCATAACGATCAGACTTGGCTTCATAGTTAGAAGGGGTACAGGAACCAGGTAGATCCTGTAGTATTCACATCTTACGTCTAACACAGAGTATTTTCACTTTAACGAAGTCTGCCATGAAAAAAGAATTTGGAGAAGATGAAATGGAAAAGCAGTCACAAAAAGAGGATTTAAGGGGAGAAGCTACCTGCGACAACTTTTGTAGGCCTCATCTTTGCATTTTCATCCTGCTTTATGCATTGCTAATCAGAGATCCACTGGAAGCTTCAGAACCAACTGAAAGGCCTGGCAGGGTATTTGGCTTTCAATTCTTCTACTCTGTTTATTCCCAATATATATTCATCAGGCTTAGAAACAACTCTTGAACAAGGGCAGCCTCTCCACAATGAAATGTAAATTACTGACATGTGCTGAAACCTGGACTTGCCACCACTAATGAGCACATTAAAGGAAAATGCTCACTAGATGACTGCAACCTTTTCACTTAACCCTGTGTGCACGGAAAGCCACAATTCAACATCAATTAAAGATGCTAGCTGCAAAACAGAGCAGCCTGTCACCACTCTCACTACCTTATAGATGGAAAGTTAAGACAAATATAAATTGCTTACATTTCATCAACTAAAAATAGTGTGCAAAACATTAGTAGACATGTGGCTAAGATTTGCAAAACTTCTCTAAAAGTTGCAATACTTTCAAACAGTTTCCTAAGAGAGCAAATAGGATCTAAGGTTTGGGGGAAAAAAAAATCAACAATGTACTAATCTATTGGTTTATTCATTAATTCGATCAACAAACTCTAGACTCAGAGATCTAAAACTCACCAGGGACTTGACAAGACTGAACAAAGCTCAGAAGCTTGTCAAGAAAAAAATAAATCATAATAACCAATTACTTAGATATCAAAATAACAAAATATCTGACTTACATAAGCAAGGACTCATTTACTAGGGCACAGAATATTAGAAGATTATAGTCTGTTCATCATAATCTAATCTGCAACTTACAGTGGAAAAATGAAGTGTGAACAGACATCTAGTATTTATTAACTTTTTAAGTAAATTATTTTTATAATTAAAATACATTTTAAAACTTTAATGAGAATTTCAAATATGGTAAATGAATAAAGATATAATTAATATGTTATTGTGTGACAATAGTTTTTCCAAAGAATACTCATAAAGAAGAGTAATACTCATAATACAAGCACATTTGAATATGATTTTATCTCTGTGGTTACCTAAATGCATGCTAAATTCTCTTTCTTTTTTTTTCTTTTTTTTTTTTTTGAGATGGGGTCTTGCTTTGTTGCCCAGGCTGGAGTGCAATGGTGCAATCTTGGCTCACTGCAACCTCCACCTTCCAGGTCCAAGCAATTCTCCTGCCTCAGCCTCCTGAGTAGCTAAGACTACAGGCATGCGCCACCATGCCTGGCTAATTTTTGTGTTTTTAGTAGGGACGGGGTTTCGCCATGTTGGCCAGGCTGATCTTGAACTCCTGACCTCAAGTGATCTGCCTGATTTGGCCTCCCCAAAGTGCTGGGATTACAGGCGTGAGCCACCCCAGCCCTCCAGCATACTAGATTCTTAAAGCCCATAAAAGAGTACCACAACAAATATTATACTATAAAACATTTAAAACCTGGTTATTTTCTCTATGTGGTTTCTGGCTACATTTAAGTTTTCCATACAATGGTTCACAGTGAAACTCGAGCTTTTTAGAACCCTCAGGGCTTCGTAAAAAAGAATTTCAATCAAAATAACCTGAGTTCTAGTCCCAGCTTGCTGATCTCCTACTGGCATGTGATTAGAAAAAGCATTTTATTTCTCTAAATATTATTATTTCTACATCTATAAATTAGAAATAATGACACCATAAGGCACATATACAGGTTTTTTTAAGCACATGTGAAACCGCTTTTCATATAGTATCTGACAATCCTCCAAACAAGGGAATCATTATGTATTAGTCCATTTTCATACTGCTATGAAGAAATACCCACAACTGGGTAATTTATAAAGAAAAAGGTTTAATTGACTTACAGCTCCACATGGCTGGGGAGGCCCCACAATCATGGTGGCAAGTGAAGGCGGAGTAAAGGCATGTCTTACATGGCAGCAGGCAAGAGAGCTTGTGCAGGGGAACTGCCATTTATAAAACCATCAGATTTCATGAAACTGATTCACTATCACAAGAACAACACAGGAGAAACCTGCCCCCCATGATTCAATTACCTTCCACCAGGTTCCTCCCACAACACGTGGGGATTAGAGGAGCTACAATTCAAGATGAGATTTGGGTGGGGACACAGCCAAACCATATCACATTTAAGTTTACTAGAAACCTGAAGTCCTCATCCTTCTCCATTCAGACACCCATTAACACCTACCAGCCTATGCAGCAGGAGTTCAGGAGCTTGACTCTATTTTGCTTTGCAGAAATGTACACTTATCCAGGTAATTTCCTGAGAGGATAAATACACTTGTCTACCTTTCTCTAGGATATGTATTTCTCCATTACCAAGTTGCTTTCTGGCACCTGAGAGCTGTTTTATCTTCTATCTCTTATTATTTACTTGATATCGATCAATGTCTGCAGCTCGTCATCCCTGGTTGCTGTTTTGAATCTCTACCAAATGCCGTTATTCCTGTCCCCTACATCCTAGTAACTAAAACCATCCCAGCCAGAGCATGTAAAAAGCGAGTCCTCCAACAAGTGAAGACTTGGTTGCTGACATGGCTGCCCGTACCAACTCAACCAGAACCAGCACACTGTAGACACCACTACAGATCACCACTGCTGCTTCCACTATTCTCTTTCTTCCTCCCTGTGCTTTGCACCTTATCTCTCCTGCCTGTTTTTCCCACTGCTAGCTTTTGGGAGGAAAGCAGAACTTTTACAGACAGCTCTTTATATAGTCCCTTTGGGACCCTGAAATATTCTGCAAGCTAGATACCAAAAGGCTGAATAAATAATAGTCATATGGGGAAAAAATAAGGATGGGTAAAAAAAAAAGAGCTGAAAACATTTTAAGGTTTTGTGTTGTGCCACAACAAGCTGTATAATCTCTTCTTCAGAGGTAGCATAGTCCGGTAGTTATGAGCATGGTAATGACGGGGTTCAAATCCTTGCCCTGGCACTAACAGCTGTGTGATCCTGAGCAACTTCTGCTTCTTCGCCTGAAAAGCAGAAATAATAGTACCTGTCTATAGGGCTGCTAGGAAGAGCAAATGAGTTAGTACATGCAGAGGGGTGGGAATAGTGCCTGGCACACACTAAGTGTTCAAAAAAAGTTATTAATTTGTTAAAAGTTGAAATCTCACGCATTCATAACATGGCCACAATCAACTTTGTTTGCTTGTACTCTTATTTTATCTAAACTCATTAATTCCTGATTGTCTTTCTCTACTACTCCATTTAAAACTTCTATTGCTTTTAAATGGTATGATCAAGGATGATGACGGCAGGAATGATAATAAAACTACATAGTCTTTACGTATGGGCCCAAATTAAAGCTACAAAGCATAAAAATTACAGAAACAAATTTATCATTAACAAATATGTCTAAAAGACAAAGCCCTATTAACATTAGAAGTCATTTTTAAAAATCAATTTATGATCTTTCATGTAAAAGGAATTTAATAGGAAATAACAGATCCTAAAAAATATTTGTTTTTAAAAAAAACTAAATAAAAATATATGTCAAATTAGTTTGATGTGAATACCAAAGACATTAAACTTCCTTCAAAAGTTTGTCTCATGTGTAGAAATGTATATAAATAATTCCACTGAAAGGTAAATTTTTTTTTTTTTTTTGAGACAGGGTTTTGCTCTGTCACCCAGGCTGGAGTGTAGTGGTGCAATCTCAGCTCACTGCAGCCTCCATCTCCTGGGCTCAAGCAATCCTCCCACCTCAGCTTCCCAAGCAGCTGGGACCAGAGGCGCATGCCAACACACCCAGCTAATATTTTTTTTTTTTTTTTTTGAGACAGAGTCTCACTCTGTCACCCAAGCTGGAATGCAGTGGCGAGAACTCCGCTCACTGCAAGCTCTGCCTCCTGTGTTCACGCCATTCTCCTGCCTCAGCCTCCCGAGTAGCTGGGACTACAGGTGCCTGCCACCACGCCCGGCTAATTTTTTGTACTTGTAGTAGAGACAGGGTTTCACCGTGTTAGCCAGGATGGTCTCCATCTCCTGACCTCGTGATCTGTCCACCTTGGCTTCCCAAAGTGCTGAGATTACAGGCGTGAGCCACCGCGCCCAGCCACACCCAGCTAATTTTTAAATTATTTGTAGAGATGGGGTTTTCCTATGTGCCCAGGCTGGTCTTGAACTCCTGGACTCAAGTGATCCTCTGGCTTCAGCCTCCCGAACTGCTAGGATTACAGGCGTAGGCCACTGCGTCTGGCCGTAAAGAATTATTAATGACTAGTAAGTAAAGTGGTAAGCAACAGGAATTCAGAAATGAATGAGTAAAAGTCCTTGACTTGACATGGAAGTAATTATACTAAGGCTAAAAAAGAATGTGGAAGTGGAGTGGGGCATAGTAGTCAGAGGAGGCATGCTCATTCTGTCTAGAATCTCAGCTTAAAGGCCACACTCTCAGAGAAGACTGTCATCACCCTATCTCAAGAGGCTACCCAGTCACCTTTCAGGACAGTGCCTATCAAATTTTCTGGGCTTTACAGTTTTAAATATTGACAATCTCAAGGAGCTTTGGCTTATACATGTTGTATATATCAATATTTACCATGTTAAAATTAAGAAATTTTTAAAAATGTATTTCAAAAGAATAGCCCATTTAATGTTAACAATTAGAAGTAACATTTTTATGACAAATTCATTAGAGTAGAAATGTTTTACATTTTCACAAATCTCTTTAACATGTGGCTTAAGACAGCTGGATTCTCAAATCTGGTTCCTGCATTCAATCTGCTGTGATAACATATATCATATAACTCTACTGTTACATGGAAAACTCTACTGCACAATCCTCAGAGAATGAGAGCAGGAAAAACTATTATGGAAAATTGTTTACTTCAGAGTGTCTGAAAGGGTCTCAAGAGTCCCCAGGTACCACAGAACATACTGGGAACCAATGCTCTATTGTATCACCCACTCTTATTTTATGGCTACTGTACGCTATGCTGACAAAATATGCTGTTACTTGTGTATAGATTATGTAAATATGTAACTAATTTACATCCAATATATTTTCTATCAATTGTGGCATTCTAATCAGTAAGAGCATATATTACTATAAATGCTGTTATCAAAATATTTCCTTATAAATCAAATATTGTGGTTAAGAAATACAACACATTATTTTTATCTGCACTCAACAATCAACTAGCACATAAAGGACTGAATAAAAAGCTAGGAACATGTACACATGCACACACGTAGTGGTACAGACAGGCGCTACACCATAGGTAGGTTGGGAAGTGGAAACATACAGAAAAGAATACTCTGTGCTTGGAACATTAGCATATCACATATTATGAGTCAAAATGGTAACTTAGGAACATTGTAATATCCTTAAATAAGGACCAGTACAGAAACAAAGCCCCAGTGATCATTTCATTATTTCTGCTTCTTTGCCTGTTTTAGAAAGCATGCATTTAAAAGTTTAAGTTTAGAACAAATCTGGGGGCAACAAGAATCATTAACTACATGTAACAGAGATAACTAGCATTACTTCAGTTAACCCAAAAAAATCCTCGAGCAATGTACTTCCTTCACTAGAACAAAAACAAAAATCTTTCCAACTGAATTCTAAGCTTAGGAGTCACATACAAATAAATCAATGAAAATAAATTTTAAGACATCACGAAGTTACCGTAAGTTTAAAATAGCATAACACAATGAAAGCACAAGGATGCTTCTCAAAGCATCCCTTCTACATTTATTTCCAGAATTCTAAATTTGAATTCAGCAACTTATCTAATCTAGCAAAGAGTTAATAAGCACCTCCAGAAAGCCTGAGTGATACAGAAGAATCAAAAAGCATGAGTTCAGGCTGGGTGTGGTGGCTCATGCCTATAATCCCAGCACTTCCGGAGGCTGAGGTGGGAGGATCACCTGAGGTCAGCAGTTTGAGACCAGCCTGGTCAACAAGGTGAAACTCCGTCTCTACTAAAAATACAAAAATTAGCCAGGCAAGGTGGTAGGCATCTGTAATCCCAGCTACTCAGGAGGCTGAGGCAGGAGAATTGCTTGAACCTGGGAGGCGGAGTCTGTAGCGAACTGAGATCGCACCATTGCACTCCAGCTGGGCAACAAGAGCGAAACTCCATCTCAAAAAAAAAAAAAAATACAGAAATTAGCCAGGCATGGTGGCGCTCACCTGTAGTTCCAGCTACTCAGGAGCCTGAGGCAGGAGAATCACTTGAACCTGGGAGACGGAGATTGCAGTGAGCCAAGATCGTGCCACTGCACCCTAGCCTGGGCAACAGAGCAAGACTCCGTCTCAAAAAATAATAATAAAATAAAAAATAAAAAGCATGAGTTCAGCCTTCTACTTGCATACAAAAGTGACTAATCCTTACATAAATCAAGGGATTTTTTTTTTTTTTTTTGAGACAGTCTCGCTCTGTCGCCCAGGCTGGAGTGTAGTGGCACGATCTCAGCTCACTGCAACCTCTGCCTCCTGGGTTCCAGCGATTCTCCTACCTCAGCTTCCTGAGTAGCTGGGATTACAGGCACCCGCCACCAACCTGGCTAATTTTTGTATTATTAGTAGAGACGGGGTTTCACCATGTTGGCCAGGTTGGTCTCAAACTGCTGACCTCAGGTGATCCGCCCACCTCGGCCTCCGAAAGTGCTGGGATTACAAGCGTGAGCCACTGCGCCTGGCCAAATTAAGGGAAATTTTTAAAACAATTTACTTTATGGTTGAAACATGCCTTTTTTGCCATGTAATCCATAGAGGGTTTTGTTTCTAAATTACTTCAGAAAGCTTAACACAAGAATCAGAAGCTATATTCTATTTTAAGATTCAATAGAATGTCAGTCTGTAAAACACTGGTCTTTCAACCCGGTAGTTTTGGCCAAAATTAAAATAACAAAACAAAAATCCCAACAACAATAAAAACCCTCAGTTTACAATGGCTTAAAATAATTTTAAAAAGGCTTATTTCACACAATGAAAAGAAACCTTTTCTTGAAAGGTCCCCTCACTTGCCAGGAATCAAACTGGACCATGAGCCTCCCATAAACTGGTCATTGGTAAGGAAGAGAATGAATCCTGGTCAGGATTTCACTAGTCAGAATTTACCACTGAGACTCACAGGGAAGGGATGGTCACCTAAGGTGACGCTAACAACCGGGCAGAAAGGGTGGACAGCAGCATCAACAGCATCTGCTACGTTGTCACATTTCAAAAGGGGTTCAAGAGTCACCTAGGTAGAACTTGAATATTTTCCCCCAATACTAGCATAAGTAACAGCTAATAATTCTCTTTGGTTCTTTTAGCCTCAGCTGGAGTGCTTGGAATCTGACCCATGCATACATGGAACACTCCAGAATTCATTCCAGGAACTGTTCAAAAAAGGCCAAAAAAGGAAACTGCCCCCATGCCATTTCCTCCTTCCAAGGGTAGTCGCCTTCCTATTTCTGTCTAATTGTGGCTGCTCTCTGGTACCCATAGGTATTATGTAGCTTTTTCTATTTTGTCCAGAATTTATAATTGGGATGTGTGGAGAGGCTGGTTTGATATATAAATATTCTTGGTTACAGCCTAATTTATCTTAGACCCAGTAAAACGCTATCTGACATCTTGTATACTGTTAATGACTGGAGCAATCTTAAACCTCATCCTTCTATGGGAATGAGCCTCTCTTACTCACGATGGTTATGTGTGGAACTGAAGAATGAACACTAGAATCTCTCAGGTTGAGATTCAACTGCTGAATAAGGTGGCATATGTGTTCAACTGGATTGTTAAAGTAAGGAAGTTCTGAGAGAGAAAAGAGGGGGTCAGTGGTGAGGAAGGAGGTCACACCAAGACGGCCTCAGCAGGATTAGTAATACATGGGAGTAAATGAAAGGGGGTGTGGACAAAGTATTTTTAAGAGTTCATTATCTAGCCAGTTGTGGTGGTGGGCGCCTATAATCCCAGCTACTCAGGAGGCTGAGGCAGGAGAATGGCATGAACCCGGGAGGCAGAGCTTGCAGAGAGCCGAGATCGCACATGTATGTCCCATTACTTTTTCTGCAAGGGTGCCAAGGCAATTCAAAGAGGAAGGGATAACCTCTTCAAGAGATTGTATAGCAAACTGAATAGCCACATGCAAAAAAGATTAATTTAGACCCTACTTCACACCACATATAAAAATTAACTCAAAATTGATCAGAGATCTAAAACTATAAAACATTAAAAATACAAAACAAAAAACAAGAAAGTCTCAGTGACCTTGAGTTTGGCAAGAAATTACATATATCTATTTTTTTAAATAATTCATTATTTTGAGACACATTCTTCTTTTGTCACCCAGGCTGGACTGCAGTAACACTCCACAGCTCACTGCAGCCTCAAACTCCAAGGCTCAAGTGATCCTCCCACCTCAGCCTCCCAAGCAGCTAGGACTACAGCTGCATGCCACCAAGCCCATCTAATTTTTGTTACTTTTTGTAGAGATGGGGTTTCACCATGTTGCCCAGGCTAGTCTGGAACTCTTGGACTCAAGAGATCCACCTACCTCAGTCTCCCAAAGTGCTAGAATTACAGGTGTGAGCCACTGCACCTGGCCCATATTTTTAAGACTCAAAAGGTTCAAACTATAAAAGAAAAAAAAATTAATAACCTGGACTTCAACAAGACTAAAAGCTGTTGCTCTTCAAAAGATACTGCTGAGTAAATGAAAACAGAACCACATCATGGGAGAAAATATTTGCAATGACATGTACCAGACAAAAGATTTTTCCTAGAATAAAGAACCCTAATATGTCTAAATAAGACAAGCAACTCAATTTAAAAATGGACAAAAGACTTCACAAACACATCGACAAAGATATAAAGCAAATGAGCTCAACATTATTAATCATCAGACAAATGCAAATCAAAACCACAATAAGACATCACTACATAGTATAACAGTTAAATTTAAAGGGTGGTAAGAATGTGGAGCAACTAGTACACTCATACATTGTTGGCGGAAATGTAAAATTGTACCAACGAGTTTGCAGATTCTAAGAAGATAAAACATACAAATGATCTAGCCATTCCACTCCTAGGCATTTACCAAAAAAAAATGAAAGCATATGCCCACATAACTACTTGTTCATAGCACCTCTAGTTGTAGTTAAAAGCTGGAAACAACTCACATGTCCACCAACAGATGAATGGCTACTAAAAATATGGTGGTAAACCCATACAATGGAATAAAAAGAAATGAATGCAGCAATAAAAAGGAATGCAGGCTAGGCACGGTGGCTCACACCTGTAATCCCAGCACTTTGGGAGGCTGAGGCAGGCAGCTCACTTGAGGCCAGGAGTTCGAAACCAGCCTGGCCAACATGACAAAATCCCGTCTCTACTAAAAATACAAAAATTAGCTGGGCATGGTGGTGCACACCTGTAATCCCAGCTACTTGGGAAGCTGAGGCACAAGAATTACTTGAGCCCAGGAGGCGGAAGTTGTGCCACTGCACTCTAGCCTGGGCAAAAGAGGGGAAACTCTGTCTCCAAAACAAAACAAAACAAAACAGGGAATGAAGTACTGACACAATTACATGCATCAATTTCAAAATAATTTTGCTGGGTGAAAAAAAAATCCAAAAAACAGCATAACTTGTGTTATTCCACCTATATAAAATTCTAGTAAATGCAAAATAATCTATGATAAGAAAACAGATCAGTAGTTGCCTAAAGGGGAAGAGGAAGGCTAGGAAGTGGCCGAAAGAGCCAGCGAAGGAGCACCAGGAAGTCTTTGGAGTTGAAGGATACATTCTTTATTCTGATTGTGATTATGATTTCATAAGTGTACACATATAAGTGTACAATTAATTTCTTATATATGTGCACTTTATTGAATAGCAATTATATTTCAATAAGGCTTTCTTGGAAAAGCTGTAAATGAATAATGAACTCTGGTTTATTTTTTTATTGTACTTATTTACTTATTTATTTTTTTGAGACAGGGTCTTGCTCTGTCACCCAGGCTGGATTCATAGCTCGCTACACCCTCAAACTTCTGGCCTCAAGTGATCCTCCTATCTCGGCCTCCCAAAGTGATGGGATTATAGGTGTAAGATACCACACCTGGCCTGAACTCTGCTTTAAAAACTGCATGCTGAAGTGTACAGGAGAGTGAATTGTACTATTATCTACAACTTAAGTTGACGTGCAAAATGAAAATGAGATTGATAGATGAGTAGAGGAAAACACAAATGAATAAATATGTTAAAAACAAATAAGAAAATGTTAATTATAGAATCTACTGGCATTTGTAGTAGTACAATTCTTCAAACTTTTCTGTATTTCTTAAATTTTTCATTAAAGAAAATGTGAGGGGAAAAAATATTAATACTCCCACAAGTCTGTGCAATAGGTCTCTGGCAGTAACACTAGACTAACAAGCATAAACATATTGGTTAGGAAGATACTGTCAAATTAAACCTCTTAAACTTATGTAAAGCGGACATTACAAATATCCAATGAGTCAACTAATTACCCAGAGCTTGCATTAAGGAAAGGCATGATTTGGTGGTTATTAAAAACAATAAAACAATGGGAATGAGAAATGGTACAGCCACTATGGAAAACAGTAGGGCAGAACCTCAAAAAGTTAAACATAGAATTACCATAGGACCCAGCAATTCCTCTCCTAGCTATATACTAAAAAGAAGCAAAAGCAGGGACCCAAACAGATACTTATACACCAGTGTTCATAGCAGCATTATTCACAACAGCCAAAAGGTACAAACAGCCCAAATGTCCATCAACAGGTGATGAAGAAACAAAATATGGTATATCCACAGAGTAGACTATTATTCAGTCTTAAAGAGGAAGGAACTTGGATGAACCTTGAAAATATTATGCTGAGTGAAATAAGCCAGACATAAAAGAACAAATCTTATATGATTCCACTTATGTGAGGTACCTAGAATAGGTAAACTCACAGAGACAGAAAGTAAAAGGAAGGTTACCAGGGGCTAGGAGTAGGTGGGAAATGGGGAATTAGTGTTTAATATGTACAGTTTCAGTTTGGGGTGATTATAAAGTTCTGGAGCTGATGATTGCAAAACATTGTGAATAAAATTAAAGCCACTGAGCCACACTCTTAAAATTGGTGAAAGGGTAAATTTTATGTTATGTCTGCTTTACCACAATAAAAATACATATGTAATTTTAAAAGACAACATTTTTTAAATGGACCAAAATAAAATGAGTCTTAATTTCAACTGAATGATATTTGGATCTGTGAAAGTTGATTACATGAATTGGGTCATTCTTGTATACCCAACTACATAAGAGTCAAGGAGTCAGGGGAAAAAAGCACTCAGGGCACATAGCACAGGCTCCAAGAACTGAACTATCCAGAGGCCCAGTTGCTGAAACAGCCTGCTGTAACCCTAAGACCAGCTTTACCTAGTAACTGCTGAAACAACCTGCTATCACTCTAAGACTAGTTTTTAAACTACCACTGCCACTCTCCTATCCGAGCCTGCCAGCTCCCAAAGCTTTTCAAGTACCAATGAACTTTCTTTCAAAATAATCAGTAACATTTTTTTTCTATCTAATAAAACCTTCAACCTTCTCTTTGTTCCTTGGATATACTGAAGACCCCATGTGTATGTCTCAAATTCCAATTCTGTGATTCTCAAATAAAATATTTAATCTAGAGATTTGTCTCTATATTTTAAATTTGACAGATCAATTTAAAGAAATGTCCTAACTCACCTCAACATGTTTATAACAAAATTATAACATTTTCACATAGAATTTATAATACATGCAGATGAAATACATATGACAACTATAACATAGAGGATAGTGATGGGAAGAGAAGGAGGATGGACTATATGATCGCAAAATTTCTACATTTTACTTGAAATGGTATCATATTAGCTCTAACTAGAATATGAAATGTTAGGATGGATATTGCAATCCTAGAAAAAACACTGAAAAATAGATAGATCCAATAGATAAATTTTAATGGAATTTCAAAAATTACTAAAATAATCCAAGTCAGAAAAGGAAAACAGAAGGAAAAAAAGGGGAGACTGAGAGAAAACAAATAATAAAATGCTAGACATAAATCCAACCACCTTGATCATTTATTAAATGTTAATGGATTTTACTGACATTGCATAGCAGTGATGGTTACATAACTCTGTGACTATACTACAAATCACTCAATTGTATACTTTTAAAGGGTGAGCCTGATGACACATGAATTAAATCTCAATAAAGCTGCTATTTAAGAAAATACACTAAGGCAAACTAAAGAAGAAAAAACTTCATAGTCTAAACACTACAATTTAAAAATAGAGACCATCAGAATTATTTCAAAAGCATGACACAACTACATCCTGGCTACAAGAAACACACAGTATTTTCAACATAAAATCACAGATGGAGAAATACATATCATGCAAATAGTAAGAATAAAACACAATCTTCAGAGGCCGACATTAAACAACCTGTCCAAGATCACACAGCTACTAAGTGGCAGAGAAAGAATTTAGCTGTCATTCTGACTCCAGAATGAGCTAATAGATACATAGGGCAGTAAGGAGAGAGCGTAATAGGAAAACTAGAACGTAACACTTCAATCTGTTTTAACCTCAAGCAAAGGGAAAAAAATCCCAGCCTCATCAAATCCCAGACTTTTCCTATTGAAACCACTCCCCAAAATCCCACAAGCCCTAAAAGTATCTGACCTATCTACATCCTTAAAAGACTCCCTAACTGTAAAGGGAGAGTTTTCCTTTTTCAGGCATTCACTTTAGAGCATTTAGTATTCCACATCGCATTCAAAATCTTCAAATATTCTAAAAGCTGACCTTAAGCCAACATATAGGAAAGGAAACGTTCTCAAACATTTCAAAAGATATTCTGTCATAATAAGGGTTTTATGAAGTTGCATTCATTAGTTCTTATCAATTCTTTTGAACATCACATATGTACAAGTCACAACTAGAAAAATATTATAAAATTATTATGAAAAGGAAAAAGGAGTCACAGAACTTTCTCCTCCAAATCCAGGGAGACTTTATTAGTTCCACTTAAGAATATCAACGAGTGGTTAAAGGCATCAATATCTCTATGCTGTAGCTCTGGCACTCAGTTAACTGAGCAAAGCTCACTCAGTTACCTTACTTAGTAAGTTAGCAAATCCAAGTGAGGATTTGCCTTCACTGGCATCCAAGTTACAAGATGAGAAAAACAAAAGAAACAACTCTACTTTTTAGATCTCTATGATGATACACCAATGGGGAAGAGGGGAAGGAAGCAGAAAGAGAGAAGCCTCCACCAACAGCAAGAACAGATGCCAGCTAAAGCTATCGATCAAAAACAAATACCACTAACGGCCCAGCCCAGTTCCAATGCATCTGAGAGTCAGTCTGGAACATATACTAAACAACGGATCCATACTCTCTCATTTACCAGCTATGTGACACTGGACAAGGCATTTATTTAAACTTTCAGAGATTGTTCTCTCTTCCATAAAACCAAGAATAAAAATAAGAATACATCATAAGTTGTCATAAAGATTAAATAACTTACCTGCAGGTAGGTATTCCATACTTATTTTTAAAAGCCTAGGGACCACTGTTTTCTTATATAAGAAAAGTTCTATGCCACTTCTTTTCATATAAAAAAAGTAAGTCCTACTTAAGCAACTAAGAGTATCTTACAAAACAAATGATAGCAAAATTCTAGCACACGCAGACAGACAGACACACACACACACACACACACACACACACATACAGACACACATGCTCCAGAAGGTAACAGTGGTGACCTCTAAAGACTTAAATTGGGGTCTTGTTTCGAAGGTTCAAAGATGGAAAGAAATCCTAATTTTCAATGTTTTCATGTGCTTAAATTTCTTAGCATTTTACATTCTCAAAAATTAAAAATTTTAAGATACTAAAATCAAAGGTCTGTGTCCAAAATGGAAAATATAATAATGTTAATAAGAAAATTTATGTCATTAAAATGATGTCTACACAAAATACACTACAGTAACAATTCTCAACCCTTCTTAAGCTGCGATATATAAAAATAATGTATTTCCATGAGCTATGCAGATTATAGCCCATATAGTGAAAATAAGAGTTATAAACAACCCTGGGCTTGCAAGGTCTAAGTCTCTCCTATTTTTTCCTACTCAAATAAAAAAAAAGTCCAAATATGAATGAGTAGAGTATCATATGGATCATTTTTAATCCACTTTATTTTATAAACAAAAAAATTGTTAAACAAAGTCACTGGCAAACTTGCTAACTTCAGAATTTTAGTATTAGTTACAAAGTGCTTACAACACACTTTAAACTATAACACATCATGGACTGCAGCCTTGTAACTGAGGACCAATGACCCTGCAGGGAAGCCACCATTCTCCACATTTTACTTTTGAACACTTTCTAAATTTTGCTATTATGAAACACCTTACCATGAACATTTTCTCAAGTATATCTTTGTAAGTGAGATTCTTAAGGGTGGAACTGTTAAATTAAAGAACATATAGATGTTTTAAATTTTGATAAATACTAGCAAATTTCTGGGGGCCGGGGGAGGTCTGAAACAATTTACACTTCCAGGAACAAAACTATGTGACCCTTGCCCACACTGGATGCCACAGCTATTTAAAAGGTTTTTGGTTAACCCAGTGGCTATTTTAAAAATTACCTCTCATTTTACAGTAGTTACATGTCTTATCTTGCTAAAAACTCAAGAAAGAAAGAAGATAAAAGAGCACAATCGCCAAACCTCACACGCTCAGCACAGTTCCCTCCTATGCTTTCAACGCTGAGCATCCTGATGGAACTCACTATCCATCTACATATACGTGTATCTTTCAAGTACACAGATAGGATCCAAACACAAAACACAAATTCTAACATATGTTTCTCTTGAAACTAATTACTATAACTTATGCTATGTTACCTGAAATGACAAGGTATGATAATATGATTAAAACAACATAGAAAAACCAGAAAGAAAACACAGAATACTAAGAAATATCTTCAAGCCAACATCCCATTTTTCCAGAGAAGGTAGTTTCACGTTTCAAAGCTCTTTGTAAACTCTGTTAAGATGTCTTTGCCTCATCCTAACAATCCTCATAGTCTCCCATGGATGGTCCTTTAATGCTCATAATAAAAGAAGCCTGCAGGGAAAATACAGAATAGAAAACAGCTTGGAAATAAAATCTGTTAGCTCAGCACATTAAAATTATTGAAAATTGCTATTTTTATGAGGATTATGTGTAGCTTTGTTTTTTCTATGAACTATCTAAGCAATAACAAAAAGACATGATCTTTTTTTTTTTTTCTTTTTTAGACAGAGTCTCGCTCTGTTGCCTAGGCTGGAGTGCAGTAGCGTGATCTCAGCTCACTGCAACCTCCACCTCCCGGGCTCAAACGATTCTCCTGCCTCAGCCACCCACGTAGCTGGGATCAAAGGCTCGTGCCACCATACCTGGCCAATTTTTATGTTTTTAGTAGAGATGGGGTTTCGCCATGTTGTCCAAGCTGGTCTCGAATTCCTGACCTCAAGTGATCTGCCCACCTCAGCCTCCCAAAGTGCAGGGATTACAGGCATGAGCCACCGCGCCCGGCCCACATGATCTTTTTCAAGTCATGGACAGCAGGGACTGTATAAAATCCAATCCCACTTCGCGTAAACTCAGCATAAAAAATTATCAGTCTTGTAAAGTTTGGTGTGTTTTTACATTGGGGGAATTTGGCCTATTGTACACTTTCTAAAGCAAATACACAGCAGTTATGCAAAAAAAATCAAAAAATCATTTTAGTCCTGGATATTAAGTAAAAACAATGTATCAGATAAAGCACAAATCATTTTTCCAAAAACAAAAACATTCCAATCAAACTGAAACAAAAAGTCCAAGGAAAGAAATTACTTCTCAACAGAAGGATCTAGAACCCTTTCCCCGCAGAGGCTGCATATGAACTGTGCCTTCAAGGGCAGGCAGCAGTTAGACACGGTGGGTGGGAGGCCAGGCACACCCACCCAGAGAGAGTGAGGAAAGCACTGAGGGCAGAGCCAGCCACGCATGGGAGCAGCGCACAGTCAGGCTGGGTGGAGGCACAGCACTGATAAAAGGGAAATGGGGAAATAGGTTTGGAAAGAAAACTCGTGTGAAAGAAAGGAGGAGGTTGTATATTCTACAGGTTTTTCTCTAATGTAGAACCCCAGATGGAAATCATCCTTCTTACTTTCATTTACAAAGATATTGATCTTATCTCACAGTATTTTCTTCCCTGAAGTGAAGTTATTTGTGTATCAACTTATTTTCCGTAACATGACTATGAGCACCCAGGACTCATAGCACCCATGGACTGCAGCATTCTGCGCGGGAACCAGATTGGATTCATTTTTATTAATATATCCTTCTCAAAGGCCTTAAACAGACTTTAAAGAAGCATTTTTTGGCCAGACACAGTGGCTCACGCCTGTAATCCCAGCACTTTGGGAAGCTGAGGTGGGCGGATCACGACATCAGGAGTTCAAGACCAGCCTGACTAAAATGGTGAAACCCCGTCTCTACTAAAAATACAAAAATTAGCCAGGCGTGGTGGTGTGTGCCTGTAATCCCAGCTACTCAGGAGGCTGA
Organism: Homo sapiens; assembly: GCF_000001405.40. NCBI lineage: Eukaryota > Metazoa > Chordata > Mammalia > Primates > Hominidae > Homo > Homo sapiens. The sequence goes on along the minus strand of NC_000013.11, from coordinate 100,159,205 downwards.
GGCAGAATAGCTTGAACCCAGGAGACAGAGGTTGCAGTGAGCCGAGATCATGCCACTACATTCCAGCCTGGGTGACAGAGCAAGGCTATGTCTCAAAAAAAAAAAAAAAAAAAAAAAAAAAGGCAGCATTTTTTTAATAACTGAAAAAATGCATAAACTGTATATAATATTATATATAATATATAAAATAAATAAATGTATTAACTGTATAGGAATAAATGTATAATACTGGCACCACATCACTTATCCTACTCATATAATTTGGATTTGGATATTCATTTATAGCAGGAGTTCCCAAACTTTTTGTATAAAGGACCATAGAAAAAGTATTTTAGGCTTGATAGGCCAAATGGTCTCTGTCACAACTACTCAACTCTGCTGTCACAGGACAAAAGCAGCATAGACAATGCATAAATGAAAGAGCATGGCTGTGTTTCAATAAAATTTTATTGACAAAAACAGGCAGCAGGCTGCATTTGTCCTGTGGACTGTAGTGTGCCGACCTCTCATCTATACGGACTTAAATGTAATACATTACATTATATATATACACACATACACATCTAAATTTAAGTATTATATTCAAATAGTTTTTATAATAACAGAATCTTGGTCAAAATTCCAAGGAAGATAAAAAATAAAAAGGGATATAAACAAAAAAATGTAGATATGCTGCATAAAACCTGGGAAACTGGAACCTCTGGATGTGTCCATGTAATTTGCCCCCTCAGGATATCTCTTTAGGCCTTAGTTTTGGACCCACAAAGCAAGGTGGTTCAAATAGACAATTCTGTGATCTTAATAATTGTTTCAAGTTAAAGTTATAGATTTTAAGTGGAAATTCCATCTAGAAAATAACAACATTCACAAATAATTTCCAATCCGTGGAAGAACAGAATACGAGTACAGTTATGCTCCACAGAATATTTCAATGAGGCACCACACGTATGACAGTGGTTCCATAGATTCTAATACTGTATTTTTAACTGTATCTTCCCTGTTTACATGTTTAGATACACAAATATCTACCACTGTATTACAACAGCCTACAGGATCCAGTACAGCAACACGTATAGGTTTGTAGCCTAGGAGCAATAGGCTATAACACACTTAGCCTAAGTGTGTGGGAGACTCTACCATGTAGATTTCTGTAAGTAGACTCTGTGATGTTCACACAAGGATGAACTCGCCTAATGATGCATTTCTCAGAATGTATTCACGCTGTTAAGCAACACATGACTGTATGCCACAGAAACAAGTATAACATATTAGAATAAATTAAGATAGTACCTGGCATAATTGATCTAATAACAAACATATGTACAAACATTAATCAAAATCATATTCTAGTACCTAAAAAATAAGGTTTCAGTACCATCTTGAATGAAGTTATAAATATACCTGGAAAAATCAATTTAATAACAAACATACGTTAATTCACCTAGCTGGAAGGGGACATTTAGATCATTAAAAACAACTTCACCCAAAATAGAGGCATTGGTAAGATTTGATATTAAATGCCACAAAATAATTAAATCACTACAATAACTCACTAAACTCCCTAACATATTTACAGTTAAAAATCTGAAGTTTTTAACTTTAATTCAAATATCATGCAGTATATAATAAACCAGGTATCATTCATTCAGTGTAATGGTGATTTTGTAAACTTTTCTGTTTTTATAATTACTCTTCAAATAAACAGTTGAGTTTCAGACTAAAACCACTTCACTTGTCACAATTTTCAAAGAACTGCTGGGTTAATTAAAATTCTATAATCCATCACTACCCACATTTACAAAGCCATGCTACCACACTGCTTTCTGAAAAAGAAATGAACAGTTTCTGGTTCATTACCAACTTACCAAACATCTGGCAAATTCTTTGTTTTCTGAAAGGAATCCATAACCTGGATGTACCTTAGAAATGAAAGCAAAAAGCACTTTCAATTTTATCATATTGCAAAAGCTTTATAAGCAAAATGTACAGTGCATTTATGTATTAATATTTACTGTTCAAGAGCCCTTGAATAAGTACACTTCTCTTATACACTGATCAGTTCTAACTCACATTTCTAGGATCAGAATCAAATTCCAAGAAACTGCCTCTTATATTTACTTTCTCCACACTCCCTTTGTCCTAACTGATTCATTTTCCACACACTACCTTTGTCCTAACCACAATGGGGAGTATATGCCCACATAGCTTCCTGCCCACTGGCATTTGTCTACACTATTCAACAAAACTCTCTCTCCTTTTCCTGAGGCTAACTTTGCCCACAATTCTGGAGAATTTCACAATGGCTGGTGCATCAAAGAATTATGTAAAAGGAACCTTGGCAAAGATGGATGAAAAACTCTAAATTCTCCTTTCTTTACAGTACTCACGAACTGGTAATTTCCAAAACCCAGACTACTAGGACAGCTAACACATTTTATTCCTGATGGCATTAATAATACTCGGCAACTACCAACAAGCCGTTTCTATCAAACTGAACTAAAATGGAGGTGTGGTTTTACTTTTATTTTGTGCTCTGAATTTTTTTTCTTCTAATGTCTACTCTTCTTTCCTTCCTCACCCCAAACTTTGCCATCCACAACTACTTTATACTATCCTCACCCACAAGCCACATTGCTACAATCTACCAGCCTGATCCAATCAAGTAATTTTTGGCTCTCCCAGACTGGCCAAACATAAATTTCGCCACTTCAGTATCAGCCAGTGTTGAACATACTTCTAGTAAAATAATTCTGCTAAAAAGAGAGTCAAATTTCTAAAGGAACCAGTATCATAATCCAGAAATAGCTACGTATCAGCGACTTTTAAATGCTGAACTCGGGCTGGGCACAGTGGCTCCTGCCTGTAATCCCAGCAGTTTAGAAGGCTGAGGCAGGCAGATCACCTGAGGTCAGGAGTTCAAGACCAGCCTGACCAACATGGTGAAACCCCTTCTCTACTAAAAATACAAAATTAGCTGGGCATGGTGGCAGGCACCTGTAATCCCAGCTACTTGGGAGGCTGAGGCAAGAGAATCGCTTGAACCTGGCGGGACAGAGGTTGCAGTGAGCCAAGATCACGCCATCGCACTCTGGCCTGGGCAACAAGAGCGAAACTCCATCTCAAAAAACAAAACAAAAAAAAAGCTGAACTAAGCTTTATGAGCATGGTACAGAAGAATTTAAACTACTGTATCAGAGAAGAAGAGTTTTCATTCCACCAACTTCATTTTATCAACACTCAACTACATATTTATTTTGGCAAGCTATAGTTAAAAGGTTAAAGTGTTTTACCTTCACTAACTGTGCTAATAAACTGTAAACATCTATAATATGGGTTCACGAATTAGGCTTTTTATTTAAACATTCATCTTACTAAAACATTTCTTTCAAAAGAAATGTGAGCGCTAATTGAAGCGCTCCAGGCTTAATTGCTGGTGTTGGATGTTTCCATCCAGTTTTAGAGATAACTTTGCATAGTTTTTAACACTATATATAATTAGTTCTGATAATTAAAAAAAGAAAAAAGAAAATAGAAGAAAAAACACTGTTTCTGATATCAGAAATCATTTTTTTCCTTGGATTCCACTCTATTCAAACAGAACTGGGGGTGGAGAGAATGATTTATCCTTGTAAATTATGAGCATTCTACTGACATTAACAAACTAAAATAATTACCAAATGTGCTGTTTTTATTTCTGGAAGTGTACTAGGTATAAGTAATTTTTAAATTATTAAAATGGAATTTGAACACAGTCTTTGGATCCTGTTTATAACACAGAATTTTTTAAAATGCTCTTATTACACGGAAAGGGTTAATACTCAAAACTAATTGGGATTTCTTTTTTCCTAGCAAATTTGGAAATGAACTGAAACTGCTCCCTGGTGTGAAAGCTGAATCCAGCAGCCACCTGCAGGATCAGCAACCAACACTGCCAGATGCTACAAAGCCTTTGATTTCCAGTAGCGAATTCGACCACATTTAACTCATGTGACATGAACTAACTGCAACAGCATTTTCAATCATTCTTTCCTATTTTTTTTTTTAAATACAAACTCTAGCTTTCTGCTCACTACATATGAAACAGCTGCAGTAGATAGATTCATTCAGACTCACAGCTTGGGCCCTGGTTTTCTTAATGGCTTCCATGATGGCATCCATGTTGAGGTAGCTTTTACTGGTGGGAGCTGGGCCAACACAGACAGCCTCATCCGCCATTTTCACATGAACCTGAGGAGACAAATTTCTGCATTAACAGATGCGCCCAGCAAAAAGAATTACCATCATCTGCAAATACACACAAAATTGCAAATCTGATTGTTCTGCCTATCATTTATAGAGTCGTATTTCTTTTTGAGTATGCACTAAAAAGCAACAATGCAACAAATAAACTCAGGAACTCTATTAACCATGATTTCATTTATTACAGCCTAATTCATTGTCTAACCAAATAATTTCCATAATATCCCCTATCTCTTTATGTAAAATCACAGCAAACAATTTTAGCTTCCTATTCCGTTCATCAATACATAAATTTGATATCAAAAACTACCTTGTTACATGTAGCCAGGGTAGCCCAATATTTTAATAAAGAGCACTCATGCCCAGTTCTAAGCAAGCTCCCCAGGAAGTTGGGATAATTAGAGGGACTGAATGGAGGGATGCAGTGAGTGTCCCTGCACAGCATCAGGTCAGCACCAGGCACAAATTAAAGCCTAAGACGAAAGAAAGAGTTCAATATCACAACACATGAACCAGAAAATCTTGAGAATCATTTAAATACTCTCACATTCAATCTTCATCCATTTTACATTTATTCCTAAAAGAAATGATATGTGTATTAAGTTCTAAAGCTACTCAAAATTCAGGAATGTATGCTCCATTTTTAAGACTACTCACTCTATAATGTTTAAATCTATTTATTTTGCATAATAGAAGCTAAGCATTCAATATGAAAAAGAGTAAACTGCTTAGTTCTAAAAGGAGTCTATTCTTTTTAACTGATGAAAGGATTACTATCTTTTTAAATGACTTTTCCTAATTTCCTAATGGCTTTCCAGTTTCAGAAACTTCCAGATTACAATTATTTTGCAAGGCAGATATAAAAACTGGAACACAAACATATACCTAAACATTTATGACCCACCTTCTACCAAAAAAAAAAGTCAAAGGTGGCAAATACCTGAGTATTTCTGTTAGAGTCTTCAGTTATGAAATAATTTTTAAATACTTTGTTTTAAATGAGATCTTAAAAAACTAAAAAAGTAGTCTTTTAGAAAGCTAAGAATTCTCTTTGTCAATTCAATAAATATTTTCCACTTTAGTAAAAAATTATATTGAGTATTGAAAGGTAAAAGATCAGGTAAATGCCCAAGGGATTTTCAGGTCAATATCTTACTATAAAATATCCAAATATATACATTCGGTAATTATTTAATAATACCAATTGTAGGGAAAAGCAGCCCTGCTTGCAAAGGGCTTCTAAATATCCCTGTGTTCAAAGCAAGGCCTTCCTCGTGGTTATCGTTGCCTGGTATGCCCCCAACCTCAAGTTGCTCTTCTGCCCTCAGACCAGGATGCCCCCTCCTCTATTGCCCTATTGCCCTCTGTCCACTTCAGATCCTGTTACTGTCAATTTTGTTGTTGTAATTGTGATTGTAGTTTTCTTCTGTAAGAAAGAAATTGAGTACTTCACAATCCTTTAAAAAGAATACATTTAAGTCTTTGTTTAAACTTAAATCCACACTTGTTTTATTGTCCTCAGATACCACCTATTATAGAAGATGGACTCCAAGTTTCACATCTACCACTGGATCTTTCCCAAGTACTTCAATTTAGGATGAATCTCCTCTAATCTAAACTCTGAGAGTAGTTAGTGCAGATTTTAGCATATAATCTCATCTACCCAACAATCTCATTTTAACTGCTTTGCACAGTTACAATTTCTCCTCCACCAGATCATAAGGTTACGCCTTAAATTCTTTTTTTAATCTCCCCTAGCCCAATGTTATGTGATTAAAGCTATTTACTCATAGATACACTTGGATAGCAGCTTGCTTAATAACTTTCATTATCAAATGTTAAAAGCCATTGTCTTTGAGGTACAAAAAGTTGCAACTTTTATTATTTTTTTTTCATTATGTTTAAGGTAAAAATCTACACCTACATAAAGTCTTCTTAATCTTGGCAATACATATGGCAATTGGTGGTTTATCAAGGAAAAGAAATTAAAAGATACACATAGGCACATGTGTTTATGTGTCCAAAATTTCTATAATGAACATGCATTCAAAAGTAAAAAGGAGAGAGAGAATCCTAATAGTATTGACATTTTTAGTCTTTTCTCTAAATACACTTTCGTAATGATACCGCATATATAATTTTCACCCTTTTGTTTTTTAACTAGCATAATAGACATTTTTCCTATGTTATCACAAACGTTTTATAAACATACCAAGAACTAGGCCGGGCGCGGTGGCTCATGCCTGTAATCCCAGCACTTTGGGAGGCTGAGGTGGGCGGATCACGAGGTCAGGAGACCGAGACCATCCTGGCTAACATGGTGAAACCCCGTTTCTACTAAAAACACAAAAAATTAGCCAGGCGTGGTGGCGGACGCCTGTAGTCCCAGCTACTCGGGAGGCTGAGGCAGGAGAATGGCGTGAACCCGGGAGGCGGAGCTTGCAGTGAGCCGAGATTGCGCCACTGCACTCCAGCCTGGGCAACAGAGTGAGACTCTGTCTCAAAAAAATAAATAAATAAATAAAATAAACCTATCAAGAACTAGCTCAGAGCCTAATATATTTTACTGGGTGATTAAGATTGTTCCAGTTTAAAAAAAAAAAAAAAAGAGTGCTCCAATAAACAATTGAATAAATCATGCATTAAAAGCAGGTCAAAACTGCTATGGACTTTACAAAGAAGGACTAAACACAAATTGTTTATAAAGGATTGGTTGGCTTCTTTTCCTCCATTTGCAGGAACAAATCTTACTTCAGGGGGCAGGGTACATTCACATCTCAACAAGCCCACAGTCTAGCCCAGGGTCACTAGTAGCAAAAGGCCATGCAAAAGAAAACATTTGAATTCTCTACTGCCTTAGTTAAAGAGACACTTAAGAGTCAACCTGGAAAGAACAATCTAACAAACTTTTGAAACTCTATTTCAATTTTGTTGTCATTGTTGTATGAAATGTGTGAGGTGTTTTTTTTGGCTTAATAATACAAAACAAACAAACAATATTCAAGCAATGCAGATGCTATTCTGCAGAATGACTTAATATTGCATAGGCTGAGTAGATATATTTGTTTCAAAAATTTCAACATCTTGAAAAATATAAATTCCTTTTTATATATTTTAATGGCAAAGGAAATACATAACAACCATGGAAAGTTTAAACTGAGGTACACTAATCAACTAAGCAGGATTTACTGGCTATATGTTTCAAAAAGAAAAGTAAAGCATTTTAAATACTAACACTAAGTATAGTTTGTCTTCATAAACTTCTCCGTTCTCAGAAAACCAATAGAGATTTTTAAAGCAGATTATTAGCTTTCCCATCAAGCATTTAGGGTTTTTTTTGTTTTGTTTTGTTTTCTGTTTGTTTGGTTTTTTTTTTGAGACAGAGTTTTTGCTCTTGCCCAGGCTGGAGTGCAATGGCGCGATCTCGGCTCATCGCAACCTCCACCTCCCAGGTTCAAGCGATTCTCCTGCCTCAGCCTTCCCAAGTAGCTGGGATTACAGGCATGCGCCACCAACCCCGGCTAACTTTGTATTTTTAGTAGAGATAGGGTTTCTCCATGTGGGTCAGGCTGGTCTCGAACTCCCGACCTCAGGTGATCCGCCTACCTCAGCCTCCCAAAGTGCTGGGATTACAGGTGTGAGCCACCGCGCCCAGCCAAGCATTTAGTTTTCTATTTTGAATTATTTTATTCTTCAGAGAAAAATTACTAGCATCAACTATTACCCGTATGAGCCTAATTTCCAAATAACTAGAACAACAGATGTGTTTTTCATCTTACAGGACTGAGAAAAATCATCTTCTTTATTAACTTTTAAAAAATAAATTAAACTTCTTTTCTTCCGTCTGGCAGCAGCCATCAGGTAAGCCAAGATGGGTGCATACGAGTACATCCAGGAGCTACGGAGAAAGCAGCAGTCTGATGTCATGCGCTTTCTTCTGAGGGTCCGCTGCTGGCAGTACCGCCAGCTCTCTGCTCTCCACAGGGCTCTCCGCCCCACCCAGCCTGATAAAGCGCGCTGACTGGGCTGCGAGGCCAAGCAAGGTTACGTTATATATAGGATTCGTGTTTGCCGTGGTGGCCGAAAACGCCCAGTTCCTAAGGGTGCAACTTATGGCAAGCCTGTCCATCATGGTGTTAACCAGCTAAAGTTTGCTCCAAGCCTTCAGTCCGTTGCAGAGGAGCAAGCTGGACGCCACTGTGGGGCTTTGAGAGTCCTGAATTCTTACTGGGTTGGTGAAGATTCCACATACAAATTTTTTGAGGTTATCCTCACTGATCCATTCCATAAAGCTATCAGAAGAAATCCTGACACCTAATGGATCACCAAATCAGTCCACAGCACAGGGAGATGTGTGGGCTGACATCTGCAGGCCAAAAGAGCCCTGGCCCTTGGAAACGGCCGTAAGTTCCACCACACTATTGGTGGTTCTCGCCGGGGAGCTTGGAGAAGGCGCAATACTCTCCCGCTCCACCGTTACCGCTAATATAAGTAAAGTTTGTAAAATTCATACCTAATAAACAATTTGAAATAATAATATAAATAAACATATACAATGATAAAAATATTAAAAATAATAAAAATAAAAAATAAATTTAAATGTTTGGATATAAATAGGTTAAAAAGTATGCCTGCAGCCAGGTGCAGTAGCTCACGCCTGCAATCCCAGCACTTTGGGAGGCCGAGGCGGGTGGATCACAAGGTCAGGGGTTCAAGACCAGCCTGACCAACATGGTGAAACCCTGTCTCTACCAAAAAATACAAAAGAAAAATTACCTGGGCGTAATGGTGCATGCCTGTAATCCCAGCTACTCGGGAGGCTGAGGCAGGAGAATTGCTGAACCTGGGAGGCAGAGGTTGCAGTGAGCCGATCAGGCCACTGCACTCCAGCCTGGGCAACAGAGCAAGACTGAATCTTTGCGGGCGGGGTGGGGGGGAATTATGCCTGCATTTAAAAACTCTGGATTAATAGAAAATTTCATATTAGTCAATTAGATGCCTAAAATACATTGAAAAAGACATTCTATTTGGTCCCTGTCCTTATCAAATAGATTGCATATGAGTGATAAAAAGTGCTAGGCCAGATGTTATATTTAGCATAAAACTCAATGGTCTCAGTGAAACATTTTGAATACCTTCTAAACTAGTACATACTGAGAAAGGTAGAGAAGACAAGCAGGTTTGGAAATGTTTCTTCATGCCTAGAGATATTTTGAAACCTATCACTCAAGGAGATCTGTAATGAAGTGGACACTATTTACCACGACTGAGAATACAGGAGTTTTCCTTCTGATGTCCTTCAATGCAAGACACTGGGTAGAACACTCCAAGGATGATGTAATACGGACTAGATGCACTCCTTGGCTGAAAGTAGCAACAGCTTACATAACCCGGCCAGTCTTCAGTATCCACCAAATCTAATCAAATTATCCAAACATTACTAACCAATGAAAATTATCCTGAAAGTAGAATAGTGGTTGCCAGAGACTGTGGCGAGCCTGGAATGGGGAGTTACTGTTAAATGGGTACAGAGTTTCAGTTTGGAATATGAAGAGAGTTCTGGAGATAGATTATAGTGATGGCTGCACAACAATGTGAATGTACTTAATGCCACTGAACTGTACACTTAAAAATAGTTAAGATGGCAAGTTTCCTTATAAGCATTTTACCACAATTTAAAAAATAATAAACTTGTTGGGAGTCTCAAAAAAAAAAAGAAAGAAAATTACCCTGAAAGACTAAAAGGTTAAAGGAAAGCCAACTGCATCAATCTTCATTTGAATAACTGAAAAAAAAAAAAAAAATCAAACAACCAGATAAAATCCTATTTCTAAAAAAAAAAAGAATAGAACTCTTTCTATTTCATTCAAAGTATCTAAAGATACTTTTATAAGTTTTAAAAAACTAACATTCTGGCATGTCCTTTCCCAGAAAGGCAATTTGATCATAGAAAACAAAATGATTTTTTTTAAAGATTCGCTTTGATTCCATTTTGAAAAACTACATGTGTAGCACCAAGACATATTTATTCATGGTTATTTTGGATGGTAGAATTAGTGGACTACTATTTTTCTTCTAAGATAACTTACATGATTTTCAAAGTGGTAAAATTTTAAACTACAGGAAAAAAAGAGAATACGTTTTTGCCAGTTGCAAAATTCCCAGCCCATTTTCTACAATCCTGTTTTCATTTCACAAAAGGGAACTAATACTGAATCGATCTCGGAACCAAAACAAAGGTGTTTTGGGGTTTTTTTGCTGTTTGGGTTTTTTGTTTTTTGTTTTAGTCTTTGTCTTGCAAGCATGCATTCCTGACGATACAGTAAACAACAAAATAATGAAAACCAGCAGGAGGAGAACTATCTTCTCATACCACTGACCCCTTAGTAGAAGCATCAAGGGAGAAGGGGAGGAATGACAGAGAGAAAGGAGACATCAAGTATTCAAGCAAAACCTTAGCAAGAGTCATGTCAGTGTAGCTGGTGGGTACCAGACCACAAATGAAAGGACTGCGGAATAAAGCAGAGGAAAAAGTAGAGTAGGGGTGGGGTGGGTGGGGTGAGGACTGTACATATGGCTGGATGTAAAGAGTAGGAGAGGCAGAGTGACAGCCAAGAGATGACTCAGGTTTGTTTTCCTTCATTAGCTTAGGAAAAACTTGAACAAATGCCTTTGAGAAGGGTAATGTGCAAAATAACTAGGTAAAAACACCTGAGATATGACATAATTCAGAGTAAAAAGTTTCTGACAAGCAGTGGCAGACCCAAGAGGCTTCCCAAGTGGAGGCTAAGGTGGCAGTGAGCTGTGATTCCACCACTGCACTCCATCCTGGCTAACAGAGTGAGACCCTGTCTCAAAAAATAAAAAATAAAAAGACTAAAACTGCCGTGTGCAGTGGCCCAGTTCCTGTAGTCCCCACGGCTTAGGAGGCTGAGGCAGGAGGATCACTCAAGCCCAGGAGTTCGAGTCCAACCTGGGCAACACAGTGTGACCCCATCTGTAAAAATATAAAATAATAATTAAATAAATGAAATAAAATGAGCAAAATAGTAAACTTTATGTTATACAGATTTTATTAAAAACACAAAAAAAACTATATAGATCCATCACAATTTCCAGCCAATTACGGACAAGCCAGAGTGAAAGTATACATTTGAAGAATGTCACTACGTAGTAAAAAAAGAAATAAATAATACTACCTAAGAAAAACTATGACAAGTTAGGTTAGGGGAGGAAACAAGAAAATACCAGTAAGAGTGTGGGCTCAGCTCTAGCTTGCAATCTTTAAGATTAATTTCCACTTACTAAAGAGAAAGCTATCACACATGCATTCAAAGTCTAGTGATGAAGTCATAAATACACAGGCATATATTTCTGAATACATCTTTCTGAAGCAATAACAGAGTGAAATTCTAGGAATAGGGTTGGGAAATAATCTCCACTGAAATCAATATTTTTAAAAAAGTGTTTCCAAACCATATGAACAGCTAATGCCAATTCCACAAAATATGGAGAGCCACCAAAAGTCATGGGATCTTAAAGCCCTACCAGAGCCCCAGCAGCAGCTATCACTGCTCAACACAGGCCACTAAATGATGACACTATGCATATAAAGCAAGTCATTTAGATGTTCTTACATTTTTCAATTTTATTGTAATTACCCAAGTAATGTATGAGTTACTCCTTTGGTTAAAAAGAAAAAAAGCTTAAGCAGTATAGATACCAGATAACCATTATTCCCTGCCCCGTTTTAAAGGCTCCTAGTCCCATTTCCTGTTATCCAGCCATGATCAGTTTTGCATGTGTCCTTCCAAACTTACCTAAGCATTTTCATATGGATATGCAGAAATAAAGGTGCAGAGTTTTATTTCATGTTTAAGATTTTTCTTGGTATAAACTGAATCACACTACATTTTATTCTACAACTAATTTTATCACTCAGTTTTTTTTTTTTTTAGAATTCTACCTCATAATTTTTAACTGCTACCCAGTATTTCTAGTAATCTAGATGAACCATAACTTATTTAACCATTCTCCTAGTATTGGACATGGTTCCAATTTGCAGGTATTGTGCGCTGCAATAAGCTTCCCTAAACATGCCAATCTGCATACATATGTATATTTCTATAAGAAAAATATTTAATTTAAATACAAATACCACAAACTACACATTTAAAATCTTAGGTCAACTTACACTACTATTAGAGATTAATTTCCCAACACTACACCATCACTGAACATGATTTATCTTTCTAATTTTATTAATGTAATGGAGAAAAATGATTCATTTTTTTAATTCGCATTTTCCTGGTTATTAGTGAGTTTGGGCACATTTGCACGTTTGTAAGCTACCTGTATTTCTTCTAACTATTAACCATTTTTTTTTTTTTTTGAGACAGAGTCTCACTCTGTTGCCTAGGCTGGAGTGCAGTGGCACGATCTTGGCTCACTGCAACCTCCGCCTCTTGGGTTCAAGTGATTCTCCTGCCTCAGCCTCCTGAGTAGCTGGGATTACAGGCATGTGCCACAACACCTGGCTAATTTTTGTAGTTTTAGTGGAGACGGGGTTTCACCATGTTGGTCAGGCTGGTCTCAAACTCCTGACCCCGTGATCCGTCTGCCTCGGCCTCCCAAAGTGCTGGGATTACAGGCATGAGCCACCGCGCCCAGCCACCATTAACCATTTTTAAATTTAATACAACAGATATCTTATAAAAAAGCAAAGCTGGCCGGTGCGGTGGCTCACGCCTGTAATCCCAGCACTTTGGGAGGTGGAGGCAGGCAGATCGCTTGAGGCCAGGAGTTTGAGATCAGCCTGGCCAGCATGGCAAAACCCCATCTCTGCTAAAAATACAAAAAATTAGCCGAGTGTGGTGGCGCATATCTATGGTCCCAGCTGCTTGGGAGACTGAGGCACAAGAATCACTTGAACCCAGGAGGCAGAGATTGCAGCGAGCTGCCGAGATTGCACCAGCGCACTCCAGCCTGGGCGATAGAGTGAGACTCTGTCTCAAAAAAAAAAAAGCAAAACTATCTTTTGTTTTGTTTTTAATTACATGTAATATATGTAAATATATGTAATAGCTAAACTTTTTTTTTTTTTTTGAGACGGAGTCTCACTCTGTCGCCCAGGCTGGAGTGCAATGGTGCAATCTTGGCTCACCGCAACCTCCACCTCCTGGGTTCAAGCGATTCTCCTGCCTCAGCCTCCTGAGTCGCAGGGACTACAGGTGTATGTCACCATGCCCAGCTATTTTTTTGTATTTTTAGTAGAGATGGGTTTCACCATCTTAGCCAGGATGGTCTCCATCTCCTAACCTCATGATCTGCCTGCCTTGGCCTTCCAAAGTGCTGGGATTACAGGCGTGAGCCACTGCGCCCTACCGTTATACCTAAACATTCTTATTCAAAATAAAGCTAACAACTCCACTGACCACACCTGTCCCCATTACAATGTCTCTCTCCGGTAATCACTTAACAGGTGAATATGCATTATTAGACTTCAATATATGCCAAGGGATCCCAACTTGGAGCAATTTTGTCCCCCAGGACACAGTTGGCAATGTCTGTAGATAGTTTTGGCTGTCACTACTGGGGCCTGAGGGGACACGACTAGTATCTAGAGGGTAAGACGCCAGGGATGCTGCTAAAAACCCTCTAGTGTGCAGGACAGTCGCCCATGACAGAGTCCTCTAACCCATAATGTGAACAATGCCACTGTTGAGAACCTATGCTGTATGCTTTTACATAGGTAACTATAAAGATATTTTAGGTTGGGATTCTTTTACCATTAATGGTATCATTATACCATATGTGTCCTTACACAAGTTCTCTTTCCATTTTTAATGTCTTAGAGATGTTCTCTGTTGATATACAGAGATCCACCTCAGTCTTTTTAACTACTAAAGAATTCCAAGATATGGCTCTACCTGTTTACGAATCATCTGCTCCCTCATGGACACTGAGTGTGGAAGAATCACCTAGCTGGATGTCACTTCTTGTGCTCAAGGCTGTCTCCTCTGGAGCTGCTCCCATCTTTGCAGCCATCCTCTCCTATCTGTGTTTCAGACTGGGGTTTCCTGGGGCATGATCCCATCAGCCATCTCTCTTGCAAAATTCCTCACTGTTTCCAGGACCAGCATTTCCAGGATCCCATGAGTACTCTTTACCATTTTCCATCAAAATTCTGGTTTGTTGTTTATCTTTAGGTCTTTTCTCTTCAACTTTTTCTCATCCCTGGGAATTTGGGACAGGAAGATGAAGTCTGGCTCATCCCAACAGCCTTAATTATAAGTCAGGACTTTTAAATTTTTTCATTTCTTAACATAGGAAATATATAGTGTATGTATTTTTAATTTAAAAATCAAAGATTATAAACAAGAACATAGTTTTCTACAATTAATCAGTTAAAACTTATTTTTAAGACTGTCATGAAAAGCATCAACTAATCTAGTGAGCATCTAATATGATATAAAAATGAGTACATGAAAGTGATCATACCAGTCCTAAATTACTACAGCCATTCCTCTATTTATGTATCTTAATGGTGAGTATCTTTCTCCTAGTATCTATGCAGACATCATGGCATTCCTAGAAACTCTAAAAGCTGGCTTTCTGGGCTCAGATTCCATTTCCCACATTATCCAATATTTTTGCTGGGATCCCAAAAGACAGGACAGCTCTTGATTTACGGTATATGGCTGTTTAGTTTCTTACCAAAAACTATCAGATGAGTATTACAAATAGCAGCAAAATCAACCACTCAAAAGCTTCCTGGTATAGTTAGCTCCCAGACATTGAAGGTAATCATGAAAAGCAGTTACGGAGCTCAAGAAGTTTTCCTTAGCACAGTCATTTTTCACCAAGCAGTGGTATGAAATTTAAAGACATCAGAAATATCTGGGGCCGGGCATGGTGGCTCATGCCTGTAAACCCAACACTTTCGGAGGCCAAGATGGGAGGATCATTTGAGCCCAGGAGTTCCAGACCAGCTTGGGCAACACAGAGGCCCCATCTCTACAAAAAAAAAAAAAAATTTCTCTTAATTAGCCAGACATGGTGGCTGGCACCTGTAATCCCAGCTGCTTGGGAGGCTGAGGCAGAATGATTGCATGAGCCCATGAGTTGGAAGTTGCAGTGAGCTATGGTCGTGCCACTACACTTTAGCCTGGGTGACAGAGCAAGACCCTGACTCAAAACCAAACAAACAACAACAACAAAAAGAAAACAAAAATGTCTAGAAGTGTTTTATTTTCTCTTCAAAAATAAATATTCTTTCTCCCCATTTCCCAAAAAAGAAAATCATTCTATACCCGAAGACAGAATAAGTACTTTGAAGGAGCTCAAGAAACAATTTTTATTTCTTCCTATTCATCCAAGACTAATAATTAATAAAGATTTTTATTTTTTTTTTTTATTTTTTTTTTTTTGTGGATGCAGAGTCTCGCTCTGTCACCCAGGCTGGAGTACAGTGGCGCAATCTCAGCTCACTGCAATCTCTGCCTCCCACGTGCAAACAATTCTCATGCCTCAGCCTCCCAAGTAGCTGGGACTACAGGCGTGCACCACCACAGCTAGCTAATTTTTTTTTGTATTTTTAGTAGAGACGGGGTTTCACCATGTTGGTCAGGCTAGTCTCAAACTCCTGACCCTCAAATGATCCACCCACCTCAGCATCCCAAAATGCTGGGATTACAGGCATGAGCCACCGCACCTGGCCAAAGATATTTTAACTCAATAGTTAAAGACCCAAAGTGACTATGCCATTCACTGAATTTACCTGCAACTCCTTAAGTAGGTCCAGCTACCAGGAACAGAAGTTCCTCTTTAGGGACTTAGTTTACAGAGTATAAGAGAACCACACTCAGATAAACACAGCAAGAGTAGCAGGATTGAAAAACAGAAGGGTACCTGTATCTCAACTCCTACCTTCCTTGGAATTGAAGCCCATGTAAGGGGGAGAATCAGAGCCCAAAATGTGAAAAAACATAAATGTATCAGGGGAGATCAAATCACCTACTAGTCGAAGAATGACCCATCTCCAGCGGCACTGTCATACACAGGGAGCCTGATACGCTATGCTGGGCCACCAGCTGAACCTCATCAGATGAAAACCCAAGCATGATGTCAGCAAGCTTACCAGCCTCATACTAGGACAACCACATAGAATCTAGTCTGTAAGAAGGTTCATTTCAGCTGGGTGTGGTGGCTCATGCCTGTAATCCCAGCACTTTGGGAGGCCGAGGCGGGTGGATCACCTGAGGTCAGCAGTTTGAGACCAGCCTGGCCAACATGGCAAAACCCCATCTCTACTAAAAATATAAAAATTAGCTGGATGTCGTGGCACGCACTTGTAATCCTAACTACTCGGGAGGCTGAGGTAGGAGAATCACTTGAACCCAGGAGGCGGAGGTTGCATGAGCCGAGATCATGCCACTGCACGCCAGCCTGGGAGACAGAGCAAGACTCCATCTCAAAAAAAAAAAAAAAAAGAAGGCTCATTTCATCTCATAGAGATTTCAGGAGGAGTTAGTCCTTTAATTTCTGGAACTAAATTTGTGACAAGAGGTACTATAAAGACGGGTTAAAGACACCCTACCTGGCAGCAGCAATAGGCAAGGAAAAACTGAATGGTTGAATGAAGGGCTATAATCCACCTGTCTTTTATTTCAAAATCTAACTTTTCTCCAAGTCCAAACATCTGGCTGGCTTAGGAAAGAACACTTAGTGCAGCTGTTGGCATGCCTCTTTTGTGTAAAAGAGTAAATAAATAAATTCAAATAAAAAGAAACATCTGGACAGCACAAGGTAGAAAAACTCTACCTTATAGGAGGTGGCAGCTGGCCCTCAGAAGAGAAAAGACTAGAGAAAAAAAAAATCTGCCCTACTGGAAGAAAAACTGTATATAATAAAAAGATCAGAAAAAATGAATTTCCAAGTATTATTGCCAACACTCAAAGTCATCGAAACATATTTCCCAAAACATTAGTTCCTAATTCCATTTAAACAGTACTTGCCTTTGTTTTCCACTCTCTTATGTAATTCAACTATTTGATGTTCCACCCATCATATCCCTTTAACATTAACTAAATCATGAACACTTCCTTTCTTTTCCCTGATCCACTCAAAAATTTATTACAGGTATACTTTATTACAGCAAGGTATAAAAAGATGATAAATCACAGTCCTCTACCCCTCCAGGAGTTTGGTCTGGTATGAAAGACTTATACACCAACTGCAATTAAGAGTAATAAAGGCTGGGTGTGGTGGTTCACGCCTGTAAACTTAGCACTTTGGGAGGCCAAGGCGGGCAGATCACTTGAGGTCAGTAGTTTGAAACCAGCCTGGCCAACATGGTGAAACACTGTCTCTATTAAAAATACAAAAAAATCAGCTGGACATGGTGGTGCATGCCTGTAATCCCAGCTACTCGGGAGGCTGAGGCATAATAATCACTTGAACCTGGGAGGTGGAGGTTGCAGTGAGCCGAGATCACGCCACTGCACTCCAGCCTGGGAGACAGAGTGAGACTCTGTCTGATAAATAAATAAATACATAAATAAATAAATGTAATAAAAAATAACATGTACAAATGGTTTCACAGAGAATTGGCTATTGAACAATAAA
The DNA here is from genome assembly GCF_000001405.40 of Homo sapiens. NCBI lineage: Eukaryota > Metazoa > Chordata > Mammalia > Primates > Hominidae > Homo > Homo sapiens. The sequence goes on along the minus strand of NC_000013.11, from coordinate 100,141,340 downwards.
ACTGGATTTCTAATAAATGAAAAAAAGTGAGAGAGAACTAACAGAGAAAGAGTACATTCGAAATGGTGGAAATGTGAAAGGTGCCAGTATAGAAATCTGTGAGATGGCTTGAAAATAAAGTGTATGAAAAGGGACTGATGGGAAAGGATGGTAGAAGAAAAATCAGTAGGAACTTGAATGGATCTTGAATGTCACGGTAAAGTGTTTGGATTTTGGGAAGTCTGTGATTCTCAATGTTTATCTCCTATGGAAAGAAAATAACATCCACAGGAGGCAAGCTATACTGCATCATTAATAGCAGCTTACTATATATTACTGCAGTTGAGTCATTCAAGCAATTAGCTGTAACACTTTCCTTTCTCTCCCAGTAACCTCAGATGAAGGTTAGGACATAGTGCTATCAACAATGAAAACCTCCTTTATTTTCCTCTGTTATCTAACCAAACTTTTACCATAATATAGGATACACAACATAGTATACAGGATGCAAAGATGCATTCTGCTAATTCCTTCCCACATTTGTTTTCTAAGTAGCTTTCAAGAAACACCCCTGGCCATTCTAACTGCAGGTAAGATGGACTAAGCATGCTCCACCCCAACTATCCCACTGAATTCAACTATGAAACCTCAAAAGAATGCACGAATCAAGTATTTATAGACTTGGAAAAGCAAACAGTAGCAGGCAGATCAAGGAAGAAAAGAATTCAAATTACTATAAACAAGTGGTGAGTTTTATCATTTTCTTTTCCTCCCATGATCTCCCTGACCGACCTTGGAAAAGCCTGAAATGCAAAGTAGGCATGGGGACACTGATGGAGAGAACTCCAGGAGAACCCCTATTCATCTCACTCAAAAGGCAGGAAAGGGAGCTCCTGATACTTACAACATTATGGAAATCTCAATTCCCATATTTTTTTTCCTTTTGCTCTATTCTTTTTTGCCCCAACCCCCAAGTAATTTTGTGGCTGTGGTACCAGAGGCAGACATAGATGCCAGCAAGAGCCAAAACAATGAGAGAAGAAACATTCTTCTTCAATCAGTGAAACTGCAGTCTCAAGAGGGCAGGTAAAACCCCAAGGTTTTTTCTGCTCTCTCTGTGCTCTTTACACGTCCTGGACACAAACACAAAATTTGAACAGCAGAGCAAGGTAATAAAACCTCAGATTTCTAAGTAAGAAGACTGAAAAGTGAAGGCCTAAAGAACCAGAATGGGAGAAGCTAGCATGGAGAAGTGACACAATAAAGTTGTTTATGAACTTCTGAGCTCATCCCTAGGTTGGGCATGTATGGATGTAATTCTAATAAGTATACCAAAGAATTTAAACACTGAACTAACCACAGATCCCAGACTGATGAGTTGTTGACACATATGTGGGGTGGATCTGTATAGGAGTACAAAGACCCACCGCCCACAGGAAAAAAAAAAACAAAAAAAAACTGGAATGTGCACTCTGAAGCCAACCAAGTTAATTGCTACTGAAACAAAAATATTAACATCCTAAAAAGAAATGAACTAAATTCAGAGGATTATGTCTCATAACATCATACTCAAAATATCTAAAATTAACCCAAGAACCAAGTAAATCTCTTACAGGGAAGGAAAAATCAAATACCAAGACCAAAGTAACAAAAATGTTGAAATTATCTCACAAAGATTTTAAGGAAGTTATTATTAAAGTTTTCCAACAAGCAATTATGAACACTCTTGAAACAAATGGAAACTTTGAAAGTATCAGAAAAGAAACAGAATTTGTAAAAAGAAACCAATGGAAAATTTTAAACTAAAATATGCAATAATCAAATTAAAAAAAACATACTGGATGGGCTCAAGGGTAGACTACAGATGACAAAGGAAAGAGTCAATAAATCTGAAGACTGATCAACAGAAATTATACAATCTGAAACAAGAGAGAAAAAAAGAGTAGAAAAAATTAACAAGAGACTATGGAACAATACTTAAAGGTCTAACATACATGTCTATCAGAGAAAAGAAGAAAAAAAATGTTCTCAGCACCATGCTGAGAAAATATTTTTTTTAATAAGGACTGAAAACTTCCCAAGTTTGGTAAAAGACATAAACCTACATATTCAAGAAGGTCAGTGAATCTCAAACAGGGTAACAAAAAGAAATCAGAAAACATAATCAAACCACTGAAAATTAAAGACAAAATTCCTGAAAGTAAACAAAGAAAAACAACACATTAACTATAAAGGAATGATACTCAAACTACTATGGATTTCACATCAGAAGCCACAAAGACCAGAAGGAAGTGACATAATGTTTTTCAAGTGCTGGAAAGAAAGAACTGTCAACTCAGTACTCTATATTCAGTGCAAATATCCTCTAAGAATGAAGGCGAAATAAAGACATTTTCTTTCTTTCTTTTTTTTTTTTTTTTTTTTTTTGAGATGGAGTTTTGCTCTGTCTCCCAGGCTGGAGTGCAGTGGTGTGATCTTGGCTCACTGCAACCTCTACTGTCCTGGTTCAAGCCTTTCTCCTGCCTCAGCCTCCCAAGTAGCTGGGATTACAGACGCCTACCACTGCGCCTGGCTAATTTTTTTGTAGTTTTGGTAGAGACAGAGTTTCACCATCTTGGCCAGGCTGGTCTTGAACTCCTGACCTCGTGATCCACCCGCTTCGGCCTCCCAAAGTGCTGTGATTACAGGCGTGAGCTATTGCACCCAGCCAAGACATTTTCAAATAAAGGAAAACTAAGAGCATTAGTTGCTAGCAGATCAGCTCTAAAACTGCTTAAGGAAGTTCTTCAGACAGAAGGAAAATAACATTAGAAGGAAATCTGGAACATAAGGAATGAAGGAAGAGCAACAGAAATGATAACATTGCTTTTGAAATACGTTTAACTGTTGAAAGCAAAAATTTTAACATTGTCTGATGGGGTTTTCAATGCATGCAGATATAACACGTAAGAAAACCATAACATAAGAAGAGAATGTAGATACCTGCATGATGGTAAGACTGACATATTCCAATTAAGGTGGTAAAATATGAATTTTCAATAGACCATAGGAAGTTAAGTATGTATATTATAATCAATAAAGTATTAATTTGAAGAAAAACTACACGAGATAGTCATAAACACAATAAATTTCAAAGGAATACTTTTAAAAAGTTCAAATAATGCAAAAGAAGACACAAAGAGTGAAACAGTGAAAAAAACTAGATAGAAAAACAAAATAATAAAACAGTAGCCCAAAAGCCAAACATTTCAATAACTACATTAAACATAAAAGTGGCCAGGTGTGGTGGTTCATGCCTTAATCCCAACACTTTGGGAGGCTGAAATGAGAGGAATGCTTGAGTCCAGGAGTTCAAGACCAGCCTGGACAACATAGGGAGACCACGACTCCACGAAAGAAAATTAGCTAGAGGTGTTCCCAGTTACTCAGGAGGCTGAGGTGAAAGGATCACTTGGGCCCAGGAGGCTGAGGCTGCAGTGGGCCATAATCGCGCCACTGCACTCCAGCCTGGATGACAGAGTGAGACCCTGTCTCGAAAAAAATAAAAAAAAAAAAAAGACTTAAACATACAAATTAAAAGAGATTGTCAAAATATGACCCAAGTATATGCTGTGTACAAGAGAGTCACATCAAATATAATGACATATGTAGTTTAAAGGTAAAATGATGGGAAAAAATACGATGCAAACATCAAGCAAATAAAGGCTGGAATGCCTAGGTTAGTATCAGAAAAAGTAGGCTTCAGAGCAAAGAAATTTACAAGGGATAGAGAAGAACATTACCTAATAGTAACAGGGTCAATTCACCAAAAAGATACAATAATCCTTAATGTGTATGTTCCTAACAACAGTGCTTCATAAAGCAAAAACTGGCAGAACTGAGAGGAGAAACAGACAATAACCCAGTCATCGTTGGAAACATCAAGACTCTCAAAAGAAAGACAAGTAGTAGAAAATTGGCATGGATATAGAGGAACTGGACAATACCACAAACCAGTTGTATCTCACTGACATTTATACAGTACTGAAGTCTAACAACAGAAGACACAATCTTTACAAGTGCACATGAAACATGCAACAAAACAGGTCATACCTGGATCAGAAAATGAACTTAACACACTGAAAAAAACTATAATAATACAAAATATGATCTCTGAACAAAGAGAATTAGTATTAGAAATAAATAACAGAAAGACAGTAGAAAAATCTCCAAATGCTTGGAAATTAAACAATTTTAAATAACCTATGTGCAAAAAAGGAAGTCTCAGAAAACATTCTTAACAAAAATGAAAACACAATATATAAAAAAAAATATTAGATGCACTTAGAGTGCTTAGAGAGAAAATTATAGTATTAAATAAGAAGATATATCTCAAATCAATAATCTAAGCTCCTACCTTACAAACCAGAAAAAGAAAAGCAAAATAAACCTAAAGTAGAAGGAAGAACACAACAGAGGAGATATCAATAATTTTTAAAAGAGAAAATAGAGAAAAAAGACATCAATGCAACCTAAGCTAGTTATTCTAAAGCATCAATAAAACTGATAAATCTCTAAAAAGACTAAGAAAAGAAGAAAAAAACGACATCCAAAATAAGAAAGGAAAGAGGTTATCACTACAAACTATGCAGATATTAAAAGGATAATAAAAGGTTTCTAAGAATAATTCTATGTGCATAAATTGGACAATTTAGATGAAATGAACCAATTCCTCAAAAATGGCAAAACACAAAGCTAACAAAACACACTCAAAATAAGATAGATAACCTGAATACTCCAATAACTATTAAAGAACTTGAATACGTCATTTAAAACCTTCTGAAGAAGAAATCTCCAGGCCCAGATGGTTTCACTGGAGAATTCTGAACAATTTTATAGGCCGGGCGCGTGGCTCACACCTGTAATCCCAGCACTTTGGGAGGCCAAGACAGGTGGATCACCTGAGGTTGGGAGTTTGAGACCAGCCTGACCAACATGGAGAAACCCCACCTCTACTAAAAATACAAAAATTAGCCAGGCGTGGTGGTGCACGCCTGTAACCCCAGCTACTTGAGATGCTGAGGCAGGAGAATCACTTGAACCCGGGAGGTGGAGGTTGCAGTGAGCCGAGATCACACCATTGCACTCCAGCCTGGGCAACAAGAGTGAAACTCCATCTCAAAAAAAAAAAAAAAAAAACAATTTTATACACTCTCATTCAGAGAAGAAACATTTCCCAATTAATTTTATAAGGACAACATTATGCTAATACCAAAGACAGTACACAAAAAGAAAACTGCAGACCAATGTCCCTCATAATAATGATGTAAAAAATCCTTAACAAAAAATTAAGAAGTCCAATCCAGCAATATATAAAAAACAATACACCACAACCAAAATGCAAAAGTAGCTTCATACTAAAAAAATCAATCGCTCAGCGTAAAATAGCATATTACAATCAAAAGGAAAAAAACCCCACATGATCATATCAATTGATTTAGGAAAAGTGTAAGACAACATTCAACATTCATTGGCAGATTAGGAGTAGACAGGATCTTCCTCAACCTGATAAAAAGCAACCACAAAAAACCCACAGCTAATACCATACTTAATTCTGAATGACTGAACACTTTTCCACTAAGATTGGGAATAAGGCAAGAATGTGCACCACTGCTACTCCTCTTCCTCTTCATACTGGAATTCCTAACTAGAGCAACAGAAAAAAATAAAATAAAAGACATACAAATTATAAAGAAAAAAAAATCGAACTGTCTCTGTTCACAGACAACATGATTATCTACATAGACAACCCCAAGGAACCTACGAAAATACTCCTAGAACTAATGAGTTTAGCAAGATCACAGAATGCAAGGTCAACATTCAAACATTAATCATACTTCTACTACTAGCAATGTACAACTGGAAACCAAAATTTTTTAAACAATAACGGAGTCTCACTCTGTCACCGGCCTAAACAATAATTTTTTTAAAGAGACAGAGTCTCACTCTGTCACCCAGGCTGGAATGTAAGTGTTGTGATCATAACTCATTGCAGCCTTAAACTCCTGGGCTCAAGCAATTCTCCCTCTCAGCCTCCAGAGCAGCTAGGACTACAGGTATGTGCCCCTACACCCTACTATATTTTTGTTTGTTTGTAGAGACAGGGTCTGGCTATGTTGCCCAGGCTGGTCTCAAACTCCTGGCTCAATGATCCTCCCACCTCAGCCTCCCAAAGTGCTAGGATTACAGATGCGAGCCACCACGCCTGGCCAAACAATACAATTTTAAGAGTCTCCAAAAAAAAATTACACTTAGGTTAAAAATCTAACAAAACAGTACAAGCTGGGCATGGTGGCATGTACCTACAGTTGGGAGCTATTTGGGAGGCTGTGGTGGGAGGATCACTTGAGCCCAGGAGTTTGAGGCCAGCCTGGGCAACACAGTAAGACCCTGTCTACAAAAAACAAACAAAACAAAGCATGTGCAGGATCTGCATATTGAAAACTATGAAATGCTAATGAAAGAAATCAAAGCAGACCTAAACAGGCTAGGCATGGTGGCTCACACCTGTAATCCCAAAGCAAGAGAACTGCTTGAGCACAGGAGTTCAGGACCAGCCTTGACAATATAGGGAGACCCTGTCTCTACAAAAAAATTAAAAACCTAGCTGGGCATGGTGGCACAAGCCTGTAATCCCAGCTACTCAGGAGGCTGAGGTGGGAGGTTTGAGCCCAGGTGGTCAAGCCTACAGTGAGCTATGATCACACAACTGCACTCCAGCCTGGGCAACAGAGCAAGACCCTGTCTAAGAATACCACCACCAACAAAGAAAACCTAAATAAATTAAGAGACATGCCATGTTCATGGATTGGAAGACTCAACACAGTGGAAAATGTCAATTCTTCCCAAACTGATGTAGATTCAACAAAATTCTAATCAAAATCTCAGCAGGATTTTTTTTGTGTGTGTACATAAACATAAGCTGATTCTAAAATGTATACGAAAAGGCAAATGAACCAGAATAGCTGAAGCAGTTTTGGAAAAATGGGGGGAGAAAAAGAAAGGTAGAGGAATCCAATTTTAACACTATGTAGTACTGACAAGGGAATAGACACAGATGAATGAAAAAGAACAGAGTCAAGAAACCCATCCAAATATCACCCCATTTGATTTTTGACAGAGGTGCAAAAGTAATTGTATTAGTCAGGGTTCTCTAAAGGGACAGAACTAACAGTATGGATGTACATATGAAGGGGAGTTTATTAAAGAGTATTGACTCGCATGATCACAAGGTGAAGTACCACAACAGGCCATCTGCAAGCTAAGAGCAGGGAAGCCAGTCTGAGTCCCAAAACCTCAAAAGTAGGAAAGCCGACAGTACAGCCTTCAGTCTGTGGCTGAAGGCCTCAGAGCCCCTGGCAAACCAGTTAAGTCCAAGAGTCCAAAGGCTGAAGAACTTGGAGTCTGATGTTCGAGGTCAGGAAGCATGCAGCACAAGAGAAAGATGAAGGCCGGAAGACTCAGCAAGTCAAGTCCTTCCACACTCTTCTGCCTGCTTCATTCTAGCCACGCTGGCAGCTGATTAGAGGGTGCCCACCCAGATTGGGGGTGGGTCTGCCTCTCTCAGTCCACTGACTCAAATGTCAACCTCCTTTGGTAACACCCTTGCAGACACACAATACTTTGCATCCTTCAACCCAATCAAGTTGACACTCAATATTAACCATCACAATAGAGAAATACTATTTTCAATGAATGGTGTTGAAATAATTCAACATCTATATGCAAAAAAACAAAAAACAAAAAAACCGACTGCAAATCTTACAGAGAATTAACTCAAGATGGATCACATATCTAACAATAAAGGGCAAAACTACAAAAATCTTGAAGAAAATCTTCGTGGCCTGAAGTTAGGTAAAGAGTTCTTAGACATGACAGTAAAACACAACCTATAGATGAAAAAAGTGATCAGCTGACTTTATCAAAATTAAAAACAAGTGATCTGCAGTAGACACTGTCAAGAGGACAAAAAAGACAACCTACCAACTGGAAGAAACTATTTGCCAATCATACATCCAACAAAGGACCTGTATTCGGAATACATAAAGAACACTCTAAACTCAACAACAGAAAAACAAACAAACAAATGAATTAAAAAACAGGCAAAGCTTATTCACTGAAAAGGATACATGGATGGCAAATAAGCACATGAGAAGAAGGTCATCATCATTAACCATTAGGCAAATGCAAATTAAAACCACAATGAGATACTACTTCCAAACCATATTAGAGTGGTTAAAATGAGGCCGGGCATGGTGGCTCATGTCTATAATCCTAGCAGTTTGGGAGGCTGAGGCAGGTGAATCACGAGGTCAGGAGTTCAAGACCAGCCTGGCCAACATGGTGAAACCCCGTCTCTAGTAAAAATACAAAAAGTTAGCTGGGCATAGTGACAGGTGCCTGTAATGCCAGCTACAGCTACTCAGGACGCTGAGGCAGGAGAATCGCTTGAACCCGGGAGGTGGAGGTTGCAGTGAGCCAAGATGGTGCCACTACACTCTAGCCCCGGTGACAGAGTGAGACTCTGTCTCAAAAAAAAAAATACTGACAAGACTGCTGAAGTGGATGAAGAACCACTACAACTCTCATTGTATTCTGGTATAGCAACTCTGGAAAAGTCTAGCAGTTTCTTATACTTACCATATGACCAGCAATCCCACTCCTAGATATTTATACTAGAGAAACAGAATCTGTACACAAATGTTTACAACAGTTCTATTCATAATTGTCAAAAGCTGGAAACAACCCAAATGTCCTTCAACAGGTAAATGGATTTAAAAAAACCTGTGCATCCACACAATGCAACACTACTCGGTAATAAAAAAGGAACATTCTATTGATACACACAACAGTTTGGATGAATCACAAAAACATATTCTGAGTGAAAGTAGCCAGTCTCAAAAGGTTACACGCTGTGTGGAAATGACAATGCTATAGTGATGGGAAACACATCCGTGGTTGCCAGTGTCAGGGTGGAAAAGGATGTGACACTAATGGGATACACAAGGGAGTCTGAGGGGTAATGACTCACAAGGGAGTCTGAGGGGTAATGGAACTACTCTGCATTCTGATTGTGCTAGTAGTGACATAATCTACACATGTGCTGATATCCACAGAAGGGTATGAAAGATGGGTATCCTATTACTATAGGATAATTTTTAAAAATTTAAAAAACAAACACAACTACATATAGGTGAACATTGTGAACAACACTGCAGGCCTCCTGTTTAAGAGTACATTAGCCCTATCTAACTTTCTGGAAATTACCAAGCTCTATTCTGCCCTAGTATTGTCCTCTCCCAGCTTCACCTAACTCTTGTCACCCCCTTCAGGTCTCTGCCAAAATGTGAATTCCTCAAAAAAGCATTCCCTGACTCCCCAGGCTGGTTCAGATCCTCCTGTTCCACACTTACAAAACACCCTATAATTTTTCATTACACTAATGTCATAAATGTATGTAATTATAAAATGTCTGCTTCTTCCACTGAACTGGAAGCCACAAGAGTGCAGGAACCACAACTGCCTAGTTCAAAAGATGTGGAGCATCTTCACATAACAAGTGCTCAACGGTATTTGTTAAAGGTTGAGTATCTGTCACTGCCTACAACCCCATACAATGAACATAAGCTAATATAATAAAATACTGTAAAGGCATAAGTTTTTTCCAACACTTTAAAACACTGTATAAAAAAAAGCATACTAGGTAAAAATTGATAATGCGAAACCATCGCCACCACCCGTTTCCAGAACTTTTCATCCTGCAAAACAATGTGAATGTGCTTAATGTTACTGAACTGTATGCTTAAAAATGTGTGAAATAAAATTGTAAATAAAACTGCAAGCTCTCCAGATGAGATGCACTCCCTGTGGCTAATATACCCACATTTAGACAATGGGTCCAAGCGGCCATAGCAGAGTGAGAGAAGAGTGGTCACCACCCTTCGTTCTTGGAAATCACGGCTCTTGATTAAGAACTGTTCTTAAGCCAGAACAGTTCCTGTGACTGGGGCCAAGAAGAATTGCAGCAGAAACCTCCCCTGCACCAGCCTTTCGAAGGAACATCTGACAGAGACACTTCTGGCACCAGATTAGGGTTCAATCTGAACCGAACAAGCTTGAATCCTTCGTTTGCACAGACCTCACAGAGAATGAGGGCAAGAACTTTCCCTACTTAAGCCAAGCCCCTTTTTTTTTCTCTTTAGAGCAACATTTTCACTAGTGAAAACTATGCCTCCCCAGTCTGCAAGTTTTTTCTATAGAAAATAAAGCTCTCCATTTTTTCCTCCACAGATCTCATCATCTTTTGATAACAAATGGTTAAAATGGTAAACTTTTATGTTATGTATACTTTACCACAATTGAAAATAAATTACTTTTTTAAATGTAAAAAAACTGATACATGGAAACACTTCTTACTGAAAAGAAAAATTACACGAAACCTTCACAAATAGGTTGTGTAATTTTGAAACCAAATTTCCCTATCACATGTAGAGCATCCCAGCTGAGTTTCATCAGTGCAGCCTGGGGATCTGTAACATTTAATTAATACAGTCCACGGAAGACACTTTGCTATATTTAATTATAAAGTCCCCTTTACAAAAATACCTACTATCCATTTGAGGAATATACTATAGACCCGGAAACTAAACTAATCTATCATTGATTTACAGGAAGATTTGCAATCAACTAAATACTCAGTTGTTTACAAAATAAGACATTTTCAAATACTATTTATAAGCAGTTGTACCTCAACTTAACAATTTCTACAAACTCTCCATTGGATACACCACACCCTGTCCCCACACCTCGAGAGTGCTTTTCAGTGCATCTAATTAAATAAATGAATGCCTGAAGATAGCAACAATGAATTTATATCTATTTATCTGAGCTAGAACCTCTTTTCCTTTGTACAGGTTCCAATTCAGATGAATGACTCAGATATAAATCCACCACTGCCATCTCCAGACAGCATTCTGTCTTCCTAAAAGATGCCTACTAAACTTTTCCCTTTGCTACTCCAACTTGGCAGCTGCCACTGAGCAGCAGCAGGAACAAGCAGCAAAGGAAGCAATCCCAAGTGGGGTGAGTGACTGGCTATAGCCAGAGTGCCAGAGCCAGCAAAACAATGCCTCGACTTGCTAAGTAGGGCAAGTCAGGTATCAAGTGGGTAACTTGGATAAATTGATGCTTGAAATTGAGCAAAAACACAATTTTGAGATCTGACATTTTTCTCTGGTTTTTGTGGACTTCAATAAATTTAGCACAAAAAAAGGATGGCACAGTGAGTTCATATTTCAAAAGCTCTCTCTACTTCAAATGTACAACAATGACAATAAAACCCAGAAAGGAAAACTAAGAAAACAGGTAAGCAGAAATAAATGGTAAACATTTCACAAACTCAAAACAGGAGAAAAACGCATAACAATGCTAACCACTGGCTGGTTCCTCAGAAGCAGGAAGTGCCAAATGCAAAGTACAGATGGCGAGAATGTTCTCACAAGACTGAGAAGAGAGCCAGAGCCACTGGTGAAGACCAGGCCAAAGAGGAACTGCCCTTGGCCTGAAGAGGAGGCCACCAAGTATTGTCTGCAACTACAGCTCACTACAACTCCTGGAGACTGTGGACCTAGGGAGGCAGAACCACAGCTTCAGGGTCAAAATCTGAACAAGCTGCTGGGACTAATCTGCCATGTGTCCAAACTATCACCATAAGACCTGGATGTAGATTAGGAATCCAAAATGCCGGCGGGGGGGCACCCACAAAACTACTGGTCAGGGAGAAGGTGGGAGGCAGCAATGGCCGGGGTGAGAGAGAAACTAGGAAAGAGAGAGGAAGAGGAAGGTCAAGGAAGCAAAGGGAAGGGAGAAGATGAAGCATGAAGAGCAATAAACATTTTTAACTTTCACCAGAAAAAAGAGCCTATGAACTAAAATTCCAAAACAGAGTAAGAAAGCATTCGCTATCAAACAAAACTTCAGAAACTGAAACAGTTCACATTAGATAAACTGCCCCAGATGAAATTAATTTTATCAGTCTAAAAGATTAAAAGATTCACTAGAAGATTTTAAAAGACCTTGCTAAAGAAGCAATAACGAAGTGAAGATAGGTGACTAGATTCCAAAATTATTTATGAAAAGGACTTGCTCATAAATTGGAAATGAGAAATGAAAGAAAGAATGATGGTGAACATAAATTCCTACATCTTGTGCTTCTGCAGGAGGATTCAGATACAAGAAGCCCGAAGGATCAAAGTTCAGTTTGGGTAATGCTGGGTTTGAGGTAGTGGTAAAACATTCAACTAGAGACGTCACAGAGAGAGAGAAAACAGAGTTGGAGTCTAGGGTTGATTAAAACCACAGAAACAGAAGTGGAAGAGAATGCCATCTTTCAGGGTAAGGGTAGAGAAAGTACAAAAAATAAAACAATTTTAAGAAGAGCCCACCAATCAAACCTTGAGTGATTCCTGTAGAGGGGACACAGAGGAGGGCCACAGAAGTAGAGAGAAAACTAGGAGATTAAAATGGCACCAAAGCCAGAGGATGAGAGTGTCTGAAAAAGGGTAATAGTGTTAAAAGATTCTGGGAAGTCAAACAGAAGAGGACTGAAAAATGTCCACTGGACTTAACATGAGAAAACTGGTGGTCACACTAGCAAGAACTCTATAGTAGAGTACTGAGGACAGAAGCAGACTGGGGTGACTCAGAGCCTTTGCGCACGCGGTCTTGTCTGCCTAGCTGGCTGACTCCTTCTCATCCATCATTCTCAGCTTACATTTTACCCCTCAGCAAGACTTTCCCTGAGCACCCTATTACTGAAGGGAACCATGATTCTCTCTCAACAACTTGTTTCCCTCATAACACTTATCACAATTTGTAATTATTTATGTTTTATTTCTCTATACCCATCTCTAAAGCAGCAATCCTATCACTTCCAGTCACTCTTCTAGTTCCAGTACCTATCATAGTACCCAGCCTCCAACAGGCACTAATAAAAACTCTGCCTTCAAAGTAATAAACTTCACTTCGTTTTGTGGTGGGAGGGGACTTTTCCTCATACTTAGTATGAGAAGCAACATGCACAGTGGAAACAGTACAACTTAGAAGTTACACATAATTTGAATCTCAGCTCCACTACTTACTAGCCCAGTGATCTTTGGCAACCCGAAGATTGGCTTTATACTTGAAGCCCCAATTTTCTCAATTTAAAACAGTAACAGTAATTCAATCCTTATGTAATTATGTGCTTTTCCAGTACACCATAGATTCTGAATGAGTGAGAGGCATTATTTGGAATAATCATGTCCTTTCCCTCCACTAAGGAGTCTGAATGAGGGAGGCTGTAAAAATGAGTTAAGTCATGGCCTTAGAAACACTGGAACATAGAATAAGGTAAACTGTATATCAAATCTTTTTTTTTGTTTTTTGTTTTTTGAGACGGAGTCTAGCTCTGTCGCCCAGGCTGAAGTGCAGTGGCGCGATCTCGGCTCAGTGCAAGCTCTGCTTCTCAGGTTCACGCCATTCTCCTGCCTCAGCCTCCCGAGAAGCTGGGACTACACGCACCCACCACCACGCCCGGCTAACTTTTTGTATTTTTAGTAGAGACGGGGTTTCACTGTGTTAGCCAGGATGGTCTCGATCTCCTGACCTCATGATCCGCCTGCCTCGGCCTCCCAAAGTGCTGGGATTACGGGCGTGAGCCACCACGCCCGGCCCTCAAATCTTTTATTATATGTATGCTTTTTCAGTAAGATAGGACTTCTGATCCTTCCCAAATAGCTGCTTAGAGAAAAATAAATCCATGATTAGGTGCTTTTTCATAACAGCAGGTACTAATTACACTGAAATACATAAATTCCCTTTAAAACCATGTTGTTTAAGTTTACCAGAAATTATAAAATAAACAAAACCAAAAAGATATATTAATACAATATTTCACTTTTTTCTTAATTTAAAATTTTAGTATAAGTAAAAAGTAACTTCAGTATAAGTTATTAACAAAAAATTCAGAAAGTCTTAAGACATCTCCTTAACGTTTTATAAAAGAAAATATCCACAAGTCACTTCCCACAGATTAAAAAAAGCTGGATGGTTTTATTGAATTTAAATAGCAAGGTACATGAACATACAAATGAATAAGTCATACATGAAGATACTGATATAAATCCTGCCCAAATATAATTTTTGCCTGACTGCTAAATAAAGTCATAGTCCATCTTGACTGGAATGACTAGTTTACCTTTAACTCCGGGTGGCTTAAGCTATCAGTCCTTTAAGAAGCTTTACTGGTTTTTGACAATTTAACCTGCTGAGCTCACAGCACCCATGGGAGGGTCTTGGTTGCAAGTTTTACTTCTGATGCTGCTGACCACTAATACTGACTCCATTGATAATGGATTTCAATAACAGCCATCCACAGGTTAACACTGAGTATTACCCATAACACTGCTTTAATTAAGTTAATACATGAAAGTCACAGTTTGGTAGAAAGTTTTATTAAATTTGGCAGTGCTCACAATAATAAAAAAAAATGGTGTTCATCTGTACAATAACTCTTTAAATTTGCCTAGAGATATAATCCAGTTTGCTCATGGATTTATGCTGCATTTCAATTTATTTTCTAAAAGGAATTCAATTTATTAGTTCCATTCCCCCAAAATACATACATTTCTAGCATTTCTAATAGATAGTTTCCTGACAGATAACCCCAACCATGCTGGGCACAGAATGGGTCTGTCTACCTGGCACAAAGAGACCCCCCGCTACAGCAAAGGAGGTTTCCACCCCCACCCCCAATTTAAATTCAAGCATTTTGATGGTGGAAAAGATTCATGCTTTGATTTGTCCATAGTTCATGTGTTAAATATTAATTTGTCTCTGAAATACTGGAATTATTTTTTCATCTTGAAAAGTAAAGACACATAAATTTCACTTTCAAACCCAAACCCTTTATGCATAGAAAACAAGCCAGAGAATATTTACACGAATATATGAAAGGGCAAAGCAAACATAGGTTTAAATGACTCTGTTAAAAAAAAAAGATACCATACTATAAACACAAATCACAGCACAGTTGACACAATTTTCTATTTTTATACATATAAGGAAATCTGAGGTTATTTTATGGAAAAGCAAACAATGGCTGAATTCAGCTCATATACATATTGAATTTGGCAATGATTGTGTTTTTTAAATACACAACCTGACAGGCACTATGGTAGATAATAATGAATCAGCATGGGAGCCATTTAACATACTTCTTGATTAACTCATTGCCTGTCCAATTCGTACACAGACATGCTTACATGTCATAATCGTCATAATTCCCATCATCCCCACCACTAACACTACAGCGCCTTGATTAGTCCACAACTCCCAGACGAGCCATTGCTAATGCTAAATAATTCTCTTCAGCCTCCTGCTACTATTCTGCAGGATCTCCAATTAAATATAGTATTAATGTGAACAAATACCTACCAGGAATCCCATCCTATTCCATTTTACCCAAAAATGCAGAGAAAATAATTTAGCCAAGTCAAAGATAATCAAAACACTTAAAATTGATACAGTATACTGTTTCTGCAAAATAAGTTTTTCCAAAGACAATAAAAGAAAAAAAGAAAAGGAAAAGAAATGTCTACACATCTTAAATGCTTTCTTCTCCTGGTTAGTTCTTTAATGAAAAGTCTATTGTTTTAAATTTGCATAGTAGGTACATTGTATTCTTAATCTAAAAAGATTTCTGAAAGCTAAGTTTTATAAGAAAAGTGAGCAATAGCAAGTTTTAAAGCCATTATGCCATTTTTTAAACCCTTTGATTACCTAATTACCAGACTCCCAGATTCAAAACCATATACTAAGGCAAACAATTCCTCCCTTCCCATTAAATGCAGTACTGCAGTCACTCTCCAGAGGCTTTGCCGTAAGACTTTTTGCTGTTGATAAGGAAAGTTAATATTGAAGAATGGCAACTATAAATACCTTTTGTAAGAATAAATTAAGAATCCTATAGATTTCCTATTGCAACCTAAATGTCTGGAAATATTTCTGATCTAATTAAGACCAACTGTGAAACATGGACCAGGACAGCCATCATCTTAAAATATCCTTTACTAAGAAAAGGCAGTTTAAGAAAATGTTACTGAAATATAACATTCTCAAGTACACACACACACACACACACACACACAAATAAAAGGTCACCTGATACTTTTCAGTTAACACCCCAAAAAAGTTTTCCAAGCCTGACTTTAGTCATTTGCTCCTATTTGAGGATCAGTGATAGGCATCAGCTCCAAACAAGTCCATTAACAATTTTTGTGAAATTAAAAAGAAAATGTTTAATTAAGAACCTTAACTCCTTTCCAAACAGAAAAAGTTTGAAAATATTCTGAAATCATGTAAAGGAGAAAAAATGCGTTTGAGGTTTTCACATTTAAGTTGCTTTCATCTCTATATACATCTAAGGTAAAACTGAAGATACACTGACAAAAATATAAATAAGTGTATGTATATACAGAGACATGTAAATATAAAAAATGAAATAAAGATATTCTAATAATCCCATAAAATGTTGAAAAGTTTAACCCTAAGGTCTTTTATACCTTAGTCTGCATTAATGTGTTCCATTTCCATTTACCTGATCATTACCCTCCAGTTTGTTCAGCTGGAACCAACATACACTAATTACTTAGACATCACCAAGTCCTATTCGTCCTCGGTCCCTCCCCAGACAGCAGGGACATATCATCAAGGGTAGGCATAAAAAGTGATGACTGCCCTCACCTTACTGTCAATCACCCCAGAGTGCTCACAGGAAACCCCACTCAATCTCATTATAGAATCCTGAGGCTGAGACTACAGTGCGCACCAGGGATCATCCTTTCAACAGCAGGCTGCCTGGGTAAGATGTGAGTCACAGTGAATACTTCCCTAATTTTAGGTTCTTGTTTCAACGTGGTAAAATCAGATATTTCTCATTTAAATCCAACATGACTGTACACAGACAAAGCAACAAAATATGTATAGATAGGTTCAATTTAGGAACGTAGATAGAGAATACAGTCAAAGGTTGAATGATTCTGTTGATATACAGAATCATTTTCCTCTTTGGGAATGAAGATTCTCAACTCTTTTCATTTAACCTGATGAGATCTCATTTTTTAAAAAATATCAAAACTTATTTTAGCAGTTTGATATAAATGTGACAATATATTTTACCATTTTTGTGGAAAGACATACTAGTCTTTATACTTAAAACATTCATTTGGAGAAGTACAACAATCTTAAATTCCCAAATTCTTTGCTCTCACTATTCACCAAACTAATGAAATGGGCCCATGTGTCCATTTAGAAACTCCTAGTCACTAAAGCCATTAAACATTTCTCATTCCTTATATTTCTTATCTTCTCTGAGATACCTAAAAATCTCAGTAAATTAGAGGCAAGCAATCCTAGAATTACCTTGTCTTCTAAATCCACATAATATTCATGAGACCCTCTTTAACAACTCAAAAATCCTCCCACATCATCCCACTGCCTAAAATCTAACAAATGTATTCCATAGACCTATGTCTTCTTGCTGACTTACAATGTATTAAAATGTATTTTAATATGTTAGGCTACTCCCCATCAATTTTCCTCAGAATTATCTAGGCTATTCTTGCATATTTACTCTTTGTCAATCCCCCCCCATTATGTTGTTATATTAGGATTTAATAGAAAATGTACAGAAAAGAGCATTTTTAAAAATCGGTTTCCCTATACAAAAATAAGAAGTCCTCATGTAAGTCCTAAAAATTTCATTTTAAATTCACATCATACAGTGTTTTATCATTTCCATTGCTTCTACGAGGTTACATTTCTTGTTGTATTTTCTACCTTATTGATATATAGGAAATTTATAGATTTATTTATATTTACTATTTAACCAACCACCAGAGATTTTTTCTGTTTCTAAAGAGTTATTCAGGGCCAGGTGCAGTGGCTCACGCCTGTAATCCCAGCACTTTGGGAAGCCGAGGAGGGTGGATCACCTGAGGTCAGTAGTTTGAGACCAGCCTGGCCAATATGGTGAAACCCCAACTCTACTAAAATACAAATCCTAGCCAGGCATGGTGGCAGGCACCTGTAATCCTAGCTACTCGGGAGGCTGAGGCATGAGAATGCTTGAACCTGTGAGGCGGAGGTTGCAATGAACCAAGATGGTGCCATTGCACTCCAGCCTGGACGACAGAGTGAGAATTTGTCTCAAAAGAAAAGGAGTTATTCAGTTCATTGTATAACTAGAAACTCAATACAATCTTCTTATTTTTGCCTTTCCTATCCACCAATTTATAGCTCTTGACTAACTGTATCACCTTGTACTTCTGGAATGCTATTTCAGAACACTTGTGGCAGAGACCTCATGAATGAGATCCTTCCCTTGCTCCTTCCACCATGTGAGGACACAGCAAGAAGGCTCCACTAAGAAACTAAGAAAGGAGCCCTCACCAGGGACAACATCTAACAGTGCCTCAATCTTGACTTATCAGCCTCCAGAACTATGAGAAATAAATTCCTGTTGTTTATAAGCCACCCAGACTATGACAATCCATAACAAGCCTGAACAGACTAGGCCAGTGACCAAGAAAAAAGGGAAGGCTCAAATGTCTAAATTTAGGAATGAAAGAGGAGACATTACTACTGACCTTATAAAATAAAAATAAGAAAATACTATACCAATAAGCTAGAAACTTTGATGAAATGGACACATTTGTAGAAAGACATAAACTACAGACACTGATTAAAGAAACAGAATATCTGAAAAAACCTACAATAAGTAAAAAGGTAGATTTAACAATCAAAAACTAACCAAAGAGAAGCCCAGATTCAGATGGCTTCACTGGTGATTTCTACCAGACATTTAAAGAAAAGTTAATACCAATTCTTCCAAAAAAACTAGAAGATGAGAGAAAGGTTTCCAATTCATGAGGCCAGGATCACACTAACACCAAAACCAAGCAAAGACATCATAAGAAAACTGCAGACAATATCTCTTGTAAATATGAACACAAAATTAATAAAATACTAACAAACTGAATCCAGCAATATATACAAAGGATTACACAGCATGACCAAGTGGGATTAATCTCAGGAATTCAAGGCTGGTTTAACACCCAAAAAAATCAATTAATGTAACAATACACCATATAAATAAAGGACAAAAACCACATGATCATCTCAGTAAACACAGAAAAAGCATTTGAAAAAATGCAACACCTGTTCTTGATAAAAATCCCTCAGTAAACTAGGAATAGCAATTAACTTCTTCCACCTGATAATGAAAGTCTATGAAAATACCAGAGCCTAAATCAAATTTAAGGGTGAAATGCTGAATGCTTTCCCCCTAAGATGAAGAACAAGACAAGGATGCCTCCTCTCACCTCTTCAACATTGTTCTGGAAGTTAAAGCCAGAGAAATCAGGCAAGAATATGAAATAAAAAGCATCCAGATGGAAAGAAGTAAAACTATCTCTATTCACACATGACATGATCTTATATAAAGAATCCTGGCCGGGCACAGTAGCTCATGCCTGTAATCCCAGCACTTTGGGAGGCTGAGGTGGGCAGATCACAAGGTCAGGAGTTTGAGCCCAGCCTGGTCAACGTGGTGAAACTCCACCTCTACTAAAAATACAAAAAATTAGCCGGGTGTGGTGGCAGATGCCTGTAGTCCCAGCTATTCCGGAGGCTGAAGCAGGAGAATTGCTTGAACCTGGGAGGCGGAGGTTACAGTGAGCCAAGATCGCACCATTGCACTCCAGCCTGGGCAACAGAATGAGACTCGGTCTCAAGAGAGAAAAAAAAAAAAAAAAGAATCCTAAGGCCCAGACGCAGTGGCTCACACCTGTAATCCCAGCACTTTGGGAGGCCACAGCGGGAGGATCACTTGAGGTCAGGAGTTCGAGACCAGCCTGGCCAACATGGTGAAACCCCATCTCTACTAAAAGTACAAAAAAATTAGCTGTGCGTGGTGGCGCATGCCTGTAACCCCAGCTACGCAGGAGGCTGAGGCAGGAGAATCACTTGACCCCCGGGAGGTGGAGGTTGCAGTGGGCCAAGATCATGCCACGACACTCCAGCCTGGGTGACAGAAACTCCATCTTTAAAAAAAAAAAAAAAAAAAAAAAACCTAAGAAATCCACTAAAAAACTATTAGAACTAATAAAAGAGTTCAGCAAGTTTACAGGAATCAAAATCATTATATGAAAATCATTTGTATTTCTACAGACTTGCAACTAATTTAAAAAATTGAAATTAAAAAACTAATTACACTTATAGTAGTATGAAACTACAAAACATTGCTGAAAGAAATCCAAGTGACCTAAATATGGAAGAATATCACATGTTCATGGATAGGAAGACTTAAAAACGTTGAGATAGCTATACACTCCAAAATGATCTACAGACACAATGCAATATCAATCAAAATCCCAGCTGGTTACATTCTTGCACTAGAATTGTCTTCTCTTCATAAACTATTCTCCACAAATCTTCCCAGAGAATAATAAGCGTGCTTTCCTAGGGCCTGGAAAATGAAACATAAAAAAAAATTCATGACTTAATAAGAGGCTTAACTCCCATTTTGCTTTCTCCTGCCCTGACCAATTCCCATTGGAGTATTTTATACTGCTTCCCTATAGCCTCATCCCCTGGATTCAGGCACATTAATCTCATCATTATAAATGAATTGTTTTCCTAGGGAAAGCCTGACTTTAAGACTGCTCTAGATCAGTCTTTATTTCTCAAAGAAATTAAGGGAATTTCCTCAACAAAGAATAGGATGTCATATTGTTTTAAGACAAACCAACAATAAGCCAACTAAATAACCTGCAAATCCTCCTTAGAAACATCTAAAGACCTAGATTAAATATAACAAACATCCTTCAAATGAAGAGCTTGGCTCACAAAAAAACTACAAGGGATGAAAAAGAAAAAGGAAGCAGGGCACAACGGCATGTGCATGTAGTCCCAGCTACTCAGGAGGCTGAAGCAGGACAATCACTTGAGCCCAGGAGTTCATGGCTGTAGTTTGCTATGATCACACCACTGCACTCCAGCCTGGGCAACAGAGTAAGGCTCTGTCTCAAAAAAAAAAAAAAAAAAAGTAATCTGAAAATCTGGCTGGGCATGGTGGCTCAAACCTGTAATCCCAGCACTTTGGGAGGCTGAGGCGGGTGGATCACTTGAGGTCAGGAGTTCGAGACCAGCCTGGCCAACATGGTGAAACCCTGTCTCTACTGAAAATTCAGTAGTTTGGTGATGCATGCCTGTAAGCCCAGCTACTCGGGAGGCTGAGGCAGGAGAATCGCTTGAACCCAGGAGATGGAGGTTGCAGTGAGCTGAGATTGCGCCATTGCATTCCAGCCTGGACAACAAGAGCAAAACTCCGGCTCAAATAAATAAATAAATAAATAATATAAAAATGAAAATCAGTCTGCATCCACAAGAGCCAGTCTTGGAGAGTGAAGGTGGGAATCTCAATAATCTAGAAGATTGGGTTTTAACGATCAGAGAAAGGAAACAGATCCCGTGTGAGTTGGAGGTTTGAAGGAAACCCTTCTGTCTAAAGCCAGGAGGCTCAAAGATTACATTCTCAGTGAAAGGTTGTGGGGGAGGAATCAACCTACGAAATAGAGAGGATAAACCCTATGCTCGTATCTCTGTGGTTCAAAGTAAACGAAAATGTCTCTAGATATTAGAAACCATGAGCCTATTCAACAGGTGTGTATCTGTGTGTGTGCAATCTCATTTTGTTCTTCCCATTATCTTCAAAATTTGACAATCTTTATGCCAAAAATTTAATATAAAAATTAGTCCCAGATGAGTGATACCCTGGAGGGTGTGATGGAAACAAATATACCACCTATCCTACCTGGCCAAATCCATAACCCAAACCATCTTGAAATTCAACAACAAAAGCACCAAACATAGAATCACACACCAAAATTTAAACATGCGAGGAAACAATATGTTATGAGGAAGAGTCAGGAATAGAAATAAACACCCACAAACTTGAAATAATACAATAATATGATAGATTCTTTAAATTAAATATGCTAAAAATAAATATACTAAAGGCCTCAAATACATAAGAAAAAAGATAATACATAAAAACAGGCAGATTCAAAAAGGAGCAGAAAATCAACAGCTTACTCCACAGACAGCAAACAAGACAAATGTAACCAAAGTAATCAGGCTCAGGCAATTTTCATTATCGATGCAAAAACATTAGATGAGAGGTGGTTGAGGGACAAAATATTCACAAGGATTCAAAAACTCACCCCAAAAATTATTTAATAAAAAAAAAGAAAATGTACCATTATAATGGGAAGACCTGATGAAACCAAATGATCATACTTAGCATAACAACAGAACAATTCAACATTAAGAACCTCTTGTTATGATATTACTATTAAAAAAAATAACATTACTGGCTGGGGTACGGTGGCTCACGCCTGTAATCCTAGCACTTTGGGAGGCCAAGGCAAGAGGATCTCTTGAGCCCAGGAGTTCAAGACCAGCCTGGGAAAGATGGTGAAACCCCATCTTTACAAAAAATACAAAAATCAGCCAGGCGTGGTGGCATGCACCTGTAGTCACAACTACTTGGGAAACTAAGGTGGGAGGATCGCTTGTGCCCAGGAAGTCAGGCTGCAGTGAGTTATAATCTCACCACTGCACTCCAGCCCGGGCAACTGAGAGAGACTCTGTCACAAAAAAAAGAAAAAAAGAAAGAACATCACTTATGAAGTAGTCTTGTCAAATATTTAATCTGAATCTATTCATGAGAAAATAGATTCCATACAAAGCCAAAATATCTAAAAGCCAACATAATAAAAATCAAACAAAAAAAGAGGGAGAATAGGGGCACTATTTTAGATTAAGAGACTAAAGAGGTATAATAAACAAATGTAACTCATGAACCTTGATTGAACTGTGGATCAAAGAAAAATATTAAAAAGGACAACTGGGGTCAACTGGAAAAACCTGAATGTGGTAGGCATATTACATGATATTATAGAATAATGAGTTATTTTCTTAGGTTTCATAAGGTATTATAGATATGTAGAAAACCATACTTATTACTGCGAGATGAATAGTATTTACGGGTAAAATGCCACAATGTCTGTAACTTATTTTCTTTTTTTTTTTTTTTCTTTTTTTTTGAGATGGAGTCTTGCTCTGTCGCCCAGGCTGGACTGCAGTGGCACGATCTCAGCTCACTGCAAGCTCCGCCTCCCGGGTTCACACCATTCTCCTGCCTCAGCCTCCCAAGTAGCTGGGACCACAGGAGCCTGCCACCACGCCTGGCTAATTTTTTGTATTTTTAGTAGAGACAGGGTTTCACCGTGTTAGCCAGGATGGTCTCGATCTCCTGCCCTCATGATCTGCCCGCCTCAGCCTCCCAAAGTGCTGGGATTACAGGCGTGAGCCACTACGCCCGGCCTCTTTTTTTTTCTTTTTCCTGTCCAGGGGATTCTTTTTAATGCTGCTTTTTTTACATATATATATATACTTTAAGTTCTAGGGTACATGTGCACAACGTGCAGGTTTGTTACATAGGTATACATGTCTCATGTTGTTTTGCTGCACCCATCAACTCGTCATTTACATTAGGTATTTCCCCTAATGCTATCCCTCCCCCATCCCCCAACCCCACAACAGGACACAGTGTGTGATGTTCCCTACCCTGTGTCCAAGTGTCTTCATTGTTCAATTCCCACCTATGAGTGAGAACGTGCAGTGTTTTGTTTTCTGTCCCTGTGATAGTTTGCTGAGAATGATGGTTTCCAGCTTCATCCATGTCCTGTAACTTATTTTCAAATTGTTTAGCCAAAAAAAAAAAAAATGCACACACACAATGTACATATGGATACAAATATAAAGCAAACAAGCCAAAATGTTAACAATTGCTGAATCTAGGTGAAGGGTATACAGATACCGTTATACTGGTATATAACAGTAAACTGATACCAATATACTGGTACTACTTTTCTAATTTTTTTCATTATGTTTGAAGAAATGCTTCAGAAAAAAATATAAATGAATGACCAATAACACAAAAAAGTACTCAACATCAGTATTCATCAGGAAAATCTAAAATTAAAAACACAATGACATACTGCTTCACAACCACTTAAAAATAAAACACAAAATCAAATGGACTGAAAACACCAAGTGTTGGCAAGGACACAAAAGCACCCTGACCTAGACATTTCTGGAGGGAGTAAAATATGATACAACCATGAAGGAGAACTATTTAGCAGCTTCTTATAAATTTAAACATGCATGTATTTATTCTAGGCATCAGCAAAATACTGTCTACCCACTGGCCAAATCTGATCCAAGGGCTGTTTTTGCACAGCTCTCAAGCTAACAATAGTTTTCACATTTTTAAAGTGTTGTTAAAACAAAACAAAACAAAACAAAAAGAAGCATATGTAACAGCGACCACAGGGGCCTGCAAAATCTAAAATATATTTGCTATCCAGACAAAAATGTATTTACTTTCAAACAAAAAAAGGTTGCCAACTCCTTATCTACCCTAAGACCCAGCTACTCCACTCCTAGATATTTACCCAAAAAAAATCAAAATTATGTTCACAAAAAGACATGCAAAAGTTATACTTATAAAAATCTTGTTCATGGTATCTAAAAATTGGGGAAGGGGGGTAATTGGCCAGCTCATCCTAAAATTCACATGGAAGAGCGAAGGACCAAGAATACTGAAGACAATTTTGAAGAACATGTTGGAGGGAAGGGACCAACAGAGGTAAACTGCATAATCATCTCTAAAAGCCAACATTTTTCTATCAAACATTAATTGTTTGCAAGTTAGCTGGCTTTCCTTCCTTGTGTGACTTATTAGTTGATATGTGCAGTATCCATTCATCTTTTTCCTTGCATAATTACCTTAAAAATTAGTTGTTTATAATAGACAATGAATAGCTTTTGCAATCAATTGTTGCAGTATTTTCCTACTGGAATAGTATTTACATTTCCACATGTGAAATTAACATACAAAGCCTATAAAGTTTTTTACTCCAAGTTACATTTAAAATGCTCACCTCTTGAAAACAAACATGCAAAAATTAATACATCTGAATAGCATGGCTTTTTCATATTACTGATATTATAAAGCTGATTAGCTATGATAGTAACCTCTGTGATCACGTGCTGAGGATGCAAAAGATGCTGTTACAGGAATTCACCTTTTCAGCCTCCTTGAGACTGAAACAGAAACCACATAGCAGATTTGACCCTACTGTTGAGGTTTAAATGAAACTTTTGACATTCCCACCATCATTATCCTGCTTTTACTTATAGTATCTTTCTAGAAATTGACCTAAAGTAGGTCATAGTAAGAGAAAGTTTTGACTGAGTGTGCAATTGCTTCCATTGTGGGGTCTGGTAAATTTTATTATAAATTATGTATCATAATCTCTGGTATATTCCCTACTGCTTTCAGCCAGAAGTGGTGAAAAGTCTCTAAAATGTAAAACTACCACATCTGCTTCAGGGAAGGTACAAATGAGAAAAACCTAACAACAATTCTTTTGAAACCACTTTTGCAAAGTCTGAAAAGTCTACCTGTAGATCAGAATTCAATCATGCGCCATATGACAGCTTGGTCGGTAATGTACTGCATCTACATTTCAGCTCCAATAATGGAGCTGAAAAATTCCTATTTGCCTAGTGATGTCTTTTTTTATTTTTGTGGGTATACAGGAGGTGTATATGTTTATGGAGTACATGAAATATTTTGATACAAGCATACAATGTATAATAATCACATCAGGATAAATGGGGTAGCCATCATCTAAATCATTCATTTATTTGTGTTACAAGCATCCCAATTCTATTCCCTAAATTATTCTAAAATGTACCACAAATTACTGCAGACTGTAGTCACCCTGTTGTGCTATCAAATACAAGATCTTATTTATTCCATCTAACTATATTCTTGTACTCATTAATCATCCCCACCCCTCCCGCTCCATACACCCTGCCAAGCCTCTGGTAACCATCCTTCTACTCTCTCTCTATGAGTCCAATTGTTTTCATTTTTAGCTCCCACAAATGAGTGAGTACATGCAAAACTTGTCTTTCTGTGCCTGGCTTATTTCACTTAACATGTCCTCCACCAGTTCCATCCATGCTATTGCAAATGACAAGATCTCATTCTTTTCTATGGCTGAATGGTACCGTACATATGTACATTTTCTTTATCCATTCATCTGTTGATGGATACTTAAGTTGCCTCCAAATCTTGGCTATTGTGAAAAATGCTACAATAAACATGGGAGTGCAGATATCTCCTCCATATACTGATTTCCCTGGTGCTAGGTGTACACCTAGAAGCAGATGTACATCTAGCAGCCGGATCATATGATAGTTTTAGTTTTTTGAGAAACCTCCATACTGTTCTTTATAGTGGTTGTATTAATTTACATTCCCACCAACAGCATATGAGGGTTCTTTCTCTACATCCTCGCCAGTACTCGTTATGTCTTTTGGATAAAAGCCGTTTTAACCGGGGTAAGATTTTATCTCATTGTACTTTTGATTTGCATTTCCGTAATGATCAGTAATGTCGAGCACCTTTACATATACCTGTTTGTGATTTGTATGTCTTCTTTTGAGAAATGACTATTCAGATCTTTTGCCCCTTTTTATTTTCCTTTGGACATAGTCTCGCCTGGTCGCCCACGCTACAGCGCAGTGGCACGATCTTGGCTCACAGCAACCTCCACCTCCCAGGTTCAAGCTTCTTGCCCCAGTCTCCAAGTAGCTGGGACTACAGATGTGTGCCACCACACGCGGCTAATTTTTGTATTTTTAGTAGAGACAGGGTTTCACCATCTTAGCCAGGCTGGTTAAACATCCATTTATTTATTCTAGGTCTCAAACTCATGACCTCAAGTGATCTGCCCGCTTGGCCTCCCAAAGTGCTGGGATTACAGGTGTGAACCACCACACCTGGCCATTTTGCCCATTTTTTAATCAAATTACTAGATTTTTTTCCTATAGAGTTGTTTGAGCTCCTTATACATTCTAGTTACTAATCCCTCATCAGATGGGTAGTTTGCAAATATCTTCTCCCATTCTGTGGGTTGTCTCT
Organism: Homo sapiens; assembly: GCF_000001405.40. Taxonomy (NCBI): domain Eukaryota; kingdom Metazoa; phylum Chordata; class Mammalia; order Primates; family Hominidae; genus Homo; species Homo sapiens. The sequence continues at coordinate 100,114,159 of NC_000013.11, read as the reverse complement.
TCATTTTGTTGTTTCCTTGGCTGTGTAGAAGCTTTCTAACTTGATGTGATCCCATGCCTACTGATGTCTTGATGAGCCTGATCCTCTGCAGGTCTAGGCTAATGTGTGCATTTGAGTCTTCGTTTTTACCAAAAAAGTTCAAAAAGTCAAAAATAAATGAAAAATAAAAAACTTTAAAAACAGAAAAAAGCTTATAAAATAAGGATATAAAGAAAACATTTTTGTACAGTTATACAGTGTTTGCATTTTATGCTGTTTTATTATGAAAGAGTCAAAGAGTAAACCGGGCGTGGTGGCTCACGCTTGTAATCCCAGCACGTTGGGAGGCCAAAGCAGGTGGATTACCTGAGGTCAGGAGTTCAAGACCAGCCTGGCCAACATGGTGAAACCCCGTCTCTACTAAAAATACAAAAATTAGCCGAGCGTGGTGACACATGCCTGTAATCCCAGCTACTGGAGAGGATGAGGCAGGAGAATGGCTTGAACCCGGGAGACAGAGGTTGCAGTGAGCCAAGACTGCACCACTGCACTCTAGCTTGGCCAACAGAGCAAGACTCTGTCTCAAAAAAAAAAAAAAAAGAAAGAGTCAAAGAGTAAAGACAAAATTTAAAAGTTTATAATTTAAAAAAGTTATGGTATGCTAAGGTTAATTTATTATTGAAGAAAGAAAACTATTTTTCTATAAATGTCGTGTAGCCTAAGTATACAGTGTTTATGAAGTCTATAGTAGTGACGGTAATGTCCTAGGCCTTTGATCACTCCCTGACTCATCCAGACCAGCTTCCAGTCCTGCAAGCTCCATTCACAGTAAGTGCCCTATACAAGTGTACCATTTTTTATCTTTTATACTATATTTTTACTGTACCTTTTCTGTGTTTAGATACACTTATATACACAAATACTTACCATTGTGTTACAATTGCCTACAGTATTTAGTACAGTCACGTGCTGCACAGGTTTGTAGCACAGGAGGAATAGGCTATACTATATAGGTGTGTACTAGGCTGTATCATCAAGGTTTGTGTAAGTACATTCTGTGATGGTCACACAATATTGAATTCACCTAACGATGCATTTCTCAGAACATATCCCTGTCATTAACTGATGGACCCTACCAAAGGGTCCCATTATCAAAAGTAGTATGAGACAATGAGAAACAATGCTTGCATTAGTATTCAACTACTTATATTTCATGCCATAAAGATTTAATAATTTACATTCTTTCCCCATGGGATTTTTTTCTACTCATTCATAACATTACTACTAAAAAAAATCCCTGCTGTGGGCCGGGTGTGGTGGCTCAAGCCTGTAATCCCAGCACTTTGGGAGGCCGGGGCAGGCAGATCACCTAAGGTCAGGAGTTCAACACCAGCCTGGCCAACTTGGTGAAACCCTGTCTCTACAAAAATACAAAAATCAGCCAGGCATGATGGCAGGTGCTTGTAATCCCAGCTACTCCGGAGGCTGAGGCGGGAGAATCGCTTGAACCCAGGAGGCAGAGGTTGTAGTGAGGTGAGATCACACCACTGCACTCCAGCCTGGACAACAAAGCAAGACTCTGTCCCAAAAAAAAAAAAAAAAAAGGCCTGCTGTGTTAAAAGTACCAAATAAAAGTATATCTGCTTTATGCTAAACCTTCTTTTGTTTGTATCCAATTAGCATTAGCCTACCTTTCATTTTTGTCAAACTTTCAGCTGAACACGTTGAAGCATTTAGGAAAGGTTAAACAATTGTAGCATTCCCTTAGTGATACTGAAGCTATGCTGGGGGAAAGTGCTCTCATAAGGGAGCACTGTGTAAACATTTCATTAATCTTTGACTCAAATTTTCTCATGCTTTGCTTAAATCTACTTGGTGACCAGCAATCAGCCTGGCAATTTTTCTGTCTAAGTTTTTAAAGCTATGAAAAGAAAATACTTACGGCACATATAGAAGATACTGTGATACTGTCGTTTTGCTTAACACAACAGTGAACAAGTAAACAGTTTTTAAACTTGAATGTATCTTGTGCAGGCCAAGAAAAAAAGCCTGTATGTCTCACTTTTTCTGCTTGACCCAAAATTAAGTCCTGATTTAAACAAAGCAAAAATATACTTACAGAACTAGCATCAACATCACTGTGGATGGCAACTGTCTTAATGCCCATCTTCTTGCAAGTTCTAATAACCTATTTTAAAATATATTAATGTCTATTAATAGTGATTCACACTTAAAGGGGTTTAATAAATAATTTCAGAGTAAAATGGAAAATAAGACGAAAATTCTACTCACCCGACATGCAATTTCTCCTCTATTAGCAACAAGAATTTTATCAAAAGTCTGAAGAGAGAAAAAACACATTCATTAGAAATTGTTACTTTTAAACCGATGGTTTAAGACCAAAAAACACCAAGTTTTTCCAACATCAACACTGAATATAACCCTAATAAACATTACTTCCTAGAGTAACATTAAATACTATATTACTTACAGTAATATTAAATGTACTATAAATACTTAGGGTAATATTAAAATAGGTTATTAAATAGTATAACCGTTTACAACCAGGGAACTACAAAATTCATCTGATATGATCGGGTTCTATAATTACTTTGTTAAAGCATAGTAGGTTAATGTATTCACAATGGGGGTATCTACATATTCTGTAGCCAAAAGAAAATCTTCAAATGATATTTCAGACACTAAAAGACTTTGGTCAAGCCCGGGTGCAGTGGCTCACGCCTGTAATCCCAGCACTTTGGGAGGCCAAGGCAGGTGGATCACGAGGTCAGGAGCTCGAGACCAGCCTGACCAACACGGTAAAACCCCATCTCTACTAAAAATACAAAAAGGCTGGGCACGGTGGCTCACGCCTGTAATCCAGCACTTTGGGAGGCCAAGGTGGGTGGATCACGAGGTCAGGAGATCGAGACCATCCTGACCAATATGGTGAAACCCTGTCTCTACTAAAAATACAAAAAAAAAAAAAAAAAAAAAAAAAAGGAGCTGGGTCTAGTGGTACGCGCCTCTAATCTCAGCTACTCGGGAGGCTGAGGCAGGAGAATGGCTTGAACCCGGGAGGCGGAGACTGCAGTGAGCTGAGATCACGCCACTGCACTCCTGTCTGGTGACAAAGCGAGTCTCCATCTCTAAATAAATAAATAAATAATTTAAATACAAAAATTAGCCGGCGTGATGGTGCATGCCCGTAATCCCAAGTGCTGGTAATCCCAAGTAATCCCAGCTACTTGGGAGGCTGAGGCAGGAATCACTTGAACCTGGGAGGCGGAGGTTGCAGTGAGCTAAAATCGTGCCACTGCACTCCAGCCTGGGTGACAGAGCAAGATTCCGTCTCAAAAAATAAATAAATAAATAAACAAAAAAAACACTTTGGCCAAAATTACTTGACAATTTATTTTCTAAATTCTGGGAAATTCTAAGTGTCATGAGTTGTTTTCAAAGGGAAGTCTGATACTAAGTAAGTATAATTTATCTGCTATCTCTGTTGGGACAGGGCATATTTTCAGTAACTCAGAATAGGTACCTAATTGTGCATATATCCAAAAATGCCCAGACTAAGCAGATTACACCATTTGAATCCAATGTTAAGTTTGAATAACCACCAAATTTTGAAGCAGCTGAGACCAAACAGTAGAGAAGTTGTGTATCCTGTGTTTATCTAGAGACCTAAACCCAAGTCCAGCTTTGCCACTAATGACCTATTTAACTTTAAGTAAATCAATCTCTGTAGGCCTTGATTTCCACATAAACTGGTAGCACTCAAATGGAAAGCTATTTAGTAAGGTTTTCTTCCTACTCTAAAATTGTACAAGCTAATCGTTTTTCAAAACACACCATTCCAAGTAATTTGGATGTAATACACATTAGCACACGGTAATTTCTGTATTTGTGAATTATTTTTAAGTTCAACGGAACTACAGAAAAAAAGTGTCAGTTATATTTCTAAAAGAAGAGTTAGAGTTATAAATGACCTTTTAAAAAGTACTCTTATATAACCTAGAGCAGTTTGTTTGTTTGTTTGTTTTTTGAGATGGAGTCTCACTCTGTCGCCCAGGCTGGAGTGCAGTGGTACGATCTCAGCTCACAGTAACCTCCGTCTCCCAGGTTCAACATATTCTCCTGCCTCAGCCTCCTAATAGCTGGGATTACAGGTGCGCACCACCAAGCCCGGCTAATTTCTTTGTATTTTTAGTAGAGATGGGGTTTCCCCATGTTGGTCAGGCCGGCCTCGAACTCCTGACTTCAGGTGATCCGCCTGCCTCGGCCTCCCAAAGTGCTGGGATTACAAGCCTGAGCCACCACACCCGGCCTAGAGCAGTATTTTAACATACAGGAAAAAGTCCAGAATCTCAGAAGTGAAAAAAGCTTGCTAGGTCTTGGTTTAACCTTTACATCATATATGTCTTAACTCCTCCAACCCGAGCCAAGCCCCTGCCTTAAAAATAGGTAAACTTCTAATGTGATAAAACTCGAAGCCACTCAGAGCCTTGCTCACATCTCAGGTCTGAGAATGCATAATCATCTACTTTTCTGTATTTAAATGGTCATGGTAAACCCCTCTTAAACAGTAAGCATATCCTGAGAACACAATGTTTACACTTTCTTAAATGGGTTTTAAAATATGATGTTAATATTAACTGTGAAACAGACCACATCTGATAATCACCACAAACACCACTCCTAGAAATTACATATTAAGCAATTGTTACAGCGAATACAACAAATCATGATAACAATGGAAGAATTAAGCAAGAATCCCCATTCTAATTTCTGTTCAGGCAGCAGAATGGTCATTACGAGTCAGTCTGCAGCCAAGCCACCCAGGCTGAACTCCCAACATTCTATGTTCTCCTCCTGTGTGTCCTGCTATGAACAAGTCACCCTTCTTGCCTCTCATTTCCTGGTATGTAAAATAAGGGTAAAAACAGCACCTGCCACAAGAGGTTGTGAGAATGATTTGAATTAACACTCTTAAAGTGTTTAGAATAATGTCTAGCATGTAATATATACTCATTCAGCATTAGCTATGGCTACTGTTCTTCACCCCTTTGGGCTACATGCCAGACTGTTATGAATTTAGGAGTGTGCCCCTATCTGTCTAACTGGGGAAAAGCTATAACAAAACAAATACCTGCACCTGACACATCTTCTCTGTTAAGGGCTATTAATGTATTACCAATTAGCGCATAAAACCCAATAAAACTAATCATATCAATTAATCTTCCATACATAAAATTTTCTTCTAAATAAATCATAGATGCATATAATTCAGAATTTTTAAAGTACAAAAGGGGATACACTGAAGAGACACCCAAGTCCCTGCCCAAAAGGCAACCACTGTTACTGGTCTCCTATATATTCTTCCAGGTAGGCTATGCCTATAAAAGAATATGCATACAAATCAATTAAACCCAACCTTAAAACTGCCCCTCTGCATCAACAATTACAGGTAAATATCAAGTGCATTTGGCAACTTCAAAGTAAAATATGGCACAAACACAACAAATTGTGTTAAATGCTCTAATAAGGCTTTGTGCAGGATGCTACACACAGAGAAGGGAGCACATGAACAGCATGTGTAAAGGCCGTGACACTGGAAGAAGAGGGTAGCACTAAGCAACTACAAGGAATTCTCAATATGACTGAAGCGCATGGTATGCTTAGGAGAGTTGTAGCAAATAAAGCTAGGATAAAAAAAAGTCCAGATGATGGAAGGACTCATATGCCATTCAAGGAACTGGGACTTGATCCTATATGTGGAGAGTCACTCATAAGGCACCCTGAAGACACTCAGGAAAAAACAACTATAAATTAGGATCCTGGATCCTTGAAGATAGATGAGAATTCAGGTACCAGAAGAGATAATGAAGAACTTTGGCAGTAGCTGCTCTATAACTGTACTAATAATGTCATCTGAAGTAAAAGATTTCCTAAGGATCTTTTTTGCTGTTGTTATTTTTCTCTTAACCCATTCTCTCTCTATCCCTCCTTCTTCCTTTCCCTTCCCTAGGTTTAGATGCTCTCTCCCAGGCTCTAACTCCATAGCTAGCACCACACTCCATTCAGAGACCAAGAGGACTGAGCTGGCCCTGCACTGGGTACTTGTTGGAATGACGGCAGAACTCTGGACACTGGGTCACTTGCCCAACTCTTCTGAGAAAGGATACAGCACAATGGGTAAGTCCACCAGCTCTGGAAAAGGACAGGCATGAGTTTACACCCAGCTACTCACTATCCATGGGCTTTGAGTCTTGCTTTCCAAATGTGCAAAATTCAGTTAAGGACATTAAGCAGCCGACACTTAGGACACGTTTTGTATACAGCAGGCACTGTGATGAATCTCTTCTGTGCATTATCTCATCTATCAGGTAATGGCTATGATGACAATATTTAGCATAATAATCCCACGAAGTCAGTTCTGATAATATCTCCGTTTTACAAATAAGAAAACTAAGGCTTGATGAGGCCAAATCACTTGCCTTAAATCACTTACAAAGTTCACTAGTGGCAAAGTCAGAGAGTTCACATCCAGGTATTCATGTCAGAAATATCATGATATAATGTAATCAGAGTATAACAATGCAAGCTCTAAACACTATGTTATTAATAACACCTAAGATCACTTTTTTTTTTCTTAAGAGACGGGGTTTTGCTCTGTTACCCAGGTTGATATGGAACTCTCGGTCTCAAGGAATCCCGTGTCTCGGCCTCCCAGAGCGCAGGGACTGTAGGCGTAAGCCACTGAGCCCAGCCAGCTCACATCAGTGTGACAGGAACAACACAGTACTGTACTGGCTCACACTAACTTAAGGCCAACTGAAACTTAATGGTCTTGATCCAAGCAAGCTACCATAAGTTAAATCTTCCTTATTCTCATGAACATACATAAGACAACAAGTTAGCTTGTTAAAACTCAAGTTAAAAAAAATAACGTTTTCAGTAATGATTAAATTTCACCCGGATAATTTGCACATGATGTAAGTCACTGATAAAATGTGGAATAAGAAATGAGTTAATAACAGATTCAAACGAGAATCAATTTATTTAACAAATATGTATTACACCAAAGACCAAGTCTACTTGCACTTGGGACAGTAGGTATAAACAAACCAGGTCAGTATTTAATGAATGGTTACAAGGACAGCAGGAATCCGGGAAGGAGAAAGGTCTGATTAAGTGCAGCCCTCAAGTGAAGGGTGAAGCGACCAACTTAGTCTGAACATGTACCTGTACTATGAATAGGTGCCAAAGAATATTCATCACTCACTGAGGGAAACACAGTTTCTCCACAGTCACCTTAGGCAAGGGCACAGCAAAGGAGATGGCAAAGATAGCAGGGAGCAGAATTGATTTCAGGATTTATGACGAAACATGCTAAGTGAATTCCAAGGAGATTCCACTTCTACACCTTTATCCCTCGTATCTCTTTAAATGTGCTAAACCTGGGCCAGGCACGGTCGCTCATGCCTACAATGCCAGCACTTTGGGAGGTGGAGACAGGTGGATCACCTGAGGTCAGGAGTTCGAGACCAGCCTGGCCAACATGGTGAAACTCCATCTCTACTAAAAATACAAAAAAAAATTAGCCGGATGTGGTGGTGTGTGCCTGTAATCCCAGCTACTCGGGAGGCTGAGGCAGGAGAATCGCTTGAACTCGGAAGGTGGAGGTTGCAGTGAGCCAAGATCATGCCACTGCACTCCAGCCTGGGTGACAGAGCGAGACTCTGTCTCAAAAATAAATAAATAAATGTGCTAAACCCAGACAGTTACATACATTTATTTATTTTTAGTAATTACCAGTGGTCACCAATGTGGGAGGTCAGTTAGCTATTTCTGTAACTTCACTATGAGGTTATAATGAAAGCAAGTACCAGACCAAACTCTGTCCACACATACAAACATTTATTAAGACATAAAAAGAATCATAAAACCTGCTTGATAAGTTCAGTGGAATCTTAACTTCCTGTACTTTGTAAGGCTCCAAAAGACTGCAAGAAAGGCTCACCATAGGCAAAAAAAAACAATATTCTGCTTTGGCTAACCATACTGTCAGACTAAGCCATCAAGAATCCACCAGACAAGTGGCTGAACACAGAACTATTCATTTAGGGATCGGGCCCGAGTATTATCCTTAAAGGTAAAGAATTAAAGGCCAACTACATTATTACATTCTAATAGTACAAAGGCACAGAATTTCCCTAAAGCAATAGCCAATAACATATATTGACGAATACCACAAACTTCCTCAATGACAGCCCGTTTCTTTTTTTCCTTTTCTTTTCTTTTTTTTTTTTTTTTTTTTTTTTTTTTTTTTTGAGACAGGATCTTGCCCTTTAGCCTAGCAGTCTGGAGTACAGTGGTGCAATCATGGCTCACTGAAGCCCTGACCTCCTGGGCTCAAGTGATCCTCCCAACTTAGCTTCCTGTGTAGCTGGAACTACTGGTGCACGCCACCACACCCAGCTAATTTTTGTGGGGTGTTTTTTTTTTTTTTTTTTTTTTGGTAGAGACAGGGTTTCGCCAGGCTGGTCTCAAGTTCCTGACCTCAAGCAATCCACTGGCCTCAAACTCCCAAAGTGCTGGGATTACAGGCGTGGGCCATCACACCTGGCTGATAGCCCACTTCTAACAGTTATTACGCTAATGAGGAAGGCTACCAGTGTATAAGGAGAAAGATGGCTGAACCGTTTGTAGTATTCCACCCCTCTATAATGTGTCCTCTTCAACAAATGTTAGTTAATTACTCTTAAGAGTGTAGCCACTTAGGATAGCTGATTACTTCGAGATTGGAATGCAACACATGGATACATGAACCCCAAAGCATATCACCTATGATGAAGATTTTAAATTAAACTACAGCTTTCATAACAGGGAGTTTATCATAACTAATTCAATAGACCTGCACTATCCAATATAGTAGCCACTGGCCACATGAGGTTATTGGGCTCTTCAAATGTGGCTAATCAAACTGAGATATGCCAGAGGTATAAAATATACACTGGATTTAGAAGACTTAGGGCCCAAAAAAAAGAATCTAAGGTGTCTTGTTAATACTTTTTATACTGATTATGTACTTAAATAACATTTTAGATATTGAGATATTATTAATTTTGCCTGTTTACTTTTTTTTAATGTGGCTATTAGAAAATTGAAAATTGGCCAAGTGCAGTGGCTCATGCCTGTAATCCCAACACTTTGGGAGGCTGAGGCAGGAAGACATTTGAGGTCAGGAGTTCGAGACCAGCCTGCCCAACATGGTGAAACCCTGTCTCTACTAAAAATACAAAAATTAGCCGGGCATGGTGACGTACACCTGTAATCCCAGCTACTCGGGAGGCTGAGGCAAGAGAATTGCTTGAACCTGGGAGGTGGAGGTTGCAGTGAGCCAAGATCACACCACTGCACTACAGCCTGGGTGACAGAGCAAGACTCCATCTCAAAAATAAAAAATAAAAAGGAAAATTGAAAATCACATTTGCCCTGTGTATTAATTGGTTTTTACATTGCTATGAAGATACTACCCAAGACTAGGTAATTTATAAACAAAGGTTTAATTGACTCCCAGTTCCGCATGGCTGGGGAGACTTCAGGAAACTTACAATCATGGCAGAAGGAAAGCAGGACCCTTCTTCACAAGGCAGCAGGGGAGAGTAGTGCAAAGGAGGAACTTCCAAACACTTGTAAGATCTTAAGATCCTGTGAGAACCAACTCACTGTCATGAGAAAAACATGGAAGAAACTGCCCCCATGATCCAATCACCTCCCTCCCTCAACACATGGGGATTACAGGTCGAGATGAGATTTGGATGGGGACAGAGCCAAACCATATCACCCTGCAACTGTGTTTCACATTGTATTTCTACTGAACTGAAGATATGTAGACTCTTTCTTCCTCCAGGCCTCCAGATTCAAAAGAATCTGGAAAGCAGTATTGCGCACTTCAGCACATGATTCAGAAGATACCTCAGACATGTCATTCTCAAATAATCATTCCTGTCAGTTGTATTTTGATGACACTCACCTTGAACAATCCCTTCTTAACCAAAACTCCCGCCCACTTCGATGCCTTCATTGCCATGAAGGCATGAAACCATATTTTATTTCCAATCACTTCTTCTAGTCCCTACAAGGCTCAAACATTATTGTAATAGCATTTTAATTAGAAACCCCTTGTCCTGAAATTTATAATACACAAAATTACCTTCAATCTAAATGAATCATATAGGCCGGGCACAGTGGCTCACGCCTGTAATCCCAGCACTTTGGGAGCTCGAGGCAGGCGGATGACCTGAGGTCAGGAGTTTGAGACCAGCCTGGCCAACATGGTGAAACCCTGTCTCTACTACAAACACAAAAATTAGACGGGCGTGGTGGGGCGCACCTGTAATCCCAGCTACTCAGGAGGCTGAGACAGGAGAATCTCTTGAAGCCGGGAGGCGGAGGTTGCAGTGAGCTAAGATCACACCACTGTACTCCAGCCTGGGCAAAAGAGCAAGACTCCATCTCACAAATAAATAAATAAATAATATAAATATTAAGTAAATGAGGCCAGGTGCACGGTGGCTCATGCCTGAAATCCCAGCACTTTGGGAGGCTGAGGCAGGTGGATCACCTGAGGTCAGGAGTTCGAGACCATCCTGGCCAACATGGTGAAACCCCATCTCTACTAAAAATATAAATGTTAGCCAGGTGCAGTGGTGGGCGCCTGTAATCCCAGCTACTCAGGAGGCTGAGGTGGGAGAATTGTTTGAACCCCAGAGGCGTAGGTTGCAGTGAGCCTAGATCACACCACTGCACTCCAGCCTGGGTGATAGAGCATGACTCCATCTCAAAAAAAAAAAAAAGTATTAAGTAAATGAAAGAAAAACTCAATAGTTTAATTAAATCTCTCAAATGCCCAGTCTTTAAGAACAAATGTTTTCTTAGTTATTCTGCTGGAAACAAAGGAAACACATTGTAAATGCATTCAATTTTTGCTAAAGATATAAATACAAAATTAAAAAGATTCAGACTGTGGCCCACAATGAAAAACAGAATACCTAAAGACTGAGCACCTATAGAAACACACAATGCTAGAGTGATCAATGACCACACAGCCTTAACAAAATCTCATCTGTCCACTGAACACAGTGTGGAGACGAGAAAGTAAAACCATGATAAGTTTAATTTAGTTGTTGAGAATATCTTTTAAATACTTACTTTTTCATTAGGATCATATCCCACTGAACCAAGATTACGGGACACCATTAAGCACTGTCTTGAATAGTACAGAACATGCTACAAAAAAAGGAAAGCAAAATAAATTGCAAATACTTGATGGGCTTTAGAACATTTTTTCAGGATATTTCTTCCAGTTAGGTTCTAGCGAACGTGTCTGATCAATAAATGTAGTTCTAGGCAATATACCATAAATATAATTACAAAAGGGAAATCATATCTACAGACACAGCCCCTTGGTATGTAAGAGAAACCAAAAGCATCAAAACGATCTCCAGAAAAGCAAAACAAGAATTGTCGAGGGGCCAAGCAAATTTGAAGAAAGCCTTTCTGATCATTCAAAAGGATAGAGCAGGGTCAGAAATGTCACAGACCACACAGAACTTTTAAAAACACAAAACGAGAGTCTTGGTCTCAAGGAGCTTCAAATTTAACAGTGGCCAGAACATAATAAAATATTCTTTTTATATTTGCTGATGTCTTCAGCATGATTTCTTATTTCACATTTTCTGGTACAGAAGTGGTTTGGCTGATAAATATGAAAAAGCAATATCAGTAATCAAGGATATTTCTCATTCATTGAACTGTTTGTGAAGAAAGCGTATCTTAATGCTTAAAAACATTAAGAAAAGTGACTAAGCCAGGCACGGTGGTACAGCCTGGAATCCCAGCTACTCAGGAGGCAGAGGTGGGAGTATTACTTGAGCCCCAGAGTTTGAGGTGGCAGTGAGCCAAGATCACACCACTGTACTCCAGCCTAGGCAACAGAGCAAGACCCCACTGAAAAGAGAGAAAAGAAAGGAGAAAAAGAAAAGAGATAGAGAGATACAGAGAGACAGACAGAGACAGAGAGAGAACTTCCCAGTAGTCACTGTTAAAGCTAGAAGGAAAAAAATGGAGGAAAAAAACCAGCAAAAGGCAACCAACAGGTACCACCTCTTAGAACTTTCTAAGATGATAACGACTCAAATAAGAAACAAAATGTTCTTATAGCAACATTTTTAAATGAACTGAAAAATTTGTACAACTATTTTTTAAAGAGTCGGGCACCATGGCTCATGCCTGTAATCCTAGCACTTTGGGAGGTCAAGGCAGGTGGATCACCTGAGGTCAGGAGTTTGCGACCAGACTGGCCAAAATGGCGAAATCCCGTCTCTACTAAAAACACACACAAAAAAATTAGCGGGGCATGGTGGCACACACCTGTAGTCCCAGCTACTCAGGAGGCTGAGGTAGAATTGCTTGAACCCAGGAGGTGGAGGTTGCTGTGAGCCTAGATCCTGCCATTGCACTCCAGCCTGGGCAACAAGAGCGAAACTCCTCAGAAAAAATTAATTAATTATTTAATTAATTTAAAAAATGTAATCTCTGTATAAAAGTGGAGGTAAAAGATACAAAAAGATATAGTTTATAAAATAAAACCTTTACCAAGTAAAAGACCAAGAACAAGAAGGAACTGTGAACGGGAAATTATTACTGTGTCCCTATTAAAGATCAAGACTATCTCTCATATATTCCTTCAAGCATAACTGTGAGTTACAAGAGTATTATCCCCAATTTTATGACAAAGTTGAGTCCCAAGGACTTTAACTTTTCAAAGGTCACAGGCTGAGGCTGTAATGGTTATAAGATTTAACCACAGATTGGTCAAGAGCTTTCTGAAATTTTTTATTTCTAGATAAGAAAAACAGTGGCAATTCCCAGATAAACACTAATATCTACTCAAAGATATGATATTGTTCCACAGAGCTTGCACACATGTGAACTTGTAATAATGTGGCCTAAAGCTGTAAAAAGCATAGATGCCTCCCGGTTACCCAGTAACTAGAAGTAGAACTCGGGCCGGGCACGGTGGCTCATGCCTGTAATCCCAACACTTTGGGAGGCTGAGGCGGGCAGATCACTTGAGGTTGGGAGTTCGAGACCAGCCTGACCAACATGGAGAAACCCCATCTCTACTAAAAATACAAAATTAGCTGGGCATGGTGGTGCATGCCCGTAATCCCAGCTACTCGGATGGCTGAGGCAGGAGAATCGCTTGAACCCGGGAGGCGGAGGTTGCAGTGAGCCGAGGTTGCAGTGAGCCAAGTTTGTACCGTTGCACTCCAGCCTGGGCAAAAAGAGCGAAACACTGTCTCAACAAAAAAAAAAAAAAGAAGAAGTAGAACTCGTACAAGCAAACACAACTATAACAGAACAACTACCAATGTGAACCATTCCCACGACAAGTCTGAACTGGTTTGGAATGAGCCCCATAAAGGCTCTGTTCCTGTTTCCTCCTGGGAGACATTCATGGAAGGTCAAAAATGAAGAATCAGGTCAACACTCAGACCATTTGTGTAAAGCCACAACATAAAGTTTATTTTCTAAATGAAGGAAAACGTTTGAAGAAGTCTGCTAATTTGGACCTCTACACAGAATTTTAACGTTTGTTGTTTTTGTTAAGCATGTAACAAACTGGCTACACGCCCAGTCCAAAATTCTTTGTAAGGTATTTCCTAGCAACAAAGGTTCTGAGAAAGAACTTTAATCAATTCTGTTTATAAAGGCTAGCCAATCACAGCCAAAATGAGAGAGGTCAGCGTGTGCAAAATGACTCCCCAGTAACATATTGCCACTGGTTCTCTCCCACAGGAATAATGATTTCCTGTATTTTCCACACATAGAAAAGAAATGCCTGAAAATGGCTTGGCACATAGGAAGTGGCATTGACCCTCAGAGTCACAAGACTTGGGTCAACTCTCAGCTGTGAGTCATTGAGCTAATCATTTCTCTGGGCCCCCGTTTCCATCTACAAAATGTAGGTGATGACACCTCCCTGATTTCCTAGGGAGTTATTAAAAGGATCAAATGAGTTTTTATAAACAGTAAAGTGCCAAAAAATGTAAGGTTTTACATGAAAACTAAATCCAAATATGTAACTGTCACCTTCTTTCTTAAAATTATACCAGAACCACTTGGGAATTACCATTAGAGAATAATATAGTCAATAAGAGTTCTGGTCTAGACTCAGATTCTGACCTGGATTCAAATCTTGGCTCTGACATTTCCTAGATATATAGAAAGTTTCTTCATTTGTACACTGGGGATAATAATAGTACTTATCTAGGTCATAATGCTGCTATGAGGATTAAATGAGAATGTCTAACATGGCTAGCACAGTCTTGCATATATTATCATCAGCACACAATAACTTACACAAAAAGCGGGGGAAATGGTAGGCTTTTAGACAAACTGGATGCATGCCTTCCAGCCACTGCAAACAGGGAAACAAATCCTGTTTGCAGTGGCTGGAAAAAAATCCTTTCTTAAGATTAGATAGCACCAGCTGGGCACAGTGGCTCACGCCTGTAATCCCAGCACTTTGAGAGGCCGAGGCAGGTGGATCACAAGGTCAGGAGATTGAGACCATCCTGGCTAACACAGTGAAACCCTGTCTCTACGAAAAATACAAAAAATTAGCCGGGTGTGGTGGCAGGCGCCTGTAGTCCCAGCTACTCGGGAGACTGAGGCGGGAGAATGGCGTGAACCCGGGAGGCAGAGGTTGTAGTGAGCCGAGATCACGCCACTGCACTCCAGTCTGGGTGACAGAGCAAGACTCCATCTCAAAAAAAAAAAAAAAAAAAAGATTAGATAGCACCTACTTTCATAAGCAAGATGTGGCCTCACGTGGCAGTTAAAACTGGTAAATCCACTGGCAAATATCTTAAAGAACAATCTGAACACTATTTCTGCCAAAACCAAAACTACTGTTGTTAACATACCCGCAGTAGCATTCAGATGAATAATACTAAATAACTCATTATGAGATAAATTCATTATCAGAATGCATTCTGCTTCAAAGAAGAAACTATCCTCAAAACTGGGTTAATGGAGCTATAAAATGATCTCACCAAGGTCAAAGTAAACATTAGTTTACTTCATCTTGCTTCATCTCTAAAATTCCAGGTGAAGGTCTTATCCATGTATTATGACACGGTATTTCATCATGCATTGTAACAGAGCCCATGCCCTTCTCTGAAGACACTTAATTAGGTCTGGCTTTTTCCTGGAAGCACAGCTTTTCTTTCAAATAGACTATTTAGTCTTCAGGATCTTAGAGACCATTCCAATCTTCAGTGTCTGCCAAAAGCCAAGTTGAACACCTAATATTTGAGAGAGATGTTCAAGACTCAAGATTCTCTGGGCTCTGCCTCTGTACTAAGCTCAAGCACCAGGAAACTATACATGTCAACTCTAGAGCTCCATCATCCCACCCTTGACTCTTCCGCCAGGCCATTCTTCCCCATCCCGCTGTAGCAGATGTTGTCAGTGGCCACTCAGATCCTCTCTAACTGCTGTGTTGACAACTAACGGCTCACACCTGCACCCTCATCTCGACCATGTTCCTCAACTATACAGCTCTCCATCAAGCCTGAGAGCTCCCCCGACCCTGCCTGGCCAAGGGCTGACTAACACTGCATTCAAAAGGCCAGTCCCAGCACCTCAAGGTGGGACTTGATTAGTAGCACAATCTGTGCCCTAGAGCTGTTCCATCCAATATGGCAGCCACGAGCCACATTCAGATGTGCTCTAAGAGTAAACTACACACTGGATTTTGAAAACTTAGTACCCAGAAAATGTAAAAGACCTCATTAGTGAATTTTTACATTTACATATTCAAATAATACTTTGAATATTTGAATATATTAAGTAAAATATATTAATTTCACCTTATTTTACTTTTTTTGTTTTTTTAAGAGATGGGGGTCTCACTATGTTTGCCCAGGCTGGACTGCAGTGACTACTCACAGGCACAATTATAGCCCATGGCAGCCTCTAACTCCTAGGCTTAAATGATCTTCCCACCTCAGCCTCCTAAGTAGCTGAGACTACACATCCCTGCCACCACACCTAGCTTCATTGTACTTTTTTTTTTTGAGACAGGATCTCACTATGTTGCCCAGACTGAAGTGTAGTGATAGGATCATAGCTCACTGCAGCCTTGAACTCCTGCATTCAAGCAATCCTCCCACCTCAGCCTCCTGAATAGCTGGGACTATGGATGCATGTCACCATGCCCCACTAATTTTTTTATTTTTTGTAGAGACTGGGCGGCTGGGGGGTTCTCACTATTTTCCCCAGGCTGGTCTTGAACTGCTGGCCTCAAGTGATCCTCCCACCTTGGCCTCTTTGCTTTACTTTGTTAACATAAGTATTCGAAGATTTGTGTTTGTTTGTTTTTTGAGACGGAGTCTCACTCTGTCGCCAGGCTGGAGTGCAGTGGTGCCATCTTGGCTCACTGCAACCTCTGCCTCCCAGGTTCAAGCAATTCTCCCGTCTCAGCCTCCCGAGTAGCTGGGATTACAGGCATGTGCCACCATGCCTGGCTAATTTTGTATTTTTAGTAGAGATGGGGTTTCTTCATGTTGGTCAGGCTGGTCTCGAACTCCCGACCTCAGGTGATCCACCTGCCTCGGCCTCCCAAAGTGCTGGGATTACAGGTGTGAGCCACTGCACCCGGACCATTCTTTTATTTTTTAATTGAGATGTAATTCACATACCATAAAATTCACCCTTTTAAAAAAGTATACAACTCCGTGGTTTTTAGTATATCCACAAGGCATGGAACCATGATGGCTACTGATTCCAGGACATTTTTTATCACCCCAAAAAGACAACCCTTAACTATTCGCAGTCACTCCCATCCCCTCTCCTCCAGGCCCTGGGCAACCACTAATCTACTTTCTGTCTTCATGGATCAGTCTATTCTGGAGACTGCATATAAACACAAAATCACACAATAGCGACCTTGTGTGTCTACCCTTCAAAAGTCACTCTTAATTCCTTCCTTTCCCTGTTTGTACATACCTTACAGATACTGTAGGTTCAGGTCCAATTAATTATTGTTCAAAACAGTTATTGCTCAAAAATGCTAACAATCATCTGATCCTTCACCATGTTAGCCAGAATGGTCTCAATCTCTTGACCTTGTGATCCACTCGCCTCGGCCTCCCAAAGTACTGGGATTACAGGTGTGAACCACTGCGCCCGGCCTCACTTCTTTTCTTAAACCCCATGAACCAACCTCTGCTTCCAAGTTTTCTTCTGCAGCATCCTCACCTCTCTCAGCCTTCGCAGAACTGAAGCGAGGACCTTGCGCTGGATTAGGCTATGGCTTAAGGAAATGTTGTGGCTGGTTTGATCTTCTATCCAAACCACTAAAGCTTTCGCCATATCAGCAATAAAGCTGTTTCACTTTTTTTAATCAGTTGTGCGCTCACTGGAGTAGCACTTCTAATTTCCTTCCAGAACTTTTCCTTTGCATTTACAATTTGGCACAAGAGGCCCAACTTTCAGTCTATCTTGGCTTTTGACAGGCCTTCCTCACTAAGCTTAATGATTTCTAGTTTTTGATTCAAAGTGAGAGATGTGTGACTCTTCCTTTCACTAGAACGCTTAGAAGATTATTAATTGGCCTAATTTCAATATTGTTGTATCTCAGAGAATTAGGGAAGCCTGAGGAGAGGGAGAGACATAGGGGAATAACTGCTTGGAGAAGTCAAAACTCACACATTTATCAATTATGTTTCTCCAACTTATATGGGCGTGGTTCACGGCACCCCAAAATATTTACAATAAGAATATCGAAGATCACTGATCACAGATCACCATAACAGACATAGTAATAATGAAAAAATTATCAAAATGTTTCACAGAGACACCAAGTAAGTATGTGCTATTGGAAAGATGACACCAATACAGTTGCTCAAAGCAGGGTTGCCACAAACCCTCAATCTGTAAAAACAACAAAAAAAAAGCAGTATCTGCAGGGTCAATAAAGCCAAGATATGAGGTACATCTGTATCTGCCTTCAAACCCCACAGCAAGATACTGGCTCTAGCTCCAAAATACATTCCAAGTCTGACCAGTTCTCAGCAACTCCAGTGCCCTAGCACAAGTTACCATCATCTCTAGCTTGGTCTTCTACAACAGCTTCCTGATGGGTCTCTCTGTTTCCACTCTTCCCACCCCAGTCCCCAATCCTACTCCCACCCCTACTAAGACATTCGCTACGTACTAGTCACAAACGTCTTTTCCAAACATAAATTCAATGTGCTTAAATGCCTCCAACTGGACTCTCATTACTAAATTCCAAATACAAGCCCCTGATGACTCTGTCCCGCCTACCCACTCCTCCTCCCTCATCTCCTAAGATCACCCCCTCATTCAGTTCACTCCAACCACAGCAGCCACATTCATCCCTTAATTATGCCAAATGCAATCTCCCCTCAGAGCTTTTGCCCTGGCACTCCTTGGTCTGCAATGCTAGGCCCCCATATAGTCACATGGCTGGCTGGCTCAGTTTCCTGTCCAAATGCCACATGCTCAGAAATGTCCCCCATGGTCTCATTAGGTAACATCCCCAACTCAGCACCACTACCACTCTCTATCCCATTAACCTATCTTTTTCCTTCGAGAGCACTTCTCACTCTCTGAACTTTTCTATTTATACGAGCACAGTCTCCTTACTCAAATGTAACCACAATGGGAGCAGAAACAGTCACAATTATATTCCCAGCTCTAAGTAGTGTCTGACACATACTACGTGTAGGTGAATTGAACGATAGCCCCTAAAATGATGTGTCCACGTCCTGGAACCTGTGATAAAGTGTCTTTGCCAATACAACAAAGTGAAGGATCTTGAGATGAAATCATCCTAGATCTTGTCATGGCCCTAAATCCAATGAAAAGTGTCTTTATAAAAGAATGAGAGGGAAAGACGCACAAGAAGGAGGAGGAGAAGGCAGCCATGTGAAGACAGAGGCAGAGACTGGAGTGATGCAGCCACAAGCCAAGGAATGAATGCAGCCACCAGAAGCTCAAAGAGGCAAGAAAGGATTCTCCCCTAGAGCCTTCAGGCGAAGCATGGCCCTGCTCATGCCTTGATTTCAGACTTCAGGCCTTTAGTACTGTGGGAGAATGAATTTGTTGTTTTAAGCCACCAGGTCCATGGTCATTTGTACAGCAGCTCTAGGAAACCAAAGGTTTCTTGAATAAATAATACCAAAGAGAGGGCAGGCACGGTGGCTCACATCTGTAATCCCAGCACTTTGGGAGGCCGAGGCAGGCGGATCAATTGAGGTCAAGAGTTCAAGACCAGCCAGGCCGACATGGTGAAACCCCGTCTCTACTAAAAATATAAAAATTAGCTGGGCATGGTGGCACATGCCTGTAATCCCAGCTACTCAGGAGGCTGAGGCAGGAGAATCACTTGAACCCCGGAGGCGGAGGTTGCCGTGAGCGGAGATCACACCACTGAACTCCAGCCTGGACAACATGAGACTCTATCTCAAAAACAAACAAACAATACCAAAGAGAGTATGCCACATGGATGCTGTATTAGGTTTTGTGAATGAAATCACAAAACTGTATCTTCCAACATTCTTTAAATTCACTTTTATTTTGATCTTATTAGGTTGATCCCATCAGTTTGTGGGGTTTTTTCTAACGAAAATGTCAATAGGCATTTAAAATAAAGAAACTAATTTTTGAAAGTTATGCAATATGCTTATCTTTCAAAAAATATAATTTTGCTTCAACTATTCAAGAGTGTTGTCAAAAGCAGTATTTTTTGTATATAACACTTTACCATGCTACTAAAATTATTCTCATTAAAGATCAAAGATCTTTTCAAATTCTTTCACCAATCTTTTTTTTTTTTTTTTTTTTTTGAGACAGATTTTCGCTCTTGTTGCCCAGGCTGGAGTGCAGTGGTGCAATCTCGGCTCACTGCAACCTCCACCTCCTGGGTTCAAGTGATTCTCCTGCCTCAGCCTCCCAAGTAGCTGAGATTACAGGCATGCGCCACCATGCCCGGCTAATTTTGTATTTTTAGTAGAGACGGGATTTCTCCATGTTGGTCAGGCTGGTCTTGAACTCCCGACCTCAGGTGATCTGCCTGCCTCGGCCTCCCAAAGTGCTGGGATTACAGGCATGAGCCATCGTGCCCAGACTTTTTTTTGAGACAGGGTCTTGCTGTGTCACCCAGGCTGTAGTACATTGGTGTGATCACAGCTCACTGCAGCCTTGACCTCCTGGGCTCAAGTGATCCTCCCTCCTCAGCCTCCCAAGTACCTAGAACCACAGGCACGTGCCACCACACCCAGCTAATTTTTATTTTATTTTATTTTATTTTGTAGAGATAGCCGGGGGTGGGGGTGGTATCATTATGTTGCCTAGGCTGGTCTCAAACTCCTGAGCTCAAGAAATCCTCCCACTTTGGCCTCCCAAAGGGTTGAGATTGCAGGCGTGAGCTACCACACCTGGCCTCATCAATCTTTTATTCCTTAGCCTCTCTGCACCTGGGACATAGTTAGGGAATATGTTTTAATTTCTTTTTCTCTCCTCTGTACGTGCCATAGTACCTGGAACTTAGAAAATGCTCCACAAACACTTTCTGAGTAAAGAGCTAGATCTCTAGACAAATGAATGAATGAATGCTAACTACTTCTTGAAATTTCTTTCCTAGGTTTGGTAACACTACACTACATTGGCTCCTCTCAAACCATACCTCTAACTCCTCTTGTCTCTTCTTCCTTCTTCCAAATCCTAATTTAGGGTTATAAAACGAAGCATTTATTCAATTAAATATTAACTGACTCACTATATCCGTCAGGGCTCACAGTTCTAACTCTAACTCTAGCCTCGTATCCCTGGCCCAAAAGCCAGCCACTGATACCCAGCACCTCAGCATGGCTCCTGCGGGCATCTAACTCCAGATACCTACAATGAAACACTATGTTTCCAGCCCCACCAAAAAAGTGTTTCTTCCCAAATTCCTTTTTCATCCTTGTTCTCCCACCTACATTTTTTAAAGTTTGGAATCATTTAAACAAATCCTTTTCCCTCACTCTTCATCAAAAATGTCACATCTTTTCCTCTTAGAAAAGGACTAGAGCAGTTTTTACCTCTGTTCTGAACCTCTCAGGAACAGAATAAAATCCAAATGGTAGATGTATAAATATATAAATGTCTATAAACATTTTTTTACACCAGAAACTAGTTTCTGTAATAATCTCAGAAATTTCTTTTCCCAAATGATTTGTCAGAAATTTATCAGCATGTTGGAAACATTAACCTCCAGGCAATTCTAAAGCATTCATATAAGCCTAAACATTCTTTTCCATATTTACTGATTACAAAAGAAAATAATGGATGTCAAGTAACACAGGGCTTAAACATTCAAATTTCATGAATGCATCACACAATGAGACCATGATTCAAATGAGACAATTTGTAATTAGAAAAGCAAGCTGAGGTGGGTGGATTGCTTGAGTTCAGGAGTTTGAGACCAGCCTGGGCAACATAGCAAAACCCCATCTCTACAAAAAATAAAAATTAAAATTAAAAAATAGCCAGGTGTGGTCGTACGTGCCTGTGGTCCCACCTACTTGGGAGGCTGAGATGGGAGGATGGCTTGAGCCCAGGAGGCAGAGGCTGCAGTAGGCCAAGATCATGCCACTGCACTCCAGCCTGGCCAACAGAGCCAGACCCCATCTCAAAAAAAAAAAAGGAAGAAAGAAAAGAAAGCCTTCAGAATCATATTATCTAAGGTTCAAATTCTACTTCAGCCAATTGTGCTTTTAAGCAACTACTTAACTGCCCTGAGCTTTGTTTCCTCTACTGTAAAATTGGGATTTTTTACCTAGTTGTTATAAGGATAAAAGATATATGAAAAATCACACCATTGGGCTCGGTGGCTCATGCCTGTAATTCCAAGCACTTTGGGAGGCCAAGGCAGTGGATCAAGAGGTCAGAAGATCGAGGTGGCCAACATGGTGAAACCCCATCTCTACTAAAATACAAAAAAAAATTAGCCGGTGGTGGTGGCGTGCGCCTGTAGTCCCAGCCACTTGGGAGGCTGAGGCAAGGGAATCACTTGAACCCAGGAGGTGGAGGTTACAGTGAGCTGAGATCGCGCCACTGCACTCCAGCCTGGCAACAGAGCGAGACCCCATCTCAAAAAAAAAGAAAAGCAAAGAAAAATCATGCAAGGCATATAAGAGTTCAATAATAACTATAGCAATTACCATAAAACCAACATCCTAGAGCCACTGAAAACATTTACGCAGAAGAAAAAACTAGGCATTAAAACAGAATGTGCTTAAAAAGCTGATACACAAAACAAATAAGACTAAAAGGTGAACTCTACATATACCCTAAAAATAAATAAACTCTGTTGACTGGCTAAAAGAATGGTCAGAATTCTCTAGACTAGACCCTAGAGTTAGCTGGCTGCTTTTCAACCAACCAAAAGGTTTGCAGAGGTGGAGGGAGGGATGGGAGGGGTTAAAATCTTCAAAAGATTCAGCTTCAAACAGACTCAGTAGAGCATATTTCAAGTTCATAGAAGAGAAGCGCAGAGAGAAGCTAAGCAGCAGCTCAAGTTCCCCTAGAGTGATAGTGAACTTCAGAGATGCTTCCCACCCCAAGGAGGAATTCTTTACCGGCACAAACATAATGCTACTCTATTGTTACACATTCAGCACCTATTGTGTCAAACATTGTACTAAGAACACAGAAATAGACAAGATGCAGTCTCTGCCAACACATTAAAAGGAAAAAACCAGGTAAGAATCATCAAAGCGTATGTATTACACAGTAAGTGTATAACAAGTGTACAACAGTAAGTACAGTAACAGCCTTCCTCTCAGCCTCTCCAATCTAAAATGTCAGTGTCATCCCTCCCACCTCCAACATCAATGTCTTCCCACTGCTCTAAGACAAACACCAAACCTCATAATGTGATCTATAAGAGCCAGATGGTCTGACTCCTGCCAGCTTCCCCAACACCATCTACTCTCTGCATCAGAGCCTCTGTAGGCTTTTTTCAGTTCTTCTAACCTGTCATTCCCTCTGGCCACAGGACCTTTGCATACACTGCTCTCTCACCTATAACATTCATCTCTGTTTGTTAGAAAAGGTCACTTCATCCTTCAAAACTTGTCTCAATTTTCAGTTCCAAAGGAAAACACTCCCTTACCGTAGATAGCATAGTATGATTAAGAGCACAGGTTCTGGAGTTCTAAATCCTGTTTGCCACTTATTGGCACTATAGCTTCGAGCAAGTCACATTAACACTCAGTGCCTCACTTTCATCTTCTGTAAATGGGGGACATACGACTGTTGTGAGATTGAATAAATTAGTTCAAGCAAAGCAACAGAACAGTATCTAGAACACAGAATTCAAAATCTTGGCTTGGTCAAATCCCTCTATTTTATTTTCTTATAGCACCCGGGCATCTCCCCTAATACCATTTTACACTTGTTACAGTCTCCCTACTAGAGTAAAATTTCTAAGAAAGCAGAAACCATATTCATTCCCCAGAAGTGGAAGACAGGAGATATTCAGTAAATATTTGTTGAAAAAAATAGCTACAAGGACGAAGCTGACGCCCAAGGAAGAGACCTGTCCAATATACAAAGCCTCATGCGCCTGACCCCAAAGCCCACACTTTACACCATACTAACTTGCCTCCTATGTAAATGCATAAGTCTTACAGCTGCAATTGAAGTGGCCAACACAGATGAACAGAATGATAAAGATTAAAGAACACTAAACTGTATGGGAACACAGAAAACAGTGAAAGTCCGCACGCTGAATTGGACACAAAACAAACATAGGTGCCACTCACTTCCATGTCGATAAGCTCCAGCTCTCATACTGCCCACCTGGGGCTCGGTTCCCTCCTCTTTAAAGAGTAGGATGGGGCAGGTCGTCTCTAAAGTGTCTTCAACGTCTAAAATTAAATGACTATAAATCAAGTTATGTGGCAATGTTTTAATAATTATTTTTTAAAAGGAAGTTTAACAAGCACACTGAACCAGCTGACAGATGGTTTTCAGGGGACCTTCATTTTAAAGAATGTGTTCAAGTGCCTCAACAAACCTTATAAAGTAGGTTAGGTGGTCTGTGCCCCAGAATTAACGACAGACTCGACATTGACTGGAGACAGAGCTCAGAAGCACACACAAGCACTCCAACCTGTTTGTCAATCTGCCATCATGACAGCCTAGGTATACAGAACAGTCATGAAATGTGTTTAGAACAGTGCCAAAATCAGGCTCACCACTATACCGAAAAGGAAAGTAAGTTCACGGGATGCATTTGGTACACAGTAGACTGGGGTGTCATACAATTAAAACAGGCTTTCAAATGAAACGTAAAATCTATTGGCAGTCCTGACATGGTATAATACTTTAAAAGATAAGACAAACTCACAACCCTAACACTACTTAAGCAACAGTTCACAGTGTCCCTTCAAAAATGCTGGAAAGAGGCAACAGAACACGGAAACTATAAGGACACCTAAAAAGACACCCTGGAAAGCTTAAGACAAAGCCAATGCCGCGGGGCCCTGGAAGCAGACCTCGAGCAATATGCCTGCCCAAAGCCATCAGCCGCCTCGGAGGGCGTGCGGGCACCCAACTGCCTCTGCCCTAGGCCTCTCTGCTCCGCAGGATCCCCGCGAGGAACAGCTGCAACGAGGGATGCCTCCTGAGCCCGCTGCCACGCGAACTCCGGGAGGGAGGAAAGCAAGCGGTGTAGCTGATGCGGAACCGGGGCGCGGGGGCAGCCGGACCCAGCCAGCGCTCTCCCGGCGCCAGCCGCCCAGAGGCGGCACGGCTAGAAGCCCAGTGAAGCCCGGACCCGCGAGGCCCCGTTGCTCCTCACCTTCAGGGTCCGCAGCGCCGCGCTCAGCATCAGCTGCTGCGGCGGCCACCGCCCACGCCGTCCGGCAGCGACCAGCGGTGCTGTCCCGACCCAGAACCCCGCCATTGTTGTCCCCGCAGACCGCCCCTCTGCTGACCTCTCACACAGCCGGAGGGGGTGGAGAAGGGGAGCGCAGGAGCTCCGGCAAATCACGAGCCAGAAACCCGATGCCCCGCCCCCTAACTTGCGGAAAGGGGAGGGTGAGTGGTCGGCCAGATCCGCCGGATCCGGGATCCGGGAGTCGCGCTAGGACCTGGAGGGCTAGTCGGCGGGCTGCGCGTCCGGCCGCTAGCTGAGCTGGAGGCCACCGGCCAGAGCCGACCCCAGGAGTGAGAGAGACAGGGGCGTGCGTGAGTTCCGGCGGCCTGCACCGGGCAAACCCCGTACCTTCCCAGCATCGGCTCAGCAACCCACGTGCATCCAGGCCGGTCAATGTCATTGAGTCACCTCCGCGCCTTGGCCACCCTGGAGTCCCGAGAATCCGAAGTTCCAGACAAATGCCCAAACTACATTCCTGCATGTTCGAAAGCGTAAATTGCAAAGCACAAATCCAGGTAAGGTTTTTAACGACTGTAATAACACATAAAAAGTTCTAGGTCTGGAAATCAGAGATCCGAGCTCAAGTCCTACCTCTGGCACTTAATATGTGTGTGTGAAAGAAATTAGCCACAACTAGAGTCAGTCTTTGTTGCTCGCAAGCAGAAACCCTTGTTAGTACAACTACTGGCCAGGCGCAGTGGCTCACGCCTGTAATCCCAGCACTCTGGGAGGCCGAGGCGGGAGGATAACCTGAGGTCAGGAGTTGGAGACCAGCCTGGACAACATGCCGAAACCCCGTCTCTACTAAAAAATACAAAAATTAGCTGGGCGTGGTGGCGCACTCCTGTAATCCCAGTTACTCGGGAGGAGGCTGAGGCAGGAGAATTGCTTGAACCCTGGAGGTGGAGGTTGCAGTGAGCCGGATCATGCCACTACACTCCAGCCTGGGTGACAGAGCAAACTCCGTTTCGAAAAATAAAATAAAAATTAGTACAACTATTAAGGGCCGGGCCGTGTGCTAGAGCCTCAGATTCCCTCTTACTTGAGAGTTTACAAGAACCTTAATGGAGTATATATTATTTCCATTTGGAGAAACTGAAGCTGTAGCAGGGTAAAGTCACTCAGCGAGTAAAAGGTCAAACTAGGGTTTGAACCCAAATCTGGCTGCCTTGAGGGACTGGGCTCATGTTTTGCTATATTATGGAAATTTTAAAATATATACAAAAGAGATAAAATTGTACTATGATCACCCAGATACCCATTACACCGCGTCAATGAATCAACATTTTGTCAATCTTGTTTCATCTATTCCCCTTTTTATTTTGTGCAGGAATATTTTAAAGCAAATCTAAGACATCAGACCACCTCACCTATAAACACATCAGTATTGGGGGTTCTCCTCTTAACTACTTTGCATCTCCTGCAGAGTCACCTTGAGAGAGTTACAAAGCTAGGAATGGCCTAGAGTACACTACAGCATGGTAAATGCCCAAAGAGAGAGAAATAAAATGGGGATATCAGAAAGGTGACATTTAATGGAATTTTAGAATGTAAGTAGGGACTTTTGTGACAAAATGAAAAGGATTATCAATTTTACAGGACTTCTCACTTATGTACCTCAGTCTTCATTCATTTTCTACCTGGGAAACTTGCTTTTCTTTTTTCTTTTGTTTTTTGTCTTTTCCCCATGTTTTACCCTTTGGATTAGTTTTCCTTAGGCCCTGTTTGTTTTTCTTATAGGAGTTCTTTTTATGAAAGGCACTTGTAGCAGAAACTGCTTCTCATGCTATCCATTCTCCATGCATTACTTTAGTAAGAGTGCCCCTGAGATCTAGCTGGGTACATGGCCACCCAGCGAAAGGCTGCAATAGCTAGCCTCCCTTACAACGAGGTGTAGCGCCATGACTAAGGTCTGGAATGTAAGGACTGTGCCCTCCATGCCCTCTTCTTTCTTACCTAAACAAAGATCTACATTTCCCAACTCCCACTGCAGCAAGGGTGCTTACCAAGATTTGGTTACTAAGTTTTGGCCAATGGGACATAAGCACAAGTGACATAGACAACTTTTGGGTTATACCTTTAAAGGGAAAGGCTTGCTTTCCACTTGCCCTTCTCCTCTTTCCAGTTTGCCAGAATGTGGACACTACAGTGGAGGTAAAGTTGTCATCTCAGATGATAAGAAGGAAGTTAGGTGATCGGGGAGACAAAACAATATACCAGGAGCCTTTAGTGCCTGATTCTGTGGAGCCGCCACGTCAACCCTGGAGTGCTTTGTTCAGATTTTTATGCAAGCAAGAAAAATACTGTATCTTGTTTAAGTTATTGCATTGTGTTTTTTTGTTTTGCCTTTGTTACAGCAGCTACATGTGTGTCCTTACTGATAGAGGACTAATATTTATCTTTGCCTTTTCCATTTGAAGTTGTAGATTGTGGCCGGGAGCAGTGGCTCACGCCTATAATCCCAGCACTTTGGGAGGCCGAGGCGGACAGATCACGAGGTCAGCACTTCGAGACCAGCATGGCCAACATGGTGAAGCCCCATCTCTACTAAAAATACAAACATTAGCCAGGCATGGTGGTAGGCCCCTGTAATCCCAGCTACTCGGTAGGCTGAGGCAGGAGAATCACTTGAACCCGGGAGGCAGAGGTTTCAGTGAGCTGAGACTGCACCATTGCACTCCAGCCTGGGCGACAGACCAAGACTCCATCTCAAAAAAAAAAAAAAAAAAGTTATAGATTGTAAGGAAAATACCCCCAAGGAAGTTGAGGACACAGCAGACTTGGACTGTCTCCAAACCTGTTCATTCTTCTGAGTGCACTGCTCGGAGCATCCTATTGGGCAGCATATCCTGGCCTCCTTTCCAGTTCGATGTGGTACTATACCTGATTTCTGGCCAATAAAATATGAGAGGACATGAAATTCAACAGCCCCTGGGCTTGGCTTATAAAACCTTCCATGCAATCCTCCACACCTTTTCACCTCTCAGCTGCTGAGACTTTTCTAGGCACTACACAGAAGCAGCCTGGGTCTCCAGTAGCAAAGGAGAGCAGATCCTTCTCACTATCCTGCACCGAACTGTGACATGAGCAAAAAATAAAGTTTTTATTTTCTTACACCATTGAGATTTGAGGATTGCTAGAGCAGTTAGTCTTCCCAGCCTAATACAGTATTAGTAGAGGACAATTAGGCCAGACACAGTAGCTTATGCCTATAATCACAGCAGTTTATAAGGCCGAGGTGGGCAGATCACCTGATGTCAGGAGTTTGAGACCAGCCTGGCCGACATGGTGAAACCCCAGCTCTACAAAAAATACGAAAATTAGCCAAACATGGTGGCACGTGCCTGTGATCCCAGCTACTCAGGAAGCTGAGGCAGGAAAATCTTCAAGCCAGGAGGCGGAGGTTGCAGTGAACCAAGATTGTACCAGTGCACTCCAGCCTGGGCAACAGAGTGAGACTCTGTCTCAAAAATAAATAAATAAACAACAAAAAACCTTTTTCAGAATAAAAACATACATTAACAATATCAAGAATGGCCAGGCACGGTGGCTCACACCTCTCACCCCAGCACTTTGAGAGTCCCAGGTGAGCAGATCACCTTAGGGCAGGAGTTTGAGACCAGCCTGGCCAACATGGGGAAACCCTGTCTCTACTAAAAATACAAAAATTAGTCCGGGCGCAGTGGCTCACGCCTGTAATCCCAGCACTTTGGGAGGCCGAGATGGGCGGATCACGAGGTCAGGAGATCGAGGCCATCCTGGCTAACACGGTGAAACCCCATCTCTACTAAAAATACAAAAAAATTAGCCAGGCATGATGGCGGGCACCTGTAATCCCAGCTACTCGGGAGGCTGAGGCAGGAGAATGGCGTGAACCCGGGAGGCGGAGCTTGCAGTGAGCCGAGATCGCGCTGCTGCACCCCAGCCTGGGTGACTGAGGGAGACTCTGTCTCAAAAAAAAAAAAAAGAAGGTAAAGTAGAGGTTCTTCTTCAAAGACTTTCCTCCCCATCTAATTAGGAATAAATAGTAACTTCTCTTAGAAGCAAAATTTATTCAAAGACCTGTGCTAACATTCTTAAATATCTGCTAGCTTTAATAAATCAATGTACTTTATGTTCCTAGCTCCCACAATTTAGCATAAATATTTGCCCTGGCATGCTTATACTAGTCCAAGCAAGCATTAGGTCATAGCCTGTTCCTCTTCCTTATTTGAAGATGTTTCAGTGGTGGGCTGAAGGGCTCCTCAAGTGCCGCCAAAGTGGGAGCCCAGGCAGAGGAGGTGCTGAGAGCGAGCGAGGGCTGTGAGGACTGCCAGCAGGCTGTCACCTCTCAATCCCCCCTCTAAACAGGACACCCCAACTGCTGTTGGGAATTTGGCCAATGACCGCTCTAGCTACTTCCTGCTGTATAGGGGCGATGATGGGGCCCTGCAGTTGTAGTGTCCTCCAGAGGGGAGGTCTCTAGGCCAGGGAAACTGCCAGCGGGTCAGTCCAGGGGTCCTCGGTAGAAGTTGTTAGTTGAACTGATTTGGGGGTCCATTTGTAAGACCATCTGTAGCTTGATGGCCTCGATTCTAGAGGAAACAAATTTGACAGGAAGGTTAAAAATACAGGGCCCAAAGGCGAGTAACAGCAAGATGGCTGCCACAGGACCTAGAAAGGGGAGAAGCCATGTTGCCCAACTCCAGAGGTTGGTATAAGAATTTGAAAGGCATCTGATTTCAGAAGCCTTTTCCTGTAAATACTAGGCGGCACCTCATACTATCCCCGACTGGTTAGTGTAAAAACAACACTCTTCCCCTAAGAAGGTGCAGAGTCCTCCTTTTTCAGCAGTGAGGAGGACTAGGCCTTGGCGGTTTTGGAGAGTCACTGCTGCCAAAGAGTCTATTTGGGATTATAAAGTAAGAATAGATTTCATTATTTCTTGCAGAATGTCTGAGAAATCCTTTGAGAGTGTGTGGTAGTAGGATAATGAAGTAGATAAACCGGCTATTCTGGTTCCTGTAGCAGTAGCCATTCCTAACCCTATAAGTAGGGGTATTAGTTGTATGGCTCTGCGCTGACTGACTTGAGCTTTGAGGGGTACTGATAAGGTCTAATTTCCTGGGGCAGTGTTAATGTTGGGACTTAGACTAAGGTGCAGATGCTTGTCCAGTTAGTGGGGAGGCAGATATAGGTCGATGTTCCACATAAGAAGAATATGCCTTGTCTGGGTAGAAAGAACTTTACCCTGGCTTTTAAAGGAATGGGATACACTGTTTTTTCTTTACTACTTCCATCTCTCTTTCTCGTTGACTTCTTTGTCTCTTCCTCTCTTTCTGACTCTGACTTTCTGTGTCTGTCCCTCTTTCTCTCTGACTCCTTCTCTTTGTCTCTCTGTTTCTGTCTCTCTGTCTCTCTTTCTGACTTTCTTTCTCTCTTTCATTCTTGCTGGTCTTTCCCTACCTCTGCCAGCCGCTTATGCTGCTGTTCTCCCCTCTCCTTCCCATTTTGATGGCTTTGTCAGTGTAAGACTGCCACCTCCTTGGGTTTTTCCGCTGCGTGCAATAACTCTATAATTTCCTCGTGGTATTTGATGGGGGTTCCCCCAGAGGTTAGGAACTCCCTCTCTTTCCGTATTGCAGCATGGGCATGTAGGATTAGATGAGCATACTTGCTATCTGTATACACATTTATTCTTTATCCCTTTCCCAGTTCTAAGGCTCAGGTAAGTGCCACTAGTTCCGCTAACTGGGCACTGGTCCCTGGGGGAAGAGGCTTGCTTTCAAGTGTGGTTACTTCACTAACTATGGCGTGACCTGCCCTTCGTATCCCATTCTCCACAAATGAACTTCCATCGGTATATAGGTTAAGGTCAGGATTAGTTAAGGGGACTTCTCAGTCCCCTTTTCTGGGAGACTTCTAAGTCTTAGAAGGACTTAGAAGGGGACTTCTAAGTCCACTTTTCTGGGAGAAAAGTGGAAGGGTTGGAGGCCACACACGTGCGTATTTGAAGCACCAGTCCCTCAAGGCAGAGCGCCTGGTATCTAAATAGGCGTTTGTCTGATAGCCATAAACTTCCTTTTCACCTAGTATGCCATTTACTTCATGAGTAGTCCAGACAATGAGATCCTTTCCTTGTATTATTTTGATAGCCTCTGACACTAAGACGGCCACTGCTGCAACTACCCTTAAACAGTGAGGCCAGCCTTTTGCTACTACATCAGTTTCCTTACTTAGGTGTGCCACTGGTTGTGGGGTTGTCCCACGAGTCTGAGTAAGGACTCCAAGAGCTATCCCGGCTCTCTCTGTGACATATAAAGAGAAGTTTTGTCCTGTGGGAAGGCTTAAACCTGGCGCTTGTACTAGGGCCTGCTTTAAGGTTTTGAAGGCTGTTTCTGCCTCTGATTCCCATTCTACTAGATGAGTATTTGCCCTCTGGGTGTCCTTGATTAGAGTATAGAGGGGCCTGGCTATCTCGCTGTATCCGGGGATCCATAGTTGGCAAAAGCCGGTAATTCCAAGGAACCCCCGCAACTGTTTTAATGTCTTAGGGCAAGGATAAGCCAGTATAGGCTGTATTCGTTCCTTGATGAGGGCCCTGGTCCCTTTGGCTAAGATTAGGCCTAGATATTTAACCTGCTGTAGGCAAAGCTGGGCCTTTGACCTAGACACCTTGTACCCTTGATTAGCTAGAAAGTTCAAGAGATCTAGAGTAGCCTGCTGGCACGAGGCTTCTGAACTGGTAGCCAAAAGTAAATCATCCACATATTGAAGGACCAGAGTGCCTGGACTTGAGAAGTGGCCTAGATCTTGGGCTAGGGCCTGACCAAACCGATGAGGGCTATCCCTAAACCCTTGGGGCAAGACCGTCCACGTAAGATGGGATGTGTGGTCTGTGGGATCCTCAAAGGCAAAGAGGAACTGGGAATCAGAATGCAGGGGAATACAGAAGAAGGCATCCTTGAGGTCCAGAACTGTGAAGCATTCTGCTTCCTCTGGTATTTGAGAGAGCAGGGTATAGGGGTTGGGTACAACTGGATATAGTGGAATTACTGCCTCATTAATGAGTCTAAGATCTTGCACTAGTCTCCACTGACCATTTGGTTTTTGTACTCCTAGAATTGGGGTGTTGCAGGGACTGCTGCATTTCCTCACTAAGGCTTGAGCTTTCAAATGTTTAACAATATTCTGTAATCCTTTATGAGCTTCAGGCCTTAAGGGATATTGCCTTTGATAAGGAAAAGTGGTGGGATCTTTTAACCTGATTTGGACTGGGCAGGCATTTTTTGCCCCTCCAAATTGTCCTTCCAATGCCCAGACTTCAGGGTTGATTCCCTCCTCAAGTAGGGGACAACAAATGGGTAACTTGTTCCCCATATTCATGTAGATAATAGCTCCAGCCTTGGCTAATATATCCCTCCCTAATAAGGGTGTGGGACTTTCAGGCACAACAAGAAAGGCATGTGAAAAGAGCAAAGTCTTCCAATTACGACTGAGGAGGTGGGAGAAATACCTGGTTACAGGCTGTCCCAGGATTCCTCGGATGGTAATGGACCTTGAGGACAGTCATCCAGGACAGGCGATTAACACTGAGAAGGCCGTGCCAGTGTCCAGGAGGAAGTCAATTTCCTGGACCTCAATAGTTAAACATACCCGGGGCTCAGTGAGGGTGATGACATGAGCTGGCGCTTGCCCCGGGCACCCTCAGTCCTGTTGTTGGATCATCTGGTTGGGGGCTTCTGACCCAGGGAATCTTCGTCCTCTGGGGCAGTGCACCTTCCAGTGATTGCCTCGGCATAGTGGACATAGACGAGGGGGAAGCTTGTTTCTCATTGGACAATCTTTTTAAAAGTGTCCTAGTAAACCACACTGATAACAAGCCCTACCAGGTGATTGGCCTGCTCCATTTTCTGTCCTCTTTGAACCACCAAGGTTTGTTTGTCTGAGGGCCATGACTAAGGCTGCGGCCTTTCTCTGATCTCGCTTTTCCTTTTGGGCCTGTTCCTCTTGGTCCCTATTATAGAACACCAAGGTTGCCAGGTTTAATAATGCCTCTAGATTTTGTTCAGGGCCCTGGCTTGCTTTTCGAGCTTTCTCCTGATACCTGCAGCTGATTGGGTAATAAACAACTTTTAGAATCAATTGACCCTCAAGTGATTCGGGTGACAGGGGAGTATATTTTCTTAAGGCCTCTCATAGCCACTTGAGGAAGGCAGAAGGATTTTCTTCCTTTCCCTGAGTTATGGTGGACATCATTGAATAATTCATGGGCTTTTTTCTAATTCTCCTTAGTCCTTCTAGAACATAGGTCAACAGATGTTTACAACTCCAGTCCCCATGATCCAAGTTAAGGTCCCAGTAGGGATCCATACTGGGGATGGCTTGCTGACTGGTAGGAAATTTGTCCCTTTTTTCAGCTGCCATTCTATCATTTACTTGACTAAGATACCAGGTATCTCCAAACTCTTGGGCTGCAGCTAAAGCCGCATTCTTTACATTAAAGACCAGGGTTTGATCTCACAGTAGCATGACGTCTCTCCAAGCGAGGTCGAAGGTTTGCCCTAGACCTTGTAGGACATCTATGTACCTATCAGGATCATCTGAAAACTTCCCCAGGTCGGCCTTGATCTGCTTTAAATCAGAGAGGGAGAAGGGGACATGTACCCGGGTTGGGCCAAATTCCCCTCCCCCTACAGCTTGAAGGGGACATAACCAATAGCCAGGAGGGTTTTGTGGTCCTTTGGAGATTTCTTTGCTTATTTCCTTCTGGGCAGGGGAGATTAGAGGAGGATTATCATTCATAGGAAGGGGAGCTATAGGGAGGCTAGGATATGGGGGTAAGCTGAGAGGTCCTCCTGTGGGATGTAAATTGCAAGCTTTGCATAGCTGTGTATTCTCCCTCAATGAAAAGAAAGCTTGGACATAAGGTATTCCACTCCATTTGCCTTCCCTCTTACAGAAAAGGTCAAGCTACAGGATAGTATTGTAATTTGTACTTCCCTCGGGTGGCCATTTTTCCCCATGAGAGAGAGAATATTGGGGCCAAGCCATAGTGCAGAAAAAAATGAGCCACCTCTTTTTTAGGGTTTGTGGGTCAAATTGGTCCCAGTGGCTTAGGATGCGTTTCAAGGGTGAGCCTGTTGATGCCTGAGTGTTTCCCATCTAAAAGACAAAACCGCCTGCAGTTTTGGTTTGTTTTGTTTCTCCCCCTGCCCAAGAACCCGCAACAGTCCCTGGACCCTGCTGATCGGAATAGTTGCGCTCACTGAAGCAGCAGCAGAAACACTAGTTTTCCTCCCAGACCACATGGAGGACCAAGGAAGGTCGGATTTAATGGTCCTTACCGACGCATTCTCGAAAACCTGCACCCTTGCCTGTCCTCCTAGACCACAAGGAGGACCAACCGAGAAAAATCGGATTTAGTGGCCCTTACCGACGCATTCTCAAAATCCTGTTAGAGTCCTAAGCATTCTCCTGTTAGTATTGGGACTTTACCCCGTCCTATAAAGATGTTATGCCCCATAAATGAAGTGGAGGGCCATACCCTGAGGGAGGGCAGGGATCTCCAGGGTTGGAAGAGTGACACCTTTTGTCCTCACTTATATGAATATGAAGGATACACTTTCTGAGGCTCCCCATATCCTAGCTTCAGGAATAGCTTTGTTAGGCCTATCAGTCTGAGGAGGGATCCTAAAATTCCAGGTAGTCCCC
This sequence comes from Homo sapiens, assembly GCF_000001405.40. Lineage (NCBI taxonomy): Eukaryota > Metazoa > Chordata > Mammalia > Primates > Hominidae > Homo > Homo sapiens. The sequence goes on along the minus strand of NC_000013.11, from coordinate 100,079,454 downwards.
ACTATGACGGGGCTTTGGGCAAAAATTATGTCTTTCTGATTGGTGAGCCCTGGTACCTAAAGAAGGTAACAGAGTCCTGGAGTTTATACTAGAAATCATTCTTATAGGAGAAACTAGAAAAGCACCAGAGACAGGTAGCAATTTTTAGAAGCAGGACAAGCCTTGGAGAAGAGAGGCGAGAGGAAGTTTGTCTGGCAGGCATTAGGACCCGGGGGCAAGGGTCAGGATAGATGGGCGAGTCTCGCTTGGGCGACATGCCTTTCAGAGTTCTGCTCATGGCCGCAGGGTCAACTAACTTGTTGTCAGGACCTCGGAGCTGCATGGCTTTCCTCTCTGTCGACCCTCAGCTCAGCCCAGAAGTATAGGAAAAGCAGAAGCTGATTCTAGGCAAACCAATGGTCCCAACTCTGAAGAGTCGGGGGTTGTTAGAGAGCCCTTTCCCAGAAAGCCTGACACCCGTGTCTTTATTCCGGCAGCCGTGCTAGTTGCTTTTAACTGGCCGACAGGTGGCTGGTATTTAGCCCCTGAATTATAAGGAAAGATAGGACAGAATAACAAGCAAAAGGGGTCCGATGGTCTCACCACTCAACGCTAGGCGAAGGTCTCACCGTTCGGCGATAGGCGATAGTCTCACCGCTCGGCAATTGTCTCACCACTTGGTGATAAGTGAAGGTCCCTTCGTGGTCACCAAAATGTGTCCAGAATTGGTGGGTTCTTGGTCTCACTGACTTCAAGAATGAAGCCACGGACACTCGCAGTGAGTGTTACAGTTCTTAAAGGCAGCGTGTCCGGAGTTTGTTCCTTCTGATGTTCAGATGTGTTCAGAGTTTCTTCCTTCTGGTGGGTTCGTGGTCTCGCTGGCTCAGGAGTGAAGCTGCAGACCTTCGCGGTGAGTGTTACAGCTCTTAAGTTGGCGCATCTGGAGTTGTTCGTTCCTCCCAGTGGGCTCGTGGGCTCGCTGGCTTCAGGAGTGAAGCTGCAGACCTTCACAGTGAGTGTTACAGCTCATAAAGGCAGTGTGGACCCAAAGAGTGAGCAGTAGCAAGATTTATTGCAAAGAACGAAAGAACAAAGCTTCCACAGTGTGGAAGGGGACCCAAGCGGTTTGCCACTGCTGGCTCGGGCAGCCTGCTTTTATTCTCTTATCTGGCCCTACCCACATCCTGCTGATTGGTAGAGCCGAGTGGTCTATTTTGACAGGGCTGATTGGTGCGTTTACAATCCATGAGCTAGACACAAAGGTTCTCCACGTCCCCACCAGATTAGCTAGATACAGAGTGTCAACACAAAGGTTCTCCAAGTCCCCACCAGAGTAGCTAGATACAGAGTGTCGATTGGTGCATTCACAAACCCTGAGCTAGACACAGGGTGCTGATTGGTGTGTTTACAAACCTTGAGCTAGATACAGAGTGCCGATTGGTGTATTTACAATCCCTGAGCTAGACATAAAGGTTCTCCACGTCCCCACCAGACTCAGGAGCCCAGCTGGCTTCACCCAGTGGATCCCACACCAGGGCTGCAGGTGGAGCTGCCGGCCAGTCCTACGCTGTGTGCCCGCACTCCTCAGCCGTTGGGTGGTCGATGGGACTGGGCGCCGTAGAGCAGGGGGCAGCGCTCATCAGGGAGGCTTCCCCCGCACAGGAGCCTATGGAGGAGGTGGGAGGCTCAGGCATGGCGGGCTGCAGGTCCCGAGCCCTGCCCTGCAGGAAGGCAGCTAAAGCCCGGGGAGAAATCGAGCGCAGCACCGGTGGGCCAGCACTGCTGGGGGACCCAGTACACCCTCCACAGCCACTGGCCCGGGTGCTAAGCCCCTCATTGCCCGGGGCCGGCAGGGCCGGCTGGCTGCTCCGAGTGCGGGGCCCACCAAGCCCACGCCCACCCGGAACTCCAGCTGGCCCACAAGCACTGAGCGCAGCCCCGGTTCCCGCTTGCGCCTCTCCCTCCACACCTCCCTGGAAGCTGAGGGAGCCGGCTCCCGCCTTGGCCAGCCCAGAAAGGGGCTCCCACAGTGCAGCGGTGGGCTGAAGGGCTCCTCAAGTGCTGCCAAAGTGGGAGGAGCCCAGGCAAAGGAGGTGCCAAGAGCGAGCAAGGGCTGTGAGGACTGCCAGCACGCTGTCACCTCTCATTTTTACTTTTCTCAGCATTCCACAAGTGACTTCCTCCTTCCTTTGTTCTCCTCTGCCTTTGCCTCTTTTAAAAGTTCTAAGTTGCTAGCCAATCAGGACAAATACAGAATGTGAGGTCCCATTCCAGCCAATGGAAACCGGACACAGCAGTAGGGTGGACACCTCAGGTTATGAATGTCCTTGTCTCCTTTGTTTGGTGTACTCTCATGGCAAAACTGCGGGTGAGTGTACCCTTTCTGCATAAAGTAAAAATGGCCTTGCTGAGGAAATTAAATTTATGTTCAAGTGCTATTTATTTACGGCACTGAGGAACAAGCATTTCTAACAGCTTGAACCCAGGAGGCAGAGGTTGCAATGAGCTGAGATCACGCCACTGCACCCCAGCCTGGATGACAGAGTGAGACTCTGCCTCAAAAAAAAAAAAAGAATAGTATTTATCCAGTGAATAACAACCTAGGCATATAAGTATGTGGCAAGCATTCTTTCTCAAAGAATTCAACAGTGGAGGACACCCAGGGCAGTGACTGGCAAACTTTCTCTAAAGGGACAGATTTTCAGGCTTGGAGCACCACAGACATCTGTTGCATGTTTGTCTGTTCTTTTTTTGAGACTGAGTCTCGCTCTGTCTCCCAGGCTGGGGTGCAGTGGCGCCATCTCGGCTCACTGCAAGCTCCACCTCCCGGGTTCACACCATTCTCCTGCCTCAGCCTCCAGAGTAGCTGGGACTACAGGTGTCCGCCACCACGCCTGGCTAATTTTTTGTATTTTTAGTAGAGACAGGATTCCACTGTGTTAGCCAGAATGGTCTCAATCTCCTGACCTCGTGATCCACCCGCCTCAGCCTCCCATAGTGCTGGGATTACAGGTGTGAGCCACTGCGCCCGGCCGTTTGTTTGTTCTTTAGCAACTCTTTAATCATGTAGAAAAAAAAACTGTAGTTTTGCAGGCCTTATAAAAACAGAGGACTGGCCAGATTTGGCCAAGGGTTACTCTGCTCTGGAGTAACACTACGCTAAGTGTAATCCCGGAAACAGTGCCAATCTGCCAACCCTCTGTGATAATTCTGTGATTAAATAAGAACATCTATCTTCTGAGTATTTCTTAGAGCTACAATAAGAGAAATGCTACCCTCAGTTTCTGTAGTTATTCCAGCAAGGACCCATAACCAGCACTTTGAGGTTTGATACTGGCCTGCAGAAACACTTGCATCATGCTGCCGTCAAAGATGTGTGTCATGTTTTATGGGCATCCACCATCATCTGAAAACCTTTCTCATGTTGGCAAATTTCCCATGTGATGAGTTCTTCCAAAGACAGGGCCAGAAATTTGCTTTGTCTTCCTTACTTGGAGTTTTGGTGCAGGCAGATGACCTAGCTGCACTAGTAGCTGTGTCTGAAAGAGACCTTGATTCAAGAGAGCAATGTGGTGAAGCAGTTGCAACACAGAATCCATTTCCTGGTGAGGGTAGCAGTAGAGGCTTCCAGCTGTTAGGAGCACCAACGACAGAGGTTCTGGCATCAAGTACCCACTGCAGTGTCCATGCCAAGCCCTGATGACAGTGAGGTCTTTGCTATGGGCTTGGAGGAGCAGTGGGGTATTTTTTCCTGGCTGTGTAACTTACAGATTGATTCTTAGGCCCTTTGAAGATCTTGTGCATTAATGTTCTTAATTTATTTATTTTTGAGACAGGGTCTTGCTCTGTCACCCATGCTGGAGTGCAGTGGCACGATCTCAGCTCACTGCACCGTCGGCCTCCCGGACTCAAGTGATCCTCCCACCTCAGCCCCCCAAGTAGCTGGGACTACAGGCATGCACCAACACGCCTGACTAATTTTTGTAATTTTTGTAGAGACAGGTTTCGCCATATTGTCCAGGCTGGTCTCCAACTCCTGGACTCAAGCACTGCACTGGCCTCAGCCTCCCAAAGTACTGGCATTACAGGCAGGAGCCACTACACCCAGCTGAGTCAATGTTCTTTAATAAATTCCATTCATATTTAAACTAGCTAGATTCCTCTTGTTTGCTGATACAGATGCCTACAAATGAATGATATTACCTTGCTACCCTAAATTATAAATGGTAGACATTTATTATTACTAATTACCAGAGAGCTCTCTTCATTCAATAAGAATTTATTAGGCCAGGCACGGTGGCTTACACCTGTAATCCCAGCACTTGGGAGGCCGAGGTGGGTGGATCACCTGAGGTCAGGAGTTCAAGACCAGCCTGACCAACATGGTGAAACCCCGTCTCTACTAAAAATACAAAATTAGCAGGGCATGGTGGCATATGCCTGTAATCCCAGCTACTCGGGAGGGTGAAGCAGGAGAATCACTTGAACCCAGGAGGCAAAGGTTGCGGTGACCCAAGATCACGCCATTGCATTCCAGCCTGGGCAACAAAAGCGAAACTCCATCTCAAAAACCAAAAACAAAAAAAAAAACACAAGACCGGGCACGGTGGCTCACGCCTGTAATCCCAGCACTTTGGGAGGCCGAGGTGGTTGGATCACGAGGTCAGGAGATTGAGACCAACCTGGCTAACACAGTGAAACCCCGTCTCTACTAAAAATACAAAAAAATTAGCCGGGCATGGTAGCTGGCGGCTGTAGTCCCAGCTACTCGGGAGGCTGAGGCAGGAGAATGGCGTGAACCCGGGAGGCGAAGCTTGCAGTGAGCCGAGATCACGCCACTGCAGTCCAGCCTGGGCGACAGAGCGAGACTCCATCTCAAAAAAAAAAAAGAATTTATTGAGTTCTTTTGTTCCAGTTAGTGTAATAGAAATACAAAGGTGCGGTCCCTTTCTCAAAGAGTTTAAAATTTATCCTAAGAGTCCGAAGCAGCATCCTGAAAACAAATTTTAAGCATCAAGTTGTGTACCACTCTACGGAAGCCCACTTCTAAACAGCCTATGGAGCGCCTGCCATGCCCATAACTTTTTCTCAGTATAGCAGCCACAGGAGATTCCTTAAGCTTTAAGTAGCCATTCTTTGTGTCAAGTAACCTTCTCATCCTGGCAACAATTTATTGGCCCAAGAATTTGAACCCAACAATCATGGAAGATCTTGGGGAAATTCTTGAATATGGTTGAGTCCCCTGGCATCTCTGTGTAACATTTCTTCTCACAGAAACAATTCAGGTAGTAGTTTATGAACACTGATCTTGAGAAAATATGCCAAGATTCCCTTAACTCATATCTGCATTGAGAGAACAAGTAACATTTGTAAATACTGTTATTTAGGAAAGTTTATCCTTAATCTACACTTATTAGAAAGAGTAAGCAAGCAAAAGGATAAACTTGATTGTTTGTACCCTAAAAGATTAAAAGAGCTACAAATAGTCTATTTCTTGCTCAGATGAAAAGGAGGAGTAGGCTTGGGCATGGTGGCTCACACCTGAAATCCCAGCACTTTGGAAGTCCAAGGTGGGCAGATCACCTGAGGTCAGGAGTTCGAGAGCAGCCTGGCCAACGTGGTGAAAACCCATCTCTACTAAAAATACAAAAATTAGCCAGGCATGATGTCGGGTGCCTGTAATCCCAGCTACTCAGGAGGCTGAGACAGGAGAATCGCTTGAACCCAGGAGACGGTGGTTGCAGTGAGCTGAGATCACGCCACTGCACTCCAGCCTGGGTGGCTGAGCGAGACTCAGTCTCAAAAATAAATAAATAAATAAATAAAGGAGGAGTAGACAAAATACTAATTATTAATGTTTATTGAATGCTTACTCTATTCCAGAAACTGGCCGTTCTAAGTGACCTGAATGTATTCTTAATCCTCACAATTCTGTAAGATGGATACTATTATTATCCCCTCTTACAGATGAGCTGGTTAAACAATTTGCTGAAGGTGAACAGCTAGTAAGTGACAGGGCAGGGATGATGAACCTAGGCAGTGGGCGTTCAGAGCACATATACTCCACTATGCTAAACCACCTCTCTTCAGGTGGCTGCAATTGCAGCTTTCAATATTTTTTCTCAAAAAAAAAAAAAAAAAAAAAAAGACTTGAGGTTAGAATGGAAAAGTGTCAGGAATTAATGGAGCTCATTGGTAGGTACACAGTTATTACATTATTCTATGTTTCTCTGTATATTTCAATCACAATATTAACACAATTTAAGTAAAAATAAAAATTATGCTGTTTAGCAGCAACAAAATAAAGTAATCAGTATGTACATGTGAGTCAGGGAAGACTTCTACAGAACAGGAGACACTTGTGCTGGATCTTAAAAAGTAGTCAAAAGATAGATAGGCCAGATGAGGTGGCTCACACCTGTAATCCCAGTACTTTGGGAGGTCGAGGTGGGAGGATCCCGTGAGCCCAAAAGTTCTAGACCAGACTTGGTAACAAAAGGAGACCCCTTGTCTCTACAAATAAAAAATAAAAAATTTAGCCAAGCATGATGGTACGCACCTGTACCAAGTACACAGCGACTTGAGAGGCTGAGATGGGAGGATCACTTGAGCCCAGTAGATAGGGGCTGCAGTGAACTATGATCACACCACTGCACTCCTGCCCAGGCAACAGAGCAAGACCTTGTTTCAAAGCAAGCAAACAAACAAACAAACAAAAACAAACATAGGTAGATGGACATTCTGGGTGAAAAGAGAATACCACATGCCACATAGCAAGGCGTGAAGCTAGCCACATGCATTGCCAAGTTACAAATGGTACCACGCAACTGGAGAAAATACTAGAGACAAGTCTTTAGGAATAGGCGAGGGCCAGGTCCTAAAGAAAGTGAATACTGTTCTAAAGAGTTTGGAGTTTTTATCTAAGAGGCCAGAGATCACACTGAGGCAAAAGGGGGGCCACATGTGGCATAAGGCTATGTTCAGTTTGTGTGTGTGGACATGTGTGTGCAAATTTGAATTAGTTAACTACATATATATCCAAAATATGGCAGCTTTCACATAAAATTTTAACTTTTCTACTTCTCATGAGAAATCAAAAGATTTAACAATACAGGGATGCTCAACAATACAGGGATACAGTATAATAACTATTTAGATAGCATTTACACTGTATAAGGGCAGCTCACTTTGCCACGTCCCGTACTTTACTCTGATGTAGACACTTGTTTTTTTGTTTTTTTTTTGGTTTTTTGTTTTGTTTTGTTTTGTTTTGTTTTTTGAGACTGAGTCTCTCTCTGTCACCCAGGCTGGAGTGCAATGGCGCGATCTCGGCTCACTGCAACCTCCGCCTCCCAGGTTCAAGTGATTCTCCTGCCTCAGCCTCTCGAGTAGCTGGGATTACAGGCACATGCCACCATGCCCAGCTAATTTTTGTATTTTTAGTACAGACAGGGTTTCACCATGTTGACCAGGCTGGTCTCGAACTCCTGACCTCAGGTGATCCGCCCTCCTCGGCCTCCCAAAGTGCTGGGATTACAGGCATGAGCCACCACGCCGGCCAACACTTGTATTTTTTCATCCCTGTTCATTCTTTTTTTTTTTTTTTTTTTTTTGAGACAGAGTTTCGCTCTTGTCACCCAGGCTGGAGTGCAGTGGCGTGATCCCAGCTCACTGCAACCTCTGCCTTCCAGGTTCAAGCGATTTTCCTGCTTCAGCCTCCCAAGTAGCTGGGATTACAATGCATGCCACCATGCCTGGCTAATTTTTGTATTTTTAGTCGAGACGGGGTTTCGCCATTTTGGCCAGGCTAGTCTTGAACTCCTGACCTCAGGAGATCCATCCGCCTCGGCCTCCCAAAGTGCTGGGATTACAGGCATGAGCCACCGCACCTGGCCCTAATTCTGTCATTTCTTCTATATTCGTTAGCTAACATCCTGTAAAGAAGACATTTTCTTTTTTACTCTCCCATCTGTCTCTCTCTGTCGCACACACACACACACATGCGCACACACACACACACACACCCCACTGTGGCCTCAGCTTTTTATTTGCTCAATGAGTTGCAATCATTCTTTGTATTATTCAGAATTTCCCAAATCTCAAGTAATATAGAAAGGACAAATAGAATTCTCAAACTCCAGTTAAACTTTCAGAAACGCTTGAACTTCCTTGACCCAAACTATTGCCTTTTCTCTTAATGACAGTGAAGTCAACTCCATAGGTAGCCCATTAACTCTCAAAATCCTGGCCTCAAGTGATCTCCCTCTCTTGGCCTTCCAAAGCATTGGGATTACAAGCGTGAGCCACAGTGCCTGGCCTAGCCCATTGATTCTCAACCTATTAACTGATACTTAGTCATCTTATCTGCCTGGGAATGTTGCTCCCATTATAGACTGTCTTATTACGAGCTGATATAGCCAATATTGCCTATGACTGGGGTGATACGCTTGGTTTTGTAAAAACTGAGGTAAAATAGGCATAACAAAATTTAGCATTTTAACCATCTTTCAGTGTATGGTCCAGTGGCATTAAGTACATTCACGCTGTTGTGCCCCTATCACCACTATCCATCCCAAACTTTTTTCATCTTGCAAAACTGAAACTCTATCCATTAAACACTAACCCCTCATTTTCCTCCTTCTCCCAGCCTCTTGCAACCACCATCTACTTTCTCTCACTATGAATTTGGCTACTCTAGGTACTTCACATAAGTGGAATTGATACACTCATATCAACAACTATTTGTTTTATCAAGAAATATGAATACCTTTTCAAAAATATCCCTCAAAACAATCCCAGGCCAGGAACAGTAGCTCACACCTATAATCCCCACACTTTGGAAGACTGAAGCAGGAGAACCACTTGAGGCCAGAAGTTTGAGACCAACCTGGGCAACATAGCAAGACATGGTGTGTACAAACAATTTTTAAAAAACAAAAAATTAGTAGGGAATGGTGGCACCCACCTGTAGTCCCAGCAACTGGGGAGGCTGAGATGGGAGGATCGCTTGAGGCTGGAAGTTTGTGTGCTATGATCCTGCTACTGGATCTTGCTAGAGTGCTATGATCCTACTACTGCACTCTGCACTCCAGCCTGGGCAACATAGCAAAACTGCATCTAAAAAAACAAAAACAAAAACCATTGACAATTTAAAATGTAGAGGCTTCATCTGCTGAAGGACACATCAGAAAAAGACTGCCCTTTACCTCAGTGGAAAGGACCTTGTAGGCACTAACTAACAAATAACACAGCAATTGAACTCTAGGGTATTGATCCTTGCATCCTTCTTTCTTTCTTCCTTTTTTTAAGACAGGGTCTTTGTCACCCAGGTTGGAGTGCAGCGATGCAATCATAGCTCACTGTAAACTCAAACGCCCCAGTTCAAATGACCCACCTCAGCCTCCAAGTAGCTGGGACTACAGGCATGCGCCACCACACCCAGCTAATTTTTTTTTTTTTTAAGAGATGGGGTCTTGCCATGTTGCCCAGGCTGGTCTCAAACACCTGCCCTCAATCCCTCAAGATATCCTCCCACGTCAGCATCCCAAAGTGCTGAGATTACAGTCATGAGCCACTGTGCCCAGCTATATCCCTGTTTCTTGACCAAGGAGAAATTAGCCATTCTTGAATCAGGAGGACATTGCTATCAGAGACCTCAAATGGAGAATACTGAGGAATCATCCAGAAGCAGAAAACTGCAGGAAGGGGACAACTTCCACTGAAGACCATAGGAACAAGCTAACGACTGCATGAAGACAGCCCAAGACCTGAGGACCATGGAAGATAAGGAGCTGGAGCTATGTGTTTGTCACACTTCAATCTGCATGGAGGCTTTTCATAATTTTTCTAGATATTTTCTTTCATCTTTTTTGATTTATGCTTTGCTTTGTTGACAGACAGCTTGTTACCTTGACTAGAGTACCTATAAGCAATGATTTCTTAGAGCCAGATAGAACCGGCTTATGAGAATCAATTGCTAAATTGTCAGGAATCTTGCCAGATAGTTGTGAAACCACTGGTGACTTGAAATCAGTCTACAGGAACATGCACACAATGGAAATCAGAAAACATAGTTTTATTTGTCCTTACAATGTGTGTCTGGAAAATGTTACTGCCAGTGTTCTATGTTCTAAAGTTATTTGAAGTAATCATTTCCCCTGTGTGATTAGGTTTTATATTCAGGTCTGTTCATTTGTTTCTGTTTGTGTTCAATTGTTTCTGTTTGTGTTTAATTTGATTTTTTCCCATTTGACTTAATTTTGGTTTTTGAATATATGAGTAATTTACATGATTGAAAAGTTAAAACTGTATAAAGAAAGATACTCCAAGAGTTCTTGCTCTCACCCTGTTCCCTATTCCCATCTCACCCATTGTTCAGAAGTAGCCATTTCCATTTTCAACAATTTCTTGTTTATTATTTCTTTGAAAAAATACATATGCATAAATATGTGTGTGCGTGTAGATGTGCCCTAGTTTATTCAATCAGTCTCCTATTCATGGGTAGTTGTACTGGTTTTCAAGCCATTCCTATTGCAAATAGCATATCTGTATAGCATATCTTATTTTGCATTTGCATATCATATCTGTACATCATAGTTTGCATTTGTGGAGGTGTATCAGCTAGATTTCTAGAAGAGTCACTGAATCAAAGAGTAGATGAACATGTAATTTTGTTAAATATTGCCAGATTTCCTTCCAGGGGAGTTGTGCCATTTTGCAATCCCAACAGCAATGTGTGGAAATACCTGTTTCTCCCCAGGCTTACCAACAGCGTATGTTGTCAAGCTTTTGTACTTCTGCCTAAGAACTGTGAGGTGTCTGAGATTTTTGCCCTCCTTGCAAGGTGGATGCCTTGCCCTGGTGGGCTTGTGTCAGAGCTAAAGAACACTGAAATTAGGAAACCCCCAGTCTTATAAGGAGCTACTAAAAACCTACCTAACCTTTGACCTGGAGGAAAATGTTGTTTTTATTGTCTTGGTCAGGAGAGGAATCTACCCTCTGTCCTTCCAGAATGTTTGCAGCACAAAAGACATTGAGAACAGAAGCTGTCACAAGACGTATAGAAACACCATGAAGGATTGTCTCTCAACACTGCCAATCTGATAAGGGAAGAACAGTATTTGAATATACGCTGTCCAGTACCTCCTGTGAATACCAAAATCCATGAATGCTCAGGTCCTTTATGTAAAATGTGGTAATATTTGCATATAACCTATGCACATACTCCAGTATACTTTAAATAATCTCTAGATTACTTATAATACCTAATACAATATAAATGCTATGCAAATGATTGATATACTCTATTATTTAGGGAATACTAATAAGAAAAATAAGTCTGTACATATTCAATACAAACAATTTTTTTTTCAAATACAGTCATGCACCCATAAGGAAGTTTTAGTCAACAGCTGACTACATATACAATGGTGGCTATACCATATAGCCTATGTGTGTAGTAAGCTATACCATCTAGGTTTGTGTAAGTACACTCTATGATGTTCGCACAATGGTGAAATCGCCTAACAACACTTTTTTTTTTTTTTTGAGATGAAGTCTTGCTCTTGCCCCCAGGCTGGAGTGCAATGGTGTGATCTCAGCTCACTGCAACATTCACCTCCCGGGTTCAAGCGATTCTCCTGCCTCAGCCTCCCGAATAGCTGGGATTACAGGAGTTTGTGACCATGCCTGGCTAATTTTTTTTTGTATTTTTAGTAGAGATGGTGTTTCACCATGTTGGCCAGGCTGGTCTAGAACTCCTGACCTCAGGTGATCCGCCTGCCTTGGCCTCCCAAAGTGCTGGGATTATAGGCGTGACCCACCGCACCTGGCCGCCTAACAACACATTTTGGAGAATGTATCCCCATCATTAAGCAATACATGACTGTCATTTCTATCCATGGTTGATTGAATTTACAAATGTGGAATCCATGGATGCCAAGGGCTGACCATATTTTAATTTGCATTTCTTTTATAAGAAGTGATGCTGAGTATTTTTCCAAGTACTTCACAGACATTTGCCTTTAATCATCTGTGAACTGTCTCTTAACAGTTTGGGCCATTTTCCTACTAGGATTTTACTTCAAAAACCTTTTTTTTTTTTTTTTTTGAGACTGTCTCTGTTGCCCAGGCTGGAGTGCAGTGGTGTGATCTCCATTCCCTGCAACCTCTGTCTCTGAGGTTCAAGCGATTCTCCTGCCTCAGCCTCCCAAGTAGCTGGGACTACAGGCACCCACCACCATGCCCAGATAATTTTTGTATTTTTAGTAGAGACAGGGTTTCACTGTTTTGGCCAGGCTGGTCTCAAACTCCTGACCTCAAGTGATCCACCTGCCTCTACCTTCCGAAGTCCAGGGATTACAGGCATGAGCCACCACACCCAGCTTCTTGAACAGTAAAATCTTTTATACTTAAACAGCTTTATTGAGATATATATATATATATATATATATATATACACACACACACACACATACATACAAATATATATAGATAGATTTTTTTTTTGATGGAGTCTCAGTCTGTAGCCCAGGCTGGAGTGCAGTGGCATGGTCTCAGCTCACTGCAACCTCTGCCTCCCGGGTTCAAGCAGTTCTCCTGCCTCAGCCTCCTGAGTAGTTGGGACTACAGGCACGCGCCACCATGGCTGGCTAGTTTTTGTATTTTTACTAGAGACGGGTTTCACCATGTTGGTCAGGCTGGTCTTGAACTCCTGATCTCGTGATCCGCCCACCTTGGCCTCCAAAAGTGCTGGGATTACAGGCGTGAGCCACTGTGCCCGGTTTATTGAGATATACATACCATTAAGTTCATCCGTTTAAAGTATAGAATTCAATGGTTTTTAGTATATTTATGGAGCTATGCAACCATTGCTATAGTATAATTTTGGAACATTTTCAACATTCCAAAAAGAAACCCCTTACCTCTCAGTAGTCATCTCCATTCCTGCCCCTTGCCCCTACCCTATCCAGCCCTATGTGACCACCAGTCTACTCTATCTCTATAGATTTGTCTATTCTGGACATTTCATATAAATTGTATCATACAATATGTAGACTTGTGACTGACTCTTTCACTTAGCATAATATTTTGGAGGTTCTTCCATGTATCATGCATCAATACTCTTCTTTTTTTTTACTTATTTATCTATGATGGAAATTAGCTATTTTGTGTAATTTAAACTACAAATATTTTCTCCCATTTTTTTCATCTCTTTTGATTTTGTTTATGATGTTTTTGCCAAGCAAAAGTCTATCCACGTATCAGCCGGGTGCAGTGGCTCACGCCTGTAATCCCAGCACTTTGGGAGGCCAAGGCGGGCAGATCACCTGAGGTCAGGAGTTCAAGACCAGCCTGGACAACATGACGAAACGCTGTCTCTACTAAAAATACAAAAATTAGCCAGCACGGTGGTGGGCACCTGTAATCCCAGCTATTCAAGAGGTTGAGGCAGGAGAATCACTTGAACCCGGAAGGAAGAGGTTGCAGTGAGCCAAGATTGCACCACTGCACTCCAGCCTCCATCTCAAAAAAAAGTCTATGCATATATATATATATATGTTTGTGCATATATAGATAGATACAGCTGTAGATATAAATGGATAGATTTGAATTTATCAATCTTTCTCCATGGCTTCTGGAATTTTAGTTATAATTCAGAAGGCTTTCCTTTGTCCAGATTACAAAGAAATTCATATGTTTTCTTCTTGAACCTGTTATGTTTTCATTTTTTGTGCATTGAAATAAGGGATCTGTTTGAAGTACATTCTGATGTAAATTTTTTTTTTTAGATGGAATTTCGCTATTGTCACCCCAGCTGGAGTGCAATGGCGCGAGCTAGGCTCACTGCAACCTCCACCTCCTGGCTTCAAGTGATTCTCCTGCCTCAGCCTCCCAAGTAGCTGGGATTACAGGCATGAGCCCCCGTGCCTGGTCCTAATGTAAATTAGGGACATAAAAACTCTAGTTGTGCTAATGTCATTATTTAAAAGTGAATCTTTTCTGGCCTGGCATGGTGGCTCATGCCTGTAATCTCAGCACTTTGGGAAGCCAAGGCGGGCAAATCACTTGAGGTCAGGAGTTCAAGACCAGCCTGGCCAATATGGTGAAACCCGTCTTTACTAAAAATAAAAAATTTGCCAGGCATGGTGGCACGCACCTGTATTCCCAGCTGCTTGGGAGGCTGAGGTGGGAGAAACACTTGAATCCAGGAGGCGGAGGTTGCAGTGAGCCGAGATTGTGCTATTGCACTCCAGCCTGGGCAACAGAGCGAGACTCTGTCTCAAAAAATTAAAAAATAAAAAAGTTAATCTTTTCCCCAATAATTTAAGATCCCACCTTTGTCATATGCTAAATTTCCCTATGTGCTTCATAACTATTCCTACTGGTTTGAATGTCTAGGCAGGAACCAACACCACACTGTTTTAATTATCAAATCTTTATAATAAGTTTTAATATGTAGTAAGACCAGTCCCCTTTTATTGTTCTTTCTTTTGAAGATGTTCATAAGTATTCTTGCTTATTTATTTTTCCATATGAAGTGTAGGATCCTGTGCCAGGAAAAAAATTTGCTGGCATTTTTATTGGGATTACATTAAATTTATACATGAACCTGGAGAGACTTTATTACGTTGATTGGTTCTATTCAAAACAAGGAATGTGTTTCTATTTTTGTTTAATCCTACTTTTGTGATTTTTCAGGACTATTTCAAAATGTTTCTCGTACAGGCTTCATGTGTAATCTTTTAAACTACAGGGAGTGATCCTATCCTCTGTGAAACTAGGTCAACTGAATATCACCAGTCATAGCTACTCTTCTCTTTGAGGAGAGGTGAGGAAGGGGGCTGATCACGCCTCAGCCTCCCAAAGTACTGGGATTACAGGCGTGAGCCACCATGCCAAGCACAAACATCTACATTCTATTTGCCCTGATTCTTGTTCTCTTCACTGAGGATTTTGCATATGTTTATATTACTGGCTATGATATTATGTAGTACTCATTGAAACACTCTTTAGGAAGTTTTATTGTACAATATGGTGAAGCATAATGCAGGATGGGAAATAGCTTGGAGGGTGAATTTGGGGATACAGTATACAATAGGATTCTGGAGTTAAATTGTTTTTTGACTCAATTCAGAGACTTCTGATGGGCACCCCTCATCGCCCCAGTGAGTTGATTCTAGGAGTCAGAGGAGAAACAATGACCATCAGGCGAAGAGTCTCACAAAGTCAAACGCAGGATTTCCCTGATACCCATCAGGGCACTTTCCCATAAGAGACAGCTGCGCTCAGGCTTACTCCAGGCTTTACTTTAAAACCTACTAGAATAATAGTAGGAAAAACAAGGAAGAATGGGTGAAAGGAAACAGCCTATTTATTTCCTCAAATCCTTTCAGCTTCGCTTCACCTTAGAGAACAATGAGGCTTATTAAATAGGGCCAGCAGCAATCTTGTGTAATTGTTCAGCCATCTTCTCTGTTGACTCCTCAGCCTATTCTGCGACCCTCAAGTTACCCACAGCTTGGCTAAAATAAAAGACTTCTTCTTGCAGGTTTCTCATGCTTTGAATCTTTCCTAGTACAGTTGTTCCCTCTTGAAATGTACCAGAATGTCCACACAACAGGGTACTATAATACCTGTAAAAAGGAATGCAGAAAATCTCTGCATATAACTATGCAGTGATTTCCAGGATATATTGTTCAGAGAAAAAAAAAATTGTGGTAAAGAAAAATGTGTACAGTTGCTACTATTTATCTAAGAAAAAAGGAATAAAGATATATACAGAGATGCTTGTACTGAAAGTAAACAATGGAAACAGTCCACAGCCCTGGCCTCTGCTCACATACCCACAGAACCCGCAGCTCCACCGTACCATGTGTGGCATTTGGGCCCTCTTTGGCAGCAATGATAGCCTCTCTGGTCAGCATCCGAGTGCTATGAAGATCACACACGGGTCCAGATGCATTTCGTCCTGAGAATGTCAATGGATACATCAGCTGCTGCTTTGGATTTCACCAGTTGGTCGTAGTTGACCAGCTGTTTGGAATCCAGCCAATTCAAGTGAGGAAATATCTTCATTTGTGGCTCTGTTGCAGTGGTGAAATTTACAACCACAAGAAGGTATAATACCATTTTGAATTTGATTACAAGGCCAGAGTGGATGGTGACATAATCCTTCATCTTTATGACAAAGGAGGGACTGGGCAGAAAATGTGTATGTTGGGCTGAGTGTTTGCATTTATTTTATTAAATACTGTCAATAAGAAAGTATTCCTGGGCAGAAACACCTACCTAGAGAGTCATCACTGTAGAGATTAACCTCTGCATGCCCTCTATAACAGTGTGGAGAAACAGTTTTGAGATAGAAACTGTGAAGAGCAACCTCTGGATTCCTTTTGACAGTGCTATTAAGAAACGACTGATGACAGAGAAAAGGCTTGGATTCCAGCTTCGTTGCTGCCATTCTGTTGATGCAGCTGAAAGAGTCCCAAGTGTAAGACACTCTCTAGACATTTGCGATTGGCATGAAATCAGTCCCAATGTACTGGCTGCTAGAAAGGTGGAAAATCATATTGAAAGTGAACACCACTCTGAGGAAGGCATTCAGGTCCTGGATGAAATAATATTTTCCTTGGAAATTTAAGACATAACAATAGTTCACACTTCAGTAGGTAGGTTTGTAATTTCCCAGTATATTTGGAAGAACACAGATATCATAGTGATCTTCTCTAGAGAACGTTCGGATGAAATTACACAGGGTTACATATATTTTTACAAGACTCCTCCTCAGGAAAAAGCCAAGGAGCAGAGTCAGGGGCTTCTGAAGGACTCTTTGTTTTATGTAGTGTGTGCAGATTGAACTGCTGCTGCCTGTGACCTTGAACTGAGAGTCTAATTCCTGGATCATCTGTTTTCTTCTTATTGCCTCTGGCACCAGAAATAAGAATTCTGAAGACTGGGATAGGAAAACATCTCCTGATAAAGATATTTGAGTACTATACCTGATACCTAAAGAAATTCTCTGGCCAAAAGAAGCCTTCAGTGATGGGATAACTTAGTTAAGAATTTCTGTTTTAGGGTTTTACAGAAATATACTGAACATCAGGTTGATGACATAATGATGGCAACTGCAACACAAAAATTTTCCTTCAGTATTCTTAAAACTAAATAAGGCTATTACAGCAATCTACAAATTCAATGCAATTCCCATCAAAATATCACCATCATTCTTCATAGAACTAGGAAAAAACAACCCTAAAATTCATGTGAACCAAAAAAGAGCTCGCATAGCTAAAGCAAGACTAAGCAAAAAGAACAAATCTGGAGGCATCACATTACCTGATTTCAAACTATACTATAATGCCACAGTCACCAAAACAGCATGGTATTGGTATAAATATAGGCACATAGACCAATGGAACAGAATAGAGAACCCAGAAATAAACCCAAATACTTACAGCCAACTCACCTTCGACAAAGCAAACAAAAACATAAAGCAGAAAAGGGACACCCTATTCAACAAATGGTGCTGGGAGAATTGGCAAGCCACACATAGGAGAATGAAACTGGATTCTCATCTCTCACTTCATATAAAAATCAACTCAAGATGGATCAAGGACTTAAACGTAAGACCTGAAACTATAAAAATTCTACAGGATAACATCAGAAAAACCCTTCTAGACATTGGCTTCGGCAAGGAGTTCATGACCAATAACCCAAAAGCAAATACAGTAAAAACAAAGAAAAATAGGTGGGACTTAATTAAACTAAAGAGCTTTTGCACAGCAAAAGGAACCATCTGCAAAGTAAACAGACAACCCATAGAGTGGGAGAAAATCTTCACAATCTATATATCCGACAAAGGAATAATATCCAGAATCCACATGAACTCAAACAAATTAGCAAGAAAAAGACAAACAATCCCATCAAAAAGTGGGCTAAGGACATGAATAGACAATTCTCAAAAGAGGATATACAAATGGCCAACAAACATGAAAAAATGCTCAACATCACTAATGATCAGGGAAATGCAAATCAACACCACAATGTGATACCACCTTATTCCCACAAGAATGGCCATAATCAAAAAATCATAAAATAATAGATGTTGGCATGGATGTGGTGAAAAGGGAACACTTCTACACTGCTGGTGGGAATGTAAACTAGTACGACCACTATGGAAAACAGTGTAGAGATTCCTTAAAGAACTAAAAGTAGAATTATCATTTGATCCAGCAATCCCATTACTGAGGAAAAGAAGTCATTACACGAAAAAGATACTTGCACACACGTTTATAGCAGCACAATTCACAATTGCAAAAATGTGGAACCAGACCAAATACCCATCAATCAACAAGTGGATAAAGAAACTGTGATATGTGGCCGGGTGCAGTGGCTCACACCTGTAATGCCAACACTTTGGGAGGCCAAGGCGGGTGGATCACCCGAAGTTGGGAGTTTGAGACCAGACTGACCAATATTAAGAAACCCTATCTCTACTAAAAATACAAAAAATTAGCCAGGCATGGTGGCGCTTGCCTATAATCCCAACTACTCAGGAGGCTGAGGCAGGAGAATCGCTTTAACCCGGGAGGCGGAGGCTGCAGTGAGCCGAGATTACACCATTGCACTCCAGCCTGGGCAACAAGAGAGAAACTCCATCTCAAAGAAAGAAAAGAAACTGTGATATATATATCACATCATATATATATATGATGGAATACTACTCAGCCATAAAAAGGAATGAATTAATGGCATTCGCAGCAACTTGGTTGGGATTGGAGACTATGATTTTAAGTAAAGTAACTCAGGATTGGAAAACCAAACATCGTATGTTCTCACTCATAAGTGGGAGCTAAGCTATGAGGATGCAAAGGCAAAAGAATAATACAATAAACTTTGAAGACTCGGGGAAAGTTGGTGGGGGGATGAGGGATAAAAGACTACAAATTGGGTTCTGTAGATACTGCTCGAGTGATGGGTGCACCAAAATCTCACAAATCACCACTAAAGAACCTACTCATGTACCCAAACACCACCTGCTCCCCAAAAACCTATAGAAACAAAAAATTTTTTAAAAAAATAAAGCATTGATTAAAAGCAAAAATAAATAAATAAATTAGCCCACCTAAAAAAGAAAGACATGCTCACAGTTATTTATTGCAGGATGTTTGTATCAGAAAAGTATGGAAATACACAGAAACAATACAAATGTCCTTTAGTAAGGAACTGGTTGTATAATTATAAAGCCACATGTTGGCGTACTGTGCCACTGTAAGCAGAAATTAAGCCAGGGATGGTGGTATGGGCCTGTAGACCCAGCCAGGAATTGGAGACTGTGCTGTGCCATGATCGTGCCTGTGAAAAGACAATGTACTCCATCCTGGACAACACAGCCAGACCAACCCCACGTCAAAAAAGACAGAAAGAGAAAGGAAGAGAGAAAGAGAGAAAGGAAGGAAGGAGAAAGAAAGGAAAAGAAAAGAGAGAAAGAGAGAGAAAGAAAGAAATTACAACTATCACTATTTATTATCATGAAGTAAACTCCATAGAAGGATGAATGAATCATGTTTTACTGTTGTTGTTTTGGCTTGATTTAATTTTATTTTTTTAACCATGAGATCCCTTTATTGAACATCTTGTTTTGGTCAGTTTTGAGTGAATTTTTATAGAAATCCTGATAGGTCCTCCAAGAAATTGCCATAAAGCCTTATTCAAGCCAGTCCAGCTTTCAGAACAAGTAGATTCCTGGAATAAGGAGTGAAGACCGTATTTATAGCTTAAATTTTTATATTCCAATTCTTTTTTTTTGAGATGAAGTCTCACTCTTGTCCCCAGGCTAGAATGCAATGGCTCACTGCAACCTCCGCCTCCCGGATTCTAGCAATTCTCCTGCCTCAGCCTCCCGAGTAGCTGGGATTACAGGCATCTGCCACCACACTCAGATACTTTTTGTATTTTTAGTAGAGACGTGGTTTTACCATGTTGGCCAGGCTGGTCTTGAACTCCTGACCTCAGGTGATCTGCCCGCCTCGGCCTCCCAAAGTGCTGGGATTACAGGCGTGAGCCACCGTACCTGTCCTTTGATATTCCAATTGTGATTGGAGAGCATTTTTGTCAGTGTTTGTATTTAGAAGTTTATCTTGAAGGATATTACAAAGGGTACAGATGAAGAGACGTATAGAGCAAGGTAGGTGGGAAGGGACGTGGGGCTTCCATGCCCTCTCCAGTGTGCACCACCTTCCAGGAACTTCCCTGTGCTCAGCTATCTGGAAACTGCTGAATCATATTTTTAATTTTCTTTATTTTGTGATGCCTTGACATCCTGAGGGCCTTGCTGGCCAGGGAGAGACTACCTCTCCCAGGGCTAGTTAATTCCTAGAGGTAGCAAATGGCTCCCCTGTAAACTCCCTCCCTTCCTTCCTCCCTTCCTTCCTTCCTCCCTCCCTTCCTTTTTCCTTCCTTTTTCTTTCCTTTATCTCTCTCTCGCTCTCTTTCTCTTTTCTCTCTCCCTCTCTCTTTATCTTTCTCTCTTTCTGACAGAGTTCACCCTTGTTGCCTAAGAGTGCAGTGGCACGACCTCGGCTCATTGCAACTTCCGCCTCCTAGATTCAAGCGATTTCTCCTGCCTGAGCCTCCTAAGTAGCTGGGATTACAGGCCAGTTAATTTTGTATTTTTAGTAGAGATGGGGTTTCACTATGTTGGTCAGGCTGGGCTCAAACCCCTGACCTCAGGTGATCCATCCACCTCGGCCTCCCAAATTGCTGGGATTACCGGCTAGAGCCACCCGCCCTGCAGACTCACCTTTCTTATGCAAACCAACCAACCAAAGCACATATTTGCAACCACTTTAGCTTACTCTCAGACACCAAGTGAACATTTCCCCTGCTCTAAATCACCCCAGGGCCAGGTGCCAGACGATCAGAGGCCACCTCTATAACCCTGAGCCAACTGAAATGATTTTAAGCTATATAATCCTAAATTTGCTCAAATTTGCCTGTGTCCTGCCTCATCCCTTCCTTTCCATAGAAATGACAATAAAGGCTTTGGGCCGCGCTTCTGTCCTTTGCTCCTTCTGCCTCCTGACCAATCCTGATACTTCACTCTATGGCCCTATGTGTCATGATGTGGCCCCTTCTCTTCAGGAACTGTAAGTAATAAGACTTCTTGCAGGGCACGGTGGCTCATGCCTGTAATCCCAGCACTTTGGGAGGCTGAGGTGGGGGGATCACGAGGTCAGGAGATCAAGACCATCTTAGCTAACATGGTGAAACCCTGTCTCTACTAAAAATATAAAAAATTAGCCAGGCGTGGTAGCATACGCCTGTAGTCCCAGCTACTTGGGAAGCTAAGGCAGGAGAATCTCTTGAACCCGGAAGGTGGAGGTTGCAGTGAGCCAAGATCACGCCACTGCACTCCAGCCTGGGCTGCAGAGCGAGACTCCATCTCAAAAAAAAAAAAAAAAAAAAAAGGTCAGGAGATCGAGACCATCCTGGCCAACATGGTGAAGCCCCATCTCTACTAAAAACAAAAATTAGCTGGGCCTGGTGGCACGTGCCTTTGGTCCCAGCTATTCAGGAGGCTGAGGCAGGAGAATTGCTTGAACCCAGGAGGCACAGGTTGCAGTGAGCCGAGACTGCGCCACTGCACTCTAGGCTGGAGTTCGAGACTCTGTCTCAAAAAAAAAAAGGCTTCTTTCAATGGCATTGTCCTGTCTGCATCATCACTCAGTCACCTCTATAAATTAAAATCCAGGTACAATTAAAACAAATAATAAATCATAAAATATTTTTAAGTAGTTAATTATGGGAGAGGGAAAGAATAAGGTGAGAGTGGCTAGAATAGAAGGTAGACTTCATTGAAATAACTTGTTTCAGAGAGTTGACTTTGGAAGCAAGTACACATTTTATATAATCATTAAGTAAAATTGAATTTTAAGGGGAAATTCCCCAAAATAAAATCAAACAAATAGTATTTAATGCATATCCAGTTGTGGCATAACCACACATAAAAACCATTCCAAATGACTTCATAACAGAAAATTTTCACTGTACATCAATAAAGGGAAACATCCTAAAGATTAAAAATTGCAAAAAATAAAAGCTTAGGCTGATTTCAATAATCATATTATTAGCAGCAGTATTGGTATTATTATTCTGAGACTACTGGGTGCACATTTTGGAATGCAAATGAATAATTTTGTGAGATATCAATTCTATTATTCCTATAATCTTGAATTTAGCTTGTAAATATTTGTATTAGTCCACTATATACCTAATTATGCTGCATAACAAACCACTCTAAACATCAATGACTCACAACCCTAAGCATTTATTTCTCATTCACATATCTGTGCCTCTGCATTAAGCTACATTCTACAGGTTGACTGGCATTTGAACAATTTAGGCTGGACTCAGCTGGGCTTAGCTCCAGATTGCACGTTTGGTTCAGGTCTACAAGATGTATCTTTCATTATTCTGAAAGCAATAGGCTATTTGTGGCATGTTCTTCTCATGGCAATGGCAGAGATAGAAGAGGGCAAGCCCATATGCACGAGCACATTACCAACCTTTTCAGTCATATGTGCTAATATACCATTGGCCAAAGCAAGTCACATATTCAAGCCCCAAGTCAATGGTTGTCATAAATGACATGAAAAAGTCTCATGGCAAAGCCTAATGTCAATAGGAAGGGATGGTATACTTTTTTCAGGGAGGTGATGGGGACGGAGAATTATTTTCTTTTTTTTTTTTTTCTTTTTTTTTTCGAGACAGAGTTTCGCTCTTGTTCCCCAGGCTGGAGTGCAATGGCTTGATCTCAGCTCACTGCAACCTCCCCCTCCCGGGTTCAAGAGATTCTCCTGCCTCAGCCTCCTGAGTAGCTGGGATTACAGGCATGCACCACCATGCCCGGCTAATTTTTTGTATTTTTAGTAGAGACACGGTTTCTCCATGTTGGTCAGGTTGGTCTCTAACTCCCGACCTCAGGTGATCTACCTGCCTTGGCCTCCCATAGTGCTGGGATTACAGGCATGAGCCACCTTGCCAGAATTTTCTTAAAAAACAAAACAAAAAAAACTACCATAATACCAACATGAACTTGTAATATATTTTATTAAAACAAAAAAAAATTTCTTTTCTCTGTCCACCTAAAGTGTCTAGAAACAAAAATACCTCAGTAGCTATAAGTACTCCTGGCACCTGAAGGAGTTCAGATTATGCCACTGCAAAATATGCCATGCTGGCATGTTGACTGTTTTGAGTTAAAAACACTCAACAAACAGCAGATACAAGGACATTCTGATGTCTCTTTTTTTTTTTTTTTTGAGATGGAGTCTCGCTCTGTCACCTAGGATGGAGTGCAGTGTCACAATCTTGGCTCACTGCAACCTCCACCTCCCAGGCTCAAGCAATTCTCCTGCCTCAGCCTCCCAAGTAGCTAGGATTACAGGTGTGCACCACAACACCCGGCTCATTTTTTGTATTTTTAATAGAGATGGGGTTTCACAATGTTGGCCAGGCTGGTCTCAAACTCCTGACCTCAAGTAATCCGCCTGCCTTGGCCTCCCAAAGTGCTGGGGTGCTGGGATTATAGGCGTGAGCCACCACGCCTGGCCTGATCTCCCTTCTTTTTCTTAAAAACAAGAGATGAAATTACCATGTGAGAGTGGCTCTTCCTGTAACAGGAGAAAAGAAACTTTCTTATCATCTGGGAGGTTGAGACTGAGAGAATCCTGTACAAACAGACCTTATTAAAAAAATTGTTATCTTCCTTTAGCCTCCACATACATTTTCGTTTTTTTTTTTTTTTTTTTTTTTGAGATGGAGTCTCGTTCTGTCGCCCAGGCTGGAGTGCAGTGGCGTGATCTCGGCTCACTGCAAGCTCCACCTCCAGGGTTCACGCCATTCTCCTGCCTCAGCCTCCCGAGTAGCTGGGACTACAGGCGCCTGCCACCATACCTGGCTAATTTTTTGTATTTTTAGTAGAGACAGGGTTTCACTGTGTTAGCCAGGATGGTCTCGATCTCCTGACCTTGTGATCCGCCAGCCTTGGCCTCCCAAAGTGCTGGGATTACAGGTGTGAGCCACCGCTCCCGGCCTCTTTTTTTTTTTTTTTGAGACAGAGTTTTGCTCTTGTTGCCCAGGCTGGCGTGCAATGGTGTGATCTCAGCCCACTGCAACCTCTGCCTCCTGGGTTCAAGTGATTCTCTTGCCTCAGCCTCCTGAGTAGCTGAGAGTACAGGCACCTGTCATCACGCCTGGCTAACTTTTTGTATTTTTAGTAGAGACGGGGTTTCATCATGTTGGCTAGTCTGGTGTTGGAACTCCTGACCTTAGGTGATCCGCCTGTCTTGGCCTCCCAAAGGGCTGGGATTACAGGCGTGAGCCACCGCGCCCGGTCTAATTTTTGTATTATTAGTAGAGATGGGGTTTCACCACGTTGGTCAGGCTGGTCTTGAACTCCTGACCTCGTGATCTGCCCGCCTCTGCCTCCCAAAGTGCTGGGATTTCAGGCGTGAGCCACCTCACCAGGTTCAAAATTCTGTCTTTTTACTGGAAGAAAACGATCCCTCCCTTACCCACATCCTTACTTTGTATCCTGGCTTATAACAGGCCATCAATTTTTTTTTTTTTTTTTTTTTTGAGATGGGGTCTCGCTCTGTCATCCAGGCTAGAGTGCAGTGGCATAATCTTGACTCACTGCAACCTCCATTTCCGGGATTCAAGCAACTTTCCTGCCTCAGCCTCCCGAGTAGCTGGGATTACAGGCACCTGCTGCCACGACATCAGGCTAATTTTTGTATTTTTAGTAAAGACAGTGTTTCACCATGTTGGCCAGGCTGGTCTCGAACTCCTGACCTCAAGTGATCCGCCCGCCTCAGCCTCCCAAAGTGCTGGGATTACAGGCGTGAGGCACTGCGCCCAGCCTGAGCCACCATGCCTGGCCAGGCCATCCATTTTTGTAGCACTTTTTTTTTTGAGATGGATTCTCACTCTGTTTCCCAGGCTAGAGTGCACTGGCACAACCTCAGCTCACTGCAACCTCGGTCTCCTGTGCTCAAGCAATCCTTCTGCCTCATAGAAGCGCGCGCCACAACACCTGGCTAATTTTTATATTTTTAGTAGAGACAGGGTTTCGCCATGTTGGCCAGGCTGATCTTGAACTCCTGACCTCAAGTGATCCACCCACTTTGGCCTCCCACAGTGCTGGGATTACAGGTGTGAGCCACCAGGCCACTCCACACCCAGCCTTGTAGCACACTTTAAAACAATTATATGGGCATGGTGGTGCATGCCTGTTGTTGGGGGGTAGGGCTGAGGCAGGAGAATCGCTGAACCCAGGTGGCAGAGGTTGCAGTGAGCTGGGACCGTGCCATTGCACTCCAGCCTGGGCAACTTGAAACTCCATCTCAAAAACAAAAAACAAAAATACAATTATATAATCTGGTTCTATCTTTCTAGGGCCACCTGGATCTGCCTATACAGGAGGAAAAATAAAGCCACCAACTTTTACACAGCCCTGCTAATCATGGAAGTGTGTCCAGGCTTCAAATAACTTGAGTTTTAATTTCTTAAATTAAAATTGGGAAATATATTTAATATTTAATACTAAGCTTTAAAACAAAACCTGCTAGCATTGTTATGTATCCTGATGCAAAGACTATGATGTTAATAAAAGATAGTACAGAAGACAAAAAATAAAATAGAATAAAAATAAAGGCTTTCTCTTCCAGAGTTATATACTGAAATGTTTATAGATACCATTATTTCATGGCTGGGGTTTGCTTCATAATAATCTGGAGTTGAGGACAGTGGGTGGCAGCTAACTGGACCAAGATTGACCATGAGTTGACAATTGTTGATGCTGGATGATAGGAAATGAAAGTTCACTATTCTGTTCTGTATGCTTTTGTGTATGTTTGAAGTTTTTCATGGAATACGAATGAACTATACACAACAGGGAATGAATCTCACAAATATTAAGCCAAACAAAAGAAGCTGGACCAAAAAAGCAAGCATACAGTATGATTCCATTTATATAAAGTTTAAAACAGGCAAAACAAATCCATGATGTTAGAAATCAGAATAATGGTGGCTGGGTGTGGTGGCTCATGCCTGTAATCCCAGCACTTTGGGAGGCCAAGGTGAGTGGATCACCTGGGGTCAGCAGTTCGAGACCATCCTGGCCAACATGGTTAAACCCTATCTTGACTAAAGATACAAAAATTAGCTGCACGTGGTGGCAGGTGCCTGTAATCCCAGCTACTTGGGAGGCTGAAGCAGGAGGATCGCTTGAACCCAGGAGGTGGAGGTTGCAGTGAGCCGAAATCGTGCCATCGCACTCCAGCCTGGGCAACAAGGGTGAAATTCCTTTTCAAAAAAAAAAAAAGAAATCAGAATAATGGTTACCCTTGGGAAATAACAACTGAGAGGAGTCAAGGGGTTTCTGCTGCATGGGAAATACTCTTTATGGTCTAGGTATTGGTTATATAAGTATCTTTACTTTGTAAAAATTCATCAAACTGTATACTTATGATTTAAGTCCTTTTTTGTATAAAACCTGTACTTTAAAGATGTTTTGATTTGCAAAATAAAAAGTAAAAGTAAATAAACAGTAAGAACGGTTGCATATCCTATGATAGCTATTCCTACACCAAATGTAAGCGGATATTTTAGGAAGACAGCTCTACTAATAATACTATGCTCAACTCTGTTAATAGAAACAAGGAAACAAATACCCAAAACCCAGAAAGCAAACTCAGTCAGTACCTAATTCTCTCTCTTTTTTTTTTTTTTTTGAGACAGGGTCTCACTGTGTCGCCCAGGCTGGAGTGCAGTAGCATAATTTCGGCTCACTGCAACCTCCACCTCCTGGGTTCTAACAATCCTCCTGCCTCAGCCTCCCTAGTAGCTGGAACTACAGGCGCGTGCCACCAAACCCGGCTAATTTTTGTGTATTAGTAGAGATGAAGTCTCACTTTGTTGCCCAGGCTGGTCTCAAACTCCTGGGCTCCAGCGATCCA
Organism: Homo sapiens; assembly: GCF_000001405.40. NCBI lineage: Eukaryota > Metazoa > Chordata > Mammalia > Primates > Hominidae > Homo > Homo sapiens. The sequence continues at coordinate 100,052,452 of NC_000013.11, read as the reverse complement.
CCTGCCTCAGCCTCCTAAATTGCTAGGATTATGGGCATGAGCCACTGTGCCTGGTCTACCTCAGCCTTTTGTGTGTGTGTTTGTTTTGTTTTGTTTTGTTTTGTTGAGATGGAGTTTTGCTCTTGTTGCCCAGGCTGGAGTGCCATGGCGCGATCTCGACTCACTGCAACCTCCGCCTCCCAGGTTCAAGCAATTATCCTGCCTCAGCCTCCTGAGTAGCTGGGATTACAGGCATGCGCCACCATGCCTGGCTAATTTTTTTTGTATTTTTAATAGAGACGGGGTTTCTCCATGTTGGTCAGGATGGTCTCGATCTCCTGACCTCGTGATCCACCCGCCTCGGCCTCCCAAAGTGCTAGGATTACAGGCGTGAGCCACTGCGCCCGGCCCTACCTCTTTTGAATGGATCAGTATTTCACCAAAGTATCTGACAGGTAGTAAAACGGATTGATATATACCCATATATACACACAGAGAGGCTAATAAACATTGAAATGCCCCAAGCAATAGTAAGTCCACAAGGCCTACTCTTGTATGTAAGTAACAATATGGCAGTTTGACTTACTATATTTGACTAAATTCTTAGCTTGACTAAATAATACATACATACACATATCATACAACATATGTAATTTTGTTTTTCAAGGCATCAAGGAGCAATCTCAGCTTCAAATCTCTGATTTGAAATCACTTCAAATCTCTGATAAACACACTCTGCTTTGCCCTGTTGTAAAAGAAACTATAAACCAAAAAGAAAATCCTAACCTTCCCCAACCTACTGAATGGAGCTCCTATGGGCCAATGGGACCCCAGAGAAAGCTGAAAAACTGAATTTCTGGCCATGATGGGAAGGGGGGTCCAAAACACCTCGTTATCCCCTCTCCCTTTTGGAGGTGAGGTACAACTGACCAGCATTAACATTGAAACAGAGATCATGAGACAGAACAGACTCTTTGTGGCAATAAGATACCAAATTTCAACCTGACTCTGGTATAGCATCACATGACAGATAGCAGATCCTGAAGAAAATAAAAATATTTTACCTCAAAATAGATTTATTTGACATATTTTGAAATGGCCCTGCAAAGTCATCTTTCATGGGGGAAATTTGCATCTGTAGAGAATCTCCGTTAATGCAGCCAGGGCTTTCCCAGATCTAGGAGAGATTAGAGTCTGACACCTTTTAAGGTGTGAAAAGAAACATTTACCATTTATTCTCGCCAAAGGAAGAGCCTGGAGGCTTCATCTAAATAAAAACATTGGCTTCCACAAGCCGCTTTATCTTAACTCAAGCATTTCTTTCTACTGACTTCAAGCCTTTAGACAAAGCTTAATTCTTTCTACCAACTGCCAGTTAGATAATCTTTGAATCCACCTGTGACTTCTAAGATCCCCTGAACCCTTTCTCCCAACCCCCATCATCCCCAACCCCCCACTTTGAGATGTCCTGCCATTATGGGCCAAATTAATGTATACCCTTACATATATTGATTTATGTCTTTGCCTGTAACTTCTTTCTCCCTAAAATGTATAAAACTAAATTGTAACCCAACCACTTTGGGTGCACTTTCTCAGTGGTGCAGGATTTTTTGCTCCTTAGCTCAGCTAATCCAGGATCTTGTTTTATGATCAGGGAGAATTAGGTACACAGACACATGGAAGGGTGAGGAGGGTGGAATTTATTAAACGAAAGGAAAACTCTCAGCAAAGAGAGGGGGTCTTGCAAGCAGGTTTCCACCTCACAAATTGAATACCATGACTACCACACAGGAGCTGAAGAGGCCAGGCTCCTCCCCTGCATAAGGTGTGAATTCCTGGTGGCTCCACCCCATTCCCCCAGTGCATGTGGGCCTCCAGTAGGCTGCGGGCATGCCCAAACAAGCGCCCTGTGCAGGTTCCCTTATTTACAGGAAACATATGGTGTAAACACTTGCTGGGGGGTGGGGGGGCGGCAGGCACAGTGGTTCACACCTGTAATCCCAGCATTTTGGGAGGCTGAGGTGGGCGGATCACTTGAGGCCAGGAGTTTGAGACCACACCCTGGGCAACATGGTGAAAACTCATCTCTATCAAAAAATACAAAAATTAGCCGGTTGCGGTGCATGTGCCTGTTGTCTCAGCTACTGCGGAGGCTGTGGCAGGAGGATTGCTTGAACCTGGTAGGCGGAGGTTGCAGTGAGCCGACATCATGCACTGCACTCCAGCCTGGGTGATAGAGACCCTGTCTCAAAAAAACAAAACAAAACAAACAAAAAAACACTTGTGGGGCATGTCAGAGATTCTCTGGGTCCCTTCCTTATCTGCCCAGGCCTTTGGCTGCCTCCTGCCTCTATCAACAGGACTTCTGGAGACCATTCCCCAGGCCATGGTCATTTGTATTGGCTCAGAATAATCCTCTTTGAATATTTTACAGAGTTTGCGTTTTTTTCGTTAACGATATACATACTCTGTCACCAATACAATATAAAAGCTGGATAAGACACACCAATCTGAACCACTTTCTAACGCGATGCAGTCCTCTATTTAATATAAAAACAAAATCCATTGTGTGACCTTCCTTGACTCTACCTCAAATTCACTACCTTGTCTGCATCACACATCTGGTAAAGAGTGAAATTATAACTTTTTTTTTTGAGATGGAGTTTCACTGTTCTTGCCCAGGCTGGAGTGCAATGGTGCGATCCTGGCTCACTGCAACCTCCACTTCCCAGGTTCAAGTGAATCTCCTGCCTTAGCCTCCCAAGTAGCTGGGATTAGAGGCACATGCCACCATGCCCAGCTAATTTTTGTCTTTTTAGTAGAGATGGGGTTTCGCCACGTTGGCCAGGCTGGTCTCGAATTCCTGACCTCAGGTGATCTGCCCACCTCCCAAAGTGCTGGGATTACAGGTGTGAGCCACCCTGCCTGGCTGGAATTAGAACCAGTAACCATTATAATTACAGGTCTCAGTGATAAAGCTTTAGAAAGGCAGTGATGTTAAGACACTTTCCACTCATCCCTCAGGCCCACACTTTACTCTTCTAATATTTCAACTGGTGTTCCCCTTAGAATAAGCAAATAAATAGATATTTTCCCTTGTAACTCAGGTTCCCTTAAGAGATTAAAAGAAGTTTATTATCCATGATAATTTTAGATATTATAAGAGTTCAGGGTCAAAGGAAATATTATATCTCCCTCAACTGCTTATTAATACTTACGAGATACTGAAGTAGTTTGGATATTCATCCCCACCCGAATCTCATGTTGAATTGTAATCCCCAATGCTGGAGGTGGGGCCTGGTGGGAGGTGTTTGGATAATGGGAGAGGATTCCTCGTGGCTTGGTGCTGTCTTTGTGATAGTGAGTGAGTTATTGTGATCTGGTCATTTAAAAGTGTGCGGCACCTCCCTGCCTCCCCTTGCTTCTGCTCTGGTCATGTGACATGTCTGCTCCCACTTCACCTTCCTCCATGAGTGAAAGTTTCCTGAGACCTCCCCAGAAGCCAAGCAAAGGCTGGAACCATGCTTCCTGTACAGCCTGCAGACCATGAGCCAATTAAACCCCTTTTCTTTATAAATTACCCAGTCCCAGGTATTTCTTCATAGCAATGCAAGAATGACCTAACACAAGTATCTTTCATTCTACTATTAGAAATAAAGAGAAACGGGGGTCTTCTGTTTCTGACCATGATCAAATAGCTTGGATTGGACTAACCTCCCACAGAACAATTGTAAAGACTACCCAACAGGCCGGGCATGGTGGCTCATGCCTGTAATCCCGGCACCTTGGGAGGCCGAGGTGGGCGGATCAACTGCGGTCAGGAGTTTGAGACCAGCCTGGTCAACATGGCGAAACCCCGTCTCTACTAAAAAAATACAAAAATTAGTCAGGCGTGGTGGTGTGTGCCTACAATCCCAGCTACTCTACTCAGGAGGCTGAGGCAGGAGAACAGCTATAACCCAGGAGGTAGAGGTTGCAGTGAGCCAAGATCATGCCACTGTACTCCAGCCTGGGCAACAGAGTGAGACTCTGTCTCAAAAAAAAAAAAAAAAAAAAAAAAAGAACTACACATCATACTTAAATTGATTGTGTGGCCAAACTGTTGGTGCCCCACTTAGATCTCCTTAGGTCCCTTTTCCCAGTCCCATGTACTCACTTGTCAGCAACTATAGCAAATACTTTGTTGCTAATAATTTACACTTGCAATCTTTAGAGTATGCATTCTCAACAGGGGCAATAATTGATTCTTGGGGAGCAAAAAGTGTATAAAGGTTTTTTTTTTTTTTTTTTTTTTTTGAGGCTGAGTTCTGCTGTGTCGCCCAGACAGGAACACAGTGGCACGATCTTGGTTCACTGCAACCTCTGCTTCCCGGGTTTAAGCGATTCTCCTGCCTCAGCCTGTGGAGTAGCTGGGATTACAGGCGTGCAACACTAGGCCCAGTTAATTTTTTGTATTTTTAGTAGAGACGGGGTTTTACCATGTTGGCCAGGCTAGTCTCAAACTCCTGACCTCAGGTGATCCACCCGCTTCAGCCTCCCAAAGTGTTGGGATTATAGGCATGAGTCACTGCACCTGGCCTAAGTTATTTTATGTATAAAAAGCGTTTACTCTTTTTATGTATAAACCCAAATAAAAATATAATACATAAACAGGTACACAGTAGGCCGGGCAGGGTGGCTCATGCCTGTAATCCCAGCACTTTGGGAGACTGAGGCAGGAGGATCACCTGAGGTTGGGAGTTCGAGACCAGCCTGACCAACATGGAGAAACCCCATCTCTGATAAAAAATACAAAATTAGCTGGCTGTGGTGGCACATGCCTGTAATCCCAGCTACTCAGGAGGCTGAAGCAGGAGAATCGCTTAAACCCGGGAGGCGGAGGTTGTGGTGAGCCAAGATCACACCATTGCACTCCAGCCTGGACAGCAACAGCAAAACTCTGTCTCAAAACAAAAAACAAAACCAAAAAAACGGATACACAGTATATTTGTGGTAATCAAATTACATGGCGGGGTGAACGGAAAAAAAATGCCAGGCTGCACATGGTGGCTCATGTCTGTAATACCAGCACTCTGGGAGGCCAAGGTGGGAGGACTGCTTGAGTCTAGGAGTTTGAGACCAGCCTTGGCAACATGGCAAAACCCTGTCTCTACAAAAAATACAAAAATTAGCTGGGCACAGTGGGTCACACCTATAGTCCCAGCCACTTAGGAGACACGCAGGAGGGTCATTTGAGCCCAGGGGGCAGAGGTTGCAGTGAGCCAAGATCAAGCCATTGCACTCCAGCCTAAGTGACAGAGCAAAATCCTATCTCAAAAAAAAAAAAAAAAAGTTTTGGCAAGAATATGAAGAAATTGGAACCCTCATGCATTGTTGGTAGGAGTGTAAAATGGTGCAGCCACTGTAAGAAAACAGCTTAGAAGTGCCTCAAAAAGGTAAATAGAATATAATTACCGTATCATCTAGAAATTCCACATCTAGGACAAAATGGTAAATTTAATGTTATATATATTTTGCCACAATTTAAAAAAGCAAATTTCTTTTTCTTTTTTTTGAGACAGAATCTCACTCTGTCACCCAGGCTGGAGTGCAGTGGGCACGATCTCTGCTTACTGTGACCTCCGTCTCTCAGGTTCAAGTGATTCTCCTGCCTCAGCCTCCCGAGTAGCTGGGATTACAGGCATGCAACACCATGCATGGCTAATTTTCGTATCTTTTAGTAGAGACAGGGTTTCACCATGCTGGCCAGACTGGTCTCAAACTCTTCACCTCAGGTGATCCACCCACCTCCACCTCCCAAAGTGCTGGGATTACAGGTGTGAGCCACTGCACCCGGCCAAAAAAAAAAAAGCAAAGTTCTAAACAGTATTCTACCTCTTGTGTTAGAAACAGATACATAAGACTACAGGCCGGGCCTGGTGGCTCACGCCTGTAATCCCAGTACTTTGGGAGGCCAAGGCGGGTAGATCACCTGAGGTCAGGAGTTCAAGACCAGCCTGGCTAACATGGTGAAACCCTGTCTCTACTAAAAATACAAAATTAGCCAAGCGTAGTGGCACATGCCTGTAATCCCAGCTTTTTGTGAGGCTGAGGCAGGAGAATCATTTGAACCCAGAAGGCAGAGGTTGCAGTATGCCAAGATCACACCACTGCACTCCAGCCTGGGCAACAAGAGTGAAACTCTGTCTAAAAAAAAAAAAACAAAAAAACTATATATTCATATTTCCTTGTATTTGCCTAAAGAAATATTAGAACAACAAACATTAAACATGTAAGGTTTACCTGTAAGAGGAGAAGTACAATTGGGTGGATGGATACAGATGTGAGGAGATTTCTCATAATGCATACTTTTCATATCATTTTTATTTTGGGTCATGTAATGCACTATGAATAAATTCTTCAAACAAGTAAATAAATACAATTTATCCAGATATGTTTTTACTCTGCCCCTCAATGAATACTCAAGGAGTGGCATGACTTTTCAGATCATTCTTACGTGATTAAAAGTCTCGTAGTTAGTTTGATTCACAAACGTAGTCTCAATTTCATTTTAAATAAAAATGTTTGATCCCATAAAATAATGCGCTGCAAAGTTAATTGAAGGTAGATCTTGTCCTCTCCCACGGATGGGGTCTGCAGTGGGGTAAGCCCGTTAGTGCCAGAAGGGAACACGGTCCTTTCTCCCCTCAAGCTGCTACCCTGCCTACTGTGATTTTACTAACCTCTCTTTCTGACCTGGCCTTCTCCACACAGAGGAGGACAGCAATGTTCTTATTCTACCCATAAGGTCATGAGATGGTTTCATGCTTTCTGGGCTTGCAGAAATTGAAAGCTGACTCTTTCTCTTTTGGAGTCCTTTATAGCAGAGGTCCCCAACCCCTGGGTGGCAGACTGCTCTCTGTCAGTGGCCCGTTAGGAACCAGGCCACACAGCAGGAGGTGAGCAGAAGGCAGGAGAGCATTACCTCCTGAGCTTCACCTTCTGTCAGATCAGCAGCAGCATTAGATTCTCATAGGAGTGCAAACACTATTGTGACCTACACATGTGAGTGATCTAGGTTGTGTGCTACCTATGAGAATCTAATGCCTGACGATCTGCGGTGGAACAGTTTCATCCTGAAATCATCCCCCCACCCCTCACCCACCCCATCCATGGAAAAATCGTCTCCAAAAAGGTTGGAGACCACTGCTTTATAGGTTCTTAGGAGATGTCTCCCACAAATCATCGTCAGACTCTCACCTGCAGTTCCCTTGAACAGAAAAAAATGCACTCTATTTCAAGGACCTTATTCATTCCTAACCACTAGGAATTCAGTGAGTTTCTGCCAGCTTCTCCCCTGCTAGGCCTGTTCACCCTTTCAGTGGCCTTTGAGTCAGATTATGAAATGGCCCGAAACAGGCTGTCTTTTCATGGGACAGATGTTGCACTCCAGCCTAGGTGACATTTTTATTTAAAATGAAATTGAGACTATGTTTGTGATTCAAACCAACTATGGGACTTTTAATTAAGTAAGAATTCCCATGACATCTGGTTCATGGGAAACACTTAAGCACTCGTTGCCTAACAAACTCTGGAATAACAGGCTAATTCCAATCTACTAGTAACTCTCCTCTGTTCCACCTCCAAGCTGCAAGGCAGCCCTTCTCTCTCTTTTTTTTAAGGCAGAGTTTTGCCCTGTCGCCCAGGCTGGAGTGACCTTAGCTCACTGCAACCTCTGCCTCCTGGGTTCAAGTCATTATCCTGCCTCAGCCTCCCGAGTAGCTGGGATTACAAGCAGCCGCTACCACACCTGGCTAACTTTTGTATTTTTAGTAGAGACGAGGTTTCACCATGTTGGCCAGGCTGGTCTCGAACTCCTGACCTCATGATCCACCCACCTTGGCCTCCCAAAGTGCTGGGATTACAGCCTTTCTCTTAATGTCAAGATTTCCTCCATCCTGGCTAACATGGTGAAACCCCGCCTCTACTAAAAAAATACAAAAAATTAGCCAGGCATGGTGGCGGGCACCTGTAGTCCCAGCTACTCGGAGGCTGAGGCAGGAGAACGGCATGAACCCGGGAGGCGGAGCTTGCAGTGAGCCGAGATCACAACACTGCACTCCAGCCTGGGCAACAGAGTGAGACTCCGTCTAAAAAAAAAAAAAAAAAAAAAAAAGATTTCCTGGCCGGGCGCGGTGGCTCACGCTTGTAATCCCAGCACTTTGGGAGGCTGAGGTGGGCGGATCACGAGGTCAGGAGATCGAGACCATCCTGGCTAACACGGTGAAACCCTGTCTCTACTAAAAATACAAAAAAAAATTAGCCGGGCGTGGTGGCGGGCGCCTGTAGTCCCAGCTACTCGGAGAGGCTGAGGCAGGAGAATGGCATAAACCCGGGAGGCGGAGGTTGCAGTGAGCCGAGATCGCGCCACTGCACTCCAGCCTAGGCGACAGAGCGAGACTCTGCCTCAAAAAAAAAAAAAAAAAAAAAAAAAAAAATGTCCCCAGGAGGAATCAGACATTAGTGAACTGTGACCTGATAAATAAATTAAGAGAACACATATTAAGCTTTCCAGTTGGTCTTATTGAAGCCTTTCTCTTTTAACTTCAGATGAGTGGGAAATAAAGTGTCTACTTCTCTACATTAGAGGAGAGTAGGCTTCAAAGCCCATCAGCAGCTCTTGCCAAAGAAAGCCTTGTAAAAAATTCCTCTCTCTTAAGAGTGAAGACACTGCACAACACCTTAGTCAGATTATCAAAATGAATATCAATGATGAGAAACAGACATATTGGTGCACCTAAAAATGTGATACTCTGAGAATATATCATTTATGTAGCATTTTAATTAAGAACACATAACCTGAATATTATCATGAGAAAACTAAAAATGAGAATCATTCTTGTTAAAAAAGAATCAGATATCATTGTCATAAAGGACAAAGAAAAGCTCAGGAACTGTTCCAGACAAGAGACTAAAGAAACAACAACTAGGCCAGGCACAGTGGCTCAGGCCTATAATCCCACCAATTTGGGAGGCCGAGGTGGGCGGATCACCTGAGGTCAGGAGTTGGAGACCAGCCTGACCAACATGGAGAAACCCCACCTCTACTAAAAATACAAAATTAGCCGGGCATGGTGGCACATGCCTGTAATCCCAGCTACTTGGGAGGCTGAGGCAGGAGAATAGCTTGAACCCAGGAGGCGGAGGTTGCCATGAGCTGAGATCGCGCCATTGCACTCCAGCCTGAGCAACAAGAGCGAAACTCTGTCTCAAAAAAAAAAAAAAAAAGAAAAGAAAAAAGAAACATAACAACTAAATGTGATATGGATACTGCAACCTCTAGTGGAGGACAAAACAAATGCTATAAAGAACATTATTTAGGCAGTTGACAAATTGGAATGTGGATGGTAGATTATTTTTAAAAGTATCGTTTCAATGGGAAATTTCCTGACATTGATAACTGTACTGTGACTTTCTAACAGAATGTCCTTTTTCTTAGGAAATATACAAGGAAGTATCTGGAGGCAAAGGGGCGTGATGTATGTAGTTTATTCTTCAATAGTTTAGAAAAAAATATATATATGTTGACAGAGAAAGAATAAATCCCTAACAATAAGCAAATGAAATAAAATGTTAACAGTAAGTAAATCTGGATAAAAGGTAAATAGGTAAGGCTGGGTGTGGTGGCTCACGCCTGTAATCCCAGCACTTTGGGAGGCCAAGGCGAGCGGATCACGAGGTCAGGAAATTGAGACCATCCTGGCTAACACGGTGAAACCCCACCTCTACTAAAAATACAAAAAATTAGCAGGGTGTGGTGGCCAGTGCCTGTAGTCCCAGCTACTCGGGAGGCTGAGGCAGGAGAATGGTGTGAACCCAGGAGGTGGAGCTTGCAGTGAGCCAAGATCATGCCACTGTACTCCAGCCTGGGCCACAGAGCGAGACTCCATCTCAAAAAACAAAAAACAAAAAAAGGTAAATAGGTATTTCTGATATCATTCTTACAACTTTTCTGTAAGTTTGAAATCATTTCCAAATAAAAATGTTTTTATTTAAAAAAAAGTCTGCTCTCTCTCTCTTATTCAAGAATATGATTCATATGTATCCCTGATAAAGGTAAAGGGACCAAGAGTCATACAATAATAATGTCTTCTATTTAACCATTTCAATATGAAAAAAATTATACACAAATAAAAAAGTGTATATTATGAACACACAGCTTAGAAAATAACAAACACCTGTGTACCGAGGATGTAGCTTAGAGAGAGAACATTATCAATACTTTGACACCCTTCCCCCACATCATGCTTTTTCCCAGTCATCATTCCACCCGAGGTAATTACGATCCTGAATTTTATAATAATTGTTCAATCATTTTCTTCAGGGATTTATGACATATATATGTTGAGCTTAACAATGTATAATTTAAATGTGCCTGTTTTACATTTGATACAAACAGAATATTGTTTACTCTTCTGTGACTTACTTTTTCCATTCAATATTACATTTTTTAGATCATTCTTACTAATGAGAACAGCTAAGGCACATTTATTTTCATTGCTAAAAAACAGATCAATGTATGACTATACTGTTATTTATTTATTTATTTATATTATTTATTTTTTTGAGACGGAGTTTCACTCTTGTGGCCAGGCTGGAGTGCGATGGCATGATCTCAGCTCATGGCAACCTCCGCCTCCTGGGTTCAAGCGATTCTTCTGCCTCAGTCTCCCAAGTAGCTGGGATTACAGTCATGTGCCACCACACCCAGCTAGTTTTATATTTTTAGTAGAGACGGGGTTTCTCCATGTTGGTGAGGCTGGTCTCGAATTCCCAACCTCAGGTGATCCGCCTGCCTCGGCCTCCCAAAGTGCTGGGATTACAGGCATGAGCCACCACGCCCGGTCTGATTATACTGTAATTTATTTATCTAGCTTACTATTGATGAACATTTGTGTTGCTTCTGTGTTTCTGTCCTTATTAAACAATGATAGTATTAACATTCTTGCACTTGTCTCTTGAGGAGAATGAGCCTTCTCTAGGTTATGGAAGTTTCTTCATATTCCTAGCTTATTTAGATTGGGCTTTTTTTTTTTTTACTTATTAAGATGATCATATGGTTTTCAATACTTTATCCTCTTAATCTAGTAAATGGCATATATTATTAATAATGACAATAGAATTGATTTTTGAACATTACACTTTACCTTACATTCGTGGGTTGAGTCCAATTTGGTAATGATGTATTTATCATTCTTATTAATCACTAGATTCAATTTGCTTAGATTTTACTTAGGATTTATGAGTGAGATGACCCTATACATTTCTTTTACTATCTTTGTTAGCTTTTGGTGTTGCTCTAAATGAGTCTCTTTCATAACGAATGAGAATTTCAAAGATAGAGAAAAGTTGCTGACAGTGACAATACAAAGGACTCTAGATATTAGAATAATTATTCTGTCTTCTGATTCTCCTTTCCTAATTCTCTCATCCCATTTATAGAGAATAATATTTTTAAATGATATATACTATGCCACATCTCTTTTTTCAATTTTTTATATTTTATAGAAATTGAGCCAATACAGGAAATAATGTAAATGATGATAAATAGAGTTAAATTATTGAGTTATAATTCCTAAAATTATACTTTGGGCCGGGTGTGGTGGTGGGTGCCTGTAATCCCAGCTACTTAGAAGGCTCAGGCACAAGAATCACTTGAACCCGGGAGGCAGAGGTTGCAGTGAGCCGAGATTGTGCCACTGCACTCCAGCCTGGGCGATAGAGCGAGATTCCATGTTAAAAAAAAAAAAAAATTATACTTTGGAAATAAATCATGTTCTATAATTTCCCACTGAAGGGAGTGGTCTCTTCATACCATGTCATGTCAACAGCTGTTTCAAGTTAGAAAGATATGTTAGTGAAAAAGTATGAAAAATAACTCTTAAAATATTAATAGAGAAAAATAAAAATTGAAGTCACAAACCTGGGTATTTTGCTGCTTCCTCTAAAAATGAAACTGTAGTTGATGAATGCATTCATGTGCTAACTCCCTAGTATACAGAGAAAATTAGACTTGAAGTGATTCCGTCTTTGTTAAATGCAAACAAAATTGTTGACTCAGCTCTCAACAGGAAAGGCAATGTCCTTGTCGTGGGAATTCAAAACATAAAAGGAGCAAATGTTGTACAAGCTATCTAGTGACAATTTGAATGAAAATAAGGTAATTAGGTTCTAATCTTCTAAGCTTAGGCATTTACACGCAAAATAAATGTATAAAGTGTTATATCTTACTATATTTTCTTGAAACTCTAGGACATTATTTTCTGAGACTGCTATTTTAAAAGTTATCAAAGCAATGCTAAGTCTCTTGGAGTTAAAGATATACAGTGTAGTTATTTAGGCATTGGTTCTCACACTCTCGGTCCTTCCACATGTCACATGGCTATACGATATTCCCAAGTCATGGATTTTACTGTTTGATCTCTGATTCAGCTCGAAGATATTTCAGGGCTCCAGAAGCTAGGCAGTTCTCTGAATACACTACGTATACATATGAAGCAGCTCAAATGTACAAGTGCTTCCATCAACAATCACTTCAAAGGTCATTAATAACTTACAGGTGTGAGAGTGGAAATGCCCTCTGCACTCTCCTGCCCCTTCCTGAACTCTGGTCACTCTCTCTGGGCCATTTTTGTAATGGTAAATTCTTAACTTGATATTTATTTTTCCCCATTTTCTCTTCTCTGGCTCTGGGGCTATTAAGATGACATTCCAAAATCTTCTAGGAAACACAAAATCGGACCAAAATGCTTAGATGTGTTAATTCTGTTTTTTAATCCTTTCGTGATGTATTTGTTTATTGACAGTAGAGAAAAGCAATTTAAATCCTTACATCGAGAGGACATATATAAAGGAAATGGAAAAACAGAACAGGTGGGTAGTAAAAATCTGCCTGGTTTGAATTATGGGAAGATTTTGATGGACTCTAACATCTGCTTGGTTTCTACTTCTGAAGATAATTTCTAAAACTTTACTAGCATCTCCAAAAAGGCCAATGAACTGCGTGTGAGAAAGAAGCTTAATCCAATGTCTAGATTAAGGTTTCTCACTAGTGGAACTACTGACATTCTGGGCAGGATAATTATTTGCTGTAGGGGGCTGCCCTGTGTACTGGAGGATGTGTAGCAGCATCCCGGGCCTCTACCCACTAGATACCAGTAGCACCCCTACCTCCAAGTTGTGACAACCAAAAATATCTCCAGACATTGCCAAATGTTCACTGAGGGGTAAAACTACCCCCAGTTGAGAAACACTATCACTGAGGGGCAAAACCTCCCCCAGTTGAGAAGCACTAATCTAGATGGAGGTGTCTTCTGATTTTAAGCCTATAAATATGAATCAACTCCACACCAGGACAAGCCAAATAAGACAGTTAAATGCATGTTTAGGAGCCAGGTGCAGCAGCATGCACCTCTAGTCCCAGCTACTCGGGAGGTTAAGGCAGGAGGATTACTTGAGCCCAGAGTTCAAGGCCAGCCTGGGCAACATAGCAAGACCCCCTTCTCTATTAAATAAATAAATAAACGCATGTTTAATCATTGGGTGAAGGAATATTTGTGCAATGCCAAAGTATCACTCCATAGCTTACCTGTAAGTACAAAGGGAAAATGTACCTTTCTGATAGAATTTGCAATTACTACCTTACTGCAAGTGACCACTTAAGTGATCAAACATAGCATCACTAATAATGGGAAAAAATGACTTTATATATTTAACCTGTGTTTAATCAAGTCTCTAGACTCACAATGAATTTATAGAAGAGAAGGGATACAGCAAGTTAAATAACATCATAATGAAACAGACAAACACAGAATGTAGGACATACTATAAGAAAAGCAGCCTGAACTCTTCAAAAAAGAGTTAATGTAGGGCCGGGTGCAGTGGCTCATGCCTATAATCCCAGCACTTTGGGAGGCCGAGGCGGGCAGATCACGAGGTCAAGAGTTCAAGACCAGTCTGGCCAACATGGTGAAACACTGTCTCTACTAAAAATACAAAAATTAGCTGGGCGTGGTGGCATGCATCTGTAATCCCAGCTACTCAGGAGGCTGAGGCAGGAGAATCGCTTATACCCAGCAGGCGGAGGTTGTGGTGAGCCAAGATCACACCACTGCACTCCAGCCTGGGTGACAGAGCAAGACTCCGTCTAAAAAAAAAAAAAAAAAAGAGTTAATATAATAGAAAATAAAAGGTGAGAGACTATTCTAGATCAAAAATTATTAAAGAGATGTAACAATGTGGAAACTTTTATTATATCTTATTATTTAATTTATTTATTTATTTTAATTTTATTTTAGAGATGAGGTCTCACCATGTTGCCCAGGCTCATCTTGAACTCCTGGGCTCAAGTGATCTTTCAATCTTTTTTTAAAAAGCTATAAAAGATACTTGTTGAAACAACTGGGCCGGGCACAGTGGCTCACGCCTGTCATCCCAGCACTTCGGGAGGCCCAGGCGGGCAGATCACGTGAGGTCAGGAGTTCGAGACCAGCCCGGCCAACATGGTGAAACCCATCTCTACCAAAAATACACAAATTAGCCAGGTGTGGTGGCAGATGCCTGTAATCCCAGCTCCTCGGGAGGCTGAGGCAGGAGAATTGCTTGAACCTGCGAGGCAGAGGTTGCAATGAGCCGAGATTGCACCACTGCACTCCAGCCTGGGTGACAGAAGGAGATTTTATCTCTTTTTTTTTTTTTGAAACGGAGTCTCGCCCTGTCGCCCAGGATGGAGTGCAATGGTGCAATCTTGGCTCACTGCAACCTGTGCCTCCCAGGTTCAGGCAATTCTCCTGCCTCAGCCTCCCAAGTAGCTGGGATTACAGGTATGTGCTACCATGCCTGGCTAATTTTTTATATCTTTAGTAGAGATGGGGTTTCACCATGTTGTCCAGGCTGGTCTTGAACTCCCGACCTCACGATCCGGCCGTCTCAGCCTCTCAAAGTGCTGGGATTATAGGCGTGAGCCACGGTGCCCAGCCTCGAGACTCCATCTCAAAAAAAAAAAAAAAAAGAAACAACTGGAGAAATTTGAATATTATCTGTATATTAGAAGTTGTGGGCTGGGTCCAGTGGCTCATGCCTCTAATCCCAGCCCTTTGGGAGGCCGAGACGGGCGGATCACCTGAGGTCAGGAATTCAAGACCAGCCTGACCAACATGGAGAAACTCCGTCTCCACTAAAAACACACAAAAAAAATTAGCTGGGTGTGGTGGTGCATGCCTGTAATCCCAGCTACTCGGGAGCCTGAAGCAGGAGAATTGCTTTAACCCGGGAGGCAGAGGTTGTGGTGAGCTGAGATCGCCATTGCATTCCACCCTGGGCAACAAGATCGAAACTCCATCTCAAAAAAAAAAAAATTGTCATAATGGTGATATAGTTATATTGGAGAATGTATTTTTAGCAGGTACATACTGAAAGTTTGGGTGTTGCTATGGTATCAAAAACCTTTTTTGGCTGGGCTCAGTGGCTCACACCTGTAATCTCAGCACTCTGGAAGGCCGAGGCCAGCAGATCACAAGGTCGGGAGTTCAAGAACAGCCTGGCCAACATGGCGAAACCCTGTCTTTACTAAAAATACAAAAAATTAGCTGGGCGTGAGGCGCATGCCTGTAGTTCCAGCTACTCAGGATGCTGAGGCAGGAAATTGCTTGAACCTGGGAGACAGAGGTTGCAGTGAGCTGAGAGCGTGCCACTAAACTCCAACCTGGGCAACAGGGTCTCACCATGTTGCCCAGGCTGGTCTCGAACTCCTGAGCTCAGGAGATCCACCTGCCTTGGCCTCCCAAAATGCTAAAATTACAGGAATGAGCCACCATGCCCAGCCCCAAAAAGCTTTTTTATGCACACACACACACACACACACACACACACACACACACACACACACTATATTCACCTGCCTCGACCTCCCAAAATGCTAAAATTACAGGAATGAGCCACCATGCCCAGCCCAAAAAGCTTTTTTATGCACACACAATCACACACACACGTACACAAACACACACACACACTAATTAGTCTCTACATAATGATGTTTCAGTCAATTATGGACCACATATATGATAGTGGTCGCATAAGATTATAATGGAACTGAAAATTTTATGTTGCCTAGTGATGTTCTAGCCATCATAACATCATAGTGCAACGCATCTCCTTTTCTATGTTTAACTATGTTTAGATACACAAATACTATTGTGTTACAATTGCCTAAGGTATTCAGTACAGTAACATGCTGTATAGGTTTGTAGACTAGGTGTATATCAGGCCATACCATCTCAGTTTCTATAGGTATACTCTACCATGTTTGCACAATGAAATTGCCTAATGACACATTCCTCAGAACACATCCCTGTCAAATGATGCATGACTATGCATATATATATATGCTGTATATATACATGTATACAAACATACAAACACATAGTTACTCTATGTGTGTGTATCTATAAATTGCTATATAGGCCAGGAGCAGTGGCTCATGCCTGTAATCCCAACACTTTGAGAGGCCAAGGTGGAAAGACTCAAGGTGCTTGAGAACCAGGAGTTCAAGATCAGCCTGGGCAACATAGTGAGACCCTGTCTCTACAAAAAATAAAACTAAACTAGGTAGGTGTGGTGGCATATACCTGTAGTTCCAGCTACTCAGGAGGCTGAGGCAGGAGGATCACTTGAGCCCAGGAGTTTGAGGCTACAGTGAGCTATGATCATGCCACTGCACTTCAGGCTCGGCAACAGAGTGACAGCCTGTCTCAAAAACTTGTTACATACATGAATTGTGTGTGTGTGTGTGTGTGTATGTGTGCATATATATATATATATATATATATAGTGCTAAGGTCTATATATATACAGAGAGAGAGAAAGAGAAGTACAAAGCAAATGTGGCAAAATGTTAACAGTTGTTTAATTTAGTTGGAGGTGTTCATTTTACTACTTTTTAAAGCTGTTAGTATGTTTGAAAAGTTACAAAATAAAAAAATTAGGGAATAATAAAAAAGAAAATTATTTAATATATAATCTAATGGAAAGGATCACTAGCATTTATATCATTGCCAATAATAATTGTGTATTGAATGTAAAGTACTGTGAGCAATTCAAAATATATATCATACACAATTCTTGCCCATGAAGGAAAAAAATTTAATTCCTTTATCAAAACTAAGAAAAGAAAGCTCTGAAAAATACAGCATAACAACTGCATAGCTTAGAATTGGATCTAAATAAATATCATTCTTTTTTCTTTTTTTTTTTGAGATGGAGATTCGCTTTTGTTGCCCAGGCTGAAGTACAATGGCATGATCTCGGCTCACTGCAACCTCCACCTCCTGGGTTCAAGCTATTCTCCTCCCTCAGCCTCCCGAGTAGCTGGGATTACAGGCACGTGCCACCATGCCCAGCTAATACTTCCTTTTTAGTAGAGATGGCGTTTCTCCATGTTGCTCAGGCTGGTCTTGAATTCCCGACCTCAGGTGATCTGCCCACCTTGGCCTCCCAACGTGTTGGGATTACAGGCGTGAGCCACTGTGGTCGGCCAAATATCAATTCTTGAAAAAAATCTTAACACCTTTTTTTTCTTTTTGAGATGGAGTCTTGCTCTGTTGCCCAGGCTGGAGTGCAGTGGTGCAATCTTGGCTGACTGCAACCTCTGCCTCCTGGGTTCAAGCCATTCTCCTGCCTCAGCCTCCCGAGTATCTGGGATTACAGGTGTTCACCACCACAACCAGCTAATTTTTGCCTTTTTAGTAGAGATAGAATTTCACCATGTTGGCCAGGCTGGTCTCGAACTCCTGACCTCAGGTGATCTGCCCTCCTCAGCCTCCCAAAGTGCTGGGATTACAGGCGCGAGCCATCGCACCTGGCCAACAACTTTTTATGTCTGTCCGGTATGGGTGTTGCATCAGCCTAACCATAGCCCACTAGACTGGGCCATGAGCTCTCAAAATTCATCCTGAGTCAATTCTTGTTCTTTCTTTCTTTTGAGACGGAGTCTCTCTCTGTCGCCAGGCTGGAATGCAGTGGCACACCACATCCAGCTAATTTTTGTATTTTTAGTTTCACCATGTTGGCCAGGATGGTCTCGATCTCCTGACCTCGTGACCTGCCCACCTCAACCTCCCAAAGTGCTAGGATTACAGGCGTGAGCCACCGTGCCCGGTCTTGTATTTTATTTTAATTTGGTAGTTAACTCACACCTACCCTGGTATTTTTGGACCCATGTCATAAATGAGAAAATTGAAGCACAGAGAGTTTTAGTAACTTTTGCAATTTTACCTGGCTAGTGAACATCAGGACTAGGACTCAAATCTAAGTAGTTCTGTTGAAACGTATAACCTAAGAAGGTGAAATGAAATCTATGTTTCATGGGACAGAAAGCATGGTTTTCCAGGCAGGGCTAAACTAAAAACTAAGTTAGAGATAAGATTACAGTTTACATAGCAATTATAGTTAAAAGTTTAAACTTCTCAGCCGAGCGCGGTGGCTCACGCCTGTAATCCCAGCACTTTGGGAGGCCAAGATGGGTGTATCACGAGGTTAGGAGTTCAAGACCAGCCTGACCAACATGGTGAAACCCCGTCTCTACTAAAAATACAAAAATTAGCCAGGTGTGGTGGCACCCGCCTGTAGTCCCAGCTACTCAGGAGGCTGAGGCAGGAGTATCGCTTGAACCCAGGAGGCAGAGGTTGCAGTGAGCCGAGATCATGCCACTGCACTCTAGCCTGGGCGACAGAGTGAGACTCCGTCTCAAAAAAAAAAAAAAAAAAAAAAAAAGTTTAAATTTCTCTTAGATGAGGGTTACATTTGGGACTCCTCCCCCTACTACCAAGCTCCCAGCACTCAAGTGCCTTTGTACAGCCTCTTGGTGTCAAAGGCCCACCCCTACAACATATGGTGGCCCATTATTGTAATATTTCCCAACCTCTTGCCTTCCATCAGAACTTTCCTGAGTATTCCATGAAACTGATTATCTAAACTTAAGATTCTAAAGCACATCAAATTATGAATGAAGATCTAGGTTAGCATGTTACACATTTGTATTTTAACTGGGACCCACTGAACACAGCACCTGAATTCAAGTCAAGGACACAAATTAGAAAATCCAGGCACTTTGGTGGGAGGTCAGTGGCTCAGAGCTCCCTTCAAATTATAAAAAGCTGTCTGAAAAACAGAAAAAAAAAAATTGTCTGCTTCATGAAGTCTTTTTTTTTTAAACAAGAATTTGCATTTATCTATGAGGTCTTATTTTTACTGTGTAATATATTTTCATGATTAAAAAATTAAATAATATAGGCAGGGTATGGTGGCTCACGCCCATTATCCCAGCACTTTGGGAGGGCGAGGTGGGCAGATCACTTGAGGTTGGGAGTTCGAGACCAGCCTGGCCAACGTGGTGAAACCCTGTCTCTACTAAAAATACAAAAAAATTGGCCAGGTGTGGTGGTGCACGCCCGTAATCCCAGCTACTTGGGAGGCTGAGGCACGAGAATCCCTTGAACCCGGGACGTGGAGGTTGCAGTGAGCCGAGATCACACCACTGCACTCCAGCCTGGGGGACAGAGTGAGACTCCATCTCAAAATAAATAAATAAATAAATAAATAAATAAATAAATAGCATAACATAAAAAGATATTCACCAACAAGCCTTAGCTGCCTCTCGAGTTGTAGGGAGAAGCATTTTTATTCATTTTTTTGTAAATTCAGTATTTCTTTTCTTTTTTTTTTTTGAGACGGAGTTTTGCTTTTGTCGCCCAGGCTGGAGTGTAGTGGCAGAATCTCAGCTCACTGCAACCTCTTCCGCTGGGTTCAAGCGATTCTCCTGCCTCAGCCTCCTGAGTAGCTGGGATTATAGGCGCATGCTACTGCACCCAGCTAATTTTTGTATTTTTAGTAGAGACGAGGTTTCACTATGTTGGCCAGGCTGGTCTCGAACTCCTGACCTCAGGTGATCTGACTGCCTCGGCCTCCCAAAGTGCTGAGATTGCAGGCGTGAGCCAACGCACCCGGCCAACTCAGTATTTCTTTATATAACACAAGCAAATGGTATTTTCCTCTTATACAAAAGATAGCTTAATATATAAACTGGTCACCTCCATGCTTTGTTCACTTTCAGTACATCCCAGAGATCTCTCTATGTATTAGTACCCTGAGATCGTCCTCATTCTCTTTTACAGCTGCTTAGCACTGTATTTTGTGGATATACCGCTGCTTATTTAACTAGTCCCCTATTGCTGGACACCTTGAATTGTTTCCAATCTTTTACTATAAGCAATGCCACTAAGATATCCTCGTATATGCAGATATATCTGCATGATAGATTCCTAGAAGTGGATATGCTAAGTCAAAGGATGTGGTAGACAGAATAATGCTCCCCAAAAAGATGTCCATGTACTAATCCCAACAAAGTGTGAATATGTTACCTTGTATTCAAAAGGAATTCTGAAGAAGTGATTGATTTAAAGACCTCCTTACTTCCACCCTGAATATGAGTGTAATCACAAGGGTGCTTATGAAAGGGAGGCAGGGGAGCCACCGTGGCTCAGGCCGGTTGCCCTGGCACTCGGGAAGGCGAGGCTACATGTTCAAGGCCAACCTGGTCAACATTGATTTAAAAAAAAAAAAACCTTAAAAAAAAAAGAAAGGGAGGCAGGTCAGAAAGGAGAGAAGATGCCACAGTACTGCCTTTGAAAATGAACGAAGGGTCCATGAACCAAGGAACGCAGGCAGCCTCCAGAAACTGGAAATGACAAGAAAATAGATGCTTCCCTACAGTCTCCAGAAGGAACACATCTGTGAAGACCCATTTTAGACTTCTGATCTCCAGAACTGTAAAATAATAGATTTGTGTTATTTTAAGCCACTAAGTCTGTGTCAATTTGTTAGGCAGTAGGAAACTAAGACAAAAGGTAAATGTAACTGTAAAGTTTCTATATATATAACCAAATTTCCTTAATAAAGTTTGTACCTTTTTGTTCTTAAACCAGCAATATACCTATTTTCCCTTTTCTCACCTCTCCAACAAAGTGTGTTATTAAACTCTAGAATTTTTGCACATAAGATAGGTGATAAATGATTCATCTCAAAAGGGTTTTAATTCATGAGTGAGGTTGAACATCATTTCACGTACTTAAGATTTCTTTTTCTGAAACTGTTAAAATACTTTCTACATTTTTCTACTGAGTTGTTAACTCTGTTTCTTCTTGATTTATTTCTTTTTCTTTTTATTTGTTTTGAGACGGAGTCTCACTCTGTCGCCCAGGCTGGAGTGTACTGGTGTGATCTCAGCTCACTGCAACCTCCGCCTCCCAGGTTCAAGTGATTCTCCTGCCTCAACCTCCTGAGTAGCTGGGATTACAGGTGCCTACCACCACGCCGATTAATTTTTGTATTTTTAGTAGAGACGGGGTTTCACCATGTTGGCTAGGCTGTTCCTGAACTCCTGGCTTCAGGTGATCCACCTGCCTCTGCCTCCCAAAATGTTGGGATTACAGGTGTGAGCCACCGCGCCTGGCCTTCTTGACTTATTTATAAAGGTTCTCTATATTTTAGGAACCTTAACTATTTATAATATGAGTTGCAAATATTTTGCCACTTAATCATTAGCCTCTTCATATTACTTGTGATACTACTGCTGTAAGTTTTTATTATTTTTAACTTAAATTTTAAAGTTTTCCTCATACAGGTTTAGCACATTCAAAAGATTTTAGTGTAGCCTTTTTTAGTAGATCAATAATTCAATAAGTCTGCTCCCTAATCTCAAGCAATAACTTTGAGGTGAAGTGTAGTGGCTGATTTGTTTTCCTTTCTTTTTTTCTTTCTTTCTTTCTTTCTTTTTTTTTTTTTGAGACAGTCCTGCTCTGTTGCCCAGGCTGGAGTTCCGTGATGCGATCTCAGCTCACTGCAACCTCTGCCTCCTGGGTTCAAGCAATTCTCCTGCTTCAGCCTCCTGAGTAGCTGGGATTACAGGCGCCCGTCACTACGCCCGGCTAATTTTTGTATTTTTGTAGAGATGGGGTTTTACCATGTTGGTCAGGCTGGTCTCAAACTCCTGACCTCAAGTGATCCACCTGCCTTGGCCTTCCAAAGTGCTGGGATTACAGGCATGAGTCACTGCACTGGGCCTGTTTTCCTTTTTTATTTCTGCAAAAATACTTCAAAAGGAGGAAAATTACCATGTAAGAAATATTCAGAAGATGGCAAAAAATATTCCAAGTAAGCTAACACAATTTTTAACATGCAATTACTGCTTTACTTAAATTCATTAAATTAAAGTTATAAAAATAATCCATAAATTTGCTGGGTCATCATAAAATACTACTATTAGAGTATGGTTTTGTTCTGTTTTTTAGAGACAAGGTCTCACTCTGTCAAGTCTGGAGTACAGTGGCTTGATGATAGCTCACTGCAACCTCAAACTCCTGGGCTCTAGTGATCCTCCTACCTCCGCCTCTTGAGTAGCTAGGACCACAGGTGCATGCCACCAAGCCCAGCTAATTTTTTTAAAAAAATTTTGTATAGACAGGGCCTCACTATGTTGCCCAGGCTGGTCTCAAACTCCTGGCCTCAAGGGATCCTCCTGCCTCAGCTTCCCAAAGCACTGGGATTATATGCATGAGCCACTGCACCTGGCCAGTTGTTTTTTTAAACCCCACTTGTGTTCCTTTAAATTGTGTTTTTGAGAAATCCATCCCTAGATCTATAGAAAAAACATTGTTTCTCCTAATTAATATGAATTAGGAACCATTTCTGGATAATAATAAGGCAATAACATTTAACTGAGTTACAACTAATTAAGAAAGAAATGTAAGCAAATAAAAATGAGGAAGTTGAAAACAGAATTTTGCTAAAATTAATTACAAAAATATTTTAAGTTTTCTTACAATTTACAAATTATTGGTAGTGGGAAAATATTGTGTTTATACTTTATACTATGTTGCTTTTACGTTTTCCAAAGAATGTTTCTATAGTTGTGGGGACTTAAAAAATTCTTTTAAAGCTATTTGGTGATAAAGTTATATATCAAAGAAAGCAAAAAAAAAGTTCTTGTTATTGTTCTTGGGAGTTAACCTACCTTAGACTTTGCATTGGGCCTATTTTTACTACTTAGATTCTACTGAGTGTTGGCTACCAGGCATTAAGTCCAGAAAAGAGGAGCATGGGCCGGGCGCGGTGGCTCACGCCTGTAATCCCAGCACTTTGGGAGGCCGAGGTGGAAAGATCACCTTAGGTTGGGAGTTCGAGACCAGCCTGGCCAACATGGAGAAACCCTGTCTCTACTAAAAATACAAAATTAGCCGGGCATGGTGGCACATGCCTGTAATCCCAGATACTCAAGAGGATGAAGCAGCAGAATCGCCTGAACCTGGGAGGCGGAGGTTGCGGTAAGCCAAGATCGCGCCATTGCACTCCAGCCTGGGCAGCAAGAGAGAAACTCTGTCTCAAAAAAAAAAAAAAAAAAAGAGGATCATGATCCAGAACACAACAAGATGGGAAGCATCCCATCCACTTTTATGATGTCAATGGTCATACAGGTGACTTTCAAGTCTCTTTCTCTAGCTGTGATCTGCCCCCTTAACAGAACTATACTTCCAGTTGCCTTCCTGATATCTCCATTAGGATATTCCAAAGGAATTACAATACGAATTTTAATACACTCAAAGTTGAATGCATCTTCTCCTCCAAAATCCACAGCTCCTTCTGAATTCTCTATTTCAATTAGTGATCATCCTTTCATCTTTTGTCTGATCAATTTCATCTTGCCTTGTCCTACTTACTCATACTATAAAGGTAAATTACTACTCAGGAGACTGAGGCAGGAGAATCGCTGGGGCTCAAGAGCTGATCGCGCTTGTGAATAGCCACTGAACTCCAGCCTGAGCAATGTAGTAAGACTTTGTCTCTTTAAAAAAAAAAAAAAAAAAAAAAAAAGAAGCTGGACGCGGTGGCTCAGGCCTGTAATCCCAGCACTATGGGAGGCCAAGGTGGGCGGATCATGAGGTCAGGAGATCGAGACCATCCTGGCTAACACGGTGAAACCCTGTCTCTACTAAAAATACAAAAAATTAGCCAGGCGTGGTGGCGGGCCCCTGTAGTCCCAGCTACTCGGGAGGCTGAGGCAGGAGAATGGCGAGAACCCAGGAGGTGGAGCTTGCAGTGAGCCGAGATCACACCACTGCACTCCAGCCTGGGTGACAGAGTGAGATTCCATCTCAAAAAAAAAAAAAAAAAAAAGGTAAATAAGCTGATGAGCACCAGGTAAAGATGGAGTCCTTAAGTATGGGCTGCAGCAGGTTAGTGGCTATGGTGGCCTCCATGTCTATCTGTGGATTTTCTTCAGGGCAAATTATATGAGGGTTGGTGCACTGGTGGGGAAAGAAAAATATGGAAACAAATACCATGAAGACAACAATCAATTTTTTGGCCATCACCAATGATTTATAGATGCTGCTGAAATTAATGGCAAAACACAATCTGGGATGTGAATGAGAGCACGGTACCTCCCAAATGGCACAGGTGGTTTCACTGTATGACTGCTGATTCTCCAAAAACAAAATGACCCACTCCTCTTAAATTCATTTAGACAAACCCTAAATTCAAAATCCAGAACAGTATTACCTTATTCTACTACTAGAAAGAAGATACAGAAGTGAGTCTCACCTTCAGCACTTTACAAATAAAAACATTAACAATTTAAACATGTAAAAATATGGGCCTTTTCACGTAATTACACTTTCTTTTTTTTTGAGATGGAGTCTCACTCTGTTGCCCAGGCTGGAGTGCAGTGGCAGGACCTCAGCTCACTGCAACCTCTGTCTCCTGGGTTCAACTGATTCTCCTGCCTCAGCCTCCCGAGTAGCTAGGATTACAGGTGTGCACCACCACGCCTGGCTAATTTTTGTATTTTCAGTAGAGCTGGGGTTTCACCATGTTGGTCAGGCTGTGCTAGAGTTCCTGACCTCAGGTGATACACCCAGCTCGGATTCCCAAAGTGTTGGGATTACAGGCATGAGCCACCACGCCCATCCGTAATTACACTTTTACTGGTTATTATAAGTTGATTAAAATCATTTGACTAAAAAATTTTTTAATAAAAAATAAGTTAGCCATTAAGCATTAATGTATAAGCCTTCCTATGAAATGCATTTCAAGAGCTGAACAGTTTATTGTATTTCTATAATACTTTGAAATCTTTTAAGTATAAATTATTTACAAATACAGTTGACCCTTGAACAATGCAGGACTTGCATGGCATCAACTCTCCATGCAGTCAAAAATCAAAGTATAATTTTTGACTCCCCAAAAACTCTACTAATACCCTACTGTTGATCAGAAGCCTTATTGATAACATAAACACATATTTCATAGGTTATATGTATTATATACTGCATTCTTACAATAAAGTAAGCTAGAAAAAATGTTAAGACAATTGTAAGTAAGAGAAAACATGTTTACTATTCATTGAGTGGAAGTGGATCATTATAAATGTGTTCACCCCCATAGTTATCACATTGAGTAGGCTTAGGAGGAGGAAGAGGAGGGGTTGATATTGCTTTCTCGGGGTGGCAGAGGCAGAAGACGTGGAGGAGTTGGAAGGGGAAGCAGGAGGGGCATGCACACCTGGTGTAACTTTACAGAAATACATCCATTTTTGTCTGACTTGTTTGCTTTCTCATTTCTCTAAAAATGCTTCTATATGGTACCAATCCTCCTCCCACCATTTGCCTTCCTTTAGGTACCCAAATCATAGAAAAGCCCACATTGTAAAATAAGTCAAAAGCAGTCTTGAATAATTGGAACCTTTTTCTATGTCGTCTACCTCATCATATGGCACCATTTCGGAAGCACTCGTCTGCATCAAGTCGTCTTCTGTTAATTCCTCTGGTGTGGTGTCTATTAGCTCTTGAATTCCTCCAAGATCCATATCTTAAAACCCTTTGCCCCCCACTCCACCTTTTTTGGCCATATCCACAATCTCTTTCATTATTTCCTTGATTGGTTCTGTCGTAAATCCTGTGAAGTCATGCACAACATCTGGACAGAGTTTTCTCCAGCAGGAATTTTTTGTTTTGGGTTTGATGGCTTTTACAGCTTTTTCTATAACAATGATGATATCTTCAATGGTGTAAACCTTTCAGACTTTCTTTTTCTTTTCTTTCTTTTTTTTTTGAGACGGGGTTTCGCTCTTGTTGCCCAGGCTGGAGTGCAATGGTGCGATCTTGGCTCACCGCAACCTCTGCCTCTGGGGTTCAAGTGATTCTCCTGCCTCAGCCTCCTGAGTAGCTGGGATTACAGGCATGTGCCACCACGCCCAGCTAATTTTGTATTTTTAGTAGAGACAGGGCTTCTCCATGTTGGTCAGGCTGGTCTCGAACTCCCGACCTAAGGTGATCTGCCCATCTCGGCCTCCCAAAGTTCTGGGATTATAGGCATGAGCCACCGTGGCCAGCCCTTTCAGACTTTCATGATGTTCTATCACAGTTCTCTTCCACAGCATTGACAATCCTTTCCATAGAGCACTGTGTGTAACGAACCTATGATTCCGATCTAGAGGCTAACTTATAGATGATGTGTTCTGAGGGCCAGGGCCATTGGCCAATATCAAAATAACTTTAAAAGGCAATCTCGGCCGGGTGCAGTGGCTCACGCCTCTAATCCCAGCACTTTGGGAGGCCGAGGTGGGCAGATCACGAGGTCAGGAGATCGAGACCATCCTGGCTAACACGGTGAAACCCTGTCTCTACTAAAAATACAAAAAATTAGCCGGGCGTGGTGGTGAGCACCTGTGGTCCCAGCTACTCGGGAGGCTGAGGCAGGAGAATGGTGTGAACCCAGGAGGCAGAGCTTGCAGTGAGCCGAGATCGTGCCACTGCACTCCAGCCTGGGTGACAAAGCGAGAGTCTGTCTCAAAAAAATAAATAAACAAATAAATAAATAAATAAATAAATAAAAAGAAAAGGCAATCCCTTACTGGCAAGTTACTTTCTGACTTCAGAGGCAAAGCATCAATGAAACCAACCCAGAAAAAGGGTTCTCACTGTCCAAGCCTTCTTATTGTACAACCAAAAGACTGGCACGGCCGGGCGCGGTGGCTCACGCCTGTAATACCAGCACTTTGGGAGGCCGAGGCGGGCGGATCACGAGGTCAGGAGATCGAGACCATCCCGGCTAAAACGGTGAAACCCCGTCTCTACTAAAAATACAAAAAATTAGCCGGGCGTAGTGGCGGGCGCCTGTAGTCCCAGCTACTTGGGAGGCTGAGGCAGGAGAATGGCGTGAACCCGGGAGGCGGAGCTTGCAGTGAGCCGAGATCCCGCCACTGCACTCCAGCCTGGGCGACAGAGCGAGACTCCGTCTCAAAAAAAAAAAAAAAAAAAAAAAGACTGGCAGCTGGTGTTTATCTTTTCCCTTCATGGTTCAGAGGTTAGCAGCTTTATAGATAAGGGCAGTCCTGATTATAAATCAGTTGCACAAAAACATTTACACAAAGCAGTAGAGTTAGCCTGTCACTTCCTGCCTTAAATGCTGGTGCTAGCAGTTGATGCCACTTTATGTATTTCCTCATTTCTTTGAAAATTCCAGAGGTTGTTCCAACTTGTGTTCCCATTAACACCAAAGAAGTTTCAGTTTTCCCACATTCTCTAATAACTCAGGCTATCAAATATATTGATTTTTACCAATCTGATGGATGTGAAATAGTATCTCCTGATTTCTTAATTTGCATTTCCTTGATGCCAAGTGTAAGTATCATTAACCATTCAAGATTCTCTTCTTTGAAATGACTAATCATTTTTGTATTTGGTTGTCTGTTTATTTGATTGTAGAACTATGTATATATTCTTGATATCAATATACCTTCAAAATAGTTTCTCCTAGTCTTTGGTTTGAGCATTCAATTTTTTCATGGTGTCTTTTATTATAAAGAAATTTTTAATTTTAAAATAATTATTGCAGACACTACTAATTGTCCACTGTACTCTATTCTCCCCTTTTGCCACAGTAATATTTGGAGTTAGACACAGTATTCTGTTGCAAACAATGGAGAGTACCTGGAGGTAAAGTGTGCCACTTCCTGGTATGTGCCTTAAAATACTGAACATGTGTTCCATCACTGTCTCTTCACCTTCCTTCATACTGGCATGTTAAATGTTATAATTGAGAGCAATCTTACAAGCTATATGTTAAGAATAACAAAGTTACTCAACCAGGCTGGGTCTGTAAGATGGCTTCATGGAGCAAAGTTCATCCACCTACCCTGAACTATTACATAAAAGAGAAATAAACTTCTATCATATTAGCCACTGAATTTCGAATATCTTTTTAAAAAGACACTTGGTAAGCTGGGCATGGTGGCTCGTGTCTGTAATCCCAGCACTTTGGGAGGCCAAGGCAGGAGGATTGCTTGAGGCCAGGAGTTCCAGACCAGCCTGAGCAATATAACAAAACCTGTTCTCCACAAATTACTTAATTATTTACTGATTAAGATGGGGTCTCACTTTGTGACCCAGGCTGGAGTACAGTGGCACGATCTTGGCTCACTGCAACCTCTGCCTCCTGGGTTCAAGTGATTCTTGGGCCTTAGCCTCCTGAGTAGCTGGGATTACAGGCATGCACCACCACACCCAGCTAATTTTTGTATTTTTTTGTGGAGACAGGGTTTCACCATGTTGGCCAGGCTGGTCTCAAACTCCTGAGTTCAAGTGATCCGCCCGCCTTGGCCTCTCAAAGTGTGGGATTACGGGCATGAGACACTGTGCCTGGCCTCTACAAACAATTTAAAAATTAGCAGGATGCAGTTGTTCGCACCTGTAGTCCCAACTACTCAGCAGGCTGATGTGCAGCGGGCTATGATTATGCCACTGCACTCCAGCCTGCGTGACAGAGTGAGACCTTGTCTCTAAAAAAAAAAAATTTTTAAAGACACGTGGCCGCCGGGTGCGGTGGCTCACGCCTATAATCCCAGCACTTTGGGAGGCCAAGGCAGGCAGATCACAGTGTAAGGAGATAGAGACCATCCTGGCTAACATGGTGAAATCCTGTCTCTACTAAAAATATAAAAAATTAGCCGGGCTTGGTGGCAGGCGCCTGTAGTCCCAGCTACTTGGGAGGCTGAGGCAAGAGAATGGCATGAACCCGGGAGGCGGAGCTTGCAGTGAGCCGAGATCGCACCACTGCACTCCAGCCTGGGCGACTGAGTGAGACACCATATCAAAAAAAAAAAAAAAAAAAAAAAAAGACATGTGACCAAATATTGCCAAATACGTTTAAGAAAAATTTCTTAGATAACACACAAATAGTAATTACAATTGTCACTCCTCATCTGTAATTCGGTTTTTTTTCTGTTTCAGTTACCTACAGGCTGAAAATATTACATGGAAAATTCCAGAAATAAATAACTCATAAGTTGTAAATTGCATGCCATTCTGAGTAGCGTGATTAAAATCTCACATCTTGCCCCATCCTGCCCAGGAAGTGAATAATCCCTTTGTCCAGTGATCCCATGCTGTATATGCTACCTACCTGTTAATCACTTAGTAGCTGTCTTGGTTATCAGATTAAAAAAAAATAGTATATATAGGGTCAGTACTATTTCTGGTTTCAGGCATCCACTAGAGGTCTTGGAATGGATTGCCCACAGATAAGAAAGGACTACTGTACTTTATTTAGGGTGATTGTTCTTTATGTCTAATATAAGAAATCCCAGCCAGGCGCGGTAGCTCATGCCTGTAATTCCAGCACTTTGGGAGGCCGAGGTGGGCGGATCACCTGAGATCAGGAGTTTGAGACCAGCCTGGCCAACATGGCGAAACCCCGTCTACTAAAAATACAAAAATTAGCTGAGCGTGGTGGCAGGCCCCTGTAGTCCCAGCTACTGGGGAGGCTAAGGCAAGAGAATCGCTTGAACCCAGGAGGCGGAGGTTGCAGTGAGCCGAGATGGTGCCACTGCACTCCAGCCTGGGCAACAGAGCAAGACTTCGTGTCAAAAAAAAATAATAATAATAGATAAAAAGAAATCCCTCCTAAGATCAAAAAGATACTCTATTTTTCTTTCCTAAAACTTTTAAGCTTTGCTTCTCAAATCCAGGCTTTAATCCTGGCATGTGGTATGTGTACAGTTAAAGTAAGGATTTACAGTTATAATGTAGTTAACCAATTCTTTCAGCACTATTTATTGAATATTCCATCCCACTGATTTATAATGCCATCTCTGTCATATACTAAACAACCATAGATGACTATCTTCTGTTCTATTGCCCTATGCTTATAAACTTGTGCCAATGTCACATTGCTATAATTACTAAAACTTCACACTAAATTCTGATGTTTGGTAGAACAAATCTCTCATTATTTTTCAAATGTGTCTTGAAAATTATTGATATTTACTCTTCCATTTAAAATTTAACATTCACCTATCAAACCACACATACACACACACACACACACACACACACACACACACACACCTGCCAGGATTTATAGTGGAACTACGCTGTATGAATAGATTAATACAAGAAGAAATGACATCTTTAGGCCAGGCGCGGCAGCTCACACCTATAATCCCAGCACTTTGGGAGGCCGAGGCGGGCAGATCACCTGAGGTCAGGAGTTCGAGACCAGCCTTGCCAACATGGTGAAACCCCGTCTCTACTAAAAATACAAGAATTATCTGGGCGTGGTGGCAGGCACCTGTAATCCCAGCTACTCGGGAGGCTGAGGCAGGAGAATGGCGTGAACCCAGGAGGCAGAGGTTGTAGTGAGCCGAGATTGTGCCATTGCACTCCAAACTGGGGGACAAGAGCGAGACTTTGTCTCAAAAAAAAAAAAAGAAACGACATCTTTATAAAACTGAGTTCTCATTCATGAGCATGTTGCCTCCATATTATGTACTTAAGTAAATTTTTGTAATTTTCTCCATAAAGATCTTCAATTTTTTTCTTTTTTGAAACAGGATCTCAGTCTGTCATGGGGTTGTACCATGTTGCCCAGGCTGGTCTTGAACTCCTGTTCAAGCATCTGTCCACCTTGGCCTCCCAAACTGCTGTGAGGTGAGAGCCAATGCACCCAGCCAACATCTTTTGTTCGGTATATTTCAAAGTTCTTCATAGTTTTTTTTCACATGTGTATTAGTCTATTGTCATATTGCTATAAAGAGCTACCTGAGACTGGGTAATTCATAAAGAAAAGAGGTTTAATTGACTCACAGTTCTGCAGGCTGTACAGGAAGCATGGTTGGAGAGGCCTCAGAAACTTACAATCACGGCAGAAGGGCATAGGGGAAGCAAGCACATCTTGACATGGCATCAGGAGAGAGAGAGTGAAGGTGGGGGAAGTACTACACACTTAAACAACCAGATCTTGTGAGAACTCACTCACTATCACAACAACAGCAAGGGGGAAATCTGCGCCAATGATCCATCACCTCCTACCAGGCCCCTCCTCCAAAACTGAAGATCATAATTCAATATGAGATTTGGGTGGGGCCACAAACCATATCATCACACCCCTGGCCCCTCCCAAATCTCATGTCCTTCTTACATTGCAAAACACAATCCTTCCTTCCCAACAGTCCCCCGAAGTCTTAGCTCATTTCAGCATTATCTAAAAGTCCAAGTCCGAAGCCTCATCTGAGGCAAGGTAAGTCCCTTCCACCTGTGAGCCTGTAAAATGAAAACCAAGTTAGTTACTTCCAAAACACAATGCAAGTACAGGCCTTCGATAAATGCTCCCATTCCGAAAGGGAGAAATTGGCCAAAACAAAGGGGATACAGGCCTCATGCATGTTTGAAAACCAGTAGGGCAGTCATTAAATCTTAAAGCTCCAAAATAATCTCCTTTGACTCTATATCTCACATCCAGGGCATGCTGATGAAACAGGTGGGCTCCCAAGGCCTTAGGCAGCCCCACTCCTGTAGCTCTGCAGGGTACAGCCCCTCCAGCTGCTTTCACAAGCTGGTGTTGAGTGCCTGCAGCTTTTCCAGGTGCACTACACAAGCTGTTGGTGTATCTACCATTCTGGGGTCTGGAGGATGGTGGCCCTCTGATCACAGCAGTGCCCCAGGGAAGACTCTGTGTGGGCACTCCAACGCCACATTTCCCCTCTGCACTGCCCTAGTAGAGCCTCTCCATGAGGCTTTGGCCTGAACATTCAGGCATTTTCATATATCCTCTGAAATTTAGGTGGAGGCTCACAGACCAACTCTTGCCTTCTGCGCACCTGCAGGCCCAACACCTGGTGGAAGCCACCAAGGCTTGGGGCTTGCACCCTTTGAAGCAACAGCCCGAGCTGTACCTTGGCCTCTTTTAGCCATGGCTTCACCCCTTTTAGCCATGGCTGGAGCTAGAGCCATTGCGATGCAGGGTGCTATGTCCTGAGGCTGCACAGAGCAGCAGGGCCCTAGGCTAGCCCACAAAACAATTTACCCCTCCTAGGCCTCCAGGCCTGTGAAGGGAATGAGCTGCTTCAAAGGTCTCATTGTCTTGGCTTCTAACATTCAGCTCCTCTTTACTTATGCAAATTTCTGCAGCCTTGAATTCCTCCCCAGAAAATGGGTTTTCTTTATCTACCACATGTTCAGGCTGCAAATTTTCCAAACTTTTATGCTCTGCTTCCCTTTTAAGTTCTAGTTTCAGGTCATTTCTTTGTTTATGAGCATAGGCTTTTAGAAGCAGCCAGGCCAATTTTTTTTTTTTTTTTTTTCTGAAATGAAGTCTCGCTCTTGTCCCCCAGGCTGGAGTGCAATGGTGCAATCTCAGCTTACTGCAACCTCCGCCTCCTGGGTTCAAGCGATTCTCCTGCCTCAGCCTCCCGAGTAGCTGGGATTACCGGCACCTGCCACCACACCTGGCTAATTTTTGTATTTTAAGTAGACATGGGGTTTCACCATGTTGGCCAGGCTGGTCTCGAACTCCTGACCTCAGGGGATCTGCCCGCTTCGGCCTCCCAAAGTGTTGGGATTACAGGCGTGAGCCACTGCGCCCAGCCCAGGCCAAATCTTGAACACTTTGCTGCTTAGAAATTTCTTTTGCCAGATATCCTAAATCATCTCCCTCAAGTTCAAAGTTTCACAGGTCTCCAGAGCAGGGGCACAATGCTGTCAGTCTCTTTGTTAAAGCATAACAAGAGTGACCTTTACTCCAGTTCCCAATTCCTTGTTTCCATCTGAGACCACCTCAGCCTAGACTTCACTGTCCATATCCCTATCAGCATTTTGGTACCATTCAACAAGTCTCTAGGAAGTTCTAAACTTTCCCTCATCTACCTGTCTTCTTCTGAGCCAACCTCTGCCCATTACCCAGTTCCAAAGTCACTTCCACATTTTCAAGTATCTTTATAGCAATGCCTCACTTCTCTAGTATTTTCTGTATTAGTCCATTCTCACATTGCTATAAAGAACTACCTGAGACTAGGTAATTTATGAAAAAAAAAGTTTAATTGACTCACAGTTCTGCAGGCTGTATAGGAAGCATAATTGGGGAGGCCTCAGAAAACGTACAATCATGACAAAAGGGTGAAGGGGAAAAAAGCACATCTTGACGTGGTGGCAAGAGAGAGTGAAGTGGGAAGTGCTATACACTTTTAAACAACCAGATCTGAGAACTCACTCACTATCATGACAACAGCAAGGGGAAATCTGCCTCCATGATCCAATCACCTCCCACCCAGCCCTTCCTCTGACACTTAAGATCATAATTGAACATGAGATTTGGGTGCAGACATAGAGTCAAACCATATCAATATGATATAATTTTTTTATATTGCATTTTATCTTGTTTCTTGTTGGTATATAGGAATGTTGTTGGTCTTTTGCATGCTGATCCTGTAATTAAATTTTGCTGAATTCTCTTATTAATTTTAATGGTTTAGATC
Organism: Homo sapiens; assembly: GCF_000001405.40. Taxonomy (NCBI): domain Eukaryota; kingdom Metazoa; phylum Chordata; class Mammalia; order Primates; family Hominidae; genus Homo; species Homo sapiens. The sequence goes on along the minus strand of NC_000013.11, from coordinate 100,018,575 downwards.
TTCTATGTAAGTAATTATGATGAATGATAAAAAGTTAGACTTTCTTTTTTCATCTTTATGCATTTCACTTCTTTTCTTATTGCCCTGATGGAACTTTAATAAGATGTGGAACAGCAGTCATGAGACTGGCATACTTAACTTTTTTTTTTTTTTTTTGAGATGGAATCTTGCTCTGTCGCCCAGGCTGGAGTGCAGTGGCGCAATCTCAGCTCACTGCAACCTCCACCTGCCAGGTTCATGCCATTCTTCTGCCTCAGCCTCCCAAGCAGCTGGGACTACAGGCGCCCACCACCACGCCCAGCTAATTTTTTGTATTTTTAGTAGAGACAGGGTTTCATCATGTTAGCCAGGATGGTCTCAATCTCCTGACCTCGTGATCCACCCGCCTCAGCCTCCCAAAGTGCTGGGATTACAGGCGTGAGCCACCGCGCCCGGCCTAGCATACTTATCTTGTTCCTCACTTAAAAGGGGATACTGACTGATGCTTACTTTGAGTTTTATGAGATACCCTTTATCACGTTAAAAGGATTATCTTATCATTTCTCCTATATAAGTTTGTACTACAAATATGTGTTAAATTTTATGAAAACTTTTTTTTTGAATCTTCTAAGGTGATTATATCATTTTCTTCCTTTAATCCATAAATGTGATAAATTATTTCAGTAAGTGTTCTACTGTTAGACCATCCTTGAATTACTGGGATAAATCCTCCTTAGCCAAAATTGTGTTTTTATACATGCCACATATTATTTGCTCATGTTTTATTTAGGAATTTTGCATTTATGTTAATAAGGAAAACAAAACTATATTTCTTTCTTGATTTTCTTTTACTATCCTCATTAAATTTTACCACACTCATCAAATAAATTGGAAAACTTTCCTTCTTTTTAAAAATTCTATTGAACTGTTTATGTAAAATAGGAGTTTTATACTGTTATGAGGCAGGATAGGTAGTCAAGGAAGGGACCATGTTCTTGGGACGCAGCAACCATGGTGACTGTACAATTAATACAACAAGCCTTTGCATTCACATTGAAATTGAGCTCATTCAGGCAAAGCTATCTTCAGTGGGGACTTTCCCCTCTAGAGAGCATGCACAATTTTTTTTTTTTTTTTTTTTTTTTGGGGGGACGGAGTTTTGCTCTTGTCGCCCAAGCTAGAGTGCAATAGCAGGATCTCGGCTCACTGCAACCTCTCCCTCCCAGGTTCAAGTGATTCTCCTGCCTCAGCCTCCCCAGTAGCTGGGATTACAGGCGCCCACCACCACAGCCAGCTAATTTTTCTATTTTTAATAGAGACGGGGTTTTGCCATGTTGGCCAGGCAGGTCTCGAACTCCTGACTTCAGGTGATCCACTCACCTCAGCCTCCCAAAGTGCTGGGATTACAGGCGTGAGCCACCGTGCCCATCCAAGCACGCACAATTTGATTTTACCTGTCCTTGAACTGACCCTTTGCTCATTTTAATAGTAAAAAAACACACCTCTGAGTGGACATTTAAGATGCTGAGACATGCGATGTATGAACAAGCATGTACAGTTACTGTACATGTGCACCCAGAAAACCACCCAGAACATGCTTACTAGAAATGCTTCTTTCCACCTCCTTATGAATAATCATGTAAGACTTCATAAAGGGAGTCTCCCTAGTGCTAGTCTTTACTGTCTTGCCCTTATGATCAGCCCGTCCTAAATCCTCTTTCTCAGGGTGTACTGTTTATTCTGTACCTAACTACCTAACTTTCAAAATATTCTTTTTCTTTTGCAATAAATTTCTCTATGCTATACCTCCTTTCCTGTGTGTCTCTTGTTTAATTTTACATTCTTTTAAACCAAGAAGACAAGAACCGAGGTATCACAACAGCCATCAATAGTTAATCCTTGAAGCCTGAAAGTCATTATGAGCCTCTAAGTTTTTGTTTTTTTGTGAGGGAGTCTTGCTTGGGCTGGAGTGCAGTGGCTGCATCTTGGCTCACTGCAACCAACCTTCGCCTCCTGGGATCAAGCGATTCTCCTGCCTCAGCCTCCCGAGTAGCTGGGACTACAGGCCCATGCCACCACACCTGGCTAATTTTTTGTACTTTTAGTAGAGACGGGGTTTCACTGCGTTAGCCAGGATGGTCTCGATCTCCTGACCTCGTGATCCACCCGCCTCGGCTTCCCAAAGTGCCAGGATTACAGGCATGAGCCACCGTGCTCAGCCAAGCCTTTAAGTTTTAAAAGCATTATGGGGCCAGGTGTGGTGGCTCACACCTGCAATCCCAACACTCTGGGAGGCCAAGGCAGGTAGATCACTTGAGATCAGGAGTTCCAGACCAGCATGGCCAATATGGCGAAAACCTCATCTCTATTAAAAATACAAAAATTAGCTGGGCATGGTGACATGTGCCTGTAGTCCCAGCTACTCGGGAGGCTGATGTAGGGGAATGAATCGCTTGAAACTGGGAGGCAGAGGTTGCAGTGTGTCAAGATCACGCCACTGCCCTCCAACCTGGGTGACAGAGCAGACTCTGTCTCAAAAAAAAAAAAAAAAAAAAATTAAATGAAAATGAAACAGAAAAAGGTGGCACCTATATGAGGAAGCCAAAGCTTTTATCCAATCACCCAAAATCGTGCTTTGTGACCCACCTAGCATCAAAGGAATCTGGGAAAGTACTTTTATCTAGGCACATTATTACCCCAAACAAAATCAGAGCTCTGATAGTAAAAGAGGAAGAAGGTCGGATTTGAAATTGTCAACTGGCTGCATCTGCTGTAGTCACTTTGGTTGTTATATCCTTCCAGGAAATTGTCATTTCACCTAAAGTCCTAACTTCTCTTATAATTTTTTTTTTTTTTTTGAGATGGAGTCTCACTCTGTTGCCCAGGCTGGCATGATCTCGGCTCACTGCAACCTCCGCATCCCAGGTTCAAGCGGTTTTCCTGTCTCAGTCTTCCGAGTAGCTGGATTACAGGCACATGCCACCATGCCCGGCTAATTTTTTGTATTTTAGTAGAGACAGGGTTTCACCATGTTGCCCAGGCTGGTCTCAAACTCCTGAGCTCAGGCACCTGCCTCAGCCTCCCAAAGGGCTAGGATTACAGGCATGAGCCACTGCCCCCGGCTTCTCTTATAATTTTTAAGAATCCCTACCATATCTACAGTTTTGCACCTTTAAAAAATGCCAACTATTGTACTTTTGTGCCTTTTAAAATTCTTTTTTGCCAAAAGTTTGTCCCCAAAGTCCTGGGATTACAGGCATGAGCCACCATGCCCGGCCTCCACCTTTGGTTTTTTTGAGCCTCCAATTGTTTCTTTGATTTCTAGTCATTCTTTTCTGTGCTCAATGTTATTTCCTTCCTTCTTCACATCTTTGTTAGTTTTTTTTTTCCAAGCCATTTTCTATGTTATTGCTAATGGCATTTTAAAACCTTCATTTGAAGCCAGGTGTGGTGGAATGCCTGTAATCCCAGCTACTCAAGAGCATGGGATGGGAGGGTTGTTTGAACCCATGAGTTTGAATCCAGCCTGGGCAACATAGTGAGATCCAGTCTCTTAAAAAAAAATTTACAAAAATAAAGTTGGTTTTCATATGTTTACCTTGTATCTAGTTATCTTGCTAAATTATACTTATTACTTTGGATAGTTCATAGATGCCTTTAGATTTTCTACCTATTAGTCATATCCTTTGCAAATGTTTTTATTCATTACCAATTATTAATTCTTACGCTTTTTCTGTCTTTTTTTCTTGACTTACTGCACTGTCTACAAGGCTAGGATCTCCAGCACAATCTTGAATAAAAGTGGTTAGAGCTGACATCCTTATCTTGTTCCCAATCTTAGAAACTATTTAGTCTTTTACCATTGAGTAATATGTTAGTTGGGTTTTTTTTGTTGTTTTTTTTTTTTTTTTTTGTAGATGCTCCTTATCTTATAGGGAAGATGCCTTATTCTTAGTTTGCTAAGAGTTTTTATCATGAACAAGAGTTAAATTTTGTCAAATGCTTTTTTTTGTTTCTATTGAGATGAAAAGGTTTATATTTATGAATTCAAATTCTTTACTAGATAGAGAGTGTCTTAGTCTGCTTCATGTTGCTGTAACAGAATATTTGAGTCTGGGTAATTTATAAAGAAAAGAGATTTATTTAGCTCATGGTTCTGCAGACTGGGAAGTGTAAGAAACACAAAACTGGCATCCGTTTGGCTTTTAGTGAAGGCTGCGTTTTAAAATGGTAGAGAAAGTTCAAGGGAGAAGCAGATACAAGTGAAGAGAGCAAGATCTGAGGTGCATCCGGGCTTTATAACAATCCATTCTATGAGAACTAATTCATCCATGTGGGAACTAATCCAGCTTCTCAGAGTAAGCATGCACTACTGGGAGACCTACACCAAGCTATTCATGAGATATCCACCATGTTTTAAACATCTCCCACTAGTATCCACCTCCACACATCATGGACCAAATTTCAACACAAGCTTTGGTGGGGACAAACAAACCATATCCAAACTATACTACATAACCATTAACTTTTCAATTTCTTGTTTTGTCAGTTTTGGTATTTATGTCTTTCAAGAAATTTGTCCATGTCATATAAGTTGCCAAATTTACTGGCAACTGATTCCTTTTTGTTTTTTTTAAGAGATTGGGTCTTGCTGTGTTGCCCAGGCTGGTATCAAACTTCTGGGCTCAAACAATCCTCCCACCTCAGCTTCCCACATAGCTGGTACTACAGGTGTGCACCACCACACTTGGCTGCAACTGATATCTTTTTGATATCTTTCATTTCTTTTATGGTAATTTGTGTGCACACACATACTCTCTCTCCCTTAATTATTCTAGTTAGAGGGTTTTTTCTTTTTTTTTTTTAAATGTGATAACATCTTTTTTTTTTTTTTTTTTGCGAGGGAATTTCGCTCTTGTTGCCCAGGCTGGAGTGCAATGCCGCAACCTCTGCCTCCCGGGTTAAAGCAATTCTCCTGCCTCAGCCTCCCAAGTAGCTGGGATCACAGGGGCCTGCCACCAAACCTAGCTAATTTTTTTTCGTATTTTTAGTAGAAATGGGGTTTCACCATGTTGGCCAGGCTGGTCTCGAACTCCTGACCTCAGGTGATCCGCCCGCCTTGGCCTCCCAAAGTACTGGGATTACAGGTGTGAGCCACTGAGCCCAGCCTTGTGATAACATCTTCTAAAAAAAACTTTTTCTCTATTATTTATCCATTTTCTATTGCATTAGTTTCTACTGTTTATTATTTATTTCCTTCTGCTAATTCTGAGTTAAATTTGCTCTCTTTCTCTAGTTGCTTACAATGGGATTGTAAATAATTGATTTTTGTTTTGTTTTGTTTTGTTTTAAATGGAGTCTCACTCTGTTGTCCAGGCTGGAGTGCAGTGGTATGATCTCAGCTCACTGCAACCTCCGCCTGCTGGGTTCAAGCGATTCTCCGGCCTCAGCCTCCTGAGTAGCTGGGACCACAGGTGCGTGCCACCATGCCTGGCTAATTTTTTGTATCTTTAGTAGAGATGGGGTTTCACCATATTGTCCAGGCTGGTCTCCAACTCCTGACCTCAGGTGATCTACCGACCTCGGCCTCCCAAAGTTCTGGGATTACAGGCGTGAGCCGCCACACCCAGCCAAATAATTGATTTTTAATCTTTCTCTTTTTTTTTGAGACAGAGTTTCGCTCTTGTTGCCCAGGCTGGAGTGTAGCGGAGCGATCTCGACTCACTGCAACCTCCACCTCCCCGGTTCAAGGGATTCTCCTCCCTTAGCCTCCGAGTAGCTGGGATTACAGGCGCGTGCCACCATGCCCGGCTAATTTTTTGTATTTTTCATAGAGACGTGATTTTACCATGTTGGCCAGGCTGGTCTTGAACTCCTGACCTCAGGTGATCCACCCACCTCAGCCTCCCAAAGTGCTGGGATTACAGGTGTGAGCCACAGTGCTCAGCCACGTTTCTTATTTTTTAACATGAGCATTTAAAGCTACAAATTTCTCTCTAAGGACTGCTTTAATTGTGTCCCCAGGTTTTATGTGTTTTCATTATCATTCAGCTCAACATATTTTCTAACCTCCTTTGTGATTTCTTCTTTGATCCATAAGTTACATAGGCTGTGTGGCTTAATTTCCAAATATTTCAGCATTTTCCAAATATCTTTTTTGTTTTCAATTCCTAATTTCACTTAATTTAGGTCACATATCTGTATAATTTTATTTTATTTTATTTATTTTATTTTATTTTATTTTATTTTTTTTTTTTTTGAGACGGAGTCTCACTCTGTCGCCCAGGCCGGACTGCGGACTGCAGTGGCGCAATCTCGGCTCACTGCAAGCTCCGCTTCCCGGGTTCACGCCATTCTCCTGCCTCAGCCTCCCGAGTAGCTGGGACTACAGGCGCCCGCCACCGCGCCCGGCTAATTTTTTGTATTTTTAGTAGAGACGGGGTTTCGCCTTGTTAGCCAGGATGGTCTCGATCTCCTGACCTCATGATCCACCCGCCTCGGCCTCCCAAAGTGCTGGGATTACAGGCGTGAGCCACCGCGCCCGGCCATCTGTATAATTTTAATCTTTTGAATTTTGAGACTAGATTTATGACATGGCATATTGTCTATTTTGGCAAATGTTCAAATTGCAATTGAAAAGAATACATATGCTGGGCACGGTGGCTCACGCCTGTAATCCCAGCACTTTGGGAGGCCGAGGCAGGCGGATCATGAGGTCAGGAGATCGAGACCACGGTGAAACCCCATCTCTACTAAAAATACAAAAAATTAGCTGGGCGCGCTGGCAGTTGCCTGTAGTCCCAGCTACTTGGGAGGCTGAGGCAGGAGAATGGCGTGAACTCGGGAGGCGGCGCTTGCAGTGAGCCGAGATCGTGCCACTGCACTCCAGCCTGGGCGACAGAGCAAGACTCTGTCTCAAAAAAAAAAAGAAAAGAAAAGAAAAGAAAATAATACATATATGATTGTGCGTAGTGTTATATAAATGCCAGTTATCTCAAAGTGGTTGATAATGTTGTTTAAACCAAATCTTGGGTGTAGTGTTTATATATTTCAGTTAGGCTCAGGTAATAAAGTTGTTAAAAGTATCTGTATCACCACTGAGTTTTTCTCTGTTTTATCAATAACTAAGAGAAGGATACTAAACTCATCAAATGTAATTGTAGCTTTGGGGGCCAGGCACTGTGGCTCACGCTTGTAATCCCAGCACTTTGGGAGGCCGAGGCAGATGGATCACTTGAAGTCAGAAGTTCCAGACTAGCCTGGCTAACATGGCAAAACCCCGTCTATTCTATAAATACAAAAATTAGCCAGGTGTGGTGGTGCACACCTGTAGTCCCAGCTACTTGGGAGGCTGAGGCAGGAGAATCGCATGAACCCGGGAGGCAGAGGTTGCAGTGAGCAGATCGTGCCACTGCACTTCAGCCTCCCAACAGAGCAAGGCTCTGTCTCAAAAAAAAAAAAAGTATAGATTTCTGCACTTTTCCCTTTAGTTCTGCCCATTTCACACTATGCTATTTTCTCCATGAATGTTTATCATTATTTCTTGAGTAAGTGACACCTGTTCCCCACCATCAGAAGCAGCAGTCTCAGGATGCCAGCCCACTCCATGGATGTCAAACCACTCCATTGTTTAAAAGACACAACTCATACAGGCACTGGATGGAACCATACTTTACTCATGTAGAGAACAGACACTGAAAGAGATCAGCTTCAACAGCAAGCATTCGTTCCCCCAAGGCCAGTGAGTCTGACCACATAGCCAATGCAGGGAGATGGTCTGCAGGCATCCATCTTGTGTTATAGGTGAAGGACACCATCTGCTCCCTACTGGGAACAGATATCATAGTGGGGTTGGCCAGGCACACATGAAGCACACACTTTAAGTAAAACAAGGTAATAAACATCTAGCCTAGAACAGGGGAAGATAATCCCAAGCAAGGCAATATGCCAAGCACAAGTTGTGAAGTTTCTTTATCTCCATATAAGAAAATGTTCTGACCGGGCGCGGTGGCTCTCGCCTGTAATCCCAGCACTTTGGGAGGCCAAGGCAGGCGGATCACAAGGTCAGGAGATCGAGACCATCCTGGCTAACAGGGTGAAACCCCGTCTCTACTAAAAATACAAAAAATTAGCCAGGTGTGGTGGCAGGCGCCTGTAGTCCCAGCTATTCAGGAGGCTGAGGCAGGAGAACGGCATGAACCCGGGAGGCGGAGCATGCAGGGAGCCAAGATAGCACCACTGCACTCCAGCCTGGGCAACCGAGCGAGACTCCGTCTTTAAAAAAAAAAAAAAAAAAGAAAAAAAAAAAGAAAAAGAAAACGTTCCAGGCCCAAACACACTCTTACACAGTTGTTCAAGGGTCAACAGGCTGTACAAGACTGTCTTTATAAACGTTCTGAAATGTCCCTTTTTTCTCTGATAATATTCTTTTTTGTTGTTGTTGTTGAGATGAAGTTTTGCTCTTGTCACCCAGGCTGGAGTGCAATGACCAGATCTTGGCTCACTGCAACCTCCACCTCCCGGGTTCAAGTGATTCTCCTGCCTCAGCCTCCTGAGTAGCTGGGATTACAGGCATGCACCACCACACCCAGCTAATTTTGTAGTTTTAGTAGAGACGGGTTTTCTCCATGTTGGTCAGGCTGGTCTCAAACTCCTGACCTCAGGTGATCTGCCTGCCTTTACCTCCCAAAGTGTTGGGATTACAGGTGTGAGCCACCACACCCAGCCTCTGATAATATTCTTTGTTTGAAGTATACTTTTCTGACATTAAAAGCCACTCTATTTCCTCATGATTAGTGTTTACATGGTATATAATATTTTTCTATCCACACACAAATTAGGCAGGCATGGTGGCACACACCTAAAGTCCCAGCTACTTGGGGATGTGAGGGATCTATGAGGGATCTATATTCTCCTTATGAGTATCTAATGCCTGATGATCTGTCACTGTCTCCCATCACCCCCCATATGGGACCATCTAGTTGCAGGAAAATAAGCTCAGGGCTCCCACTGATTCTACATGATGGTGAGTTGTATAACCATTTCATTATACATTACAATGTAATAATAATATAAATAAAGTACACAATAAATGTAATGTGTTTGAATCATCCTGAAACCATCCTCTCTCCCCCATCCATGGAAAAACTGTCTTACACAAAACAGGTCCCTTGTGCCAAAAAGGTTGGGGGCCACTGTTCTAGCCTGAGCGACACAGTAAAACTGTCTCAAAAATTGTTGGGTTTCAGGCCACTATCTGAATCTTTGTTTTCTATTAGTACTAGATACTACAAGATGTTTTTGTTGTTGCTGTTTTTTTCCCCCTCTTTCTCTGCATTATTTTGGATTATTTTTGTTTTCCACTTTGTGTCCTCTATTGGCTTTTTATTATACCTCTTTGTTTTTCACCCAATGTTCTAGGGGTTATAATATGCATTCTTAACTTATTACACACTTTACCATGAATTCATATTGGACCATTTTGTATATAACAAAGGAATATTAAAATGATAGACTTCCATTTTTCCCTTCCTGTGTATTGTGCTATTATGGCCATTACAGTTCACTTCTACATAATTTAAGCCCCACAATAAATCACCATTTTATTTTGTTTTTGCTTGAAATTGTCGATTATGTTTTAAAGGAATTTAAAAATGAAAAAAGTCTCTTATATTTACCCACAAATGCTCACGTGTTCTTCATTCCTTCTCATAGACATGATTTTTCTACCTGGTATCTTTTTCCTTCAGCTTTCCTTTAACATCTCTCATAGTGCAGACCTGCTAGTGACTAATTCTCTAACCTATCTGAAAATATCTTTATTTCCCCTTCATTTTAGAAGGATATTTCCATTGGATATAGGTTGACATCGTCTTCTTTCTGCACTTTAAAAATGCTATCCCCTTGGCTTATGTTGTTTCTGATGAGAAGTCATTCTTCGTTATGTTTCCTAAATTTAGTTAGTTGTCTTTTATTTATCTTTGTCTTCGGTTTTTAGAAATTCAACTATAACGTGCCTAGTTGTGTTTTTTCTTTTTCTTTTTCTTTTTTTTTCTTTTTTTTTTGAGACGGAGTTTCGCTCTTGTTGTCCAGGCTGGAGTGCAATGGCGCAATCTCGGCTCACCACAACCTCTGCCTCCCAGGTTCAAGTGATTCTCCTGCCTCAGCCTCCTCAGTAGCTGAGATTACAGGCATGCACCACTACGCCTGGCTAATTTTGTATTTTTAGTAGAGACGGGGTTTCTCCATGTTGAGGCTGGTCTCGAACTCCTGACCTCAGGTGATCCGCCCATCTCAGCCTCCCAAAGTGCTGGGATTACAGGCGTGCAGGCGTGAGCCACTGCGCCCGGCCTTTTTTTTTGAGACAGGGTCTTGATCTGTCACCCAGGCTGGAGTGCAGCAGCATGATCAAAGCTCACTACACCCTTGACCTCCTAGGCTCAAGTGGTCCTCCTGCCTCAGCCTCCTGAGTAGGTGGGATTACAGGCATGTGCCACAACGCCCAGCTAATTTTTGTGTAGTTTTGGTAGAGACAGGGTTTCACCATGTTGCCCAGGCTGGTCTTGAACTCTTGGAGTCAAGCAATTGGCTGGCCTCAGCCTCCCAAAGTGCTGGGATTACAGGGTATTAGCCACTGTGCCCGGGCCCCTAGTTGTGTTTTCGTTTGTTTATCTTACTTGGGGTTTGTTAAACTTCTTGAATCTGTAGGTTTATAGTTTTTCTCCAATATGTCAGATTTTTCAGCCACTATTGCTTCCAAATTTTTTTCTTCCTTATTCTTTTCCATCCTTATGGGGTTCCTGTTTCAAAAATCTTGTCCAAGAGGTCACTGATCTTCCATTAAAATTTTCCTCCTAGCATTTTGCTGTCTGTGCTTCAGTTTGGATCTTTTTTTTTTTTTTTGCCTTGTCTTCAAGTTCACTGATTCTGCCTTCTGCCACATCAAATCCACTGTCAAGCCCATCCTGTATAATTTTCCCTTTAGATATCATATTTTTCAGTTCTTGAATTTCTATTTGGTTCTTTTGAAACAGTTTCCATTTTTCAACTAATATTTCCTATCTTTTCATTCACTAGGTCCTTCTTTTCCTTTAATTTATTTATTTTATTTATTTAATTTTGAGACGGAGTCTCATTCTGTAGCCCAGGTTGGAGTATAGTGGTATGATCTCGGCTCACTGCAACCTCCACCTCCCAGGTTCAAGCAATTCTCCTGCCTCAGCCTTCCAAGTAGCCAGGATTACAGGTGCCCGCCACCATGCCTGGCTAATTTTCTTTTTTTTTTTTTTTAATAGAGACAGGGTTTCACCATGTTGGCCAGGCTGGTCTAGAACTCCTGACCTCAAGTGATCCGCCTGCCTCGGCCTCCCAAAGGGCTGGGATTACTGGTATGAGCCACCACACCTGGCCTCCTTTAATTCTTAAACATTTAAAATACTCACATTAAGCCCTTTTTGCTTATTCTTATACTTCTGTCAACTCTCAGTCTTTGTTTGTCTGTATTGACTGTTTTTCTCCTAGTTACACATATCAATTTCCTACTTCTTTGCCTTTGTTTTTTTTTTTTTTTTTTTTAGACAGAGTCCCACTCTGTTGCTCAGACTTGAGTGCAGTGGTGCAATCTCAGCTCACTGCAACATCTGCCTCGAGGGTTCAAGTGATTCTCCTGCCTCAGCCTCCCGAGTAGCTGAGACTACAGGTTCACGCCACCACGCCCAGCTAATTTTGTATTTTTGGTAAAGATGGGGCTTCACCATGTTGATCAGGCTGGTCTTGAACTCCTGACCTCAAGTGATTCACCCAACTCGGTCCCCCAAAGTGCTAGGATTACAGGTGTGAGCCACCGCGCCTGGCCTTTTCTAATAATCTTTAACATTTATGCTAAATACTGTGAATATTACTTGGGGTCTGGATATTCTTTTTTCAAAGAATTTTGTTCTGGCAGGTTAATTTTTTTTTTTTTTTTTTTTTTTTTTTGAGATGGAGTCTCGCTCTGTCACCCAGGCTGGAGTACGATCTAGGCTCACTGCAGCCTCAACCTCTCAGGCTCAAAAGATCCTTCCATCTCAGCCTCTGAAGTAGGTGGGACTAAAGGCATGTGCCACCACCCCGCTCCCAACAGCTAATTTTTAAAATTTTTGTAGAGATGGGATATTGCTATGTTGCCCAGCCTGGTCTTGAACTCCTGGTCTCAAGCAATCCTCCCACTTCAGTATCTTGAAATGCTGGAATTATAGGCATGAGTCACCAGACCCAGTCTTATATGGATTTTTTTTTTCCTTCCGAGTCGGAGTCTTGCTCTGTCACCCAGGCTGGAGTGCAATGGCGCGATCTCGGCTCACTGCAACCTCCGCCTCCCAGGTTCAAGCAATTCTCCTGCCTCAGCCTCCTGAGTAGCTGGGATTACAGGCACCTGCCACCACACCTGGCTAATTTTTGTATTTTTAGTAGAGATGAGGTTTCACCATGTTGGCCAGGCTGGTCTCAAACTCCTGACCTCATGATCCATCTGCCTTGGCCTCCCAAAGCGCTGGGATTACAGGCATGAGCCACTGTGCCTGGCTGGATTTTTTTTTTTTTAATGACATATCAGCCAGGTGGCTCACGCCTGTAATCCCAGCACTTTGGGAGGACAAGGTGGGCAGATCACTTGAGGTCAGGAGTTCGAGACCAGCCTGGCCAACATGGTGAAACCCTATCTCTATTAAAGATACAAAAATTAGCCGGGCATGGTGGTGGGTGCCTGTAATCCCAGCTACTTGGGAGGCTGAGGGAAGAGAATCCCTTGAACCCAGGAGGCGGAGGTTTCAGTGAGCCGAGGTCACGCTATTGCACTCTAGCCTGGGCAACAAGAGCGAAACTCTGTCTCAAGAAAAAATAAATAAAACAAAATAAAATGACCTATCAACTCAATTGTTTTACAATTTTGTTTGCATGGGTCTAGTAGACACTTTAGGGTCAGAATAGCCATACTCCTATGTTGTTAAGTGGTGTGTTTAGTGAGGTCTCTCTTGTGGCTGACTGAAAGTCCAACATCTCTTCCAGTGCAGTATGATTTCTGGAGTCTCCATTCAGCTACACTGTAGCTGCTCTCTGCCAGGTCTTGCAGAGTTTCTCCCTGTGAATACACAGCTTATATTTTGTCAAAGACTTAAGTGGCCCTTATGCAGACTTTTAGTGCTACTTCTCTGTGGAGCTCCCTCTCTGGTACCTGACCTAGCCATTATAGAACTCAACAGCTCAAAAATCCAATCTCTATATCTTCAACTCATGAAGACCACAATATTCTACAAGGGTTCCACCTCCCTGCACCATGGATCACAAAGTGCCTCCACACAGAAAGGCAAATTGTGAGGCTCAACTTGTGCATTTTCCTTCTCCAACAGATACAGTCCCGTACTGCCTGCTGTCCAACATTTGAAAACAGTTGTTTTATGTATTTTGTCCAGTTGTATGTGGTTTACACTCTGTTATCAGTTATTTTGGCTTGGCCAAAAGAGGAGTGATTGTTCAATAACTTGTTAACAAGTATATATATGTATTATACAAAATGAATAGAACTTCTCAAAACTGAGAGATGATCTAGAAAATATCACATAGAGGCTGGGTGCGGTGGCTCACGCCTGTAATGCCAGCACTTTGGGAGGCCAAGACAGGTAGATCACCTGAGGTCGGGAGTTCGAGACCAGCCTGACCAACATGGAGAAGCCTCGTCTCTACAAAAAATACAAAATTAGCCGGGTGTGCTGGCGCATGCCTGTAATCCCAGCTACTCAGGAGGCTGAGGCAGGAGAATCGCTTGAACCTGGGAGGCGGAGGTTGCGGTGAGCCAAGATCACATCATTGCACTCCAGCCTGGGCAACAAGAGCGGAACTCCAGCTCAAAAAAAAAAAAAAGTTTATATATATATACCAAAACTGAGAGATGATGTTGAGTTTTGGTGGGTTGTATTCATTTTATATTAATTATATATGTATAATATATATGATATACATTCAAATATATATAGATTTTCTTTTTTTTTTTTTTTTTGGAGACAGAGTCTTGCTCTGTCACCCAGGCTGGAGTGCAGTGGTGCAATCTCGGCTCACTGCAACTTCCACCTCCCTAGTTCAAGCAATTCTCCTGCCTCAGCTTCCCAAGTAGCTGGGACTATAGGCACCCATGACCACGCCTGGCTAATTTTTTGTATTTTAGTAGAGATGGGGTTTCACCATATTGCCCAGGCTGGTCTCGAACTCCTGAGCTCAGGCAATCCACCCGCCTTGGCCTCCCAAAGTGCTAGGATTACAGGTGTGAGCCACTGCGCCCGGCCAAATATATATATTTTCTGTATCATTAACTTTCTATATCATCTTCTGTTTTGGTAAGTTGTATTTCTTCCATGTTTTAAATATCTCAAATTAGTCATTAATATTATTTTATATATGCAATAATTATTTCAATATTCCCATATGTTGGTGATCAACTTCTTTGTATACCATTCCTTCTTGTAGTCCACTTTCTCCTGCTGGGTTTAATATAATTTTTCCTCCTATACATCCTACACCTCTGTAATAATTATTAAAGGTCTTTAAGTGGTAAATTCCCACGTTTGAAATCTGGAAAAGTGGGAATTTACTACTGTAAAATCTGTAATAATTATTAAAAGTCTGTAAGTGGTAAATTCCCACTTTCTGAAATCTGGTTTTTGTTTAGCTCTCATTTTTGAATAATAGTTTAGCTGGGTATGGCATCTAAGTTACAGTTATTTTCTCTTAGCTCTTTCAAAATATTATTCCTTTGTCTTCAGACCTGTCTTATTAATGTTGAGATGTATACTGCTAGCCTAAATGTTGCTTCTTTGTATGTAATTTTTTATAGTTTCTGATGTTATCTTGTCTACCTTTGATTATCCAATAAAAATTTTCTGATATTTCTTCTCTTTTTCTCTCTCTTTTGAGATAAGGTCTCACTCTCTTTGTCACCTAGGCTTGAGTGCAGTGGCGTGATCACAGCTCACTGCAGCCATGACCTCCTGGGCTTAAGCACCTCCTGAGTAGATGGGACTACAGGCGCATGCCACCATGCCTAGCTAATTTTTAGATTTTTTGTAGAGATGAGGTCTCATGATATTGCCCAGATTGGTCTCAAACGCCGGGGCTCAAGCAATCCTCCTACCTCAGTCTCTCAAAGTGTTGAGATTACAGGCATGAGCTACCGTGCCTGGCCTGATACTTCCTTAAGGCACTTACTATATTTTGTATTAGCCCCTTTCCATACTTTAACATTATTTACCTTGTATTATTTCGTTGTGTTCCATACTTGCCTTAACCCCACCATTAGAGAACAAGCTACCTGACACTATATGAAGTACTATGCATCTTTTCCTATAAAGAGGCACCATTTTCTTTCATGGACTGGGGAGTGGTACATAAAGAAAAAAGAAGGATGGGAGCGGTGGCTCAAGCCTGTAATCCCAGCACTTTGGGAGGCCAAGGCGGGTGGATCACCTGAGGTCGGGAGTTCGAGACCAGCCTGACCAACATGGAGAAACCCCATCTCTGGCCAGGCACAGTGGCTCACACCTGAAATCCTAGCACTTTGGGAGGCCCAGGCAGGCAGATCACGAGGTCAA